>NC_000007.14:37740242-38365242 GCF_000001405.40 Homo sapiens
AATCTTCATTCTTAAAGCATGTAAAGTTTATATCATATAAGCACATAAATGGCAAAGTCACATTGTCAGTGCTGTAAAAGAGATAGGAACAAAGCTCTGAAAGCTTGTCAGTTACTCTGGTGCTTTTTCTCCTCCAGGTGACTTCCCAAGTATGCCTGGCCACAATACCTCCAGGAATTCCTCTTGCGATCCTATAGTGACACCCCACTTAATCAGCCTCTACTTCATAGTGCTTATTGGCGGGCTGGTGGGTGTCATTTCCATTCTTTTCCTCCTGGTGAAAATGAACACCCGGTCAGTGACCACCATGGCGGTCATTAACTTGGTGGTGGTCCACAGCGTTTTTCTGCTGACAGTGCCATTTCGCTTGACCTACCTCATCAAGAAGACTTGGATGTTTGGGCTGCCCTTCTGCAAATTTGTGAGTGCCATGCTGCACATCCACATGTACCTCACGTTCCTATTCTATGTGGTGATCCTGGTCACCAGATACCTCATCTTCTTCAAGTGCAAAGACAAAGTGGAATTCTACAGAAAACTGCATGCTGTGGCTGCCAGTGCTGGCATGTGGACGCTGGTGATTGTCATTGTGGTACCCCTGGTTGTCTCCCGGTATGGAATCCATGAGGAATACAATGAGGAGCACTGTTTTAAATTTCACAAAGAGCTTGCTTACACATATGTGAAAATCATCAACTATATGATAGTCATTTTTGTCATAGCCGTTGCTGTGATTCTGTTGGTCTTCCAGGTCTTCATCATTATGTTGATGGTGCAGAAGCTACGCCACTCTTTACTATCCCACCAGGAGTTCTGGGCTCAGCTGAAAAACCTATTTTTTATAGGGGTCATCCTTGTTTGTTTCCTTCCCTACCAGTTCTTTAGGATCTATTACTTGAATGTTGTGACGCATTCCAATGCCTGTAACAGCAAGGTTGCATTTTATAACGAAATCTTCTTGAGTGTAACAGCAATTAGCTGCTATGATTTGCTTCTCTTTGTCTTTGGGGGAAGCCATTGGTTTAAGCAAAAGATAATTGGCTTATGGAATTGTGTTTTGTGCCGTTAGCCACAAACTACAGTATTCATATTTGCTTCCTTTATATTGGGAATAAAAATGGGTATAGGGGAGGTAAGAATGGTATTTCATTACTTGATCAAAACCATGCCTTGATGTACCCAAAACAAAAGGACTATAAAATGCAAGAGCCCTCATTGTAGTCCTTATGGGATCCCTCCCATCTCTGAGTGATGGCCGTACAAAGACCAGTGTTGTTGAATCCACCTGGAGTTGCAATATTACATTATTTTCCAGTACAGAATGTCTGTGTGGCCCATGAAAGCAACATAGGTTTTAAGAGTTTTAGAGTTTCATTAGCTCATTCTAAGTTCCTCTGTTTGAAGCATGGTCTCTTAGGTTTTGGACTGAACTCAGACCTTTAGTTCTTTTCATCCCACTTCACCTTAGGTAAGTAAATTCTGGCCACCACCCAGCTCCAAAGACACAAACTCTCCTTCGCTAACCAGGTTAGATGTCCCATTCATCTCATGCCCTGATAAAAACTGATAAGGGGAGAGAATAGTTAAAAATTTTTCTAGGGTATCATAACTCTGGTAGGAAGTCATCTGTCTAGAAATCAAGAGAAAAAGAACGTGTGGCCTCCTGTTATAACAAGGGTTTCTAGATTTGTCCTGTGAAAGGTCGTTTAAGGACTTGGGGATCAACTTCCTCAATTATCACCAATTGCACTGTTGCTCCAAAAATCATTTAAAAGCTTACTGGACATATCTACATAATGGTGAAACTGTAATTTAGAGACTATCCCTGACTAATGTGCTGGTAGGCATTAAAATGAGTTCCCAAGGGAAGTGATTAAAATTTTTTTCTCTTCTGTTTTTTGAGAGAATTTCTAGATGTCCTGGGCCACAGTTAATTAAGATTTTTAGGGGGGACAGAAAGTTATACTGAAATCTTTAGAGCTCCCTTCCGCCGTTAAAATTATATATATATATATTTAAATTATACCTTAAGTTCTGGGGTACATGTGCAGAATGTGCAGGTTTGTTACATAGGTATACACGTGCCATGGTGGTTTGCGGCACCTGTCAACCCATCTACATTAGGTATTTCTCCTAATGCTCTCCCTCCCCTAGCCCCCCACCCCTGGACAGGCCCCATTGTGTGATGTTCCCCTCCCTGTGTCCATGTGTTTTCATTGTTCAACTCCCACTTCTAAGTGAGAACATGCGGTGTTTGGTTTTCTGTTCCTGTGTTAGTTTGCTGAGAATGATGGTTTCCAGGTTAAAATTATATATTTTTAAATAAATGAAAACTGTGTTTTTAAAAGAGGACTTTTGAGAAGTATATAGAAAAACCATTAATTTAGACTCTGTGAGATTAGGTTGCATGAAGAAGGTTTTCTGAATATTTGAAGAGTGGATAAATAAATGTCCCCCAAAGCAATAAAATCATAATCCTTTAAAATATAGGAAAAATAACTAATGGGAACTAGGCTTAATACTCGGGATGAAATAATCTGTACAACAAACTCCCATGACACATGTTTACCTATGTAACAAACCTGCACATGTACCCCTGAACTTAAAATAAAATTTAAAGTAATAATAATAAAATAATATGGATTTTCTTTCCAAATTCGGAATTACTTTTTGTAAAATTGTATTAATAACTTGTGGCATGTGGCACGTTAAACTGATTTTATTTCAAGAACTTCTGTTACTGGCTAGGTTGATACATAGGCTTGTGGGTTTTTGCTTTTTGGGTTTTTTTTGCTCCTGCCCATACTTCCAGTGTCTTCAGTGTTTTATCTTAAAATTTTCCCAGGATCTGATCCAGTTTCATATTTAATGCTGCAGAAAACCTGAAGTGATTAGTAACATGAATAGAATAACAGAATGAATTAAGGGAACTTTTTTTTTCATCAAGGTATATCTTCGGGATTTAAAAGTTTTTCATAATTTATTATCACTGTGGATCCACAAATTCCTCAGATGAATAAGAAATACCTCTGTGAATTTCTGTGACCACTAAAATTACTGAGCCACAGAAATTAATTCTGAGGAAGCAGAAGTAGCAACATAGTTCAAACATGACTTGTTTCCATATATTTTCTGTTTTATATATTCTTTTAAATATCCTTTTAAACAAGTAATATTTCTTTTCTTTCTTGCCTTTTTTCCCATTTATTTTTTACATTTTTTCTTTCTCATTTTGAACCATAAAATTTGTAAGACCGTTACTAAGACCCCTGATAGTTTTAAGAAAATTTATAATACCTATAAATATGTAAAAAAAATTTAGAAAAATATTTAAATTAAAAGTATTCATGAGAATTTCATTACCTTGTAGATTATGTCATACTCTTTTCCAGATTTTAGATATGTTGAGGTCAGGCAATTCAAAAGAATTAATCTCTGTATTAATCTGTTATAATGTTAACATAACACTATGTTATTTTCATATATTATAATAACAGGCTTATTAGAAATGTTCTCAAAAGATAGAAATGCAATATTTCATAATATAAAATATCTTTTTCATCAGTATTTATGGAATAAATAGAAAAATTTTAGTTTTCCTGTTCTTTGTCTTGAATCAATACAGAAATGAACCTCATGTGACATTGGGAGTGACATTGGCCTCTAGGGCCATTTTTGGATATCACCATTATAAGAGAGCACTAGTATTAGCATTTGGTGGTGGGAGCCAAGGAATAGACATCTTGCCTTGCACATAATTGTCTGTACAATAAAGAAGTATCAGGTCTTGCTCTCTATTTGAATACTCTATTAGATATTAATGAAGTGAAACATATACTCATAACAATCAGAGCAGCTATCAGGTTTTACCCAGTTTTCGTAAACACGTAGTATTTTTTTTTGTATAGCTTTAATTCTCTGAATTTTCTGGAAATGCAGCTATCATGGATTGAAGAAAGATTTTACTTTGGTTTCCTCTGAGCTTTACCAAGAGTTGTTCAGTACTTTGGAAATGACATTATAAGTAACAATACCATTTATGACATTAAAATATGACACAACATACCTGTAAGCAATATTTGTAGCTATTGTATTCAGGAGATATTACATACAGGTGTCAGCATCAGACTCACTCATTTTGTCTCTTTATGTGATTATGCCTGAGCATTTACACACTGAATTATATACTGTTATCCATAACTTTTCTTTTCATTACTCATTTATATTACAGTGAGAACATTATACGTAAAAATAATGTGTATGTTTACATTATTAGTGTAGAAAGCATATACATTTCATTTTGAAATGGTAAAATTATCTGTAAGTTTCCTTTTAGAATGGTAAAAGTATTACCAAATATTTGTGATAAAAAGCAAGGTATTGGGTCTGAGAAAGCTGAGAACCACTGAATTACCACAAAGGGACAAAATAAGAGGGAAATTTATAAATTTTAACATTATAAACAGGAAAAATATTTCAGTGTTTTTGAAATACTTACCTCATCTTCATTCAATTCTAAATTACTTCTTTTGTTTCTACAGCAATTAAATGCAACTTTTAGAAAAATGTGAAGAAAATATACATGTGTATTTTCTTTTTTAATAAGAAAAATACACTTTTTCTGAGCCTCACCACTCTCAGATTGGCTCTTGATCAATATCTACCAGATTTTTAACCCAGACATAATAATTTTTGAGGCCCAGGGAGAAAGATCTCTTCAGGCACCCATTAAAAGGGACACTATTTGGCTCTTGTTTATTCCTTAATTTTCCTGTGAAAGGATCATTGAGTCCCCTGCCTTCCTCCTCAACTTCATTTAAATTAAGGAGAAATTGTAGGTGAAATGAACTTTGTGTAAAGTGATTCAAGAGGTGTTAATAAATCCCTCTTGCCTCCCCAAATCCTCCTCAATGAAGCTGCCATGAAAACTCGATTGTTGGGTTAAGAATCAGTTTTTCTGAAGGAGGGTATTGGGCCAATCCATTCTCAGTCATTGGCTTTTGGTGTGAAGTTAGAATTTGGGATGCTGTCATAGCTTTGATTGGATAGATTTTGCCCACTTTCCTCTATGAGACAGACATAGGCCAAAGACTCTCACACCTATTGGTACTGGTAGGAACAAGGAAGCTCTTCTTGTTATAGGGGCCAACTACAGCATTCTGTAGACAGTTGGTACTGAGAGCTCCATGGTAAAGGGGCACAGGGATGGCAGAACTGTGGGGATAATGCCCAGAGATTGCAACATGCCAAGGGACACCCATGGGTATTGGAAACCAGGGGAATCTGAAGACCCAGCAGGAGCTGCTGGGGAAATGAGACCCAGGTCTGAGAACGGCTAGCTGAGAGCAGGAGGGGCTTGTGTGAGTCTTGCTCAGGAGTTCTGAGCAAACAGGACTGCTCTTGGAAGACAGGGCAATGGAGGCAGCAAACAAAGACTGTTTTGAACAGGAGGTAAGAAAGTGCTGGCGAGCATGGTTTATTTTATTTGCAGTTTGTCCTAATAGTTTATGTCATTAGCAATGAATTATTTCTGCCCTTTGTTGCTGATCTGGGCCATAGATCTCATGGAGGACAGGGTGTGGTTACAAAGATGTAACCACTGGCAACCTGATCAGAGATTTTGGATAAAGATCTCCAGCTCATCCTTAAGTCAAGTAAGAAAAGAATCCCTTGGAATTTAGAGAAGGGTCTGAAGAGTTTCCCTTCTGTTTTCAGGAAAGCATCATCTTACATGTCAGGAGTAGACACTTGCCAAAGTCTACACCAGCCTCTGGCACCCTCAGGAGGGTCTGGAAAGACATCTAGGCCCCCTCTCCAATGATGTTCAATTCTGTATAACACAGCACACTTCTTACCACAGCCCAGCTGGGTACCCCATTCTCTGAGTTGTCCTTTGCCTCTCAGAATTCCATTATTTTCGTAGCATTGTGCTTAACAGTGGGACACACTACTGACCTGTACACTTAAGAACGGCTAAGATGGTTGATTTCATGTCATGCATATTTATCACAATAAACAATTTTTTAAATTAGAAGATATATATATATCTTATATATATTTAGTTATATATATAACATTTATATATATATATATTTAGAAACTTTAATAGGCAAGAACTGAGCTGATGGAGAAAGTTAAAATATTAGAAAGAAAAAAGCTAGTCTGAGACATAGAAAGACTTCAGTCCTCCTATCAAGGGACTACCTATAGGGAAAGCAAATGGAAAACACTTCACATCTGGACATATCCTTGGAGAATGCTTTGAATTTTAAGAACAAAGAATTAGTACAAAAAAAGCCAGGCAAGAGAAATGTTTACCTCTAAAAGAAAGAAAAACAATTAGAAAGGTATTAAGTATTTTCCTTCACAGCCTAATGCCAGAAAATGGGAAGCAATGTCTATTGGATTTTGATTTAAAATATCATGGCTAAGAACTCTCTAAGCAGGCAATTACTGTGCATGCCCCTGGGTAAACAAAGGAACTTGAGACGGATTTTCCTCTCCATCTCGGGGCTTATCATCCCAAAGCCATTGCTTCTCCCTCTCCAGGGTCTTCCACAGGTAGGAGAGCAACTCCACTTGGTTATCTTGAGGCCAAATTATCTTTTCAGGAGGCAAGTTGCTGGCGAAACCTAACTTTCCTTTTAGAATAAGATCCATTCAGCACTCAGTCTAGAAAAATGTTTCTTCCATGATTCTTACAATAGGAAGGCAGCTTTCCCTGGCCTCTTGTTCTCACGTTCCATTCCCGCTTAGAGCCGCTCCCATGTCACTATTTCCTTAGTTAGACTAGAAAGAGAGCCAGATATCTGTTCTGAAATAATTGTCTCTCTCCTCCTATCACAACCATCTTCAAAATTTTGCTTTGCATTTGAATTTTTATTGCATATTTAGTTTCACAACCTTATTTCCTAAACTTTCCTAAAATTAAATTTCTGCCTCATCTCCATTTTTATCACAACCTGTTAACTTATTGCACATTTAACCTCTGTTCTATAGAAAACATGTATTTTGAGTTTTATCAATGGTTTAAAATTGACCAGTGCAGTCTACAATGCCTTTCCGTCTCATTCAGAAAATTCTTTTCAGACGTGCTCTTTCTACAATTTGAGCAGTTCAGGTTATTGGCCACATGTAGTTTTTTCCCCTTATTCCTGTATTCCTAAGTAAGATATCACCAGGCCTTAGTTTTCCTTATCAACTGTGTCAGTGGCTTCTTCTCAGCAACTCCTTATTATCAGGCGCTCTTAGAGGCTTCCACTTAAATGTAAAAATTGGAGATTGATTACCAGTTCCTGGTGCTAAGTGCCCAAGGGCAAGAGAGAGGCTGTAGGGATTATGGAAAACTCTACTAACTTTGCAGTTTCTTTTGTATAGTTATTAATTCCCTTGTGTAAAGTGGTCAGCCCTGTGTACCCAGAATGATTCTGGAGTGAAGAAACTGCCCTTTTTTTGTGTGTACAAACCCCCTCTACCCAATGTCAGTGAACCTCTAAGTAATCTTCAATCCACACACGAGAGGTGCTGATTCATAATAAAATTTTGTTTTTCCAGGGAAATAAGAAATGCAATAATGATGCACTGAGTTTTTCTTAAAGTGAAACATATTTAATGATATATTCAGAGACATATTTTTATAATTCACTTTATTTGTATTATATCATAATGTACTAGAACTATTATAAGCACCATTTATAAGATTATAATTAAGTAATCTGCAAGATGGTGGTTGTGCTAAGAACCACACATAGACAATTTTCTTGACAATATTGGTCAGTTTCCAGTCTTTGGCCTTAGATGTCTTTTGGCCAGTCTTGGTATATCATGGACACAAAATGAGTTCTATATCTGCTGTTGTTATCAGTAAAGTCACCCCAGATGACACATTGCTCCAAAAATATCTGGCAAAGTTTTTAAAACAATAAATTTTTATATGCAATTGGAATTATTTGTAAAAAATCAATAAGTGAACACACATTGAATTTCTCTCGAAGTCCTGACTTTTGATGTATTTGATGATTAAAATTAATTCTACCTTTTATGGATATTAAAAGACCAATAATGTTAAACATATCAAAGTGAAGTTTGTTCCAGTTGGTCTGTTTGAATGTTCTTTTTTTTTCTTTTTCTTTTTTGACATAGAGTCTTGCTCTGTCGCCTAGGCTGGAGTGCAAAGGCACGATCTCAGCTCACTGCAACCTCCGCCTCCCAGGTTCAAGTGATTCCCCTGCCTCAGCCTCCTGAGTAGCGGGAATTACAGATGTGTGCCACCACGCCTGGCTAATTGTTGTATTTTTAGTAGAGGCAGGGTTTCACCATGTTGACTAGGCTGGTCTCGAACTCCTGACCTCAGGTGATCCACCTGCCTTGACCTCCCAAAATGCTGGGATTACAGGCGTGAACCACAGCGCCTGGCCTTGAATGTTTTTAAAAAGACCTGACAGAGTAAAAATGTGTATGCCATGAATTGTGTTGTGAGTAAATTCACAGAAGGGCATGATGAGAATAACATCCAGCCTGCCAGGAGAGTCATGCAGAATTACTTGAAAATATGAGTGTTCACATATTCACTTCAGATTTATTGAGCTAAATGCAAATGATCAAAGCAACTCTACTGCATGATATTAATAAGTTTTGTCTGCTCTAATGCTTTAAAACCACAAAACCTTTAAATACATTTAAATATAAGATACTATGCTAAAAGATCAATGCAGATAATTTTTTGAAGTAAAAATGCTCCAAAATTATGAAACTACCAAATCTTGAGTGTTGGTATATAAATACGTACTTATTCCACAGACCTCATCCTCTCTTGTCCACTCAGGACTTTGCCTCTGCTACTGTGGCCTCAGACTCCTGCACCATCATTTTCTCTCTTTCTACTGAACTACCCATGTCTGCATAAATGATACAGTATTAATGAAACAAAACCACTCCCATCATCTCCAGTAAATGCCATGCTATTGCTTTGCCTCCCTTTATAAGTTTTCTACAAGAAAACTCCTTGAAGGTAACATCCACATTATTTTATTTTATTTTATTTCTGAGGCGAAGTTTTGCTTTTGTTGCCCAGGTTGGAGTACAATGGCGTCATCTTGGCTCACTGCAACCTCTGTCTCCTGGGTTCAAGTGATTCTCCTGCCTCAGCCTCCTGAGTAGGTGGAATTACAGGCGCCAGCCACCACCCCTGGCTAATTCCTGTATTTTTAGCAGAGACGGGATTTCACCATGTTGGCCAGGCTGGTCTCGATCTCCTGACCTCAGGTGATTCGCCCCTCTTGGCCTCCCAAAGCTGCATTCTGTTTCCAGTTCTTCACCTTCCATTATTCCCTTGGCCCAGTTCCATAGTTTCCTTTATGCCCCACTCCACCATACCAATTTTGTCAAGGTAATTAATGGTATCAATTATATAATTCAATGGTTAAGTTTGAGTCTTCACCTTATTCAATCTCAAAGTAGGGTAGGATGCAGTTGAGAAATCTCTTTTTATGGAAATACTTTCCTCATTTAATTACTAAAATGTCTCCTGCTCTTGGGTTTTCTCCTACCTCATTAGGTGTTCCATTTCCATTTCTTTGCTATTCATCCTCTTCTTCCCAGTTTCTAAAGGTTGGAGTGCACAGGGCTTCATCCTCAGCAACCTTCCTGCCTTTCTCTGCACACCTCCCTAAAACATCTTACCAGTTTTGTGGCTTTGAATGTGATCTGTACGCTGATCTTCACCAATTTATATCTCTCACTCTGTCCTCCCTCCTAGATTCCAGCTACACTTGAAGCCTCTGCTTATAATAATACGCAACTTCAATTTAATTTCACCAGAGCAAAACACTGGATTTCCTCCCCTCAGCAGCCTTCCCCATCTCAGAAAATGGCATCACTTTTTACCCATTAGCTCAAACCAAATACCAAGAAGTTATGCTCAATGCCCTTTGTGTCCATCGGGTTCCAATTATGAGACAGAAACTGCTTGGTGATTTAAACAGGGAAAGTTTAATCATTAGCTATAAAAGGAGATTGAAGTGTTGAGAGATTAGCTACTAAGAGGTAAAGAGATGTCTAAAGAATACAAGAGTAGGAGATGTAGCCAGCAGCCACTATCTTCAGATCAGAGGCAAAGCATGCAAAGAAAAACCAACCTGGGTAAGGAATCCGCCTCCTTACCCCCACCAGCCCACCTCACATACACACACACCCAGCACTGAAATGCAGACCTTGCAGGAAAGGGTGGGTCCCCTGGATGATGGAGAAGTTCACAAAGGTGCTTTGCTGATGGAACTTGCTGAAAAGCCACTCATAGGGGTATTAGAAAAAGCTGTCCAAGGGGAGAAACTGCATCTCAGGCCATGCTGGGCATCTGCCCAAGGAACCGAATGCCTTTGGAAGCTGCTCTCTGAAGGGCAGGGATGGCTGTCCACGAGGAGGCCACATGCATTGCGTGCATTAGGCAGGAGCCTGCTACGAGAAAGCAGGTACCAGAGCCAGGGAGAAAAGCCTATTCTTCCCCAAGTGCTGCTTCAGCGCCTTGTAATGATGAAGATTAGTTTAGCATCCCACCCATTGGTAAGGGAGAAACGTGCTAGTTTCATGGCAGGGCAGTAGAGGGTGGATTTGGAGCCGAAGACAATATATGGATGGATAGCCTTTCTTTTGTTTACACCCACACCACGTATGCTGTATCTTCTAATACCGATGACTCTGCTTTAAAGCGTGTCTCTCATCTGACCACTTCTCGCCATTTCTACTGCTACTACCTTCTCAGGCTAGTACAACATTCTCCCTCTCCCTGTTTTCACTTTCGCTGCACTGTGGTCAGTTCTCTGCACATTAGCCATACATCGTGTGAAAGTATAAATTCAATGTTATACTAATTTATAGTACTGATGTTAAATCATGATAGTCTCCACTAAAATTTTTCCTGTGGCTTTTGATCTCACTCAGATGAAAATGTAAACGCCATGATCAGACCCTTGCCTGTCTCTCAGTCAACTTCTTTCTGTTCCTTTGTTTTTGCCTCATAAGCTTTGAATTTTCTGTTATCTCTGATGGGAACATTTCCTCAAATAGCTGGTTCCTCTGTATCATTCATAACTGCTCCAGTGTCATCTCTGCAAAGAAGGTCCTGATTTCTCTATTTCTCTATGTAAAATTGTAGCTTTTTGTTCCCTACTTTTTATACTATTTTATATATATATATATAATATATACATATACATATATATATATATTTTTTTTTTCAGAGATAGAGTCTCATGCTGTTGCCCAGGCTGGAGTGCAGTGGTGCGATCTCGGATCACTGCAACCTCCACCTCCTAGGTTCAAGAGATTCTTCTGCCTCAGCCTCCTGAGTAGCTGGGATTACAAGGGCACACCACCACGCCCAGCTAATTTTTGTATTTTTAGTGGAGATGGGGTTTCACCATGTTGGCCAGGCTAGTCTTGAACTCCTGACCTCAAGTGATCCTCCCCACCTTGGTCTCCCAAAGTGCTGGGATTATAGGCATGAGCCACCACACCTGGCTACTTTATATTCTTTTTGGCATTTATTATTACCACAAATTATGTTAAGTATTCTTAATTAACAAGAATTAATTAAATTTTTGTCCACTAGAATTTAAGTGTCATAAAGAAGGAAATTATTTTTGCCTGGCTATTGTGAGCTAAGGTTTAATGGCATTCAATAAACATATGTTGAAAGAATAAAAAAGTGGGTAAAGGAATGAATTCCTGCTTTTCAACACTGATTTGAACCCATGATCTGCCATTTTTTAGCATATAAAGTTTGAGTCAGTTTCTCAATATCTAAGAACCTCAAATTCTTCTTCTCTAAGATGATAGTTTAAAACATTTAACTCTCCCAAGCTTACTGTGAAAATTCACCAGGTTGGATGATATCTCCTCAAAAAACCATAAGAAAGACTTCTTGATCAAGCAGAGCCATCTCTTGATGGAGTCTAAGTAGTTTCTTAAAAAGAGCAATTAGGGCAGGATATTTATAGGACCACAGGCCAGCCTGGGAGATTTTAAAGAGTGTCTATTAAGGTTTGGATTGGACAGAGTTTATGAAACAGCTGTGCTTTGATGGACACAGTAGGGTGAGGGTGGTAAAATGAATTAAGTTAGCAAGCTGTTAGTCCTAATGAATAAGTGATTGGGTTGGCTTACAGTCTTATATTCTACAAGCAAGTGTTTCAAGGAGCAAGTAGCTAAGTGTGTTTTGTTTGTTCTCAGTATTGATTAATAAAGAAACAGGGAGAATATATTGTCTCAGATTTGGTTAGCACTGGGGCAGGAGAGTATGTTCTATGGCGTTGTTTATGGGACAGAGGTATTTTGGTTCCAGATCTCAAGTGAGATGGTATTTGTGAGGTGTGGAAACAGTGCCAGCCCATATGCACAATGCCATAAAGCAGAGTAGATATCTAAGTGAATTGCCCGTCACTGAGCAGCTTAGCATATACAGCCTGTATTCAGATAAAAGCATCATGGTTTCGCTTCTTTGAAAAGTTCTTTTCATTAATAAAATGGTTTTTTTGGTTTCTTTTGGATGATTTAAAAATGATTCTTTCAGAGATGATAAATTATGTGCTTGGGGAAATTCTGTAATTCTGATGGGTTTGTAATGACTCTTTTTGACTTTGCGAATTGATCCAGTAGAGCATAAACTTCGGGAGTGCCTTAGGCCTTAATAGGCTATGTTCTTGTTTTAATAATTTTGACAGAATTGTTGTGGGAATCATAATTAGAGTCTCTCTCTCAGTGAATTTGATTAATTTAAAAAATTAATAACATTTCTACGTAAACAAAAGGTATTAGGATGGTGCAAAAGTAACTTGCAGTTTTGCCATTAAAAGTAATTACTTACCACAATTACTTTTTCAATAACCTAAATGTAATAAGGAAGAGAGGAGAGCCTATCCCCGAGCAGATGTGCACTTTAGGGAAGGAGTTGATGCTTGTCCTGTGTTGTGAGGCTTTGTGATTGAATCAGCTGCTCAGGATATCAAAGAATCTTCAACCTGAGGACCAGTTACATTAGAATGGTATTGTCTGCTTGGACTCCTCTGTTGAGAAGAATTGCAACGATTCTCTGAGTTCAGGTGGGAAAAAGAGCTGTGGTATGGGCATAGGAAAGGTGGATGATGGCCTACTCATAGCACATTTATTGGTACATTGTTGTTTTTGCTGCTGCTATTGCTGTTTCCTGTTTCATTGATGAATCAGGAGTCTTCTATTAAAAACTATATGTACTACTTTTACACATGTTCACAGTAACATAACAACAAGCATAGGTCTTATCATCCACTTATTCCAAGGCTAAGAATAGGAGTCAGGGAAGTTAAGTGACTAGTCTGAGGACACAGGGATAAAATTTGGCAGAGACATGGATGTGGCTATGCCCAGGTATATGTGGCTGAAAGCTGGTGCTCTGTCTCTATGCAAGACAGGCAGAGGAAAACCTCTGGTTACCAAAAAAAAAAAAAAAAAAAAAATCACAACAAAGCTACAGGAAAACAGAAACCATCTAGAAAAGAAGTCAAGTCTCCTTCTCAATGACAGCTGAACTTTGCCAAGGAATTGAGATAACTATGAGCTAAGGCTGGGTAAAGATTCTGATTTAAAGCATTACAGACTTTCTAAAGTTTTACTTCTTTCAGGAGCAGGAACAAAATCCCTTTTCCCCTTTTATCTACATGATTTAGAGGAGTGCTCTGCTAGGAGGTCTATGAATATTTATAGAGGATGATAATAATTAAAGACAAAAGTTTCAAGATATACGTAGCAGAATTAAAGAACAGGGTTATATTTTGCGTTTCTGTTAGTGTTTAAGAGAAAGAGATCTCTTAGTGTATAAGTTTTTATTTTGTGAATTTACATATCCCAAATGACAAATCACTGTTATACATGGCCATTAGAGATTGCACAGTATGTTTACTTTTCTCTTTTAGGTGACAAAGCTATTTGAAGGATGTGTGTGGAACCGAATATAACCCAGTTAAGCATTATTACTAGAAACCAATCAGGGACATATGTAACTTTGTCACCTCGCTGCCTAAAACACTTCACTGGTTTTAACTTCAGAGGCCTCTGATTCTCCTAAATTATTTGTAAATGTTTGTGTGTACCTCGTATGCCTGTATTTTCAGGGTTTAGAATCCATAGATCTCACTAGATTTTCAAAGTCAGTATGCAACTCAAAAGAAGTTTAGAAAGTAATGACATGCAGGATACAGCCCACATTCCTCATTATGACCTCCATAACTTGATCTGGCCCTTGCCTGCTTTTTCTTTTTTTTAAATTGCATTTATTTAAAGTGTACAGCATGACGTTTGCTTACACACATGCATAGTGAAATGATTGCTATAGTTGAGCAAATTGACATACCCATCTACAAACAGAGTTGCCTTTATTTTTCTTATGGAGAGAGAACCTAAAATCTACTCTCTTAGCAAATGTTCCATATACAGTACAGATTTATTACCTGGAGTCCTCCTGCTAGTCATTAGATCTCTAAACATTCATCCTACAGAATAGCAACTTTGTACCCTTTGACCAACATCTCCCCATTTCAACTATCTCCCCATCCCTATTTCTATGTATTTAACTTTTTAAAATTCCACATATAAGTGAGATTATACAATATTTTTCTTTCTGTGTCTGGCTTATTTTACTTAATGTCTCATCCATGTTGTCATAAATGGAAGTATCTCCTTTTTAAAGGTCACATAACATTCTATTCTGTACACACACACACATATAGTGTGTGTGTGTGTGTGTGTGTGTATATATATATTAGTTTTAATATTAATCCATAAATCCACCATTTTAGTCCATGAATCCACCAAATGACACTTAGGTTGTTCCCATAGCTTGGCTATTATGAGTAAGGCTGCCGTGAACATGGGAGTGCAGGTACCTCTATCATGTGCTGGTTTCGTTTCCTTTGGATATATATCCAACAGAAGGATTACTGGGTCATATGGCATTTCTATTTTTAATTTTTTACGGAATCTCCATTCTGTTTTCCATAATAGCTGCCCCACCAATAGTGTACAAAGGTTCCCTTTTTTTTCCACACCCTCATCAACACTTGCTATCTTTTGTCTTTTTGGTAACGGCCATCCTAAGGAGTGTGAGGTCATATGATTTGGAATTGCATTTTCCTGGTGATTAGTAATGTTGAGCTTCTTTTTATATACTTGTTGGTCATTTGTATATTTTCTTTTAAAAGATGTCTATTCAGGTCCTTTGCCCATTTTTAAACCACTTGAGTTTTTTTGTTGTTGTTGTTAGTGAGTTATGTGCATTTATTATATATTTGTGATATTAACCCCAATCAGATATATTGTTTAGAAATATATTCCCCCAGTCCTTAGATAGAAATAAATGGAAATATATCCTTTGTCCATGGTTTAGAAGAATTAATCATTAAAATGTTCATCCAAAGCAGTATGTAGATTCAACGCATTCCTATTCAAAATTGCAATGACATTTTTAACAATTCTAAAATTCAAATGGAACACAAAAGACCCAAAATAGCCAAAGCAATCTTGAACAAGAAGAACAAAGCTGGAGGCATCACACTTCTTGATTTCAAATTATACTGCAAAGTTATAGTGATCAAAAGAGTATGGTGCTGGCATAAAAACAAACATCTAGACCAATGGAACAAAATAGTGAGTCCAGAAATAAGTCCAAACATATAAGGACTACTCACTTTCAGTAAGGAAACCAATGATACTCAACAGAGAAAGGATAGTCTCTTTAATAAATGCTATTGGGAGAACTGGGTATGCACATGCAAAAAAAGGAAATTGAACTCTTATCTTACGCCATACACAAATATCAACTCAAAATGGATTAAAGACTTCAGTGTAAGACTTGCTGTAAAATTCCTGGAAAAAAAGATAGGGAATGAGCTCCTTTACATGGGCTTTGGCAGTGAGTTTTGGGTTATGACACCAAAAGTTCAGGCAACAAAAGCAAAAATAAACAAGTAGGGCTACATCAAACTAAAAAACCTTACTTACTTTTCTAGAAAGAAAATCATCACTTACAACTTTCTTATGTTTTAGCATTATGAAGTTTCTTTAAAACTCCCAAAGCACTTCACATGTTTTCTCGCCTCAGTGACTTTGCACACGCCATTGTCTTGTTTCTCTGCTGCCAACAGTGGTCTCTATTGTTTGCCCAGCAAATTGCTGACTGTCCTTTAAAACCCAGAACAGAATTCATTCCTTCAAGAAGAGCTGATCATTCCTTCATCTGTGCAACCCTGCCTATTATCCATAGGTGTTTTATTTTATTATGCAGTCCTAAAAATGGTGCTGCTGAACTTTTCTTTCTATGAAAAAAATGTTCTTTGTGTATTATTCAGGAAACTAAGCATATGACAAATACAGTGTGTGTGTTTATCTTTACATGTAAAGTTATCGAGAAGAATTTAAATTGAGATTTTAGCTGTACTCACAGTTGATTCTGATTGGCTTTTTTTTTTTTTCTGAATGTCTTTACTCCTGTGGACTTTAAAGTAGTAAATGTGTATGACTTCGGTAATATTTTAAGGTTTAAGAAAGCAATCTATTCACTCTTGGAAAAGGTGAATTTAATGGTGCAATTGCCACCTTTGGTGAACAATTAAAAGCAGAATTGAAAGAATGTTGACCATGAGGTAATCTCATTCGATCTGCCAAGGGATATTTTTTGCTGTGAGGGCTGGGTGTCTAGTGACAGTAAACCGTAGTCACAGATAAGGAGAGAGGGTGGTTTTCAGTTGGAAGGAGGTGGTATCACATGACTACTCTCTGTTGGAATGAGGAGAGAGAATTGAGCTTCACAGAGAAGGTTTAGTTTTGAAGTGTAACTAGATTCAATACAATTTCTTCATTTTTGTGTTTTTTTCTTTTCAATAATATATTTCCTAGGTGCTTAAGTGAATATTTTCAGAAATAGAACAAATAACCGAAGTTTTAAAATAAGGATATTCAGATAAAAGTGAGGTAAAAGAATATCATCTGGGCCCCTTGTGGAAGAGTCCCCTGGCATTGCCACGCATGATGGGAGCCCTCCAGGGGAAGCCCCACAGCCAGAGCCTTGTCTTCTCTGGCCATGCACTAGTGCAGCATTTGACATGATTTTTTTTTCTTTTTATTTTTTTGAGATGGAGTTTTGCTCTTGTTGCCCAGGCTGAAGTGCAATGGTGTGATCTTGGCTAACTGCAACCTCCACTTCCTGGGTTCAAGCAATTCTCTTGCCTCAGCTTCCTGAGTAGCTGGGATTACAGGCATGGGACACCACGCCCAGCTAATTTTGTATTTTTAGTAGAGATGGGGTTTCTCCAAGTTGGTCAGGCTGGTCTCAAACTCCTGACCTCAGGTGATCTGTCTTGGCCTCCCAAAATGCTGGGATTACAGACAAGAGCCACCTCACCCAGCCTTGACCTGATTTTTAACCAGTGCTCTCAGAGGTGGCTGATTAGCTCTTACCACAGCGACGTCATCACTTTTGTCAAAACCAAAAGATAATTGGTAGGGACGGCAGTACTTCCACAGAGTGTTAGTAGGACACAAACCTGGCTGCACCCTCCCTAGGCTCTGTGGTTCTAGTCATCAGTCCCTTATGTGCACTTGTTGGCAGGTACTTGATATACTCTGCTCTTATGTATTTGCTTATATGTCTTCTGGATCATGAGCTCCTTGAAGGCAGGGGCTGTTGCTGAAACAATCTTTATTTCAAAGTCTGCCATGTGGTCATAGCAGTTAAATATTTAATCTAGTGTAAATTAATCATTTAATTTAATTTAACTTTGTGGTGCCATAAACCAGACATCATCTAGTGTCAGCATGCCTTGATTAAAGCTACAGAGTTTTGGAAGAAATAGAATTTGTGTAACTCTCAGTCTTGATGATTTGCTTTTCTCCAAAGTAATAAGATGTATCTGCAAGTATAACTTGGAGAGTGGGGAGCTCTCAGATTCTCATTCTTCTCCTTGGCATTCTTTTGGGCTTTTGGGAAGAGCAGCACTTGGTCAGACCAGTCATTTTTCTTTCAGTGTGAAGAAACTAATCCTCGCTGGAGGCTGACTTTGACAGAAAATCACTGCGAGTGCCTGGAACGTGGGTTCTGAGTAGGAGTCCATGAGGGCTAGTTACTAAGGAAGAAACAGTGGAGAGAGGCAAGTGTCAGGATCAGGAGGGCAAAGGTTGAGATGGGCCTGCTTTCCTAGTTCAACTGCAGTCTAGCGATGTCCAAGAACATTTGGACAGTCATCTCAGACAGGAGCCCAGTTATATTCTCTGAATTTGACTAAATTTGGGGACAAAAAAATATTTGACAAACTACCTGTTAGAAATATTTTCTGTGCCCATGTAGGCAAGGGTGACACATGCAGCATTGAGTGAGTGAACAGGCAGGTGCATGTAGTTCTGCACAGTCATTCTCAACTATTCTTCCCTATTCTGTGATGGATAGTACTCACACGTGGTACACTATCTCTCCCAGTAAAGCACACAGAGGCTGGAGGCTGGAGGATATTCCCTGTGGAATAGCTGTAATTCTGCGTTGCCCTCTCCTCTTCCAGGGAACATGTTGGAACACATGGAAAAGATGTCATAACAGATGGAACTTAAATGCAGGCTGAGAAGCTCACATTTCCATTGAAAGCAGTTTTCTCGCTAAGGCTGGAGATGAGCAGACTTTATATTTTTGTACCTGAAGTTTTGTACCTACTGAAATAGACCCTTTTGCTCTCAATGGTCCCTCTTAGTGATGTTGCTGTAGATCAAGTACCCCACTCACTGTTCTGAAAGAAGAATGTGTCATCCATGTCAGCCTAGCAGGAGTCTGGGACACAGAAACCTTGCTGTGTATGGTTAGGCAAAATGTATCTCTTATGTATTGATTTGATTCTGCTTTATGTTTTTTCCTAGAAGCCAAGGACTTTTCTGGAAGAAAGAGAAATAGAACACAAATATCATCTCTGAAGTTTACAATAATTAACTAGAATCTGTTTGATGCATTAGAAGGGTGGCAAATAAAACCAGCTACCAAGAAAGGTCAACAGGGTACCCTAGGAGGAAACTCACCATCAGGGAGGGATCTAAATGAGTGATTTGGATGTAACCCAGAGCCTAGATATTCTCAGAAAAAGGCTGGATCAAGACACAATTTGTGGCTGTACCGTACCCTTTCCTGATGCAGTTCCCATTATTTTACTCTTTCCTCCTATCTTCTACTGGGAAGATAGCTGCATGTATGCAAACTCAAAGAGCTGTTGTCTCAGAGCCCAGAACTGTTGGGTGTTGCGTCCTGTGGCTGTTGCTGTAGGACACCCCTGGTCGAGTGTACTATTAAAGAGTCAAACACTTTCATCTGTTACAGAGAAACATTGAAGGATCAATGCTGTAGACAGCATATTACACAGGGTTGCTGGAGTGCCAGCTGTGCAAGGATGGCTGGGCCTTGGTTACCATGGTGATTCCTTGGGCAAGCAGAGCCCAGCTTAGAGCTGTGGGATCACACTGGCTTACTGCTCGCTGGGTCCCAGCAGAACACGGGGCTTGCACCACCTGCCCAGAAGTGAGCAGATTAGAGATCAGCTGTCGTGGGCACAGCTGGTTTTGTGTTCTCCAGACAGATGGCAGCAGCAGGGAAACACCAAGGAGAGCTGATTATTCAGGAGTATAAACTACAGTAGAGAGTCTTAGCATGACCTGGATAGAAGTCCAGAATAAAATCTCACTTTCCAACCATGTGCTTGGGGACATTGTCATTACAGTTTGAATACTGGAGGAAATATGACTGTGTTTTCATTAATGAACTAATAAGTTGATTCATTTTTTATTGTATATATTTATAGTGCACAACATGAGGTATTCATACATGTAGTGAATTTATTATTACAGGTAAGTAAAGTATAGGTACTTAACTTGGAGTACCTTTACTTTTATAGCATGAAATACTACCCATTCTTTAAAAAGAATAAAATCATGTCCTTTGCAGGAACATGGATATAATTGGAGGTCATCATCCCAAGTTAATTAAAGTAGAAACAAAAAACCAAATACTGCATGTTCTCACTTATAAGTCAGATCTAAACACTGGGCACTTATGGAAATAAAGACGGGAACAATAGACACTGGGGACTGCTAGAAACGGGAAGAGAGGGCAAGAAGGACTGAAAAGCTACCTATTGGGTACTATACTTACTATCTGGGTGATGGGATCATTTGTACTTCTAACCTTGGCATCATGCTATATACCCATGTAACAAACCTGCACATGTACCCCTGAATCTAAAATAAAAGCTGAAGTTATTTTTAAAAGTGATGAATAAAAGGATGAGAGAGAAATATCATTAATTGCATGTATAGATGAGATAACTGATACTTAGAATAATTTGTCCAATATCATACAGCATAAGCAAAACACTGTCTTTCTGATTGCATTTTTGTACTATGGTACATTATCTAGAGACATGCCTCATTCAAATACATAATGCATTAAATGTTATAATTTATGTAGAATAGTGTATTACTTTCATGTTACAATTTTTTTCAGTTAAGATGAATCTAGTAAACATAAAATTAAAGTGATTTAATTATATGTAAACATTTTCATTTTAAATGCTTAATATAAAATTCACCCCCTTACCAAATTTTCAATATACAATACAATATTATTAACTGTAGTCTCCCTGCTGTACATCAGATCTCTAGACTTGTTCAGCATACATCATAGCATTTGGACTCTTTGACCTGCATGTCCCCATTTCTTTTTCTTTCCAGCCCCTGATAACCACCATTCTAACTCTCTGTTTCTATGTATTTGACTTTCATTTGGATTCTACATATAAGTGAGATCATGTAGTATTTTTCTTTCTGTGATTTTGTTTATTTCACTTAGCACAGTGTCCTTCAGGTTCATCCATGTGGTAGCAAGTAGCAGTGTCTCCTCCTTTTTATAAGGCCACTGAATATTCCGCTGTAGATATATACCACAATGTCTTTATCTATTCATCCATTGATGGATACTTAGGTTGTTTCCATAACTTGGCTATTGTGAATGATGCTGCAATGAATGTGAGAGTGCAGATATCTCTACCAGGTGCTGATTTAATTTCCTTTGTGGCAAAACCAGACGCATATAAAACTTCAAGCTCAGAATAGCTCTACTTTGAGATAGAAATTGAGGATAAGAAAGGGAACTTACACAGACAATTAATTTCTGGCCAGGAAAGACTTCAGGGGGCCAGCTAAGTTCACTCACAGAGGAATAAGGAAAATATCACTTTCAGCTTCTAGGGAAACAGTGTCTTCTGTATTATTTCAGCTCTTAATTTAGTTGATTTTTGAATTTCTCTTCTCTGCTTCTGACACTTAGGGTTTATTAGGTCAGAGGACAAGTTGCAGAAGAAACATTTTTGTTCTCCAATTTGTGTGTGTGTGTGTGTGTGTGTGTGTGTGATCTTATGATTAAGATTGTCAAAGGGAAGAAAGTTATAGGTTCTTTAATAGCACAGGGAGGGCAAAATGTACATAGTTTTGAAGACCATATGACCTGGATGACTGGAAAAATGAGAAGGAAATAAGAAACCAACTGTTACTGAGAGCCTGCCATGTTTGACACTCTACATATTATTTAAAAAAATTCATATGACATGAAATCATCTGCTCCTTGAGAACAGTGACCATGTCTTGTTCAATGCACTCTGTGCTGTGTGAGGTACATGGTAGGTACTCAATAAATATTTGTTGAGCTTATACACTCTTGGTGGGAATGTAAATTAGTTTAGCCACTGTGGAAAGCAGTTTAGAGATTTCTCAAAGAAATAAAAAACAAACTACCATTCTACCCAGCAATCCCATTACTGGGTATATACTCAAGGGAAATACATCCTTCTACAAACAAGACACATACATTCATGTTCACTGCAGCACTACTCACAATAACAAAGACATGGAATCAACCTAGGTACCTATCAACAGTAAACTGGATAAAGAAAATATGGTACGTATACCATGGAATACTACACATTCTTTAAAAAGAATAAAATTATGTCTTTGCAGGAACATGAATGTGGCTGGAGGCCATCACCCTGAGTGAATTAACACAGAAACAGAAAACCAAATATTGCATGTTCTCACTTATAAGTGGGAGCTAAACACTGAGAACTCACAGGCATGAAGATGGGAACAATAGTTACTGGGGACTACTAGAGGGGGAAAGGGAGAGAAGGACTGGAAAGCTGCCTATTGGGTACTATAATCACTATCTGGGTGTTGAGATAATTCGTACTCCTAACCTTGGCATCATCCTATATACCCATGTAAGTAACCTGCCCGCCTACCCCCGAATCTAAAACAAAAGTTGAAATTATTTTAAAAGACTTGAATAAAAGGATGAGAGAGTGATATCATTAATTGCGTGTATAGATGAGATAATTGATACTCAGGATAATTTGCCCAATATCACACAGCAAAAGCTAAACACTAAGTCTTTCTGATTATATTTTCATAATATAGTACATTATTATTATTCAAATAAGTAATGCATTGTTATAATTTATGTAGAATTGTGTATTGGTTTTATGTGACAATTTTTTTCATGAAGACAACCTAGTAAACATAAAACTAAATATGATTTAATTGTATGTAAGCATTTTCATGTAAAAAGTTCTACAATTCAGAAAATAAATCTGTCCAATCATGTATTTTTATTTGATTTGGAAAATAATATGACTGGGGGGCAGGGCCAAGATGGCCGACTAGAATCAGTGTCAGTCAGAGTCTTCCATTGAAAAGAACCAAAACAGTGTGCGAATCCTCCACTGGCAACCCAGATATCCAGGTTCTGTCATCAGGACTGAGTAGGAGGCTGGGGTGACCCACGGAGAGGAAGGAAGAGCAGTGTGATGGGCGGCCCACCTGAGAGCCATAAGGGGCGGAGGAGACCTCAACCCCCAGCCAACGGAGGTGGTGAGTGAGCACACTACCCAGCCTGGGAAACTGTGCTTTTTCCATGCAACTGAGCGACCCACAGATCAGAAGATCCCACTCGTGAACCCAAGCCACCGTGGCCTAGCGTCCCAACTATGGAGCCATGCAGATTCTCAACAGCCACTCAGCTAGAATCTGCCTAAGCTTGCCCAGTTCTTGAGGAGAGGGGAGGCCATCGCCACAGCTGCAGCTGCCTGCTGTCTAAGCCTTCTGGGCTCCTTGGAGGAGGGGCGGCAGGCAACACTGGGAATGCTAGCTGCCTAACACACTATGCTCCCAGGGCAGGGGAAGGGCGGCAGCCATCTCTATAGCTCCAGGCCACGCTTTTCCTCTGCTGGAGCCAAGGAG
Organism: Homo sapiens; assembly: GCF_000001405.40. NCBI lineage: Eukaryota > Metazoa > Chordata > Mammalia > Primates > Hominidae > Homo > Homo sapiens. Next base: position 37,763,586 of record NC_000007.14, read on the forward strand.
GCTGGACGGTTGGGTCCCAAGAGGTATTCGCCACAGCCTAACAAACCGGCTGTGGCAGACTACGGCCAAAGTGCCTCTTCAGGCCTGACCTTGACCCATTCCTCCTCACTGGGTGGGGCCTCCCTGCAGGAATTCCAACAACTCCAACCAGGGGCTCAGGGACAGAACTCTAATCTCCCTGGGCCTGAGCCCATGAAGGGGTGGCCATAGTCTCCGTGGACCAGCAGACTTGGTCTTTTGTTCTTCTAGTTCTGAGGAATCGGAGCAGCCCAGAGGAGTAGGTTTCCCCACAGCGAGGCACACCCCCTCTACCAAGGGACAGCCAAAGTGCTTCGTTAAATGGGTCCTGCATCCCATGCCATCCAACTGAGTGAGATCCTCCAACAGAGGTTGTCAGACACCTTATATGGGAGCATTTCTACTGGCATCACATTGGTGCCCCTCGAGGTCAGAGATCCCAGAGGAAGGAGCAGGCATCCATCTTTGCTGTTCTCCAGTCTCCTCGAGTGACATCTCCAGGCACGGGAGTGAACCTGATGAATAGGGCCTGAAGTGAACTCCCAGCAAACCACAGCAGCCCTAGAGAAGAGGGAGCTGACTATTAAAAAACAAACAAACAAACAAACAGAAAGCAACAACAATAGCATCAACAAAAAAGTCCCCACAAATCCTCATCCAAGGATCAACAGCCTCAAAGATCAAAACTAGACAAACTTATGAAGAAGAGAAAAAATAAAAAAAAACACAGAAAACCCAAAAGGCCAGAGTGCCTCTTCTCTTCCAAATGATCACAACACCTCTCCAGCAAGGGCACAGAACTGGACGGAGGATGACATGGATGAACTGACAGAAGAAACAATAGATGCTGGCAAGGCTGTGGAGAAATAGAAATGCTTTTACACTGTTGGTGGGAATGTGAATTAGTTCAACCATTGTGGAAGACAGTGTGGCAATTCTTCAGGGATCTAGAACCAGAAATTCCGTTTGACTCAGCAATCCCATTACTGGGTACATAACCAAAGGAATATAAATCATTCTACTATAAAGATACATGCACATGTATGTTTATTGCAGCACTATTTACAATAGCAAAGACATGGAACCAACCCAAATGCCCATCAATGATAGATTGGTTAAATAAAATGTGGTACATATACACTATGGAATACTATGCAGCCATAAAAACAAATGAGATCATGTGCTTTGCAGGGACATAGATGAAGCCAGAAGCCATCTTGTTCAGCAAACCAGCACAGGAACAGAAAACCAAACACTACATGTTCTCACTCATAAGTGGGAGTTGAACAATGAGAACACATGGACACAGGGAGGGGAACATCACATATGGGGACCTGTAGGGGGAGGAGGAGAGGGAGATCATCAGGACAAATAGCTAATGCATTTGGGGCTTAAAGCCTAGATGACGGGTTGATAGTTGCAGCAAACCACCATGGCACATGTATACCCATGTAACAAACCTGCATGTTCTGCACATGTATCCAGAAACTTAAAGTAAAATAAAAATTAAAAACAACAATAATAATATGATTGTAAAGATAGATCACGTTTAAAGAGGGCAGCTCACTGTGGTGTACTGGTAATTTTTGAACAACTGGTTCCCTTCTCCCTAAAAAAAACCTCTGTGTGTGTGTGTATGTATGTGCGTGTGTGTGTATGTATGTGTATATGCATATATATTATATACACAATATTATTTATTATAAATTCCATACAGCCAGTTAGTTCCCACAGAATGCTTTTATTAATTTTTACCAAACTCTTATCTATAGCCAACCTTTGTTTGCAACTGATGAATAAGTTAGTTGACACATTTGTTTATCTCATGTAAGACAAAAGTCAAACAATGAAGACTCACGTCTCGGAAATTCACTGTTTTGTCCATGGTGTGAGCAAGTTCCCTGTTGAATTGTGTAATAGTGGTTGAATACTAGAAAACTGTATTTTTCATTTCAGTGCTGGTCAGTGTAATAACTACAGACACACAACACACTTCTAAGTTTAATCTGCTTTATCAACATTTTCTCTACCACTTCCATAAGTCTAGACAGTCAATAAAAAATAAATTGAGCCCTGATTTGTAGTATTTGCCAATTCCCACCAGGCCAATTTCAAGCTATCCGAGTGATGTCACCAAACACAGATTTGGGAAGAAATGTGCAGTGACACAGCATTATGTAGAACTCGCAACTTGCAACTAAGACATAAGTAACTTCAAAAGTATAAATAAATAAAACACAGTAATTGATAAGTTCTAGTAAGTGATGAGTTCTACACATTATTACTTGAATTTTTAATAATGGCTAGTTGGTAGAGAATGTAAATCAGTTTAGTTTCTACAGCAGTGACATCAGATTCCAATGAAGGGGTGAGAAAAGAAAGTGAAAAACAGAAGAAAGGGGAAAGAAATATTTGAGCATGTGATGTGGGCTAGGTACTTTCCTTACATGAGCTCCTTTAGAGTCCTTTCTCCAACTTTCGAATGAACAAAATGAGTCCCAGCAAAGCACCTCCTCCTTTGACCACAGGACGCTGCCTCAGAAGGAGAGCCACCAGTTCCTGTTGCTCCTGGCTGCTTTTCTTTGTGTTCCGTTTCCTCTATTTAACTCAAATTACTGAGAAGTAGTCTGCTTATGTTTTAGTTATAAGCCTCTGATGGAAAGCTGGGGCAGCCACCCACTAGGGAAGATAGATGGCCAGACCCTCTCTCTTCATCTCTCTGGCAGCCAGAACTTAGGTGACCCAGCAGGGCCTAATCAGACATACATGCCCAGCACTTGAACATGGGAGCCGTGGATGGTGGAGAATTTATTCCGACTAGTGTGACCAACTGTCCTGCTTTGCTGAAGACAGAGGGGGTTCTCAGGAGCCCAGACTATCAGTTTAAAACCAGCAAAGAGTTTTGAGCATACCAGCGCAAGTGGGTCACCTGCTGCTGGAGTCTGGGGGTGGCAGTTTCAGCCTCAGTGTGCAGGGTCAACAGTGACTGCAGGGGAATCTGCAGCATCTGCAGTGCGGCGTTGACCACCCTAAGATCAAGTTCTGAGTCTTGATTTGGGCTGTGGTTCTGGCTGCCCTCCGTTCATGCCTATTTTCAGAAACTAGTTCTGCATCTTCCCAATTATTCTGTGAACCAACTAATAACCTTGCAAAACCTCCTTTTCTGTTTAATGTCAGCCAAGGCAAAGTTTCTGCTGCTTGCAGGGAATAGCCCTGGACTGACACCATGCTTCTCTCAGCTTTCCTTACTGTTGTTCCATCTCCCAGCAATGGCTGGCTCTGGAGTTCATTGTTCTGTGCTCCGCATAGGTGAAGTCTCCAGGGAAAAGTGCTTCTTTCTAAGGCACTGTCAGACTTACGGAAGTGATTTATTTAATAGATAAACCAGCACTGATGACTTCTAACCAGTTAAAGCTGATTGTTTTTTCCAGTCAGGAATTCTGGTAAAACCATATACCTCTATCCATAGTGTTAGTCCCTAATTGCCAGGCATGGGCTGTAGAGTTTAAGTGGGACTAGAGACCAACACACGTACGATAAACAATAGAGGTAGGAAATATACCTCAAATTTCCTGGCTATTGATTGATTCATAAAACTATTTTATAATGATCCAAAGGATTAAGCAACAAATAAAGTCATTAAAATAGTGTACTTAAAAGTTGCACTTTGCAAAATGGGTATGTTATCTAGGTACTCGTACACTATTTTTGTACTGCTGGTCCTGTACCAGAAACATTTTTTTTTCCATTGTTACTTGCTTTTTAAACTTTGCTTAGCCACTTAAAGAAAATCTGCTTGCACAATTTGCCTCAAATCCACTCCCATTGTGAGCTGATTTTTTAATTTTTCCAATTAAAAAAATCACAATTTATGCCCCCTCCCCCCCAAAACTCCTTAAATCATAGTGAGACAAACCTTCCATGAGGCCAGACTATGCCCTTCTCATTCAATAGGGTTAGTATTCAGGACCAAAAGAGCTAACCATCTAAGTTTAAATACAATAGAAATATAATGCCAGCCATGTGAGAAAATTTAAATTCCCTAGTAACTACATTTTTTAAAAAGTAAAAAGAAATAGGTGAAATTCGTATATCATTTTGTTTAACATAATATGTTAAAAATATAATCGCTTCAACTTGTAATCCATATAAGGATATTAACAATATATCTTACATTTCTTTTCTTTAATAGTGAGACTTCAAAATTCAGTGTGTAGTTTACCTTCAAGCACATCTCAACTAGGACGACCACATTTCAAGGGTTCAGCCCCATTTGACTTGGGGCTGCTGCCTTAAGCAGTGCAGGTCCAAGATATAAGCCCAAGCAAGACAAGGGTTGTCTCCGCATCCTCCTTCATGTGAGATGTGGCAAGGCTTGAAACCTCTCTAGCTCTGATGCCTTACAGTAAGATTAGTGGCTGTGTTAGATTATTGATGTTTCATTTGAACACTGACAATTTTATGATCCTATGCTTTCTCTCAGCAACTAGTCTTCTGGATTTTTTCATTTATCATCCAGCCATCAGGACTTTTACCTAAATTCTAGATACAATGGCTGATTGTTCTGCAATAACATTTTTTATTGTTCCTAAAAAAGCTTGTTTTGAATATTCAAACATAAGTTGTTTGATATTGAGATTTTTTAAAATGTACCTTGCCAAAGAAAAGGGAATGCAGGAATACAGAAGCCAACTAAGATACTCTTACTGCTAGTATTTATTCTCTTGCCACAGCTTTAAAAGTGCAAACCAGATAATAAAATTATGAAACATAAATGGAACCAAGCAAGAAGTCTGTTTGTTTGTTTGTATTTTTAGTAAAGATGGGGTTTTGACATGTGGCCAGGCTAGTCTTGGACTCCTGGCCTCAAGTGATCCGCCCTCCTCGGCCTCCCAAAGTGTTCGGATTACACGCATGAACCACTGTGCCTGGCCTATATGTTTTTAAGTTACATTATTCACAGAAATCGTTAGGCATGAATGTCCTTGTGGGCATATAGAAAAACATGATTTCATGTCATTTCAAAAACAGAACCCAGACTACTTTTGTGCAGCATTTCTTAAGACACTTTCCCTTGAAGAAGGAAATATGTTAGAGGTGCGATATCTTAAGATAAGCCTTGAGAAAAATAAAATGAAAAGAAGTAGGAAGAAGGAATTTATGTTTTTTTTTTAAAAAGTGAGGAAACATTCAAGTTATGAAATATTGCTAAGTGCATCACAACAAGGGTTGCAATGACACAGAGAAGATCTGCAGAATCCTGCACAGGAGGCTGTGTGCTGGGAATGTACACTGTTTTACTGTTTTTCAGAGGAGGATGAATGGAAGGAGGACTTACAGTCTTCTCAGTTGTATTTGGAGCTTAGTTCTTTGACCATGACTTTACTGCCATAATTTGATAATGGGCAGACCATAAAGAATCCATGCAGTAAACTCTGCACGGATGTGTTCTTGGCACTTAGCCATTGTATCTAAAATTTAGGTAAAAGTCCTGATGACTGGATAATAAATGAAAAAATCCAGAAGACTAGTTGCTGAGAGAAAGCATAGGATCATAAAATCATCAGTGTTCAAATGAAACATCAATAATCTAACACAACTACTAATTTTACTATAAGGCATCAGAGCTAGAGAGGTTTCAAGCCTTGCCACATGAGTCAAAGGGTAAAGGCACTATGTGTTGTCTTTAAAGAGATATGCCAATTCTTGCCTTGCTCACTGCACCACAATACTTTTCTGTACTGGGAGGAGTAGGCTCAGGGAAAAGAGGCTCTTCTCTAGCCACAGTGTGAACTATAATGCTTCTAAGATGGACTGAGGAATCAACAAATATTCATTCTGTCAAATGAGATGTAAAGGCAGATCTGCACGAGGGCTTCAGGAAATGTTTTTCTCCCTGATAAAAAGAGGCACCAGGAAGATATAGTTTCTTTGTCTTCCTCTCCAGAAGGTTGTGTGATGGCCTGAAAATTGAAGCAACATTCATCTTTTTGTAGTCATGAAAAGAAGGCCATGAGACCACAGGGAAACCAAGCTAGAGTTCTGCCATCAGTGAGTGCTCAAGAATAACCTGGTCTGGAGCCATCCACCCCAAATCTCTTGTAATGTGGGATACAAAATCTCTCATTTTATCCAAGACTCTTGTATTGGGATTCTTCAACTTGAAGGCATCACTTGGTAATAAATACTACTGAGGCTACTCTAGATGTGATGTATCCCTACCTTCTAGGCTTCTCTATGGTTGGATCTGCCTCTAAACCCTGCCTCTAGGGTTATATCTCACAGACCATAGTCATGCAGGAAGTGTGGTAGGGCTTTGGCCAACATGTATGAGGTGAACACATCTGGCTAGCCCGAGTTAATCGTTTTCTGCTCATCAGCCTGTTGCCTGATCCACACAACTATGATTCTGCTTCTATTTCTTCTCTAGAACACTAGCTTCCTTTTTAGGTGGGCCTCAGGTAAAATCTGGCCCTGTTGCGTGCTACCTTGACACCTGGAATGACAAGGCCTCCTTTCCATTGCTTTAGAAGTGGTCATCTGATCAATTGTATTAGGACAACCTAGCGGCTTTCAAAAGTGTGGATGCCCGGTCTCCTCCCAGCTCCCCACAGTCCATCAGGAAGGGTCATGTCAGCAAGCCTCCCAGATGACTCAGAAGTGGGTTAAAGCTGAAAGTTCCACATACCTTCTGACTGTTCTCTCACCGGGCCCATGCATGAATGAACATAAAACCAGGTTCATTGCCTCTACCTGCCTGGGTTTAGAATACATCCACCACCTGGATCTCCTCTTGCTTCCTTGTCCTCACCAGGTCGAACCTGCCTGAGTCTGTCATTTCATCTGAGCCTGCCCTTGGATGGCCCCACTGCCCCAATGGGGCAAGCCCCTTGGTGGTGTCCATTCCCTCAGTCCCATCCTTTCTGTCTTCATCTTTCTCTCCAGTACCTGTAATTAAGCTCAACTCAATTATGTCATCTCCCAGATGTCCACTGATACCGTGTCCCCATGAATGACCTCTATGAGTTAATCAAAGGAAACTCAGATTTTAAAAAATTGCTTAAAATAAAAGTATAAGCCATCAACTAATGTTCGGTGCATGAGCTGGGTCAGCACTGCTCAACTACTTGAAGAAATCAAGATGCCTTTGATGTCCTTGTTTATTTTGCTTTTTGTTCCTCTAAAAAAAATCTCTTAAGAGAAGAAAAAATTATATTTTGCCTATTTTAAAAATAACAGAATTAAGATAATCTATGGTTTGCCCGAAGTCACGCAGTACTCATTTGAGCCAAAATCTCATTGTCCAACTGGTCCCAAGAGTCCTTTCAAGTAACTTCGTCAGCTGTCCTTTGCCAGCATGTAATGCAGTGATGCAATGCTCTGGTAGTAATTTGGAACAATCCAGGAAGCAATATTCTCAGTGTTCAAGGCCCGGCACTGCCCGGGGGAAATTAAACCTTATCTACCCCAGCACATGATGCATGCCATTCTCCTTGAGAGGGCTTTTCTGCTGCTGCAACGGGAAAATGCAATCAGTTTCACCCATCACTGAGTTCTACAGACTTTTGTGTTTTTTTTTAATTTACTAATAATAGGGCAATTAATGTAATTTTAAGAAGTTTTCTTTCCTTTAAAAAGAGGCTGGCCTGTGCTCCTAATTAAAACTGCTTTTCACACTCTGAACAAGGCTTCAGATTTCGATTGGCAAAATCCCATAGCGCTTGGCCTAGAGGGTTTATTTTTAAGGGTCTGGTGAGATTTTGAGTAAAAAATGATTAGTGAAATTGCTCCTCATCCTAACTAGAGCCTGCAAAACAGCGAAGAGTTCTGTAGTCACTGGTGTATTCATGACAAAGTAATTATTTTTCTACTTAGCCAGAAGGAAATGGGAGGTTTCTTTGAAGGCTTGAGATCTGCTTCTTAGAATGGGAGACCGAAATCTTTAACAGCTAATGGTATTTGTTTGAGTTCTTTGAACTGTCAGAGCATAAATTAGGTCACCACAGGTCCCATTTCGACTGGAGCATTCAAAACCAGTATATCCTCATGGCCATTTTGAGAGTTATCATGTAAACAAGCAAAAATCTTCCATCTTCAGAAACCCTTGTTTGATGCTATATTCCACCAACTCCTGCCCTCTTACTCTGTCCTTCTCTTCAAGGTCAATGAACAGTTTTTAAGCCTTAGCTTCTTTTTCCTCCCAGCAGCATTTGACCCTGTTGATCATGCCTTTCTTGAAATCCCCTTGTTCTTTTGATTCCTTAACAATTATTCTCACTGGTTCTCTTCAGTCCCATTGCCCCCAGTTCCAAATCCAAGTGCTTATCCAGCCAATTTTTGCTCTTCTCCAAATGTAAGCTGTCAGCCCACAGCTAAAAGAGAGATGAGGTGAGATCACAGGGATTAGGAGTTGTTTGATAAATTGTGTTTTCTTTAGTAGATATATTCAATAGAACTCTCTCTGATTGAGCACTTGAAATGTGGCCAACGTGATTGAAGAAGTAAATTGTTAAATGTAATTTAATTTAAATTAATTGAAAGAGCCACATGTGACAAATGGCTATTTTATTGGACAGTGTTTTGTGAAGTCTTGCCACATAAAATGTGGTCCATGGGCCAGTGGCTTCTGCATCACCTGGGTGCTGGTTATAAATGCCTACTCTCAGGCTCCTCCCTGGACCTACAGACTCAGAATCTGCATCTTAGCAAGATCACCAGATGATTCGTAAGCACAATAATATTTGAGAAATAGTGCTTTAGAAGTTTAACTTTTAAACCACTAGAGTGACAGACATGTGTACAACTTCTGGATATTATTATACCCTGAAGAAAGTGCTTTCTGTGAATTCTTACAGAGTCCTCCTTGTCACATTAATCAGATATATTGTTGATTATATCTTGATTGACATTCCTCTGGATGTCAAAATTCTAAGATAATTGTTTCTGTAAACAGTTGAGTTTAATCTACTGATCTGAGCTACATGTCATTCTTTAGTCCAGAGTATATCATTTGTTAGAAAAAATGCCAGCTCCCTTCCTGTGCTCTGGGGAAATAAATAGTTTCTTTCTTTCATAAAGACATAGAATAAAGAAGATGAAAAAAATTAAACCTCATTGTACAGTAACCTGTAAAGAGGTCACTTGCTTCTTCTATACTAAAATCAGACTGGTACTCTAAGGCATGAGTGAAGATTTGCACAAAACATTTAAGGATCTAAGACTAAAAAGAAGATCAGAGAAAAAGTCTACATTGGACAAAATGTTTTTTCATTCATTTTATTTACTTTTTAATTTTGAATTTTTATGGGTATGTTGGTGCATATTTTTATGAGGTGCATAAGATATTCTGATACAGGCATACAATGTGTAATAATCACATCAAAGTAATTGGGGTATTCATCACCTCAAGCATTTACCCTTTCTTTGTGTTGTAAACATTCCAATTATGCTTTTACTTATTTTAAAATGTACAATAAATTACTGTAGACTGTATGTGTGTACTAGATCTTATTCCATCTATCTAACTATATTTTTGCACCCATTAACAATTGACCATTCCCACTCTGCCCCCTGCCACTTCCCCACTACCCTTTCCAGCCTCTAGTAACCATCATTCTACTCTCTATCTTCATTGGTTCAATTGTTTTAAATTTTAGCTCCCACAAATGAGGGAGGACATGTGAAATTTGTCTTTATTTGCCTAGCTTATTTCACTTAACATAATTATCTCCAGTTACATCCATATTGATGAAAATAACAGGATCTCATTCTTTTTTATGGCTGAATAGTACTCCATTGTGTATATGTACCACATTTTCTTTATCCCAGATTTCTTTGAGTTGTATCCCAAAAGCACAAGTATCAAAGCAATAATGGACAACAGGGATCACATCAAGTTAAAAAAAAATGCACAGCAAAGGAAACAACAAAGTGAAGAGACAAAGAATGGGAAAAAATATTTGCAAACTGTCTGTCTGACAAGTGATTAATAGATACAATGTATAAAGGAGCTCAAGCAACTCAATAGAAAAAAATTTGTTAATGAACACTTAGATTGATTCCAAATCTTGGATATTGTGAATAGTACCACAATAAACATGGGAATGCAGATATCTCTTTGATATACTGATTTTCTTATTTTGGGTAAATGCTTATCTGTGGGATTGCTGGATCATATGCTAGTTTTATTTTTAGTTTTTTTAAGGAACCTCCGTACTGTTCTCCAGGGTGGCTATGATAATTCACATTTTCACCAACAATGTATCAGGGTTCCCATTACTCCACCACCGCACCAGCATTCATTATTGATTGTCTTTTGGATAAAAGCCATTTTAACTGGGGTGAGATGATATCCAATTGTAGTTTTGATTTGCATTTTCTCTAATAATCAGTGATGTTGAGTACCTTTTCATATATCTGTTTGCCATTTGTATGTCTTCTTCTGATAAATGCCATTTTAAATTAGATTATTATATTTTTTCCTATTTTTTTAACTTGATGTGCTCCCTCTTGACCATTATTTGATACTCATGCTTTTGGGATATTACTCAAAAAATCTGTGCCCAAACCAACGCCCTGGAGAGTTTTCCCAATATTTTCCTTTAGTAGTTTCATAGTTTGAGGTCTTAGATTTAAGTCTTTAATCAATTTTGATTTGTTTTTTGTATGTGCCAAGAGATAGTGGTCTAGTTTCATTATTCTGAATATGAATATCCTATTTTCCCAGTACCATTTATTGAAAAGACTGTGCTTTCCCCAATGCATATTCTTGGCACCTTTCTTGAAAATAAGTTCACTGTAGATGTATGGATTTATTTATTGATTCTCTATTCTATTCCATTGGTCTATGTGCCGATTTTAATGCTAGTACTGTGCTGTTTTGGTTACTATTTCTCTGTAATATAATTTGAAATCAGGTATGTGATTCCTCCAGTTTTGTTCTTTTTGCTCAGGATGGCTTCGGCTATTTGGGGTATTTTGTAGTTCCATATAAATTTTAGGTTTTTTTTTCCTACTTCTGTGAAGAATATCATTAGTATTTATTTATTTATTTTTATTTTTTTGAGACAGAGTCTTGCTCTGTCACCCAGGCTGGAGTGCAGTAGCATGATAATCAGCTCACTGCAACCTCTGCCTCCCAGGTTCAAGCGATTCTCCTGACTCAGCCTCCTGAGCAGCTGGGATTACAGGTGTGTGCCACCATGCCCGGCTAATTTTTGTATTTCTTAGCAGAGACTGAGTTTCACCATGTTGGTCAGGCTGGTCTTGAACTCCTGACCTCATGATCTGCCCATCTTGGCCTCCCAAAGTGCTGGGATTACAAGCGTGAGCCACCACACCTGGCCAATATCATCAGTATTTTGATAAGGATTGCATTGAATTTGTAGATTGCTTTGGGTATTATGGACATTTTAAAATACTAATTCTTTCAATCCATGAACATGGAATATTTTTTCATCTTTTTGTGTCCTCGTTAATTTCTTGCATCAACTTTTTACAGTTGATATGGTTTGGCTATGTCCTCACCCAAATATCTTGAATTGTAGTTCCCATAATCCCCACAGGGACTTGGTGGGAGGTAATTGAATCATGGAGGCAGTTATCTCCATGCTGTTCTCCTGAAAGTGAGTGAATTCTCAGAAGATCTGATAGTTTTATAAGGGGATTTTCCCCTTTTGCTTGGGACTTCTTGCTGCCACCATGTGAAGAAGGATGTGTTTGCTTCCCCTCCCACCGTGATTGTAAGTTTCCTGAGGCCTCCCCAGCCATGCTGAGCTGTGAGTCAATTAAACCTCTTTCCTTCATAAATTCCCAGTCTCAGGTATATCTTTATTAGCAGCATGAGAACAGACTAATATAATAAATTGGTACTGCAGAGAGTGGGGTGCTCCTATAAAGATACCCAAAAATGTGGAAGTGACTTTGGAACTGGGTAGATTGGAACAGTTTGGAGGGCTCAGAAGAAGACAGGAAAATGTGGGAAAGTTTGGAAATTCCTAGAGACTTGGAGGGCTCAAGAGACAGGGAGATGTGGGAAAGGTTGGAACTTCCTAGAGACTTATTGAATGGCTTTGACCAAAACGCTGGTAGTGATATGGCCAATGAAGCCCAGGCTGAGGTGGTTTCAGATGGAGATAAGGAACTTGTTGGAAACTGGAGTAAAGGTCGCTCTTTCTATGCAAAAAGACTGGCAGCATTTTGCTCCTCACTTAGAGATCTGTGGAACTTTTGAACTTGAGAGAGATGATTTAGGATACTTGGAAAAGAAATTTCTGAACAGAAAAGCATTCAAGAGGAGGCAGAGCATAAAAGTTTGGAAAATTTGCAGCCTGACAATGCAATAGAAAAGAAAAGCCAATATTCTGCAGAGAAATTCAAGCCAGCTGCAGAAATGTGCATAAGTAATGAGGAGCCAAATGCTAATCATCAAGACAATGGGGGAAATGTCTCCAGGGCATGTCAGAGACCTTTTTGGCAACCCCTCTCATCACGGGCCTGGAGGTCTAGGAGGAAAAAATGGTTTTGCAGGCTAGGCCCAGGACCCCCCTGCTGTGTGCAGCCTAGGGAATTGGTGCCCTGCATCCCAGCTGCCCCAGCCATGGCTAAAAGCGGCCATGGTACAGCTCAGGCCGTGGCTTCATAGGGTGCAAGCCCCAAGCCTTGGCAGTTTCCACATGCTGTTGAGCCTGCAGGTGCACAGAAGTCAATAATTGAGATTTGGGAACCTCCACCTAGATTTCAGAGGATGTATGGAAATGCCTGTGTATCTAGGCAGAAGTCTGCTGCAGGGGCAGAGACCTCATGGAGAACCTCTTCTAGGGAAGTGCAGAAGGGAATTGTAGGGTTGGAGACCCTACACAAAGTCCCCACTGGGACTCTGCCTAGAGGAGCTGTGAGAAGAGGGCCACTGTCCTCCAGACCCCAGAATTGTAGATTCACTGACAGCTTGCACCATGCAACTGGAAGAGCCACAGATACTTAATGCTAGCCTGTGAAAGCAGCAAGGAAGGAGGCTGTATCCTGCAAAGCCACAGGGGTGGAGCTGCCCAAGACCATGGGAGCCCACCTCTTGCATCAGCATGACCTGGATGTGAGACATGGAGTCAAGATCATTTTGGAACTTTAAGGTTTAATGACTGCCCTTTTGGATTTCAGACTTGCATGGGGTCTGTAGCCCCTTCATTTTGGCCAATTTCTGCCATTTGGAATGGGAGTATGTACCTCCATTTTATCTAGGAAGCAACTAACTTGCTTTTGATTTTACAGGCTCATGGGCAGAGGGGACTTACCTTGTTTCAGATAAGACTTTGGACTTGCACTTTTGAGTTAATGCTGGAATGAGTTAAGATTTTGGGGGACTGTTTGGAAGGCATGATTGTGTTTTGAAATGTGAAGACATGAGATTTGGGAGGGGACAGGAGTGGAATGATATGGTTTAGCTGTGTTCTCACCCAAATCTCATGTTGAATTATAGTTTCCATAATCGCCACATGTTGTGGGAGGGACCTGATGGGAGGTATTTGAATCATGGGAGTGGTTACTTCCATGCTGTCCTCCTGAAAGTGAGTTCTCACAAGATCTGATAGTTTTATAAGGGGCTTTTCCCCTTTTGCTTGGCTCTTCTCCTTGCTGCCACCATGTGAAGAAGGACATGTTTGCTTCCCCTTCCACCATGATTGTAAGTTTCCTGAGGTCTCTTCCAGCCATGTTGAATTGTTCCCATTAAATCTTTTTTCCTTTATAAATTACTGAGTATCAGTAATAGTTATAATAAAATAAATTTCATTATAGAGACCTATTACTTATTTGGTTAAGTTTATACCTATGTATTTTACTTTACTTGCAGCTATTGCAAATGGGATTATATTCTTAATTTCTTTTTCAGATTGTTTGATGTTGGCATATAGAAATGGTACTGATTTTTGTATGTTGACTTTGTGCCCTGAAACGTTACTGAATTTGTTTATCAGTTCTAATAGTTTTTCTGGTGGAGTCTTTAGGTTTCTCCAAATATAAGATCGTGTTACCTGCAAACAAGGATAATTTGACTTCTTCCTTTCCAATTTAGATCCACTTTATTTCTTTCTCCCATATCTTTGCTCTAGTTGAGACTTCCAGTACTTTACTTAATGACAGTGGTGAAAGTGGGCATCCTTGTCTTGTTTCAGATCTCGAGGAAAGACTTAGTTGTTCCTCATGCTGTATGATACTAGATGTGGATTTGTCATACATGACTTTTTTTGTTGAAGTAGTTTCTTCTTTATCCAGTTTTTTGAGAGATTTTTATCATGAAGGGGTGTTGAATTATATCAAATGTTTTTTCAGCATCAATTGTAATGGTTATGTGATTTTTGTCCTTTATTCTTTTGATATGATGTATCACATTGATTGATTTGCATACATTAAACCATCCTTGCATGTCTGGAATAAATCCCACTTGATTATAATGCATCTTTTTAATGTTCAGATGAATTCAGTTTGCTAGTATTTTGTTGAGAATTTTTGCATAAATTTTCATCAGAGATACTGGCCTATCTCTCTCTCTCTCTCTCTCTCTCTCTCTCTCTCTCTCTCTCTCTCTCTCTCATTTTTTGATGTGTTTTTGTCTGGTTTTGGCATTAGGGTAATAATGGCTTCATAGAATGAGTTTGGATGTATTCCCTCCTCCTCTATTTTTCAGAATAGTTTGAGTAGGATTGGTATTAGTTCTTCTTTAAATGTTTGGTAAAATTCTGCAGGGAAGCCATGAAGTCCCAGAGTTTTCTTTGCTAGGAGATTTAATTTCATTACTTGTTGGTGTTCTATTCTGAATTTGGATTTCTTCATTGGTCAATCTTGGTAGATTGTATGTATCTAGAAATTTATCAATTTCTTTTGGTTTTTCCAATTTATTGGCATATAGTTATTCAGAATAGTCTCTAATGACTTTTGAATTTCTGTGGTATCAGTTTTAATATCTCCTTTTTCATCTCTGATTTTATTTATTTGGGTCTTCTCTCTTTTTTTTCTTAGTCTGGCTAAAGATTTGTTGATTTTGCTTATCTTTAAAAAAACAACTTTTCATTTCATTGAGCTTTTGTGTTGTAGTATTTCTTTTCTTCTAATAATTTTGGGCTTAGTTTGCTCTTGTTTTTCTAGTTGTTTAAAATACATCATTAGGTTGTTTACTGTTTATTAGGTTGTTTATTGATTATTAGCTTGCTTATTGAAAAGTTTCTACTTGTCTGAGGTAGGTGCATGTTGCTATAAACTTTTCTTTTAGTATCGCTTTTGTTGCACTCCTATTGGTTTTGGTATATTGTGGTTTCATTTTAATTTGCTTCAAGAAATTTTTAAATTTCCTTTTTTTTTTTTGAGATGGAGTTTCGTTCTTGTTGCCCAGGCTGGAGTGCAATGGTGCAATCTCGACACACCACAACCTCCGCCTCCTGGGTTCAAGCAATTCTCCTGCCTCAGTCTCCTGAGTAGCTGGGATTACAGACATGTGCCACCACGCACTGCTAATTTTGTATTTTTATTAGAGACAGGGTTTCTCCATGTTGGTCAGGCTGGTCTCGAATTCCCGACCTCAGGTGATGCGCCTGCCTCAGCCTCCCAAAGGGCTGAGATTACAGGCATGAGCCACTGTGCCTGGCCTAAATTTACTTCTTAATTTATTAATTGAAGCATTGGTCATTCAGAGCATATTGTTTAATTACCATGAGTTTGTATAGATTCCCAAGTTCTTCATATTATTGATTGTAGTTATATTCCATTATTCTCAGAGAAGTTACTCGATATGATTTCAATTTTTTTAATATTTAAAGACTTGTTTTGTGGTCTAACATATGGTCTATCCTTGAGTGTAATCTATGTGCTGAGAAGAATGTGTATTCTGCATCCATTGGATGAAAGGTTCTATAAATATCTATTATATCCATTTGGTCTATAGTGCAGATTAAGTCCAATGTTTCTTTGTTGATTTGCTGTCTCAATGATCTGTCTGTCCAATGCTGAAAGTGGAGAGTGTTGAAGTCTCCAGCTATTATTGTATTGCAATCTATCTCTCTATATAGGTCTAATAATATATGCTTTATATATCTGGGTATTCCAACAGTGGGTGCATATATATTTACCCAATATCCTCTTGGTGAATTGACCCCTTTATCATTATATAACAATCTTTGTCTTTTTTATAAGTTTTGTCTTGAAATCTATTTTATCTTATGTAAGTATAGCTACTTCTGTTTTTATTTTTATTTGCATAGAGTATTTTTCTAGCCTTTTATTTTCAGTCTATGTGCTTCTTTACAGGTGAAGTATCTTGTAGATCATTGGATCTTGTTTTTTTTTTTTCAATCCTTTCAGCCACTCTATGTCTTCTGATTATATAATTTAGTCTATTTATATTCAATGTTTTTAATTGATAAGTAAGGATTTAGTATAGCCACTTTGCTATTTGTTTTCTGGTTGTTTCTTGGTCTTGTCTTCCTTCCTTTCTTTCTGTCTTCTCTTTTCTGAAAGTGATTTTCTCTGATGGTATGTTTTAATTTCTTGCTTTTCATTTTTTATGTCTGTTACAGGTTTTTTGATTTGAGGTTCCATGAGGCTTGCACATAACGTCTTATAAATCATTATTTCAGCTGATAAAACTTTAACTGACTACAAAAACAAACAAAGAGAAAAACTAATGAACACTCTATGCTTTAACTTCATCCACACCACTTTATAACTTTTTACTGCTTTTCTATTGATATCTTATTATACTATCTCTGCATTAAAAAGTCATTGTAGTTATTATTTTTGATAGGTGTGACTTTTAGTCTTCCTACTCAAGATATGAATAATTTACACACCACAGTTACAGTGATATAATATCCTGTATTTGTGTACTCATTATTACCAGTGAGTTTTGTACCTTCAGGTGATTTCTTATTGCCTGTTAACATCCTTTCCCTTCACATTAAAGAACTGTCCTTAGCATTTCTTGTAAGACATGTCTGGTGTTGATGAAATCCCTCAGCTTTCGTTTGTCTGGGAAAGTCTTTATTTCTCCTTCATTTATGTAGGGTATTTTTGTTGGATGTACTATTCTAGGCTAAAAGTTTTTTCCCTTCAGCACTTTAAATATGTGACGCCACTCTCTTCTGGCCTCTAAGCTTTCCAATGAGAAATCTGCTGCCAGGTGTATTGGAGCTCCTTTATATGTTGTTTGTTTCTTTCTTTTGCTGATTTTATGAATCTTTCTTTATCTTTGACCTTTGGGAGCTTGATTA
This sequence comes from Homo sapiens, assembly GCF_000001405.40. NCBI lineage: Eukaryota > Metazoa > Chordata > Mammalia > Primates > Hominidae > Homo > Homo sapiens. Next base: position 37,780,859 of record NC_000007.14, read on the forward strand.
TTAAATGTCTTTAGGTATTCTTATTTGGGTTAAATATGCTTGGTGGCCTATACCATTCTTATACTTAAACATGAATATATTTGTATATTTTGGAAAGGTTCTCTATTATTATCCATTTGAATAAACATTCTACCCTGATCTCTTTCTCTCTGCTTCCTTATTAAGGCCAATAACTCTTAGATATGCCCTTCTGAGGCTATTTTCTAGGCTTGTAGGCATGCTTCACTCTTTTTTTCTTTTGTTTAATCTGTGTGTTTTCAAATCGCCTATCCTTAAGCACACTAATTCCTTCTTCTGCTTGATCAATTCTGCTGTTGAGACACAGTAATGCATTCTGCAGTTTGTCAATTGATTTTTTAATTCCAGAATTTCTGCTTGATTTAAAAAAATTATTTCAATCTCTTTACTAAAGTTATCTGATAGGACTCTGAATTCCTTCTCTGTGTTATGTTGAAATTCATTGAGCTTCCTCAAAACAACTGTTTTGAATTCTGTCTGAAAGGTCACATATTTCGGTTACTCTGGGATCGGTCACTGGTAATTTATGTAGCTTGTTTGATGTAGTCACATTTACTTAGATGATTTTGAGGCTTGTGGACATTCACTGATATCTGGGCATTGAAGAGCTAGATATTTATTCTAATCTTCACACTCTGGGCTTATTTGTACCTGTCTTTCTTGAGAAGGCTTTCCAAGTATTCAAAGGGAATTGAGTGTTGTGATTTAAGTCTTTGGTCACTCACTGCAGCCACATCTGCATTAGGAGACACCCCAAGCCCAGTAACAATGTGACCCTTGCAGACTTGTAAAAGCATCATTTTGGTGGTCTTGGGTAAGATCTGGGTGAATTCCCTGAATTCCCAAGCATTGTCTCTGGTTCACTTTCCATACTTTTCCCCCAAACAAATGGAGTCTCCCTGTCTGTGATGAGCTGCCTGGAGTTGGGGAAGGGGTGATGGAACCACTCCTGTGGCCTCCATTGCTGGGTCACACCTGAAGCCAACACAGTACGGTCTCACCCAAGGCCTGTGGAGACTGTTGCCTAGCTATCACTGATGTTTATTCAAGGCCCATGGGCTCTTTAGTCAGCAAGTGGTATATCCTTCCAGGCCTGTGTCTTTTCCTTCAGGTCAACAGGTTCCCTTCTGGCCCAGGATTGACCTAGAAATGTTATCTGGGGAATAGGGCCTGAAATCAGGAATTTAAGGAGTCTACTTGGTGCTTTATTTTACTATGGCTGAACTCATACCCAAGTTGCAAGACAAAGTCCTTTTACTCTTCCCTCTCCTTTCCTCAAGCAAGAGTCTCTCCCTGTGTCTGCCACTGCCCTGGCCCATGCTGACTACTGCCTAGCTACTGCTGATGTTTATGCAAGGCCCAAGGGCTCTTTAGCCAGCAGGTTGTGGTGAATCCTGCCAGGACTGAGTCCTTCCTTTCAGGACAGCAGATTCCTTTCTGGCCCAGGGAGCTAGGGCCTGGAACAGGGGCTTCAGGACTCTGCTTGGTGCTTTATTTTACTGTGGCTAAGTTGATATTCAAGCTACAAAACAAAGTCTTCTTTGTTCTTCCCTCAAGTGGAAGAAGTCTCAGAGCTGTGTGCTGTGATGCCTGGAGTTGGGGGAAGGGTGATGAAAGCAATCTCTTGGCCCTGACATCTCAGCTGGTGTCTCACTAGGTCACATGCACTCCAAGTCCACTGGAGTGCCCAGGAATTGCACTTCTTGTGACCTAGACTATCTTTCTTTCAAATTTATTTAGGACCCTGAGCACTTTAACCTGCAGTGGTGAAGCTAACTGAAGCTCAGGTTCAGGCCACTAAGATGAGCGATTCTCCTCTGGAATGCTCCCTCCATGGGCAAAAGCTGGATTCTGCCTGGTGTTGCTCTCCATTGTTACAGGGAAGCACTGATTTCCAATGCAAAGCCCCACAATTACTCACTTTTCCTCCTGCAAGCACACAAATTATCTCTCCATGCTCCACATGGTGCTGTGGAATGATGGGAAAGGTGTGTTTCAAGACTGTCTTTCTTACCCTCTTCCATTCCCCTTTCCTTGATCTGATGTTAAAACCACATACTGTGATTGCTCACCTGAATTTTGCTTCTTAAGAAGGTGATTTCTTGTGTGGATAATTGTTCAATTTGATATTCCTTTGGCAGGATGATAAATTGAGGGCTTTATTTAGTCATCTTGCTCCTCCCTCTCTCATTCTTGATTGAATGTACCCATGCTATGGGATGCTTCCAAAGTGTTAAGATATACAATGCCCTCAACTGTGAACTGGGATCAGAAAACAATTGACTTTTATTTTTCACTCATCTATAACTAAATCTGTCATTTCCATCTATTATAAATATAGACAAAAAAGGAGAATTGTATTAGAGAAACCAGTGTCTCTGTCACCAGTAGGAATCACAGATCATTTAACATTACACTGCAACTGTGGCAAATTCTCAGAATACCATTTATGCAAATCATGACTTCAATATTACAGTGACCATTAAACCTGTCACTAGATACTGTATTTACTATACTAATAAAGAAACACATATATTAATATTAAAATAAAGATATACAGTGCCCTAAAAAGGCTGTCTTTGGAAATGGAGAAACCTCCAGCTGTAGGGGATTTGAGAGATCCCTTTGGGTACCAGTTCTGGTTAAGAAAGGAGGATGGACTGAGAATCTCAGAGCCAGGGCATTTCAATACTTTCTACTCAGGCTGCCTCTCTGGGTTCTGTTCCTTCCCTGCAAAATAATGTATATGGATTTGATAGAGCCTTTTTTTAGGTCAGTTCTCCTCACATTCAACACTGATCCCAGAAAAGTTTTGAAAATGAAGTTAAGAATGATTAAATAGCTATCTACAAAAGAAGGGTTATTCCACGACTATTCTCAGAAAATCATGTATAGTTAGACCATCATTGAAAATATTGAATTACTTGAACAAATATGTGCAAGGCATTATTCTGGGCATTGGGAAATAACAATAAACAATATAGTTAGGGCCATGTGGAATATATTGTTAGAAAAGTGTTAGCTAAATCAGCAACTGCTAATTCTCAAACCTGTTTACCCTCCCTGTTTACACTGATCAAGACTATAAAATGCCAGGTGGGGGTGCCTTGTTTGATTTTAAAGTATAGTGACTAAGTCCACTAAGATATTGGAGGCAGAATATCTCAGCAGAAGGCGGACAAGGAACCCATGCCAAGTAATAGGGCAATAAAAACATCTGGTGGAAAGTCATATGCAAAGAATTCAAATAGAATAATGTGATAGTGCTTGAGCAGTTTCCTAACACTGTGGCAGTCAAAGCAGCCTTCCCCAAGTAGGTGCCATTAATACTGAGAATGGAATGACCAGGGACTGCCCCACATGTGGAAGTGAGAAAAGCACTCCAGGCAGAGAAACCCACAGGTGGAAAGATCACAATGCACAAAGAGCTGGGTGGGCTCCAGGAGCAAAATAAAATCCAAGGGATGGAGCGTGGCATGGTAGGAATTATGGTCAAGCATATAAAAGGAGGATGTCGTAGGCCAGCATAAATCTCTCTCTGTATTCATTAGAGATCCCTTCTAGTGGCTAATCTCAACTCTCTTGCTGCACTTAAAATCATTTATCATTTTGTTAGATGTAGAGAGCACTCTTATAGGGCAGGGTATGCATTTATAAATATTTGAAGACTAATATCCACAGCTTTCAACCATCCAAGACTTTTGTGTGCCAACTATGATTTCATTATTTGAGACTATATCTAGACTAGAAAATAAATGCCAGATAATAATTTTTTTTTTAACATGCTTGTTTTCTTGGTCCTATGGATGCTCAGAAATGCTGCCTTGGATCACCTTCCTCTGGGGGAGGAGTGAGAGAGACAGAATGTCCTTTGTGGGCCTTCATCTCTCATCTGCAAAGTGGAAGACAGGGATGGGATAACCTATCTGGACACTTCTCATTTGAAATCTCATGTCTCAATGGAAGAAAGGTCTATTGTACCATTGCTGGGAAATCTCCGTTTTGTGGTTTCTCCTCAGGCTACCTCTCTGGGTTCTGTTTCTTCCCTGTAAAATACTTTAGCAACAGAACCCAGAGAGTCAGCCTGAGTGGAAAGCACTGAAATGCCCTGGCTCTGAGATTCTCAGTTTATCCTCCTTTCTTAACCAGCTCTGCCACCCAACGTGACCATCTCAAATCCACTACAGCTGGAGGGTTCTCCAAATTCCAAAGATGGCCTTTTTAGGGCACTGTGTATCTTAACACTTTGGAAGCATCCCAGAGCATGGATACATTCAATCAAGAGTGAGACAGAGTGAGACATGCACATACGCAGAGAAGGAAAGATGAATAAAGAGAGATACTTTATGAATGTAGGTGCCTAGTGTGAAGAGCCTACACACTACTCCTAGTTTCTAGGTTGGCTAAGACTCTGGGATTTTTTAGATCAAACAGGGCACCAAGCCTGGCATCTCAAGTTTTTGGCTAATGACTTTTGAGTGTAAACAGGTTTGGAAATTGGCAGTTGCAGATTTTGTTACCACTTTCCTAAAAATACTTCAGAGTGGCAATTTAAGGACTCTAGAGAAGAAAAGTGACCTCCACCCATTCTTTCAGGAGCAGAGATTGCCCAGCAATGGCCATTTCAAATGGCACTTCCATGGAAAAGGAGAAGTGAGCAAGTTGGTGGCATCTCCAGCAGCATTTGCTTTGGACTTGCCTCAGCCGAGGACAGATTGACTTTGTCTTCTGAAAATGAAATTAGGCTAATCATTTATGTTAATGTTTTAATTTAACAGTTTAGAGGGGGAAAATAATTATGTTTAAAGAATTTTAATTCTCTAGGATTTAAAAATAAACTTCTACTTAAAGGTTAAGTTCCAACTCAAAAATAAGATTCCAGATAGCAAAAAGAAGGTGGAAAATGAAGCCATAGATAGTTAATGTGTCTGCCAGAGACTATCTCAAATTCCTTGCCATGTGTACATCATGGGGCAGTGGAAATAAAGACTTGGAACACAAACCCTGGTTTTCATCTTTATCTTCTCCCTAAGTAGCCCTGTGGCCTTGTGGTAAATTCCTAAACTCCGAATTGGGGTGGCTTCATCTCTTAAATAAGAGAATTATATTATTCTGGAGTAAATTATTTCTGAGCTCTCGTATTAAGGAATTGTTAGTTTTCTTTAAAATCTTGGCACTACCCAAGAAAAAAGTGCTGAATTCTGAGTATAGTAAGAAAATATATGAAACACCTGCATTCTTCTAGCTGTGTTGCAAATGCAATATGTACAGATTTTAGTACTTTGAAATCGTAATATCATCAATGTGAACAATTAAAGTTTGTGTTGGTCATAGTTCCAAATTGTAGCTGATTTTTATTTTTATACTCCACTCTTGGTCACATCTAACTTATTTCTTAGTTTGTCCTTTGTTAGACAAGCAATCCCTAAATATAGCACGGTTTCTATGGGAACATACATTCTCCTGAAGATTCCAGGAACACGTTTTATCTGAAAAATAAGGAACTGTCAGATAATACGTCCAAATTCAGGACTATAACCCAGGTTTTATATTTTTGAATTAATTTCATTTAAGTAGAGTTGTTTAAAATTAGTTGAAAAATTGGTTTCATGTGAAATTTTCCAGCTGAGTTGAATTGGTACATATTTGATTTTGATAATAAGAATTAAAATCTTATCTTTTATTGAGAGCTTTTTTTGAAATAATTAAGCATATGGCTCCATAACATTTGGATTCTGTTGTTTTACATCTCTGTGGCCACAAGCACTGTTGGATGATTGTGGAGCAGATGGCACAGGTGGGGACAATACTTACTCTTTTCCAAAGCAAATGAGAACTTTATCAGTTGTTACCTAAACGTAGGCCATAACGCACTTGCATTATGCATTTTTGTCCTTTTGAATTCCTGTAGCTGAGCAATAATATGATTTGGTGCTGAGTTTTCCTGTAACTGCTAGTTCCTTCCATCTTTAGGGTGTAGTCACCCAATACTTCCTCAAAAGTATGCCTTGATGTCTTAGCACAGCTACAGATGACTGTGAAGTTAGGGCAGAAAGTGAGAAGGTTGACATATGAAAATTAAAAACTTTTGAGGAAAACAACCCTCATTGTTGAAGTTACATCACCAGAGGATTGGACTTCAAAGAAAACCATATGTCCAAATGGCAGTTGATGAGAGAAGGGACCTTTGAAAATGGAAAATTATAGTTATAAATATTGGACGCTTACTGCTGAGAATACAAAAGTCTCACAGGAAGTCATGCCACAGGTCGTTTTCATTCTGAATGTGAAACATTTGGGGCAATACATAAAAGTACAATGAGAAACAGCATTGAAAAATACCTTTTAAGTGTTTCATTTTAATAAGAAATATTTCTGAAAATAAGACATTGAGAGTGAAAATGAAGCATTTACTTATGAGAATATTCTCGAATGTGTTTCACCACTAACTGTAGAGATAAACATTCCTTTGTGGCTGGGATGGCTCATCTGGGCTCTTCATTTTCACTGTTCCTCCTTGTGAGCCTTCAGTCTAAAGCTATTCTCTCGCTTCCTCATTTTTCACATGGTTTTAAAGACTGTTGAGGTTAGCGAAGTCTTGGTTCCAGTAAACTGCTCTCATTGCCTGCCCTGATCATGATTAGCAAATGACTATGGTAAATTATATCCTTATAAAAGATAATATTAGGAGTAATATTCCCCTGAAATACTATGAAAAATATCACACGGTGTACATCCACTGTGATATTAGGAGTAAATTCCCCCTAGGATATTATGAATAATATCACAGGGTATAATATCACACCCACTGTGATATTAGGAGCAATATCCCCATAAGATATTCCAAATAATGTCACAGGATGTACACAACAGGTGTACATCCACTATGATATTAGGAGTAATATCCCCATAAGATATTACAAATAATGTCACATGGTGTACAAACCGAGTGTACACCCACTGGAATATTAGGAGTAATATTCCCCTAATATATTACGAATAATGACACAGGGTGTACAACATTGGTGATATTAGGAGTAATATCTCACTAAGATATTACAAATAATATCACAAGGTGTACACCCACTGTGATATTAGGAGTAATAAGCAACTAATACATTACAAATAATATCACAGGGCATACACACAAGTTGTACACAAACTGTATTATTAGGAATAATATCCCCCTAAGATATTATGAATAATAACACAGGGTGTACACCCACTTTAATATTAGGAGTAACATCCTTCTAAGATATTATGAATGATTTCACAGAGTGTGCACCCACTGTGATATTAGGAGTAATATCTCCCTAAGATATTATGAATAATATTACAGGGTGTACACACCGTGAGGTATTCGTAGTAATGTCCCCCTAAGATATTACGAATAATATGACAGGGTGTACATCCACTGTGATATTAGGAAGAACATTCCCCAAAGATATTAAGAATAATATAACAGGGTGTACCTCCACTGTGATATTATAAAAAATATCTTCCTAAGATATTATGAATAATATCACCAGATATACACGCTGGTGTACATTTACTGTGATATTAGGAGTAATAGCCTTCTAAGATATTATGAATAATACCAACGGGTGTACACACCAGGTGTACACCCACTGTGATATTAGGAGTAATGTCCCTTAAGATATTAGGAATAATATCAAAAGGTATACACACACTGTGATATTAGGAGGAATATCCCCCTAAGATATTACAAATAATATCACCTGGTGTAAACCCACTGTAATATTAGGAGGAATACCCTTCTAAGATATTACGAATAACATCACCAGGTGTACACCAACTGTGATATTAGGAGGAATATACTCCCAAAATATTAGAAATAATATCACAGGGTGTACACCCGCTGTGATACCAGGAATATCCCCCTAAGGTATTACGAATAATATCACTGAGTGTACAGCCACTGTGATATTAGAAGGAATATCCCCCGAAGATATTATGAATAATATCACAGGATGTATACCCACTGTGATATTAGGAAGAATATCCTCCAAAGATATTAGGAATAATATCATAGAGTGTACACCCTCTGTGATGTTAGGAAAAATATCCCCCTAAGATATTACAAATAATATCACAGGGTGTACACCCATTGTGATATTAGGAGGAATATTTTCCTAAGATATTATGAATAATATTACAGGGTGTAAACCCATTGTGATATTAGGAGGAATATCTCCCTAAGATATTAAGAATAATATCACAGGCTGTATAGTCGTTGTGATATTAGGAGGAATATTCCTGTAAGATATTATGAGTAATATCACAAGGTGTACACACATTGTGATATTAGGAAAATATTCCCCTAAGATAATAAGAATAATATCACAGAGTGTACACCCACTGTTATATTAGAAGGAATATCCTCCTAAGATATTACAAATAATACACAGAGTGTACACTCACTGTGATATTAGGAGGAATATCCTTCTAACATATTATGAATAATATCACAGGGTGTACACCCACTCTAATATTAGGAGGAATATCCTCCTATGATATTACGAATAATATCACAGTGTGTACAACCGCTGTGATATTAGTAGAAATATCCCTTTCAGATATTACTTATAATTTCACAGATTGTACACACACTGTGATATTAGAAGAAATATCTCCCAAAATATTACAAATAATACTGCAGCATGTACACCGCAGGTGTACACACACTGTGATATTAGGAGTAATTTCCCCCTAAGATATTAGAAATAATATCACTGGGTGTACACCCACTGTGATATTAGGTGTATTATCCATCTGAGATATTATGAATAATATCACCGGCTGTACACCCAGTATGATATTAGGAGTAATATCCTTCTGAGATATTAAGAATAATATCACCGTGTGTATACACGCTTCTATATTAAAAGTAAAATCCCCCTGATATATTACAAATACTATCACTGGGTGTACACCCACTGTGATATTAGGAGCACTATCCTCCTGATATTATAAATTACTTTTAATACCACTGTACACCCACTGTGGTATTAGGAGTAATATCCCTGTAAGATATTACGAATAATATGAGCAGGTGTACATTCACTGCGATATCAGGAGAAATAGCCTCCTGATATACTACGAATAATATCACCAGGTATACATCCACTGTGATATTAGGAAAAATATCCCCCTAAGATAATACGAATAGTATCACAGGGTGTACACCCACAGTGATATTAGGAGGAATATCCCCCTAAGATATTACGAATAATATCACAGGGTGTATGTACATTCACAGTGATATTAGGAGGAATATCTTCCTAAGATATTCCGAATAATATCTCAGGGGGTACGCTCACTGTAATATTAGGAGAAATATTCCCTGAAGATGTTATGAATAATAACACAAGGTTTACACCCACTGTGGTATTATAAGGAATATCCATCTAAGATATTACAAATAATATCACCAGGTGTAAACACCAGGTGTACACCCACTGTGATATAACCGGGGGTACACCCACTGTGATGTTAAGAGTAATATCCCCTGAGATATTACTCCTAATATCACCGGGAGTATACACCCACTTTGATATTAGAAGTAATATTTTTCAAATATATTACTCCTAATATCACTGGGTGTACGCATCGGGTGAATATTCACTGTGATATTAGGAGTAATGCCACTCTAAGATATTGTGAATAATATCACTGGTTGTACACACTGGGTGGGTACAAATATCTTTCTAAGATACTACTCCTAATATCAGGGTGTACCAGTTGTACACCCACTGTGATATTAAAAGTAATATTTCCCTAAGATATTATGAATATCATCACTGAGTGTACACCCACTGTGATATTAGGATTAATAGCCCCCTAAGGCATTACAAATAATATCACCGGGTGTACACACTGGTCGTACACCTACTGAGATATTAGGAGTAATACCCCCTAAGATATTACAAATAATATCATAGGTTGTCCACACACTGTGATATTAGGAGGAATATTCCTCTAAGATATTTTGAAAACCATCATTGGGTTCCCCCCTCCAATAATATTAGGAGGAATACCTCTCTAAGATATTACAAATAATATCACCAGGTGTACACCCACTGTGATATTAGGAGGAATATTGCCCTAAGATATTACAAATAATATTGCATGGTGTACACTCACTGTGATATTGGGAAAAATATCCCACTAATACATTACGAATAATATCACAGGGTGTACACCCATTGTGATATTAAGAGGAATCCCCCCTAAGATATTACAAATAATATCACAGGGTTTACACCTATTGTGATATAAGAAATGCCTTCCTAAGATATTACTAATAATATCACAGGGTGTACACAGCGAATAATATCGCTGCGATATTAGGAGGAATATCCCCCTAAGATATTACAAATAATATCACAGGTTGTACACCCACTGTCATATTAGAAGAGATATCTCCCTAAGATATTATGAATATCACAGGATGTACACCCACTATGATATTAGGAAAAATATCCCCCTAAGACATTATGAATAATATCAGTGTGTACACCCAATGTGATATTAGGGGGAATATCCCTGAAAGATATTATGAATAATTTCACAGGGTATATACCCACTGTGATATTAGGAGAAATATCCCCCTAAGATATTACAAATAATATCAAAGGGTGCACACCACTGTGATATTAGCAGGAATACCCCCCTAATATATTATAAATAATATTACAGGATATACACCCACTGTGATACTAGAAGGAATATCCTCCTAATATAATATGAATAATAATACAGGGTGTACACCTATTGTAATGACAGGCAGAATATCCCCCTAAAGTATTACGTATAATATCACAGGGTGTACACCCACTGTGATATTAGGATAAATATCTCCCAAAGATATTACAAATAATACGACAGGGTGTATACCCACTATGATATTAGGAGAAATTTCCCCGTAAGACATTATGAATAATATCACAGGGTGTACAGCCACTGTGATATGAGGAGGAATATCCCCCTAAGATATTCCTTATAATATCACATGGTGTACACCCACTGTGATATTATAAAGAATATTATTTTAAGATATTATGAATAATATTACAGGGTGTACACTCACTGTGATATCAGGAGGGGAATCCCTGAAGATATTACAGGGTGTACACCCACTGTGATGTTAGGAAGAATATCCCCATAAGATATTATGAATAATATCACCAGGTGTATATCCACTGTGATATTAGAAGTAATATCCCCCTGAGATATTACCAATAATATCACTGGTGTACACCCACAGTGAAATTAGGAGTAATATCCCCCTGAAATATTGTGAATAATATCACGTGTGTACACCCACTGTGACATTAGGAGTAATATCCCCCTAAGGTATTATGAATAGTATCACCGGGTGTACACCCACTGTGATATTAGGAGTAATATCCTCCTAAGATACTATGAATAATATCACCGGGTGTACACCCATGGTGATATTAGGAGTCATAGCCTTCTGAGATATGACTCCTGATAACACTGTGTGTACATCCACTGTGATACCAAAAGTAATAGCCCCCTGAGATATTACTCCTAATATCACCAGGTGTACACCCACTGTGATATTAGCAGTAATATTCCTCTAAGATATTACAAATAATATCAGTGGGTGTATACCCACTGTGATATGAAGAGGAACATCCTCCTAAGATATTACGAAGAATATCAAATGGTGTAAACCCCGGGTGTACACCCACTGTGATATTGGGAGGAATATCCCCCTAAGATATTAGGAATAATGTGGACACACTGGGTGTACAACGACTGTGAGAGGAGGAAGAATATCCTTCTAAGATATTATGAATAATATCATAGGGTCTACACCCCGGGTGTACACGCACTGTGATGTTAGGATGAATATCCTTCTAAGATACTATAAATAATATCACAGGGTGTACACAACGCATGTACACCCACTGTGATACTAGGATGACTACACCCCTAAGATATTACGAATAATATCACTAAGTGTACACACCTGGTGTACACCCACTATTATATTAGGTGGAATATCCCCCTAAGATATTATGAATAACATCACAGGGTGTCCACATACTGTGGTATTAGGAGTAATATCCCCCTAAGAGATTACGAATAATATCACAGGGTCTACTCTCACTGTGATATTTCCAGTAATATTTCCCTGAGATATTGCAAATAATATCACAGGGTGTACACCCACTGTGATATTAGGAGTCAACCCCCCCAACATATTATGAATAATATCATAGTGTGTACATTCACTATGATATTAGCAGTAATATCCCCCTAAGGTATTACAAATAATATGACAGGGTGTATACCCACTGTGATATTAGGAGTAATATCCCCCGAAGATATTATGAATAATATCACAGGGTGTACACCCAGAGTGATATTAGAAGTAATATCCCCCAAGTTATTATGAATAATATCACAGTGTGTACACAGCAGGTGTACACCCACTATGATATTAGGGGTAATATTCCCCTACGATGATATTGCAAATAATATTACAGGTTATATACCCACTGTGCTATTAAGCACATTGTAACAGGAAAAGAACAAGTAAATAGTTTGTATAGCCATTTGTTTCTGAGTATAATACAGATCCAAAAATGTCTTTACTTGGTTTTAATAAGCAAGTACCATCCCAGAAATTAAGGGTTTTTGAAAGATAATGTTACGAGTGGTTGTGCAGTCATAGGATAGGGTCTTGAGGGATATGAAAAGTGATTGTGTAACTTATCCCCTCCTTCTGAATTTGTCCTTATGAATTTAAATATTTGTAGGTTTCTGAGAGGCAATTTAAGCAGAATGGGCTTTTGCACGTTGTGTTTGTGAAATATCTTTATGTCCATTATAGAAGGACACATGACGTTGACACTTCAATAACCTATAATATGTCAGAGAGTCTGTTAGGTTCTTTGCAGATGTGATCTAACTTCCTACCTACAAAAATCTTACAAAATAGGCATTATCATTCTCATTTTTATAGCTGAAGAAACAGCTACAGAGTTAAATATCTGTCTCATGATTCACCAGGTAGTAAGGTGTGGCACTACCTGTCTGTTTCCAAACATCACACTGCCTTAGGAGATATGTTCATATAAACCATGGAAGTGATAAATAATTTAGGTTTTTCATTCTCTTGAAATTATTTTAAAAGATCCTGTATGCTTAGACTTAAGGATGACCAATATTTTAAAACTAAATCAGTATCATATTTATTGCTTGTTAAGTCATATAAACCTACTCTATTTTACCCAAAAGCTTATAAGCATTACATTTTATATATATATATACTTCTAAAAATGCATATTTTAACACATAAAACTTAGATCACTATGTCAGTTGTAATTATGTTTTTAAGTTGCCATAAAATCTTATTGAGGGTAGTAAATATGCCAAGTCCAATATAATCTATCACAAACAAAAAGATTACTTATTCTAGGAAGATTCTGTAGTAGCAGAGGAAAAGCTCTAAGATATTTAGACTTTCACTGTGGAATAACTTTTCACTCTGATAGAATCAAACTCCAATCTGGCCAGGTAGGCAGGAGATACATGAAGAAAATGACACAGGTCTTCCCAGAGAGAATATTTTGAGCTGTTGGTGCCTGGGTTTCTCATACTGTCAGAAAAAAGTCTGGAAAAGTTATTGTTTGTTTTTAAACAGTTAGATATTTACTAAATAGCTATTGATGCAACCATAATTTTATGGATCGTAACTATGTTTCTGCCCCTACTTACAGTAGAGAGGAAGAGGCAAATAATGTCATCTTGTGGTTGTTGTTTTGCCATAAGAACCATAACATTTATATGGCTTTTTTTTTTTTTTTTTTTTGAGATGGAGTCTCACTCTGACACCCAAGCTGGAGTGCAGTGGCGTGATCTCGGCTCACTGTAACCTCTGCCTCCGGGGTTCGAGCAATCCTTCTGCCTCAGCCTCCCGAGTAGCTGGGGCTACAGGAGCGCGCCACCACGCCCAGCTAATTTTTTTTTTTTTTTTTTTTTTTTTTTTTTTTTTAGTAGAGACAGGGTTTCACCATATTGGCAAGGCTGGTCTCGAACTCCTGACCTCGTGATCCACCAGCCTCGGCCTCCCAAAGTGCTGGGATTACAGGTGTGAGCCACCACACCCTGCCAATTTACTTAATTTTTGAATAGCCCTTTAAGTCAGGCAGTACAACCTTTCTCGCTTCACAGCTGAAGCTCTGAGAAGCCAAGTAACTCACGGCAGGCCCACAGTAACTAAATGACAGAGTTGGCACTTATTTGCAGGGTGGCAGATCGACAATGCTCTGTCCTTCTGCTGCGTGATCACTGCCCCTTAAACTCTCACTTAAATAAAAACTAAAAAGAACTATCTTCAATCCCCAACATTTCACCAAAATGTAACACATCAGTGCAAGAAGAGATTCAGGTCTAAAAAGAAAGGACTGTAGGAAATATATATATTATATGCTACTTTCTGCTCAATAGATCCCACAGAAAATATTCTAAAATGTTGTCTGATATACTGTCTTACAATAAATACACATGATTAGTGTCTTTTTCTCTACGTTTTCCCCAGTTGGATCGCATGACAATAGGAGAACGACCTTTATATATCTGACCTAAGTGTGGACTGGATGTATACTGATCCTGCATTTACTTAAAATTTTGTTATTTTTTTCATGATATTTTGCATTAATTTTTATTTTAAAAATGTTGCTTCAAAATATTATTTATTTTGTTTCCTGTGTTTTTTGGCCCTTCCCTAAATTTTACCCCTGAAGCTAATATGTCTCATACTAGCCCTGACCCTGATATGTGTGCTTAAACTTGTCTGTAGAATACCTAGGTGCACAGCTCTGAATTTTATATTCAAACAAACTTTTGTTGTTAATTTATTTCACCAACTTCTGTCTCTTAAATATGTTTGGTAATTGGGTGGAATCTCTGACAATTTTTTTTTGGTATATAGGTTTGGTTTTTAAATAATTATCTGGGGTTGCCAAATTCAATAATATTAATACACAGTTGTTTAGCTTCAATATGTTTATCATAATTTTGTAAAACTTTTCACTTAGGGGTTTGTCCAAGCTCTGCATGGCAAAACATGTAGATGATCAATACATCCACCCTGTCAGACTCCTCAAACATAGACTTAGATCACTGTGACATGCATTGTAGGATAATCCTCATGACACTCTACAGTGTGGTTGTACTTAGTGGCACTGCAGGAATGGTTATGATGTTACGTATGATCTTCAAAACAAATAGCCAATCAATGATCGGTACAATCATCTTCAATATCATAGTGCTGCACTCCATCCTCCTGGTCAGCCTTCCGTTCCACCTCAGCTATTATGTCTTAGTCATCTGGGAGCTTGGATTTCTTTACCTGCCGAGTGGTTAGCATCATATATGGGCATATGTACTTTACTTTTGTTTTCTGTGTGGCCATTGTCATACTCTGATTACTCATTTATGTTAAGAAACTCCAAATGCAACAGTTACAAAACTACCATGTAGTAGTTTTAAGCATTATTATTTGGATGGTGGGTTGCCTCATTTTTGTCAATTTTTTTTTTTTTTTTACAGTATGGCATAGATCCAAGTTACTCAGAACAACGATGCTTTGAATTCTGCAAAGATCTTAACCACAGAGAATTCATTATCATGAACTACTCTGTGATTGTCACTACGGATGACAATGGTTGTGATCCTCTTCCTGATACAGACAGCTGTCATCATTCAACTGATAAAAGCTCTTTGACCTGACATGTGGACCCATCAAGAGTATAGACCCCAAATCAAGAGTTTCTTCTTCCTTCTAGTAATAGTTGTCTGTTTTGTACCCCACCATGCATTCTGGGTACACTTTATTCAAAATAATTCAGAGAGAAAAGCTTCTAACTTAGTTCTTTATAATGAAATTTATGTTGCTTTAACGACTGTCTGTTGCCTGGATATGCTGTGTTTCTTAAGTGGGGTTATACATTAAGCATTCCTATGTCTCTTCCTTCACAGTATTTTCCCACCTTTGTGATAAAATGCTTTAACTGAATGAGTGTTACTGTGATTTCAAAATTTTTCATCTTAATCATCATCAGAATTGTTTTTTTTCCCAAAAAGGTAATGAGGATTGATTGCTCCCCTCTCTTTAGAGAACCATTACCAGTTCTATATTTACCATACAATATGTTCAATCTCTTAGCTCTATATAAGCTGACTGCATCATTTTTTCCAGACTTAACTACCTTCATGCAGTACTTAACTTGAGCTAAGCACAACAATTGGTTTCCCTGTACTCTCCAGGGAAATTTGCTCACAGATTTCACAGAACAAGATAAATGTCAGTGTACTCAAATTACATTGTGAGCAAAAGTTGTGACATTTGCTCTCTCTTTGAGTTCTGACCCTAGAACATTCTTTCCCTCCATCTCCACCTATCAATTTTTTAAGATCCAGAGAACCTGGAAATAGGAACAGTATAAACTGGGCTCTAGAGAATACTTAAGTTGACATAGCTGCTTCTTGAAAACTACTGATTGTCAGTAAAGCTTCAGTTACTGTCTTTGGTATTTGGAGGAAAACATTAGCTCGGATAGGAAGTCAACAGAGAGAAAACTCTTTCAGGAATGACTAGGCATAATAACTTGCCATTATTATTGTTACTATAATTATTAATTATATTTGAAAATGCTATAGTAGACCCACTTTATAATTTTGCTACCACATAACAGGATAAATGGCAGTGCACTCAAATTATATTTAATCAATTTTCTTAGGGCACATGGTGTGTTTTAAGTCAGTCTTCTCAAGATAGACAGTATTCATTATTGTCAGTACTCAACTTACTAATTCATTAGGTTTCACAAGTTCGTTTTTAATATGGTAGGCAGCCTCTAAGAGGAGCTCCAACGATTCCTGCCTCCTAATATTTCCTGTATAATGACCATGTGGAATCTCCTCCCCTTTTACTGACTTCTTATTAATAGAACAAGGCAGAGTGATGGAATGTCATTTCCAAGGTTAGGTTACAAAAAAGCTGTGGCTTCCATCTCGAGCACTCTTTCTGTCTTTCTTGGATTGCTTCACTCTGGAGGAAACCAGGTCATAAGGCAGCCCTATGGAGAAGCCCATGTGGCAAATAATTGAGGCCTTCTACTAGCCATGCGAGTGAGCTTAGAAGTGGATCTTCTGAGACCTACCAATAGCTGTGGAGCAAGCTCAGAAGCAGATCCTCTCCCACCTCTCCCATTTGAACCTTGAGATGTTGGCAGCCTGGCTGGGAATTGATTGGTGCTTCATGATAGACCCTAAGCCAGAACCACTCCGCTAAGCTGCTGCTAGATTCCTGACTTGAAACTTGTTGTTTTAAGTCCTCATGTCTTGGAGTAACGTATTATGCAGCAATAGATAACGAATATAGTAAGTTATTTACACCTATAGAATGCTGCCACATAAGACACTAGTGTCTGACATTTACAACCTGCTTCTTAGTCTCTGCTTATTCCAGTTGCTGATGATAAAAATATATCCTTGCCTGTTGTTTGAGTCAATAAGAACTGTGCCTGGTACTGTATTAGAAGTTTTACTTCTATGCCTGAAAAGTAGGGGTATGAGCATATAATGTACATGGAGATACACTGGGCTCATTTAGAGTAAAGATTGCAAGGGGGTCAGTTGAAGAGTGGGTAAGAATTGCTCTGTTAGTCATGTTGAAATCTGGACCATTGGTTCTCCATATGTGGCCCTGGACCATCACTACCAGCAGCAGTAGCACCTATGACCTTGTTAGAAGTGAAAATTCTAAGAAGGAAAAATCAGTGGAGCTCCACCTGAGACCCACTGATTCAGAAATTCTGGGTGTGGGTTAGAGGTTCAACAAGCCCTCCAGGTGATTTTGATGCAGGCTAAAATCTGAGAACCACTGCACTGGATTAAGTTGATAAATTGAAAATGGGCACAAATTCTTTGAAACTGCTCCAATTGAGAGGTGGAATTTATATCTCCTATAATTTACTATGGGTGGAATTTGTTATTGCTTCAACCAATAGAACACAAGGAAAGTGGTGCTGTGCCAATTCTCAGCTGCAGGTTTTAAGAAACTAGCAACCTCCGCTTCCTGTCTCTTGAAGCATGGGTTCTTGGAGCCTGAACTCCATGAAAGAAGTCTGACTTGCATGCTGCAGAACATCTAGAGATGCCTGAGATTACATGGAGATACATGGAGATGTGCCCAGATATAGCCAGACTTCCAGTGAAGGCACCAGGCACGTAAACGAAGAAGCTGTCTTGGGCCCTCCAGAACAACCTATCTGCCATGGGAATACCACTATCTGACCTCAGCCCACACAACATGGCGCAGAAGAATTGCCCACTCAATACTGCCTAAATTCCTGATCCACACAATTATGAGAGAAATCGTTGCTTTAAACCACTAGATTCTAGGATTATTTGTTACATAAAAATAGATAATTGCCACATGTATTATTTAAAATTTTCTACTTACCATATTAAAAATTTTAAAAGGAAGAGGCAAAATCCACAATAATAATAATATAATTTGTTTAACCCATTATATCTAGCTAGCTATCAATCATCTACTTTTCTTTCTATTTATCTATTCTAGCTTTCTTTCTTTTATGGATTCTGACTTTGGTGCTGTCTTTAAAAAGTAGTCACCAAACCCAGGGTAATGTAGATTTTTTCCTATGTTATCTTCTGGTAGTTTTAAACTTTTGTGTTTTACATTTACGTATGTGATCCATTTTGAATTAGCTTTTGCGAAGGGTGTGAAATCTGAATCTAGATTCATATTTTTTGCATGTGGATGTCCAATTGTTTCAGCAACATTTGTTGAAAAGGCTAGCATTTCTTCATTGCATTGCATTTTCTTCTTTGTCAAAGATCAATTGACTCTATTTATGTGGGTCTATTTCTGGCCTCTCTTTTTCATTGATCTGTTTGCCTATACTTTTGCCAGTACCACACAAACTTAATTACTATAGCTTTGTAATATGTCTTAAAGTCAGGCACTCTTCATCCTCCAATTTTGTGCTTCTCCTTCATTGTGCTGGCTATTCTGGGTCTTTTGCCTTTCCACATAAATCTTAGAATAACTTTGTTGATATCCACAAAATAACTTGCTGGAATTTTAATTGGGATTGTGTTGATCCTATAAATCAAGTTAGGAAGAACTGATGTCCTGACAATATTGAGTCTGCCTCTCCGTAAACACAGAATATCTCTTCATTTACTGGGCTCCTCTTTGATTTCTTTCATCAGCTTTCCTCATGTAGATCTTGCACATATTTTGTTAGATTTACACAAAAGTGTATCATTTTGGGGGGCACAAATGTAAATGTTATTGCGTTTTTAATTTAAAATTCCACCTTTCATTACTGGTATATAGAAAACAGATTGACTTTTGTATAATACCCATGCATCCTGCAGCCTTGCTGTGCTTATTAGTTTTAGGAGGTTTTATTATCTGGTTTGTTCTTTCTGACTTTCTACATAGATGACTGTCATTTGTGAACAAAGATGGTTTTTATTTCTCCTTGCCCGTCAGTATGCTTTAAAAAAAAACTTCGTTTATTTGGTTAGCTAGGACTTCCAGTATGATACTGAAAAGAAGTGGTAAGAAGACCATCCTTGCCGTGTTCACAATCTTAGTGGGAAAGTTTCTCATTTCTTATCGTTACGTGTAATGTTAGCTGTCAGTTTTTTGATAAATATTGTAGGGGAGGCAAAATTTTACCTCTACCCTTGTAAAGTCCCAGTTAAGCCTGAGAATTAAATTGACTTAAGAGAGTAATGGGAGAGAAGCATACAAATTGAATTTAAATTTTACATGATATGGAGTCCTCATAAGGAAATGATGATCCAAAGAAGTGGCGAGTTTGTATGCTTTTATATTAGGTTGAACAAAGAGAGGTAGTCATGGAAAAGTAACTAAATTATATGGGGAGGCTAATGGAAGGTAGAAAAGGTAGAATTATTTTAACAGGATTTGTTTGCCCAGAATTCTCTGGATATGATTCTCTATTGAAGGATGTTTCTTTTCTCCTGCTATAGAGGGGGCATCTTCCCTATGAGTTTTTCTCTTCTGTTTTCAGGAAGAAAAGGGGAAGATTAGAATGCCTTCTTGCAAATGATGTTTTTTAAGTGCCTTTAGTCTGAAGTAATACTATGTCAAAGTGGCATATTTTGAGGTGGCGTGTTATGTCACCCTTCAATATTCCTTATCTAGTGTCCTCTATTCCTAGTTTACTGACAGCTTTATTGTGAAAGCATCTTGAAATTTATAATGATTTTTATGTATCCATTGATATCATCATGTGATTTTTCTTCTTTAGATTGCTGATGTGATGAATTACATTAATTAATTTTTGAATGTCGAACCAGTTGCCCACCAGGGATAAATCTCACTATGGGTGTGATATATAATTCTTGTTATTCATTGCTGGATTTGATTTGTTAATATTCTGCTGAGGACTTTTGCGTCTATGATCATAAGAGATATTGGTCTGTAGTTCTGTTTTCTTGCAGTGCCTTTGTCTGGTTTGACTATTATGGTGATGTTGACCTCATACAATGAGTTAGGAAGTATTCCCTCTGTTTCTATATTCTGGAAGAGATTGTAGAGGATTGGTATAATTTCTTCCTTAAATGTATGGTAAAATTTAACAGTGAACCCATCTGGGCCTGGTGCTCTCTGTTTTGAAATATTATTAATTATTGATTCAATTTCTTTAATAGATATAGTCCTATTTAGATTGCCTCTTTCTTCTTGCTTTGTCAGATTGTGTCTTTCAAGGACTTGGTCCCTTTCGTCTACCTTATCAAATTTGTGTTCATGCAGTTGATTATAATATTTCTTGATTATCCTTTTATTGTCTATGGGATCTCCAGTGATGTCTCCTCTTTCACTTCTGATATGAAGAATTTTTTTTTTTGATTGACCTAGCTAGAATCTTACCTATTTTCTAGGTCTTTTCAGAGAACGAGCATTGGGTTTCATTGATTTTTTCCTGTTAATTTCCTATCTTCAACTGTGTTGATTTATGTTGTAATTTTCATTATTTCTTTTTTTCTGATTACCTTGAATTTAATTTGCTCTTCCTTTTCTAGTTTCCTAAGATAGAAGCTTAGATGATTGATATTAGATCTCCCTTCTTTTCTAATATATGCATTCAATGCTATAAATTTCCCTTTAAGAACTGCTTCTCCTGCACCCCTCAAACATTTATAAGTTGTGTTTTCATTTCAATTTAGTTCAAAAATTTTTAAATTTCTTTTGAAATTTCTCTTTTGACTCATGTGTTATTTAATTTTGTTTGATTTCCATGTAGTTTAGGATTTTCCAATTATCTTTCTGTTATTGATTTCTAGTTTAATTTCACTGTGATATACACCAGATATTACATGACATTTCTATTATCTTTGATCTCTTAAAATGTGCTTTATGGCCAAGAATGTGGTCTATTTTGGTTAATATTTCACATGAGCTTGAGAAGAAAGTATATTCGGCTGTTGTTGTAGAGAGTTACAGATGTCCAGATGATTGATGTTGCTGTTGAGTAAAACTATGTCCTTGCTGATTTTGTGCCTGCTGGATCTGTTCATTTCTGATAGGAGGTACTGAAATCTTCCTCCATAATGGTAGATTAACCTATTTCTCCTTCCAGCATAATTAGTTTTTGCCTCATGTATTTTTACTCTGTTAGGCACATACATGTTAAGGATTGTTCTGTCTTTTTGGGTAATTGATTTCTTTATTATTAAGTAATGTCCTTCTTTACCCTTCCTAACTTTCCTTGTTTTGAAGTCCATTGTGCCTGAAATTAATACAGTGATTCCTGCTTTGTTTTCATTAGTGTTAGTATGGCATATTTCTCCTTTTCCCTTCCCTTCCCTTCGCTTCCCTTTCCTTTCCATCCCTTCCCTTTCTTTCTCTCTCTCTCTCTTTTTTTTTTTTTTTTTGGCAAGTTTTTGCTCTGTTACCCAAGCTGGAGTGATCATGGCTCACTGCAGCCTCAACCTCCTGGGCTCAAGTGATTCTCCTGCCTCAGCCTTTTAAGTAGCTGGGACTACAGGCACATCCCACCACATGCAGGTTTTTTTTGTTTTTTTTTTTTTTTAATGGAGACAAGGTCTCACTATGTTGCCCAGGCTGGTCTCGAACTCCTGAACTCAAGCAGTCCCCCTGTCTTGGCCTCCAAAAGTGCTGGGATTACTGGTGTGAGCCACCACACCTGGCCCATCCATCTACTTTTAATCTATGTGTCATTATATTTAAAGTGGGTTTCTTGTAGACAACATGTAGTTGTGTCATTTTTTTTTCATCCACTCTGCCAATCTCTGTCTTTCAACTGGTTATTTTATACCATTGACATTGAAAGTGATTATTGATATAGTTGAATTAATATTTACCATATTTAGTGTTTTCTATTTGTTGTTTTTGGTTCTTTGTTCTTATTTTGTCTTTCACTCTTTCTCTGCCTTTTGTGGTTTTAATTGAACACTTTATATGTTTCCATATTCTCTCCTCTCTTAGCATATCAGTTATGCCTTTTTTCACTTATTTTAGTGGTTGCCTTAGAGTTTGCAATATACATGTATAACTATTTCAAGGCAACTTCCAAAAACACTGTACTATTTCACAGCTAGTGCAGGTACCTTATAATAACAAAATAATTCAAACTCCTCCCTTCTATCCCTTGTATCACTGCTGTCATTCATTTTACTTGTATGTAAGCATATATAAGCACAGATAGACATATATGCATAAGATATACACATAAGTATACATAATTGAATGCATAGTTGCTATTATTATTTTAAACAAACTGTGCTGTGGAGTGAATGAAGACACTGATTGTTTTGCTTGTACCTCCAGCACACTGAAGCCACCATATTCAAAGGAGTCCAGTCTGTCTTCCTGGTGAGCCCCTGACCTCTCTGCTCTTCATCCCCTGGCTTGGACCTGCAGCACAGCCATCCTACTTCCACCTGAATGTTCTCATTGGCAGCAGCTCCATGTCTTTCTGGGGTGGAGTTCCCCGAGGCAACTGACAGCCCCCTATAACTGCCACTGCAGTGGATGCCCACCCTTGCTGCCACCAGACTGGGCAAGGAACAAAGAGCCCGAGTGCTTTATTCACACCTCCATGCCACAGCTGCTCTATGGAGAAGAGGCCAGACTGATTTTACAGCAAGCCTCCAATCCTCCAGCTCTTCACCGGGAAGGGCCGCCTGGCTTGAGGCCCACAATGCAGCTGCCCCACCCCCAGCTGATCATTTTGATTGGTAGCAGCTCTGTGCTTCTCTGGGGTGAATCCTTCAAAGACAAGTGAAAGGCCCTCTGCCATTGCCACTGTCAAGGTCCCCACCCCTGCCACCCCCAAGCTAGGGAGAGAACAAAAAGCTTGAGTTCACAAAGGGGCTACAGTGCACAGCCTGGGAGTGCCAAGCTGAGATATATGGCCAACACTTGAGTGGGAGAGGGGCCCACACTCTCAGAGCACTGAGAGAGAGCATAGCTGCAATTGAGGAAATACAGAGGAACCATGTGGCTGGGTAAGAGCCTATCTACCAGCCATTACGGTTAAGTGCCATCTACTGGATGGAAGCCCAAACTTTAACACCAAAAATACATTGCTAACATACCTCCCCATAAAATTAAGGACAAGAATTCAGCCACAAATAAAGACCCTGCACAAAGCATCAGCCCTCTGAAAACATCCAGAAACAAATTCAACTGACTGTACTCAAATTACACCACAGTTAAAGGCACATCAGCCCACACAGATGAGCAAAAACGCAGGGAACTCTAAAAGCCAGAGTGTTTTCTTATTCCCAAATGACCACACTAGCTCCTCAATGATGTAGGAGTTAAAAAGAAATTACTTAGGCAGACAGTGAGGTAAGAAAGTCTTTAGTAAGGTTTTCCTTTTAATGAAAAGCAGCCCCCAAATCATTTTCTTTTCTAACAAAGAGCAACCTGTAAAATCGAGCTGCAGACATAGAAAGGCAAGCTAGAAGTTTGCACGGGGAAGTGATGGCAGCTATGCCAGTAGGAAAGGAGCTACCTGGGGACTAGGCATGTTCAAAATGTCAGCTCCTTCTTTCCTTTTCTTTGCCAAACCATATGTACAGTAAGGCGAAGACAACATGGCGCTGACAGGGCAAATATCCCATTTGCATAATAAGATTAGGGTGGGGAAGCCAGCTTCCTCACATGCTATGTAAATGTCACCCTAGTCTAATCAATCTTTGGGTCCTATGTAAATCAGACACCGCCTCCTCAAGCTTTTTTATAAAATCCTGAGCACTCCACTGTGGGCCAGAAGTCCCATTTGGGCACCCCTCTCTAAAGCAGGAGAGAGAAGTGTTCTCCTTTTTCTTTCTTTTGCCTGTTAAACCTCCGCCCCTAAACCTACCTCTTGCATATGCATACTTGATTTCCTTGGCATGAGATGATGAACCTTGGTTATTTACCCCAGACAATGATGCCGCTTCACCAGTGATGGTTCTCAACCAGAATGAAATGGCTAAAATGACAGACATAGAATTAAGAATCTGGATAGCATTGAAGATCATTGAGATTCAGGAGAAAATTGAAACTCAATCCAAGGAATCTAAGAAATCCAGTAAAGTGATTCAAGAGGTGAAAGGCAAAATAGGTATTTTAAGAAAGAACAAAACTGATCTGATAGGGCTGAGAAACTCACTAAAAGAATTTCATGACACAATCAGAAGTATTAACAGTGGAATAGACCAAGCTGAGAAATGAATCTCAGAGCTCAAAGCACAGTTCTTCAAATTATTTTAATTTCAAACTATTTTAGTCAGACAAAAATAAAACAACAAAGAATTTTTAAAATGAACAAAACCTTTGAGGAATGTGGGACTGTGTATAGAGACCAAACCTACAACACATTGGCACCCCTGAAAGAGAGAGAGAGAGAGACCAAGCAACATAGAAAACAAATTTGAGGATATTATCCACAAAAATGTCTCCAACCTCACTAGATAAGTCAACATTCAAATTCAGGAAATTCAGAGAACCTCTGTGAGCTACTTTACAAGACAAACATCCCCAAGACACATAGTCATCAGATTCTTCAAGGTCAATGCAAAAGAAATTATGTTAAGGCAGCTAGAAAGAAGGGGCAGGTTAACTATAAAGGGAACCCCACAACATTAACAATAGACCTTTCAGCAGAAACCCTACAAGTCAGAAGAGATTGGGGGCCTATATTCAGCATTCTTAAAGAAAAGAAATTCCAAGCAAGAATTTCATATCCAGCCAAACTAAGCTTCATAAGTGAACGAGAAATAAAATCTTTTTCAGATAAGCAAATGCTAAGGGAATTAGTTACCACTAGACCCGCCTTACAAGAGTTGCTTAAGGGAGTGCTAAATATGGAAGTGAAAGACCACTAATGGCCACCACAAAAACATACTTAAGTACATAGACTATTTACACTGTAAAGCAACTACACAATCAAGTCTACCTAACAACCAAGAACATGATGACAGGATCAAATCAGCACACATCAATATTAACCTTGAATGTAAACAGGCTAAACACCTCACTTCAAAGGCAGACTGGCAAATTGGATAAAGAAACAGGACTCATAGATAGCTCTTATTATTTTGAGATACGTCCCATCAATACCTAATTTATTGAGAGTTTTTAGCATGAGGGGTTGTTGAATATTGTCAAAGGCCTTTTCTGCATCTATTGAGATAATCATGTGGTTTTTGTCTTTGGTTCTGTTTATATGCTGGATTACATTTATTGATTTGCGTATATTGAACCAGCCTTGCATCCCAGGGATGAAGCCCACTTGATCATGGTGGATAAGCTTTTTGATGTGCTGCTGGATTCGGTTTGCCAGTATTTTATTGAGGATTTTTGCATCAATGTTCATCAAGGATATTGGTTTAAAATTCTCTTTTTCAGTTCTGTCTCTGCCCGGCTTTGGTATCAGGATGATGCTGGCCTCATAAAATGAGTTAGGGAGGATTCCCTCTTTTTCTATTGATTGGAATAGTTTCAGAAGGAAGGTACCAGTTCCTCCTTGTACCTCTGGTAGAATTCGGCTGTGAATCCATCTGGTCCTGGACTCTTTTTCGTTGGTAAGCTATTGATTATTGCCACAATTTCAGCTCCTGTTATTGGCCTATTCAGAGATTCAACTTCTTCCTGGTTTAGTCTTGGGAGAGTGTATTTGTCTAGGAATTTATCCATTTCTTCTAGATTTTCCAGTTTATTTGCATGGAGGTGTTTGTAGTATTCTCTGATGGTAGTTTGTATTTCTGTGGGATTGGTGGTGATATCCCCTTTATCATTTTTTACTGCGTCTATTTGATTCTTCTCTCTTTTTTTCTTTATTAGTCTTGCTAGCGGTCTATCAATTTTGTTGATCCTTTCAAAAAAACAGCTCCTGGATTCATTAATTTTTTGAAGGGTTTTTTGCATCTATTTCCTTCAGTTCTGCTCTGATTTTAGTTATTTCTTGCCTTCTGCAAGCTTTTGAATGTGTTTGCTCTTGCTTTTCTAGTTCTTTTAATTGTGATGTTAGGGTGTCAATTTTGGATCTTTCCTGCTTTCTCTTGTGGGCATTTAGTGCTATAAATTTCCCTCTACACACTGCTTTGAATGTGTCCCAGAGATTCTGGTATGTTGTGTCTTTGTTCTCATTGGTTTCAAAGAACATCTTTATTTCTGCCTTCATTTCATTATGTACCCAGTAGTCATTCAGGAGCAGGTTGTTCAGTTTCCATGTAGTTGAGCGGTTTTGAGTGAGTTTCTTAATCCTGAGTTCTAGTTTGATTGCACTGTGGTCTGAGAGATAGTTTGTTATAATTTCTGTTCTTTTACATTTGCTGAGGAGAGCTTTACTTCCAACTATGTGGTCAATTTTGGAATAGGTGTGGTGTGGTGCTGAAAAAAATGTATATTCTGTTGATTTGGGGTGGAGAGTTCTGTAGATGTCTATTAGGTCCGCTTGGTGCAGAGCTGAGTTCAATTCCTGGGTATCCTTGTTGACTTTCCAATATCATACTGAATGGGCAAAAACTGGAAGCATTCCCTTTGAAAACTGGCACAAGACAGGGATGCCCTCTCTCACCACTACTATTCAACATAGTGTTGGAAGTTCTGGCCAGGGCAATCAGGCAGGAGAAGGAAATAAAGGGTATTCAATTAGGAAAAGAGGAAGTCAAATTGTCCCTGTTTGCAGACGACATGATTGTATATCTAGAAAACCCCATTGTCTCAGCCCAAAATCTCCTTAAGCTGATAAGCAACTTCAGCAAAGTCTCAGGATACAAAATCAATGTACAAAAATCACAAGCATTCTTACACACCAATAACGACAAACAGAGAGCCAAATCATGAGTGAACACCCATTCACAATTGCTTCAAAGAGAATAAAATACCTAGGAATCCAACTTACAAGGGACATGAAGGACCTCTTCAAGGAGAACTACAAACCACTGCTCAAGGAAATAAAAGAGGATACAAACAAATGGAAGAACATTCCATGCTCATGGGTAGGAAGAATCAATATCGTGAAAATGGCCATACTGCCCAAGGTAATTTATAGATTCAATGCCATCCCCATCAAACTACCAATGACTTTCTTCACAGAATTGGAAAAAACTACTTTAAAGTTCATATGGAACCAAAAAAGAGCCTGCATTGCCAAGTCAATCCTAAGCCAAAAGATCAAAGCTGGAGGCATCACGCTACCTGACTTCAAACTATACTACAAGGCTACAGTAACCAAAACAGCATGGTACTGGTACCAAAACAGAGATATAGATCAATGGAACAGAACAGAGCCCTCAGAAATAACGCCGCATATCTACAACTATCTGATCTTTGACAAACCTGAGAAAAACAAGCAATGGGGAAAGGATTCCCTATTTAATAAATGGTGCTGGGAAAACTGGCTAGCCATATGTAGAAAGCTGAAACTGGATCCCTTCCTTACACCTTATACAAAAATCAATTCAAGATGGATTAAAGACTTAAATGTTAGACCTAAAATCATAAAAACCCTAGAAAAAACCTAGGCATTACTATTCAGGACATAGGCATGGGCAAGGACTTCATGTCTAAAACACCAAAAGCAATGGCAACAAAAGCCAAAATTGACAAATGGGATCTAATTAAACTAAAGAGCTTCTGCACAGCAAAAGAAACTACAATCAGAGTGAACAGGCAACCTACAAAATGGGAGAAAATTTTCGCAACCTACTTATCTGACAAAGGGCTAATATCCAGAATCTACAATGAACTCAAACAAATTTATAAGAAAAAAACAAACAACCCCATCAAAAAGTGGGCGAAGGACATGAACAGACACTTCTTAAAAGAAGATATTTATGCAGCCAAAAAACACATGAAAAAATGCTCACCGTCACTGGCCATCAGAGAAATGCAAATCAAAACCACAATGAGAGATCATCTCACACCAGTTAGAATGGCAATCATTAAAAAGTCAGGAAACAACAGGTGCTGGAGAGGATGTGGAGAAATAGGAACACTTTTACACTGTTGGTGGGACTGTAAACTAGTTCAACCACTGTGGAAGTCAGTGTGGCAATTCCTCAGGGATCTAGAACTGGAAATACCATTTGACCCAGCCATCCCATTACTGGGTATATACCCAAAGGACTATAAATCATGCTGCTATAAAGACACATGCACACGTATGTTTATTGCGGCACTATTCACAATAGCAAAGACTTGGAACCAAGCCAAATGTCCAACAATGATAGACTGGATTAAGAAAATGTGGCACATATACACCATGGAATACTATGCAGCCATAAAAAATGATGAGTTCATGTCCTTTGTAGGGACATGGATGAAATTGGAAATCATTCTCAGTAAACTATCGCAAGAACAAAAAACTGAACACCGCATATTCTCACTCATAGGTGGGAATTGAACAATGAGAACACATGGACACAGGAAGGGGAACATCACACTCTGGGGACTGTTGTGGGGTGGGGAGAGGGGGGAGGGATAGCATTGGGAGATATACCTAATGCTAGATGACGAGTTAGTGGGTGCAGCGCACCAGCATGTCACATGTGTACATACGTAACTAACCTGCACATTGTGCACATGTACCCTAAAACTTAAAGTATAATAATAAAAAAAAGTAAAAAAAAAAAGAATATTAAAAAAAGAGTTGATTAGCTATTAAAATGTACAATGTAAAAATTTAAAACAGCATGAATTATTCTTCAAAATTCTATTTCCTTATATAATATGACATGAAATACAAAGTTTTTAATAATTTATTTTGAGGACTAAGAAGTATTAAAAGATCTATTAGTCTGTTGAAATAAAACATGTTAAATGGTATACAATTTATTTATGTGGAAAAAAGCCTATTTTTAAGTAGCTGACTAAACCTGAAAATGATTGAAAATATAATGTTTAATATACCATTAATGGAAATTAAATTACTGGGAGAGGAAAAAAAAAGAAACAGGACTCAACTATATGCTGACTTCAAGAAACCCATCTCGCATGCAAGTACACACATAAGCTCAAAGTAAATAGATGGAGAAAGATGTATCAAACAAATGGAAAACAAAAAAGAGCAGGGGTTCCTATTTTTATCTCCAAGAAAACAGACTTTAAACCAGCAATGATCAAAAAGACCAAAGGAGGGCATTGCATAATAATAAAGGGTTTCATTGAGCAAGAAGACTTAACTATCCAAAATACATATGCACCCAACATTGTGGCACCCAGATTCATGAAACAAGATCTTAAAGGACTTACAAAGACACTTAGATTACCATACAATAATAGTGGGAAACTTCAACACTCCACGACAGTATTCAACAGATAATCAAGGCAGAATATTAAAAAAGATACTTGAGACCTAAACTTGACACTTGGCTAAATGGACCTAAAATCCTCTTATAGAACACTTCACCCAAGAATAAAATATACATTCCTCTCCTATGCACATGGCACATACTCCAAAACTGATCACACACTTGGCCACAAAGCAATTATCAACAAATTAAAAAACAACTCATACCAACCACACACTCAGAACACAACACAATCCATCCTGGCTAATGCGGTGAAATCCCGTCTCTACTAAAAATACAAAAAAGTTAGCCAGTCGTGGTGGCGGGTGCCTATAGTCCCAGCTGCTGGGGAGGCTGAGGCAGGAGAATGGCGTGAACCCGGGAGGCAGAGGTTGCAGTGAGCTGAGATCATGCCACTGCACTCTAGCCTGGGTGACAGAGCAAGACTCCGTCTTAAAAGAAAAAAAAAAAAAAGAACACGACACAGTAAAAACTAAAATCCACATCAAGAACATCTCTTAAAACCATACAATTACATGGAAATTAAACAATTGGTTCTTGAGTAATTTGGGGTAAACAATGAAATTATAGCAGAAATCAATAAATTCTTTGAAATAAATGAAAACAAAGATACCACACACCAGAATCTCTGGGAAACAGCAAAATCATTGTTAAGAGGAAAGTCTACAGCACTAAATGGCCACATCAAATTTAGAAAAACTTTAATAAACAACTTAATGTCACCCCTAGAGGAACTGGAAAAATAAGAGCAACCCAACCCCAAAGCTAGCAGAAGAAAAGAAATAACTAAAATCAAAGCTGAACTGAATGAAATAGAGGTAAGAGAAAACCATACAAAAGATCAACAAAATCAAACATTGTTTTTTTGGAAAAAGTAAATAAGACTTGTAGACCACTAGCCAGACTAGTAAAGAAAAGAAGAGAGAAGATCCAAATAAACACAACAAGAAATGACAAAGGGGACATAACCACTGAGTCCACAGAAATACAAAAAACCCTCAGGGACTATTACAAATACCTGTATGCACACAAACTTGAAAACAGAGAACAAATGGATAGATTCCTGGAAAGAACCTCTCAAGATTGAACCAGGAAGAAATTGAAACTCTGAGCAGACCAATAATGAGTTCAGAAATTAAATCAGTAATAAAAATCCTACCAAGCAGAAAAAGCCCTGGACCAGAGAGTTTCACAGCCAAATTCTACCAGACATATAAAGAAGAGCTGGTACCACTCCCACTGAAACTATTCCAAAAAATTGAGGAGAAGGGACTCCTCCCTTACTCATTCTATGAGGCCAGCATCATTCTGATATCAAAACCTGGCAGAGACACAACAGAAAAAGAAAATTTCAGGGCAATATCTCTGATAAACATAGACACACAAATCCTCAACGAAATGCTAGCAAACCAAATCCAGCAGCATATCAAAATGCTAATCCACCATGATCAAGTAAGCTTTATTCCTAGGAGGCAAGAATGCTTCAACATATGCAAATCAATAAATGTGATTCATCACATAAGCAGAACCAAAAACAAAAACCACAAGATAATCTCAATAGATGCAGAAAAGGCTTTTGGTAAAATTCAACATCCTTTCATGTAAAAACCCTCAATAAACTAGACATCAAAGGAACATACCTCAAAATAGTAAGAGCTGTCTATGACAAACCCACAGCCAACATCATACTGAATGGGCAAAAGCTAGAATCATTTCCCTTGAAAACTGGAACAAGACAAGGATGCCCACTCTCACCACTCCTATTCAACACAGTACTGGAACTTCTATCCAGAGCAGTCAGGCAAGAGAAAAACATAAAAGGCAGACAAATAGGAAGAGAGAAAGTCAAACTATCTCTCTTCACAGATGATATATTCTATACCTAGAAAATCCCATAGTCTCTGCCCAAAGGCTCCTAGTTCTATAAACAACTTCAGCAAAATTTTAGGATACAAAATCAATGTACAAAAATCAGTCACATTTCTATATGTTAATAATGTCCCAAGCTGAGAGCCAAATTAAGAACACAATCCCATTCACAATAGGCACTAAAAGAATAACATACCTAGGAATACAGCTAACTAGGGAAGTCAAAGATTTCTACAATAAGAATGACACAACACTGCTGAAAGATATCAGAGATAATATGAACAAATGGAAGACTATTCTGTGCTCATGGATAGGAATAATCAATATTGTAAAAATGCCCATAATGCCCAAAGCAATTTATAGGTTCAATGTTATTCCTATTAAACTATCAACATTCTTCACAAAATTTAAAAAATACTATTCTAAAATTCAATTGAAACCAAAAAAGAGCCAGAATAAGCACAGCAATCCTAAGCAAAAAGAATAAAGCTGGAGGCATCACATTACCTGACCCCAAACTATACTACAAGGCTACAGTAACTGAAGCAGCATGGTATTGGTACAAACACAGTCACATACACCAATAGAAGAGTTTAGAGAACCCAGAAATTAAGCCACACATGTAACCATCTGATCTTCAACAAAGCTGACAATAACAAGTAATGTGAAAATGATTCCCTTTTCAATAAGTGATACTGGGATTATTGGCTGGCTATATGGAGAAGATTGAAACTGGACCTTTTCCCTTTACCATATTAAAAAAATCAACTCAAAATGTGACCAGTCACAGTGGCTCACGCCTGTAATCCCAGCGCTTTAGGAGGCTGAGGTGGGTGGATCATGGGGTCAGGAGATCGAGACCATCCTGGCTAACACAGTGAAACCCCATGTCTACTAAAAATACAAAAAATTAGCTGGGCATGGTGGCGGGAACCTGTAGTCCCAGCTACTCGGGAGGCTGAGGCAGGAGAATGGTGTGAATCTGGGAGGCGGAGTTTGCAGTGAGCCGAGATCGCACCACTGCACTCCAGCCTGGGCAACAGAGCAAGACTCTGTCTCAAAAAAAAAACCAAAAAAACAAATCAACTCAAAATGTATTAGGCTTAAATGTAAAGGCTAAAACTATAGAAACCCTAGAAGAAAACCTAGGAAATACCATTATGGACATAGGCCCTGGCAAAGATTTCATCACATAGACTCCAAAACAATTGCAACAAAAACAAAAACTGACACTGGGACCTAATTAAAGAGCTTCTGCACAGCAAAAGAAACTATCAACAGAGTAAATAGACAACCTATAGAATGGGAGAAAATATTGCAAACTGCAAGTCACATCCAACGGAGGACTAATACCAGAATCTTAATAAATCTTAAGCAAATCAACAAGCAAAAAACAAACAAACCCGTTAAAAAATAGACAAAGGACATGAACAGACACTTCTGAAAAGGAAGACATACACATGGCCAGCAAGCATATACAAATGCTCACTATCACTAATTATTAGAGAAATGCAAATCAAAACCACAATGAGATGCTGTACACAAGTCAGAATGGCTATTATTAAAATGTCAAAAATAACAGATGCTGGTAAAGATGCAGAGAAAAAGGAACGCTTATACATTCCTGGTGGGAATGCAAATTAGTTCAGCCACTGTGGGAAGCAATTTGGAGATTTCTCAAATAACTTAAAATGGAACTACCATTCAACCCAGCAATACCTTTATTGGGTTTATACCCAAAGAAATATGAATTGCTCTACCATAAAGATACATGCATGCACATGTTCATCACAGCACTATTCACAATAACAAAGACATGGAATCACATAAATGCCCATCAAGAGTGGACTGGATAAAGAAAATGCGGTACATATACACCATGGAATACTACTCAGACATAAAAAAAGAAGAAAATCATGTTCTTTGTAGCAACATGGATGGAGCTGAAGGCCATTATCCTAAGTGAACTAATGCAGGAACACAAAACCAAATACTTCATATTCTCACTTATAAGTGGGAACTAAATAGTGAGTACACATGGATACCACAAAGAAACAAACAGTAGACACCAGGGCCTATTTGAGGGTAGAGAGTGAGGTTTGAAATATTACCTATTGAATACTATGCTGATTACCTGGGTGACAAAATTATCTGTATACCAAACCCCTGCAACATGCAATTTACCCATGTAGCAAACCTGCACGTGTGCCCTCGAACCTAAAATAAAAGTTGGAAAGAAAAATAAATGAATAAAATAAAATCAAGGGTTTTATTTTAAAAAAGAATAGTAACAATAAAAGTTATTTCATCCTCTTATTCCTTCTATTTATTGATTGATTGATTTTTATTTTTATTTATTTATTTATTTTTGAGACAGAGTCTTGCTTTGTTGCCCAGGCTGGAGTGCAGTGGTGCAATCTCGGCTCACTGCAGCCTCTGCATCCTGGGTTCAAGCTCCTGCCTCAGCCTCCCGAGAATGGCTATTATTAAAATGTCAAAAAATAACAGATGCTGGTAAGGATGCAGAGAAAAGGGGACACCACCATGCCCCACTCATTTTTTTTTTTTTTTTTTGGTATACTTAGTAGAGACAGGTTTCACCAGGTTGGCCAGGCTGGTCTCGAACTCCGGGCCTCAAGTGATCCACCTGTCTCAGCCTTCCAAAGTGCTGGGGTTACAGGTGTGAGTCACTGCACCTGGCCAGATGTGTTTTCTTTCTTTATGTAGATCCAAGTTTCTGAGCTATGTCACTTTTCTTCTCTCTAAAGAACTCCTCTTAACATTTTTTGCAAGGCAGGCATACTAGCAACAAATTTTCGGAGTTTTTGTTTGCCTGAGAAAAATCTTTATTTCTTCTTCATTTTTGAAGGGTAGCTTTGCAGATTACAGAATTTTAGGTTGGTGGGGATTTCAGACATCAATTTGGGAAAATTCTCAGTTAATATTGTTTCAAATATTTCTTCTATTCTTTTTTCTCTTCTGGTATTCTCCCTCCTCATATATTACTACTTTTGTAGTTGTTCCACAGTACTGAGATATTCTGCTACATTTTTATGAATTTTTTTCTATTGGCCTTTCAATTTTGGAGATTTCTTGGAGACATTGTGAAGCTCAGAGATTGTTTCCTCAGCTATGTCCAGCCTACCAATAAGCCCATCAAAGGCATTCTTCATTTCTGTTAGTGTTTTTGGTTTGCATTCCTTTTGGGGACTTTCTTAGGATTTCCATCTGTCTGCTTACATTGCCCATCTGTTCTTGCCTGCTGTCTACTTTCTCCATTACAGCTCTTAGCATATGAATAGTTGTTTAAATGCTGGGTCTGATCATTTCAATATCCTTGCTATATCTGGGTCTGGTTGGGATGTTTGCTCTGCCTCTTCAAACTGTGTATTTTGCCAGTTAGTATGTCTTGTAATTTTTCTTGCTATCTAGGTAGACATGATGTGCTGGGTAAAAGAAATGGCCATAAATAGGCCTTTAGTAATGTAGTGGTTAAGGTGTTGGGGGAGGAAATACATTCTTAGTCTTATGATTAGGTGTCAGTCTCGTAGTGAGCCTGTGCCTCCGGACTATGAACTTTACACATGATTCTCAGGTTTTATTTTTTTCTCTCCTTTGGTGAGACAGGATGAAGATAACTTATGAGCTTACTCTATCTAGCTAGAGTGAGCTGGAGTTGGGTATTTCCATTCCCCAAGGTTAGTTAGGCTTGATACCATCCCAGCAGGTTAGGCTCTTCAGTTTCTCCTGAGAACAGTTTTTGTTAAGAACAGAATGCTGTGGTATATTTAAAAATGTCCGTTTTACCCTCCCCCTGCTAAAAATGTGAGGTTTTTCTCTGAAATTTACTGTTGGAACCCCAAAGGAATTTTTGTCTCATATTTACTGTGAAAATCTCCTGTGGAGATTTCTATGAATTTCTGCTTGAGAAAAGTTGTAATGCCTTGTGCCTCTTTGTCTGTCTCTCCAATTTGGGGAGCAGCAGTTTGTGCTATGACTTCACTTCTCTTAGAGATCTAAGAAGAATTGTTAATTTTTTTCATTTTGCTCAGATTTTTACTTGTTGTCAGGTTGGAGAGGCAACACCCAATCTCCTTGCATGTGGAAACAGCTCATATATTTTATTTTGAGCTATTTTCTGTACCATGTTGTGTTGTGTTTGCCTCTTTATTGATATTAAAACTTCTCTACAGCATTCTTACACAACAGCCTTGGTGTTTTGTATGGTTAAAATAAGGAGATGATCAAAGTATGATTTTATTCATCACAATCATACAGTTTATTGCCACATAAAAATGCTCTGCTTTTTCCACCACACTCAAAGAGAGGGAGAATAAGGAGAATAAACCTCACAGAGAACACACTTAATAGACAAGGTACATTAAGCACATAGTGAGTGAATTCCAATTTTGTTTAGAGTTCAATTATTAAAGTCTAGCTGCTCAATTAGGATGGAAGCAGGCATCTGTGAATGTAAAGTCTAATGGAGGTTTGAGGCTTATGTTAAAGCAAACTAAATATGGCCTGAGAAGGACTCTGTAATTCTATATTTGAGTCCTTGTGGATGAACTTGTAACCTAGCTTAATTGGCAGACAAAATTGAAAATCTAACTTAAGGGTATGCGCCTGTAACAATAGCTGAGTCTTGGCCAACCCCAGGGGTCATACTTAAACCACTCATAGGCTGCTAAGTGTTCAAACTGTGTTCAAATAAGGCAAACGCCAACCTGCAACCAATCCAGCTGTTTCTGTGCCTCACTTCTGATTTCTGTATGTCACTTCCCTTTTTTTGGACTATAAATTTGTTCTGACCATGAGGCATCCCTGGAGTGTCTCTGATTCTGCTGTGATTCTGAAGGCTGCCCAATTCATGAATCATTCATTGCTCAATTAAACGCCTTTAAATTTAATTCTGCTGAAGCTTTTCTTTTAACACTTAACCTTTCTACAAGAGGTTCTTGAAAGAGACGTTTGATGAACACAATGATATGTAAGCTCCTTCAGTGCTTTCAAATAGTGCTGGTGTTGGTGGGCAAAGCTGTAGAGAGTAGCTCAAAGGCTGGCAGAAAGTACCCTGCCACACTCTAAGCTCTTAATGTCTGTCAAAGTCTTGGGTTTATATGTGTTTTGGAGTAGTTGAGGCCAATAACTCGCATATGTGGTCTGATAAGGTGTTATAACATTCTTCTGGGGAGAGAGATTACACTCCATGCTCTTACCACAGCAAAACATGCCACCCACATAGAAAATTATATGTTTGGAATTTTCTATGTGAAAATTAACCTAAGTAGCCTAACACTTAGGTTATTGGTGCTTTGGGTGAATGAATACAATAAAGTGGAATAGAGAGACAACAGGAGCCATAGGACACAAAATGAGAATTCTGCTGACTCTTGGAAATGAGAGCATAAAGTGTCCAGGAAATTCTAAATTTTGGAGAATTTTTGGAAATATTTGAGAAGTCAGTGAATCACCACAGGCTGTACAGTTTTCTGCAATGGTTTGAATCATTTTATTTGGTTGTGAAATAAGAGTGACCTCAGAATGCTAGAGTACTTGTACATCACCAGGTTCCACACTAAATACATGATGACAATGATGATAACAACGGTGATGACAACACTCAAGGAGGAAAAATACTGGCTTGGTATGCTGTAAAAATTTACTCTGTAGCTTTTCTTATTCACCTTAGCTGGAATGCATTGTAAGGATTCAGTTGCCTGTATCTGGGCCTCACTGCAACTTCTTAGAGATTTTCCTTCATAGTTTGTTTCCGTTGAAGGCTCTCTTACTGCTTTTTCTTCTATTCCCCTTACTCTCCCTATTCAGGCTAAAGCTTATTAAGTGCTGGCACTTTATCAGCTACATTTAAAGCCCGGATTCAGGGCAGCAACCACTGAAAGCGTACCCTGAGACAAAGGATGTAGGTACACACCGAATGAGCTCCTCAAGTTTCTCAAGTCCAAAGAATAGTTGGCACTGCATACTGGTAACTTATCAGTACACTTCAGAGTGAGTTAAAAACAGGAATTATTTTAGACTCTGGATAATTACTTATTGTTAGCTCTTGTGCATATGCAGGCTTCCTTAGCTCAGTTAACCCTTCCTTCTTTTCCCAAGGCCTCCATCACCACTCTCATACACTATCTGGGGCTCCATCCTATTTTTGCATTAATTCCTTTGGTATTTCCCTTTTAATATTTTCATTCCAAGCCTTTAGCAAACAATAAAATTAAAAACAAAATGAGCATCAAGATACAGTAGGAAAATTGCCAACAGATACTTGGCAAACATATTTGTAGAGACATCTATCGTTGCCCTTGTTACATAATAATTTGTCTCTATGGAATTCTCTGTCAGATATGCCACTGCCCATTTCACCAAATATTTGAGAGCAAAAAATCAGTGTCATCTGATTGTGTATGTTTACCTATAAATCAAAACTTTCTTTAAGCAAAGAATGAGAGCTTGAATCTGTGAAATCTAATATTCTGTCCTCAAGTATCATTTATCTGTTTATGAGACTCTGCCTAGGATGGAAGCTGCTAACATAACAGAGAATAGCCAATGATCTCACAACCTGGGCAGATGTGAGATTGTGCAAACACCTCTCAATCTAGATGATGATAAACATTGATACTTCAGAGTGAACGTTATCAAATTGGAGAGCAGAACAGATCTCAGACATTATCTGGATCAAATACAGATCTTTTGATTCACTGATTTACTATTCTCTGATATTTTCCGCCTTCACCAGGTATGTTTTCACTTTATAGCAAATAAATCTTTAATAAAATTGTGTGCATAAAAGTTCACTATCAGATGCTCCATTCACAAGGAACTACAAGGAGGATAAACTCTTTATCTACTTTATTAATACCAAATCTATAATCTTCAGGCTTAGAAAGGGGATGCCAGCTGGATCAAAAACTCCCAGCCTTTATTTAGTCAAGGGCCCATTAGGAAACAGATGATCCTCACAAATCAAAATAATTCAAGGATAAGAGGCTAGTTACAAAAGTGTGGAGACAGCATAGAGAAACCACAAACAATAGTGAAGTACCACACTACTACTAACAGCAGTGCTATCAATATTCCTAGGCCTGAATGGCAAAGGGAGTGAGTGTTTATCAAAGGTGGAAAGAGGGAATAATGTGGAGAGAGCTGCTTTGAAAGACGCTCTGATCTTAGGTTCAGAAACGCAACCATCTCAAGGCAACACCACAGAGCATCAACCGGTGGAATACTTATCACAATCTTATTCTTCTCCATCCCTCAAATCTTTTGTTGTTGGGGCTGAATTCACCAGAAGCCAGAAGGCAAGAGAGCCTGTTGATGTAGTTCACATAGATCAGCTTCTCTGGGTGGAGCAGGGTAGACAACTATGGAGAAAAGTGTTGACAAAGCCCCTTTAAAAAAAGAGTTTCTTATTAAAACAACTGCCTCCAAAACCAAAGCAAAAAGCAGAGGTAAAACTTGTCAGCCATAGTAAGAAAATAAAAGGCAATAAAATATAAGCTGGCATATCTCAAAGAATAAACAAAACAGAAATTTAGAAATCAAGGCCATGCTGAAAACTTCATAATACAGAATTGAAATTGCTGAAAACATAACAAAGGACTCAGAAATCGGAATTATTAAAAGCAAAAATAATTATATGAAAATTTTTTAAAACAAAAAGAATTAACAAGAAAATGATAATTGTTGAACACAGAAAAGGAGATTCAACATATGTATTGTTATCCTCTAAGAAGTTATTATTTCAGATACAACATAAGGATTATAGTTAGTAAAATTGTATTGTATTAGAGATTTTTGTTAAATAAGTAAATTTTAGCTGTTCTTGTCACTATCAAAAAGTAACTATGTGAGATGAAGTAAATACATGTTACTCTTCTTCAGTATAGTAACAATTTTAGTATATGTATGTATTCTATAACATCATGTTGTAAACCTCAAACTTTAAAATTTATTTTATAAATAATGACGAAAACCAAAAATAAAAGGAATCTGGGTTGACAGTTCTTTCATTTCAGTACAGTAAACATGTTCCACTATCTTCTCACTTAAATTGTTTCTGATGAGCAATCTTTTGGCAGCTTTAACGTTGATCTTCTGTATATAATATCTCTTGCTTTCTTGTAACTACTTTTAAGATTTTACCTTTATCTCTGGTTTTGAGAAATTTGATTATGATATAAATTGGTGTAGTTTTCTTCATATTTCTTGTGTTCGGGGTTTTTTGAGCTTTTTGGATCTGTGGTTTTATACCTTTCATCACATTTGGAAAAATTAAGCCACCATTTCTTCAAATAATTTTTCTGATGTTTACCCTCTTTTTTGAGGACTCCAGTTACATATATACTGTGCTTATGGAATTTTTTTCCCCAGTTTACTGATATGCTTTTATTTTCTTTTTTCTTTTTTTTAACTTTGAATTATATATTCTCTTTTTTTATTTTTTATTTTTTTTAAATTTTATTATTATTATACTTTAAGTTTCTTTTAAGTTGTGGTTATATATATATATATATACACACACACACACAACATAACTCAGTAGTCTTGGAACCAGATTGAGTTTCATGCCAAACAGGTGTTTCTCAAGGAGGAAGCAAGACAGCCCACAGAAACCCTTGTAGCCAGCCAGAGCTCCAACAAGCCCTTGAGAGACCCTGAGACTCCCAGATCTTCAGGTTCTATGTGCAATAGATGGAAGCCAAATGGCAAGATACTAGGGAGATTGTCCCTCACCATTCTGCAGGAGAACAACTCGTCTGGCACCCTGACACCATGACAGGTAAAGCAAGAGAAGGGTAAGCAGTCTTCACTAAGTGAAAATGTTAGTGAACTAAAGGAAGGAGCCATTCTTGGAACTGGGCAACTTCTGAAAAGTGGAAGACAGCATGGGAGCAAGGCCAGGACAATGACAAGGAAAATCAGCACTTTCCCTTGGTGGAGTGCTAAGCCCTGCATGACCCCAGCAATGCAGTCACCTAGGGCCTGGTGGATCTGTGTTCTCTCAACCCTTCTTTCCCAGGGATATTGAGGAAGGGCTTGTTTTCTTAGACTCCTCCTCAACTACCAAACTGGGACTAAGAGCTTTATTGGGGAAAAAAAATAGAATTTTAAAAACATTGTTAAAGAATTTTTTTTTAAATTCTTTGTTTAGCTTTTTGAGGGACTGCTGAACTGATTTTTACAGAGGCTGCACCATTTTACATTCTCACTAGCAATGTATGAGAGTTCCAGCTTCTCCACATCCTTGTCAACACTTGTGATTTTCTATGTTAGGTTTTTTGTTCGTATGTTTTTAAGCCATTCTTGTTAAGTGTGAAACGGTATCTCATTCTGGTTTTGATTTACATTTCCCCAGTGACTAGTGATGTTAAACATCTTTTTATGAACTTATTGGCCATTTGTATATCTTTTGAGAAATGTCTTATTTATGTCTTTTGTCCATTTTTAAATTGAGTTTTCTGTCTTTTTGTTTAGTTTTAGTTGTCCATTATTTATTTTGAATATTAAACTCTTATTAGATATATGATTTGTAAATTTTTTTCCCATTCCGTAGTTGCCTTTTACTATCCTAATAATGTCTTTTGGTGCACAAAATTAAGATCTTTTATTTTCTTTGTCAGTCTAGCTAAAGGTTTGCCAATTTGAAAATTTCTTTTCTAAGAACAAGCTTTTTGTTTCATTGCTTCTTTTTATTATTTTTCAATTCTCTACTTCATTTATGTTCACTATAATCTTTATTATTTCCTTTCTTCTACTAGTGTTGGTTTTAGTTTGCTCTTCTTTTTCTAGTTCCTCAAGATGTAAACTCAGGTTGTTAATTTTAGATCTTTTTTCTTTTCAATTGTGTTTACAGCTATAAATTTCCCCCTGAACACTCTCTTCCCTGCAATGATGCACTCTTGATTTTTAAAAGTTAATTTTTCACTGTGTGTTTGATTTTTGGGGAGTATCTTTGTTTTGTCTTCAACTATGCTAATTTTTTATTTCTGTGATGTCTAAGCTGCCAGTAGTCTCATCCTGTGTTTTTCATATCAGCCAGAATATTTATCTGTATTATTTTGATATGAATCATTTTTATGTGTTTGATATCTCTTCTCTACTTTTTGAACATATAGAACATGATTATGATTACTGTTTTAATATCCTTATCTGTTAATTCTAGAATCTGGCAGCTTTATTGATTTTCTGATTTTTCTCCTCATTTTGGGTCATATTTACCCGCTTCTTCACATGTCTGACAATTTTTAATTGGGGATGTCCTTCATTGTAAATTTCATCTGATTGGATGTTGAGTATTTTTATGTTTTTATAAATATGAGTGTGCTTTCTTCTGGAATGCAGTTTGATCATTTCAGGTGTTGCTTTTAAGATGAGTTAGGTGAATCCAGATCAGTGCTCAATCTCAGGCTATGCATTTCCCACTATGTAGGCAAGATCTTCTTGAGTACCGTATTCAGTGTTCCATAAATTATATTCTTCAATGTACCTGGTGGTAACATCTACCATTCTCAGAGCTATGTAAACACTGGACACTGCCCCTACTAATTCTTTCATATTCTTCTTTCTCCAGACTGATCAGTATTCAGCGGAACACTTGAGCTCAGGGAGGAGGATAGGGACTCTGTAAATGCCTGTGGTTCTCTCTGTTTTGCTGTCTCCTTTCTTCTTTCTGTTACCCTGCTCTGCAAAT
This sequence comes from Homo sapiens, assembly GCF_000001405.40. NCBI lineage: Eukaryota > Metazoa > Chordata > Mammalia > Primates > Hominidae > Homo > Homo sapiens. Next base: position 37,823,355 of record NC_000007.14, read on the forward strand.
TCTAGCTGCTTGAATTTTCAGTTTGGCCTCCTCAGATCCCAGGGATGGCTTCTCATTCTGCCAGTTTCCCCCTTAGGTTGCAAAGTAGAAACTTTCACAAGGCAGTAAGTTGATCACAGGGCTCATCTCATTTGTCTTTCATCTGTCATTGATCACTGTCATTCTTTGCTTGATGCCCAATGTATTGAAAACTATTGTTATAGGGATTTGCCAGTTTTTAACTTTTTCGGGGAGTAGGGCAAATCTGGTCTGTCTTACTACGTCTTGGCCAGAACCACAGGAATTTCATATGTAACAACAAGCCATAGGTATTCATGACCTTCTTTCATATTCTGTGGGCTGAGCAATTTGTCTCAGATGATATAATGTTAAGATGACCTAAATACAGATGCTGTAATCAAATTTTGTTTTTCTGATTTAGCAATCAATCAATGAGTCATTTGTCTGAACAGACATCAGTATCTAACATCTTAAAACATTTTAGTCATGTAATTCTTCCCCCTTCCCCATCCCCATATCTGTCCCTTGGCATTCCTTCTTCTGCATCTCCATTCTATTCTAACTTAATAGTGATAGAAATTAGTTTGTGAAAATACATTTTCTCAAAGTTCAGGTAGAGTAAAATTTTATACGGATATAGTAATGAAAATATATTAAAGTTATATCTCTGCATGACAGTAAATAATAATTATTGAATGCTCACCATAAGTTAGAGATTTTTCTAAGCCTTTTACATATTTAAAATCATTGAATCCTCACAGAAACCATTTGATAAGTTAGTTTATAATCTCCAGCAAAGATATTGGGGTTCAGGGAGGTTAAGAAACTTACCCAAGGTCACAAAGACCACCACTACCCAATATTGCTGTATGGAGATTTTACCCCCAAAAAAGTGTATATGTTTATGTGTGGGGAGCTAATTAGCTAGGAAAAGCCCTAATGTAATATGCTTTATTTATTTTCAAATTACTGATTGCATAGAACAATGTTGGCCCAAACCTAATGCTATTGTGAAAATGGACTTTTGTCTTATTCATTGTTTCCTTGGTAATCATCATATGTGTGGATCATAATAATCCTGGTTTAACTGTCAATAGTGGTAGTGAGTCTTCTTCCATCTTGTCATTCTAAAAGTCCTGAATTCATGATCTACCCTTCAGATCTGATCTTCCTTTTACGTTTCTCATTAACTTTGTTAAAGAAACATTATTCTTTGACACTTATTAAAGATGGTAAAGAAGGTTCTACTAAGAAAGGGGATTATGGTGATGAGTGTAGGAACCACGTCAATAGGAGAAGAGAGATTGGGTCTGAATTCAACTCCAAGGAAAAGTGGAGATTTATAGCCAAGGAGCAGAGTGGGAGTCAATGGATGAAAAATTACTAGGAAGAAATATCAAGGGTTAGGGGGATTCTTGCTAGACAGACTCAACAGAATTCTTGTTGAAGACAACTCAAGGTGATAAGAATGGAGAGTGGTTGGATACTAAGGGTGGGAAATTTTCACTAAACTGACTTAGCAGGATTCTTGCTCAGACTGGATTCTATAAGAATAGAGAGGGAAGCTGAAGCTTGGGCCCAGTTGAGCAGAGGGCTCAGAAGAGCCTGATTAAAATTTGGTCAAAGGAGAGAGAGTCTTTGTCAATATGAAAGGCATCATTCCCTCACCCAAACCTGAAACTTAGGAGATTTCTGTGGTTCTCCCCCTCCCTCACCCCTCCACAGAGTAAGTCCGCAAGTCCCCTTGATGCTAAACCCCAAATATCTCTCGAGTCAGTCTCTTTTGCTCCTTACTCACAGTCTCTGCCTTAGTTTAGGCCCTTGGCCGAGCTCCTCTGGGTTGCACCAACAGGCCCATATCTCCTTATCTCTTGTTTCACTTCCCACCCACATTTACTACAATTGCCACAGTGATGCCACAGTGGTTTTTCTAGACTTGAAACCTTTTCCTGTCATTCATCTATCATAAGTCTTCCCACTTAAAACTTTGAGAAGCTTCATACTGTTTTTGTATAAGGCCCAAATTTATTATCAGGCTTATTGCACTCCCTATGCTGCAGCCAAGCTTGCCTTTCCAGGCTTGTCATGCCCTCACATGAATTCCTCACATCAGGTAAAGCATCAAATCCACAGGCACCTCCATACATCTGGCTCTCCCATCCCTGTGACTACACTTACTTCCTGCTGCACCTTGAAGTCCCTTCCCCCAAAATCCCTTTATCTCCATCTTCCTCCCTCTATGCTCCATGCTCAGCTCCACCTTATTGTGTTCTAGTCTTACCTCTAGTCCTTTATGGACAGTGGCGGGAGTGATTAATTACTCCTATGCATCTGTTGCAAGAACTCATATGCCAGGATTTCAGGATGCTCCTTTTCTATCTCCAGACTGATTATGAGACTCCTCTTAACCAACTCCCCTGTCATCTTACCTGTGCCTCTATTGCAGTGACTGTCATTTGGCAAGCTATGACATAGTACCAGACAGGGAAATCATAAAGAGAGAAAACTAAATTATACTTCTCTCTGTGTCCTCATGCTCTAGAATAATGCCTTGCTGTTCAATAAATATTTGCCAGGGAATAAATGAATGAAGAAATAAGCTGAGCAATTTCCTAACATTTTTCCCTTTAGAAAACAGAAAAAAAGGTTGAAATCTGAACTCATACCTGAACCAATCCCAGTTGACCATTTTCTACTAGTGACATTAGTGTTGCCATTGAAATAGTATAAACATAAAATGAAAGTTTGATAAAGTCACCTCTGATAAAAATACATAATATATAACATGTATAACATCACAGAATATATATTATATACATGTGTATTATAAGAGCTGTCTTTTTTATCTTATATATGTATATACATATCTTACATATACATGTATGTGTGTATATACATGTGTGTGTATATCTATCTATAGATACACACATGCACACATATATACGATAAGAAAGGAGCTTAACAGGCAGTGATATGTAGATTTCTCTCCAATGAAGCCTGAAATTATTTTGCGTGAACAACTACAAATGAGATGTGTTACTTTTACTGCGGACTGTTTACATGAGCATAAACTGGATGCTTTAATCCTTTGTTATTTTTTCTTGCATTTCATACAAATTTTTAAATAGTTGTGATTACAGATTGACTGGATAAAGTCACGGCCAATGGATATGGATTTTTAAAATGGTAACATTTTTGCACCACAGGGATCCTCAAAGATGCTTGTAATAGAAATAATTTGCATAAAGACGCTAGAAAAGTTATTGAAAATATAAGCTATTTAAATACATAAAATGGAGAAAAACAATATATGGAAAGGCTGTATTTTTTCTTTCGGTCATGCTAGAGGAAGCGCCCCTCCTCTCATCTGACGTATTTTCTTCACCTGCACCTCCCATCTTCTATTTCTTCAACTTCTACTCTCCTGACTGTTAAAAATCAGCATTTAAATATAGTATTATAGTCAAACTTCTTCCTCCTTGTTTAAAAAAGAAAAACGAGCCCTCCAGCACTCACATTTTTTGGGCAACTGTCTCTTCTCTGTTTCCATTTCTTCACCCTTACGCTTCTGGAAATAGTTGCTGATTCTGTCTCCACCTCCTGTCTTTATAGTCTCTCAAGGGACTTTCCCAGACCACGCTACTGAAGACACTCTTATGATCACCACTGGCATCTTTGTTGCTCAGTCCACGTGAGTGACATTTTATTTGGCCAGATCTTGTTTTATTTGGCCACTCTGTAACACTTGGCAATAGTATTGCTGCCTCAGCAGCATCTCATTCTTTGATTTTTATGACATCACTTCTTGGTTCTTCTCCTGCCTTTTTGGCTGTTCCTCCTCATTTTCCTTCATCAGCTTTACTTTCATGACCTGTTCCTGAAAGTTGATGTTCCTAGCGTATCCTCCTGGACCCTCACTTTCTCAAACTACACAAATTTCTTGGCCATCTCCTCTGCTTCTATTCCCCTAATGTGCTGATTATCAACACATCTATATCTCCAGCCCAGGTATTTCCTAAGTATCTTTCATATCCAGTAGTCTCCAATGTGTTGTGTACGCCTTGCCTGGGGTGTGCAATATAAACCTATGAGGCTACACAAAGAAAAATACATGTATATTTTTGTTGATTTTCTTATCTGAAATATGAGAAAAGATAGTGCTAATTTATTAATGGTTATCATATGCATCATCAGTAGTGTCCTCAATGGCTTTTCGTCCTCCTGTTTCCAGTTCGCACGGACACACTTTGTCTCTGGTTTTTCAACCACCACACATATGCAAAGGTACCAGGAAGCTCAAGGTTTGTTGAGTGTCTCCTACAAGGAGCTGGTCACATAGGAACATCCCAGCTATTGGTCAGCCTTGACCATTAAGCTCCCTCTCCCTCCTTATCCCTGGGCTCCAGCAAAACCAGGTGGTATAGGTCTAAATCCAGTTATTATTCCTGAGCAATGCTGATAAACTGGTATGTCCACTCCAAAACAACTCGCAAACCAATGGTTACAGAATATTATTTACTGGTTATCTCATGGCAAAGTTCATTTTTATTTTGTAAAAATAAAATGTTTTAAATTTGAGGACACGTGGCTGTCTAAATTTTGCTATCTAAGAGGTATATTTGAAAAAATTATCATCATTATCTATTCCCCCAAGATTAAAGTGATGTTTTGAAACAGTGAAAAAATTACTGCTTTTTGAAATAACTCATGGTGAGGAGGTGGAAATGTATGAAAACCAATATTTGAAATTTTTCTATAATTAACATGGCTTAATAGTGAAAATGAGCATGACTTATAAACCCGCTCACAATTACACCCTTAAAATACCTTAGCATCACAAATTTTCTATTGTGTTAAAAAATTTCCCCAAAAGTTACATTTTTAAGTCATTTGTCAAATGCAAACCCCTCCCATTTATTTGGTAGAAAAAGCAATTTAGATTTTTTAGGATGTTGAAAAGTTACAGAGTAATTGTAACAAAAGTCTTTTCATAATTTTTGGAAGATACTGAAAGATAAATATCTTTTGTTTTAAATGGCATTTTCTTGTGAGAAAGTATTTTCAGCATTGAAATAAATTTAAAACTTAGAAGCAGGCATTTGAATCACTCCATCACACAATATTAAATCAAGATTTCAAAAACAATGAAATCATATTTCAATTACATTTCTCACTAAATATTAATAACATTAATATTTGTTTAAGCATTTAAATATTAATAACATTAATATTTGGAGAAAGCCATGAAGTTCTGAACTAGTACGTAATAAATAAGACGCAACAAGTAAAAAATAGCATATATTTATATATTTAATCAGATCATAATCTGAGTTAACGTTTTTGTTGTTTTTTAACTTTTTTTTTTTTTTTTTTTTTTGGTAGAATCAGGGTCTCACTATTTTTCCCAGGCTGGTCTTAAACTCCTGGCTCCTGGGCTCAAGTGACCCACCCACCTCAGCCTACCCAAAGTGCTGGGATTACAAGCGTGTGCTACCACACTCGACCCATTTTTGGTTTTGTTTAAGCATTATAACATGCAGAAGTGATGAGTAATAGGAAAAATATTTAATCTATTAAGACATAAAGATATCTAATTTGATGTGCAGGTTTAAATAGTTTTACTGGTGTAAATGTGTTGTCAGGTACCTCCTAATCCTCTTGTGGATCCATATACTTTCTTCTGTTTTTCCTTCAGTCTTGCAGCAGACCACCCATCTCACTTTGATTCCCCCAGTTTTTCTGTTTTTCCATCCTGTCCTCTCTCCTTCAACCCATTCTCCAGTCCCAGTCAGAGTAGGGTTTCTAAAATGTAAAAATGAGCAGTCACTTTGCTCAGTAGAAGGCTGCGGTGGTTTTGCTTGCCCTCAGGCTGTATACCCAGTTCTTCATACCTCTCCCAGGCTCCTCCAGATCTGCCTCCTGCTGACCTTGTACCCAGCTGCAGCGACACCGAGCTCCTCACAGCTTCCCAAAGTGGGCTGGCCCCTCTCACGACAGGGTCATCGCACAGGCTCCCTCTGTGGGGGAACACAACGGGAGTCATTTCAACACCACTTTCTTCAGGAAGCCTATTCTGATCCTTGGTACTCCAAGCAGCTGTTGTCAATGCCTACCCCAGGTGATACCATGCCATACTGATTTTATTTTCCTGGATACTTAATCACAGGTAAAGTCACTGAGGCCACACAACCCTGAGGAGAAAATGCTTGAGCAGGCAGGATTTTGATGATATTTTGTGGATGATACTCCATTCTCAAACTGCCTACATTCACACTTCTTTTCACCGAGAGAAAATTAAGCCACTATGCTTTTAAACCATTCTTACTTGGGTTTTGTGTAACATGCAGCAACATGGAATTATTACGGATACAATTGGTTCTGACTTGTATGGATACACTTATAGAAAAACGTGTGAGGATATATTGAACAGCAAAGTACTGATTTTTTTCTTATTTTGATTTGTCTCTGATGAACACATATTTCTTTATGTAAATGTATTAGAAGGAATTAATAAGAATATGTTGAGGAACAAATAAATTGCCAAATCCCAGTGGCGTAGCACACTGATGGTTGATTTGTCCGTCACACAAAGGCCCATGCAGGTTAACTAGGGCTAGCTCGAGCCAGTGACTCAAAGATCCAGGCTCCTTCTGTCTTGTGATTATTAAGGGTAGTAAAGAAAAGAGAATGTGGCGGTGGCAGACCCCCTGCTAGAAACTGAAGGTGCCATTTCTAGTCACAGGCCACTGGCTAGACTACATCACATGACCTTGCCTGTCAGGAACTAGCATTGCAGACTTACCAGCATGACCGAGAAGGAAATGAGAGCATATGTAGGGAAGCACGCATTGTCTCTACCAAAATGAAAATGGAAGTTTAAAAATGCAAGTACTCATGGGAAAGGTAACACACTGCACATCTTAGCCACTGTCTTCCCTGACTGCAATGGCAGAGGGTAGAAGGGGAGGGAAGAGGTGCGCATATATGGAGGCGCATGTAGATTCTTTACAATTTGTCTCAGGTGAGGAAGGGTTAATGTGTGTGCTCAGATGTGCCAGTGAGTAAAGAAAAGAGTATGTTTTCAAGCTTCGCACCAAATGTGAAAGTCACTTGTTTCTTTTTTCCCTTTTAATTCTAAATCTGAGAAAAAGCAGTGCTCCGCTTTGAATTTCAAATGTCTTCAACATTGAAGTCTGTTAATCAGGCTATTTTCTTATCAGCTCTGAGTCTCAAATGCTGCATCTATAAGAAGAGAAGTCCTTTCCAGTTCTAAGAGCAGTGACTGTGTGTGGCTTCAGGAATGATAATTACACATTCCAAAATGCATCCTGGATTAATTTCTTAATTCACATCTACCAGAGATGTGAGTACCCAATGCTTAAAGAACTATGGTTCCATGACTAACAAGAAGTGATTCACTGAGCCCAACAAGCAATCTAATCTAATTGCCTCTAAGTGTTGTTTAGTAGGGGTAACTTTGGCTATTTTAATGAAATGTGAATTTTTAGAAATTATAGACAACAAAACAAATGTGTGTTCAGCAATTCCTGCCTACAGGAGTTCACACTCACTTAAGGAAGGCAAGGCACGTGCAGTTGAAACAACTAGCGAAAAAACAATTCTAAATAAACTAGCGTTGTATACCGATATAATTAAGTGCTAAAGTGTGCAGTTCAATCAGATAATATAAGATTTGGAAAAGAAAGGTGATAAAGTATGCCCCCAGACAAAATGGACTCCCTGTGGCTAACTGAGGAGCTCAAAGTTAAAACAGAACTAGGTGTCCATAGCTGGGTGACAGAATGGTCACATGTTCTGCGCTCTCAGAAAGATGTTGTAAAAGTATCAAAGGACCTCCCATTCTACAATCAAGCTGAACCAGCTCCTGTTCTGTTGTTGGGCTACAAGATAAACTGCTGCAAAAAGCACAGCACCTGCCCACACCTCCCAGTGCCGCAAGCCCCAGGCCCCATTGGCCATTTGAAAGAAACATCTGACAGGGACTGCTGGTTTGGGGCTTGGGAAGCAACCAGAGATCACCTCCCCTAGCCAATTAAGGCTCAGCTGTTTGGGCCAATCAGAACTCAGCTCTGTCAGCCAGTCAAAACCAAACAAGACTCAACCCTTTGTTTGCATAAATAGACCTGGTTGGGAACCTGGGTGGGGACTTTTCCTATAAAACCCCAGGCATGCCATCCCTTCATTCTCTGGAATGGACCTTCATTTTACACAGCGGCCTGCATGTCTGCCTGATTTGCAAACAGTTCTCTGGAATAAAATCTCTTTCCTCCAGATTCTTTTTCAGAGAGCTTTTGTTCACAAAGGGGATAAAAAGATTAAGCTAAGATGAAAATCAGAAAAAAAAAAATAGAATCACTGCAATAATAAGGCTCATTATTTCCAAGATTTTTATGTATCCTGGTCTGAGTATGTCCGTCCTTAAAGCATATGAACTGAAAAGAATAGGAATTGGATTTATGGGTTTTGATCCATTTAAAATATCAGTATTACAAAGTTTTCTAGTGAAGTTAAACGAATGCCCGCAAGTAATTTTTTTACAGAAACCCAGTTGAGAAGGGCTGCAAGAATTAAGAGTATTTTGAAAATATACCAGAGTAAGCAAAAATTGCAACATATGATGGTTAAAAAAAAAAGCTCAGTAGTATATCATATTAAAGATTTATATATTAAATATAACAGAATTTAGAAATTATTTATGTGTATGGGACACTGTTTTTATCATTTTTTCACGTAGAGTTGTCACCATCATTCATTGTGAAGAACAGTATATTTAATATTCATAGGAACATAGTATAAACATTCTTCTATGTAATATTAAATTCACAACAAATGGAGTATTTCTTGGGTTACATGGGAAAAAAAATAGCAGAATCTTGCTGAGCCTCCCCAGACAGATTCTATCACCAGGACAGCTCTTTAAGTTCCCAGATGCGGGTGCCTCCCTTCCTTGGCAGAATGCCTGGTGGACTTGGCAGCTGCCTTCTCAGCCCTTATCACAGCTGAGGCTTCCTGGGGAGTCACGCTTCTCCTCTTCCACCCACTGTGGGCGTGGGGTGCCACCCCACGGCTTCTCCTGGTAGCTCTGATGCTGCCACTGCAGTGACCCTGGCACCATCTGGTCCCTGGATGTACTTGCTGACACTGCCATCATCATCACCTGCACCTCTGCCCCAAGACAAGGTTGAGGATATTTTTCCCAGACCAGTTTCCCCAGTTGGGGATGTTTGTCCTAGGCCTAGATGCCATTCTAGAATCAGGAACTTAATCAAATCATAGATCTTCACTTGAAGAAAGCATAATGTCGATGGCCATGAACCAGCAATTTTTCTTCCTTTCTCTCATCTCCCTACTCCTTTTTAGGGCTATTCTGCCCAGCCTCATTTCCCCGTTCTGGATGGCAGATCCATCTTCTAGAAATAACTTTCAAGATGGAACTATAATCCAGGTCTTTGGTTGTAATCGAGGTCTTCTGGGAGTTCCGTTTTGGGATCCAGACTTATATCAAATCCTACATTTGCTTCTGGGGAAAGTTAAAATTTTGATATACAAGAGAATTAAAAAAATACTGTGCCATCAGAGATTAAAATGCTAATGGAAAGTAATTCAGGAGAGAAGAAAAATTGATTATGCTAATAAAAATAATATCAATTTGGTTGAAAATGCAAAATACAGTTTAGGTCCTCAGGGGCCATGGTAGAGAGTGTGGTAGGATTAATGAGAGAAGGAGTGGGGTAGTCCCTGCTTTGTGCGGGGTCTAGTCTTGAGGGGTTATTCTTGCTGTTCATGGTTGATGTGTGACGACACCTCCATACTTGTGTTGGAATCCTAGGGATTTCTGGGCATCGGCTCCCACTTCTAAAGACAGGGACTCTCCTGTGTCGGAGCTTTTGGGGTTCTGCTGAGAAAGGGGGAGGCTGAGTAGCACGAACTATCATGATTGATTAGTAACGTCTGCTACAAAAGTGGGAGGGTGGGGGACGGCTCATATGGCAAATATTTATCACCTTACCCCATAACATGCTTTCTGGCTGTATTGTCAGGCTGCTAGGAAATGCTTTCCACTCGGAACTGAGACCTAAAACTGGAAACTAGGCTGCAGGACCACCTGGGTACGTGTGAATTACAGAGGTTCATGCATTTCCAAATGGGGGTGTCATTTTAGAACTGGGGCGTAAGATGATGAGCAACAGAAAAGACAACGCCGAGCCCCCGGGTATGAGCTCAGAACTCTTTACATGTTTGATGCTCCAAATGGTCTAGGGCAGGGGGGCTTCAGAGCCTTGGCAGCAGAACGTGGTCGCGTAGATGTTTATCTGATTTTCTGTTGCGCTGCTGCTCAACCGCCACTACGGAAGTGCACACTGCCACCTTATGGACGTCTTGAGAAGTTACACTTACACGTTATTAATTATATTAAATAAAATTCAAATGTAATAAATAATGTCAGGGGTAGTTTTTATAAACATTTGCAATGAAAATTCATATGAGGACTTCAGACAGAATATATTCAAATGAAGAGTTGATTTCGATTTCACTGATGAAATTAAATAACAGGATTAAGATGAAATTCTCAGCTATTTTAGCATTTTAGTGTTTTTCTGCTACTGAGTTGTGGGAATTCCTTATATGTTTCGGCTTGTCATAAATATGGTTGACAAATATTTTATCTGATTTTATACGTTTTTTCACTCTATTGATTATTTCCTTGGTTGTACAGAAACTTTTTAATTTTATGTAGTCCCACTTGTCTATTTTTTACTTTTGTTGACTGTGCTTTTGGTGTTGTATTCAAGAAATCACTGCCAAGATCATTATCATGAAGCTTTCTCCCTATGATTTCTTCTAGAAGTTTTATAGTTGGGGTATTACATTTATTTATTTATTTAAAGACAAGATATTGTTCTGTCACTCAGCTGCAGTGCAGTGGCACAATCAAAGCTCACTGCAGCCCCAACCTCCTGGGCTCAAGTGATCCTCCCATCTCAGCCTCCCAAGTAACTGCAGGTAACTACAAGTGTGCACTACCACACCAGGCTATTTTTTGTGGAGACAGGGTTTCTCTGTGTTTCCTGGGCTGATTTCGAACTCTTGAACTCAAGTGATCCTTCCACCTTGCCCTCCTAAAGTGCTGGGATTACAGGTGTGAGCCTCCAACCCTGGCCAGGTCTTACATGTAAGTCATTAATCTATTTTGAGTTGAATGTTGTGTGTGGTGTAATATACACATGTGAATATCCAGTTTTCCTAACATTTGTTGAAGAAACTACTGTGTATTCTTAGCATCTTTGTCAAAGATCAATTAATCATATGTGTGTGTGTTTATTTCTGCACTCTCCATTCTATTCCATTGATTTATGTGTTTATCTTTAAGCCAATACAATACAGTTTTAATTGCAGTAGCTTTGTAATATATTTTGAAATCAGGAACTATGATGCCTCCAGCTTTCTTTTTTTTTCTAGAGATTGTTTTGGTTCTTCTGGATCTTTTATAGTTTAATATGAATCTTAGGATTGTTTTTACTATGTCCGTAAAAAATGCCATTGGGATTTTGATAGAAATTGCATTTAAACTGCAGATCACTTTGAAGAATATGATTATTTCAACAATATTAAGTCTTCCAATCCATGAACATGGGATTTTGTGAATATTCTTGTATGGTTTTAGCCTAATTAGAATGTTTCTAATGTTTTGATTTTACATACAATGTTAGCTGTAAGTTTCAGACGGAATTATTTCTCAACTCTTAGTTTGTTCAGAGCTTTCTAAAATTATTATTAATGAAAGTTAATCATTTTTGGCATAGACTTGGTTTTTAACTTTGATTAAGTCCAGTTATTACTTTTAAAATTTTATGATGACTCTTTGTGTTCTAAGAAATATTTGATTACCATCCCAAGATTGTAAAAATATTCTATACTTTTGGAAAAGCTTTATAGTTGTAAACTTTTATGTGTAAGTCTGTGATCCATCTGAACTACATTGCATATTTTATGAAGGTGAAGGTTCATTATTTTCCATATGGAGTTTAAATTTTTCCAGCATCATTTATTTGAAAGAATTTCCTTTCCCTGTTGAACTACCTTGATGTCTTTGGAGAAAATAAATTGACAGTATGTGTGGGACTCTTTCTGAACTCTGTATTTTTTTCATTGATCTATACATGGCATTACCACACCATTTTAATTGCTGTAGTTTAATAGTAAAGTGCACGTTTTCTACCTTTTTTCTTTCTGACTCTTCTGGGTACTTGACATTTCCAAATCAATTTTAGAATCAGATTGTCAAGTGCAACAAAAAATGGTTGGGATTTTTATTATGATTGCATTGAATCTATAGAATAATTTCGATTAAAAGTGACATCTTGGGCCGGGTGCAGTGGCTCGCACCTGTAATCCCAGCACTTCGGGAGGCCAAGGTGGGCAGATCACAAGGTCAAGAGTTCAAGACCAGCCTGGCCAACATAGTGAAACCCCACCACTGCTAAAAATACAAAAAAAAAAAAAAAAATAGCCGGGCATGGTGGCAGGTGCCTGTAGTCCCAGCTACATGGAAGGCTGAGGCAGGAGATTCGTTTGAACCTGGGAGGTGGAGGTTGCAGTGAGCCAAGATCGCATTGCACCACTGCACTGCAGCCTGGGTGACACAGCGAGACTCTGTCTCAAATAAACCAAAAAAAGTGACATCTTAACAATTAGTCTTCTAATTAATGAATATGATACACTTTTTTGGTTTCTTTAATTTTTTTCAGCAATACTTTGTTGTTTTCAGCAATAAGATATATTTCTCTTTTTAAATTTATGACATATTTTTATCTTCTTTGATGGTATTGTAAATTTTAAAGTTAATTTTATTTTCCAAACCTTCGATGCTAGTTTATGGTATACAATCAATTTTTTATATTTACCTTGTATTTTGCAACTTTGCTTAATCATCTATTAGTTCTAGTAGGTTGATTTTTCCCCAAGATTCCTTAGGATACAAAATCGTGCCTTTGCCTGTATGTATATATTTTTTTCAATCTTTATACCTATTATTTATATTCCCCTTGTATTGCACTAGCTAGCACTTCAATATAACATTTAGTAGAATTGGGGGAAGCAGACATTCTTGACTTGTTAAAGGTATTATGGGAAAGTTTTTAATAATTGACCATTACATATAATGTTAGCCAGAGGTGTTTTATAGATACACTATATCAAATTGGAGCAGTTTGCTAAGAGATTCTGTGTGTGTGTTTATCACGAATGAATATAAAGCTTATCACATTATTTTCTTCATTTATTTATATCATGATATAGTTTTTCTCTTGTATTATGCTAATATGGTGAATAAATGCTTCATTTTCAAGCTTGCATTGATAGATAAACCTCATTTGGTCATGACACGTGATCTTTTTCATGTATTATTAGAATCAGTCTGTTAATATGTTACATATATTTACATCTATGTTCATGAGGTATATTGGTCGATAAGGGTTATGCTGGCCTGGAAGCAGACACATGTCAGGATATATTCCTCTTTCTCTATTTTGTAAAATAGTTCATATAGTATTAAATTATTTTTCTTATTTGGGCATAAAATTTCCTTTATACAAATATTTTAATTATATACTCAGTTTAAGTAACAGATACATGGTAATTCAGTTTCTTGTTACCCTTTGCTAAATTGTATTTTTCAAGTAATTTTTATTTAATCTAAGTTTTAAAAGCTTATGGCATAAAGTTGTTGTAATATTCCATCATTGTGTAACTTCATTGCTATGAGGTCTTTAGTGATATGCCCTCTTTCATTTACAATACTGAAAATTTGTATATAGCCTATTTTTCTTATGTAGTCTAGCTTTGGGTTTGTCTTTTTCTATCTTTATTAAAAAAACCTTGTATGTTTGTCAGCTTCCATTTTTTTGTTTTCTATTTAATTAATTTTCTAACTTTTGTTAGTTTCTTCTCTCAATTCACTTTGAAAAATAAGTCATTTATTTCAGCTCATAAGTTGTAACTTACATCCTTATTCTGAACATGTTGTATTCTCTAATATAAGCATTTATAGTTTCCCACTAAGAACTGCATTAGCAACATCCAACAAACTTTGATATGGTATGTTTTAATTATCATTCAATTTAAAATATTTTCTAGGCTGGGCTTGGTGGCTCATCCCTGTAATTCCAGCACTTTAGGAGGCTGAGGGGGTGGATCGTTTTGAGCTCAGGAGTTTGAGACCAGCCTGGGCACCATGGCAAAATCGTGTCTCTACAAAAAAATACAAAATTAGCTGGGTGTTAGTGGCTCACGCCTGTAATTCCAGCTACATGGGAAGCTAAGGCACAAGAATAGCTTGAACCTGGGAGGCAGAGGTTGCAGTGAGCAGAGAGAACACCACTGCACTCCAGCCTAGGCAACAGAATGGGATCCTGTCTCAAAAATAAATAAATAAATAAATACATAAATAAAATATGTTCTAATTTCCCTTTTGATTTCTTGTTTAACTCATGGATTATTTGGTAGTATATTGTTAACTTTCAGGTATTTCAGACTTTACCATTATTGTATTGTTCTTAATTTCTAACTTATTTCTATTGTGATCAGAGACAATATAGTGAAATATGTAAATATTTGAAGTTTATTGTGATTTTATTATCTGGCTTATGATTCATTAAATATTCAATGTGCATTTCAAAAGAAAGTATATTCTGCAGTTATTCAGTAAGTGTCAATTTAGTCCAGATGATTGACAGGGTTGTTCAGATCTTCCGTAATCTTACTGATTTTATATATTTATATCAATTATTGAGATGTAATGAGTTATCTGTTTTTCATTTAATTCAGGAAATTTTTGTTTCATATATTTTGAATCTCTGTTCTTAAATATACACACATTTAAAATACTTATGTCTCCCTAATAAACCCTTTTATCATCAGGAAATATTTGTCTGTGAAAATATTCCTTGTACTGAAATCTACTTTGTCTGACATTAACATGGTCATGTCGGCATTCTTACTTTTTACATTATATTTTTTCCATTTTTGACTTTCAACTCATATATATCTTTAATTGAAAAAGCATGTCCTTTTGCCAGATGCTATATATCATGGGTATTCTAATTTTGCATTTTGAGTATAGAAATGTATGTCAATTGCCTACTAGAATAATAAAATAGAAATGTTTAAAATAACACAACAGAACTCAAAATTGTTACAAGGCTGGCTTTATTATCTACAATGTCCAGTTTTATTACTAAAATTTACCAGATATGTAAAAAGATGGAAAAGTATGACCTATACTCAAAAAAGGGCAATCAATAGAAATTGACTGAATGGGCCCAAATGTTATAATTAGTAGACACAGATTTCAAAGCAGTTGTTAAAAATATGTTGAATAAATTCAAAAAAGTTCAATAATTAAATAAAATATAATGTTAATTAATAGACTAGACAGAAAATCCCAACAGACAAATGCAAACTATGCAAAATGTAAATTCTAAAGGTGGAAAGTACAATAACTGAAATAAAAAAGATTCACTAGATGAGCTCAACAAATAATAAATGACAAAAAATGTATAAACTTGAAAATAAATCAACATATGTTATCTGCACCCAAAGAATGAATTAAGAGAATAAAACTAAACAGAGTTACAGAGACCTGTGGGGCAACATCACACTCTCACATATGTGTAATTGGAATACGAGATTGAGAATAGAGAAAGAAGGCAAGAAAATGTTAGAAGGAATATGATCAAAAACTTGAAATTCGATGGAAAATATTAACGTAGGAGTCTGAGAAACTCACAAAACACACGCAGAATAAATGCAAAGAAAACCACCACTAAGCATATCATAGTCATTTTGTTGAAAGCCAAATTAAGGAGAAAATCTTGATAGGCAGAGAATAATGACATATTGCATACTGCAGAACAATGATAATGTTAAATACTGATGTCTCATCAGAAACTATGGAAGCCATCATACTTTAGAAAGATACATTCAAAGCACTGAAGAGAGGGAATAAAAAACATGTCAAGCAAGAACTCTGTATCCATAAAACATTTTTAAAAATGAAGGAAAAATTAATACATTTTCAGATAAACAGAACTGAGAGCGTTTGTCACTAGAAGACTTACATTACAAGTAATCCTATAGTGTTCTGCAGACTGAAGAGCGATGAAACGAGATGGCAATTCTGATGCCTAGAAGAAATGAAGACAACCAAAAATGATGGTAAGTATGTGAGTTAGTAAGTTAAGAACTCTTCTCTCTCTCTCTCTCTCTCCCTCCCCTCACCACATATGTGTGTATCTGTATTTTCTAAAAAACATGACATTTTAACAAAAATTATAGCACTTTATTGATGAGTTTACAAGATATATAAATATAATGCCTAAAATGATAATAACATTAAGGATGGGGGAGAGATGACTAGAAATATACTGTTGCAAGTTTTCTATATTTCACCTAAAAAAAAATCAATACTAATTCCAAGTAGGTAAGGCTAAGTTATAGGTGTATATTTTACGCTCTAAAGCAATAAGTTAAAAATAATTTCAAAACATATAGTTAGAAAACTAAAAAAGGCATTAAAGTGGAATGCTTAAAAATGTTCAATTAAAATAAGGCATCTAAGGAACAAATGACAAAAACAAATAAGACAAATAGAAAAATGGGACACCTCAGTACAACCATATCAGTAATTACATTAAATGTATATGGACTAGATACTCCAATAAAAAGGCAGCAATCAAGATTTTTCAAACTGTGTAAAAAAGTAAGAACCATCAATATGCCATCCACAAAATAATGCACTTTAAATATAAAAACACAAATAAATTGAAAATAAAAGGATGGAAAACAGTAAACATAATAAAGTGGAGTAGCCATACTAATATCAGCCAACATGAAATTCAAGACAAAGATACTAGAGACGGAGGGACATTTTGTAATGATAAAGAGACAGTTCAAAAGAAGACATAACAACTGCAAACATATGAGCCTAATAAATGAACTTCAAAATATATACAGGAAACTGACAGAACTAAAGGAAGTCATGCACAATTCCCACAGTCATAATTGGAGACTCTATCAGACTTTCTTTTTGCCATGTAGATTTTCCAAATGTTAATATTCTTTTTATTTATCAGGTTTTATAAAGGAATAAAACATTACAAATACAGCTGACGTCCCGCCTTTCTATCACATTCTCCTCCCTCTTTCTTTGGGCATTGGTAAGCTAATAATAATTCAGGATGTAAATCTCTGGAGTGTGTGTTCTTGGAGTGCAGCACTATATCTTATTAATCTTGAATTTTTAGCTAATAGCAGTGCCTGACTCTAGAAGAGACAAATGAATTTTCAAACAATTAAATAATAAATGAATGAAAGGGATTGTTTTTATAATAATAATAATTTTTATCTTTGCCATATGTAATAGGGGCTCTGTAAATGTTTGATGAGTTTGGGAATTAATAAAATAGCTTTGATTTCTTACTGAGAATAATTGCCCCTAGGTGTTTTTTTTTTTATACTTTAAGTTCTAGGGTACATGTGCACAACGTGCAGGTTTGTTACATAGTTATACATGTGCCAAGTTGGTTTGCTGCACCCATTAACTCGTCATTTACATTAGGTATTTCTCCTAATGCTATCCCTCCCACACTCTCCCACCCCAGGACAGGCCCTAGTGTTTGATGTTCCCCACCTTGTGTCCAAGTGTTCTCATTGTTCAATTCCCACCTGTGAGTGAGAACATGCGATAGTTCTTGAGACAGTTTGCTCAGAATGATGGTTTCCAGCTTCTTCCATGTCCCTGCAAAGGACATGAACTCATCCTTTTTTATGGATGCATAGTATTCCATGGTGTATATGTGCCACATTTGCTTAATCCAGTCTATCATTGATGGACATTTGGTTTGGTTCCAAGTCTTTGCTATTGTGAATAGTGCTGCAATAAACATATGAGTGCATGTCTCTTTATAGTAGCATGATTTACAATCCTTTGGGTATATACCCAGTAATGGGATCGCTGGGTCAAATGGTATTTCTAGTTCTAGAACCTTGAGGAATCGCCACACTAGTTCAATGGTTGAACTAGTTTACGCTCCCACCAACAGTGTAAAAGCGTACCTATTTCTCCACATCCTCTCCAGCATCTGTTGTTTCCTGACTTTTTAATGATCGTCATTCTAACTGGTGTGAGATGGTATCTCATTGTGGTCTATCAGACTTTTTAAGTAATTGTTAGAACAACTACACCAAAAAAAAGGTCCTTAAGAATCTGAATGACAAAGTCAGTGGCTTTAACTCAAATGACATTTGTAGAACACTGCCTCCAACTACTCCATAATACACATTGTTTTTTTGTTTTTTTTTTTTTTTGAGGTGGAGTTTCGCTCTGTCACCAAGCTGGAGTGCAGTGGCACAATCTCAGCTCACTGCACCCTCTACCTCCCGGATTCAAGCAATTCTCCTGCCTCAGCCTCCCAAGTAGCTGGGATTACAGGCACGCACCACCATGCCCAGCTAATTTTTGTATTTTTAGTAGAGACGGGGTTTCACCATGTTGGCCAGGATGGTCTGGATCTCTTGACCTCATGATCCGCGCACCTTGGCCTCCCAAAGCGTTGGGATTACAGGCGTGCGCCACAGCACCCAGCCTATTTTCAAATGCATATGTAAGGCTTAACAGGCTAGACTATAAGCTGGGCCATTAAACAAATCTTAGCAGATTTCAAAAGCCTGGAATCTTACAGAATATGTTCTCTGACCACAACAGAATTAAGGAAATCAGCAATGATAAAACACCTAGAAAAGTCCTATCTGGAAATCAGACAACTAATATGTAAATAACCAACCCATAAGTAAAAGAAAAAAAAAAGTAAATTAGAAAATATTTATAAATGAATGGTGATTTTAAAAACACAACATGTCGAAATTTATAGGATGCAATTAATAAGTCAGTTCTTCAAACTTTATACCTTAAACATTTTATGTTAGTGAAGAACCCTTTAATTTTGAAGATTATGTTAACTAATTTTTATTACTTTGTTCATAAGCCTCATGTTGCTTTTGTTGTTGTTGCTGTTATTAGCGTTTTCATTGAAATATATATCTTCACTCATATAAATATCTGTCATATGCCTAATAACAAGGTGCCAGGTTTTCTTGGTTTTACTCACCTACACATAGTTGGTGATTGAATGCACTTTGAAAACTAGATCTAGTGAAATGGCAGACATCTGGTGCTGCTCTTCTTGTCAGAAGTCAGATCGTCTCCTCTTCTCTAATATTCTGAACGCATATACCATACTCATCCTACATTTCCATTCCTTCTTTTCCTATCGCTGTCCCCGTGTAAGCCATCATTTAAAATTATTATCCAGCAGAGTCGTGGAACCACCTTATGCTAGTTAATGAGAACAAATTGTTAGGTTTCAGGAATTATGTGAGATGATCATTAATCACAACCATTACAAAAAATATATAAAGTAACAAATTATTTATATTTAAAATATAAGTAATAAATTTCTCAAACTTATTACTTCCTTATCACTTTATCACATTTTACTATTTTCTGTGCTCTTAAAATTACTTATATATATTGTATCTTTAGGTAAAAACACCAACCATATAATGAAGTGTTAGTGCATATCTTTTGTGTCCCATGGCATCATGCTGGTAACTTGAAAGTGAACATGGTGGGGATATTTACACCATGGAAATCTGCAAATGCTACAAATTAGCACTTTATTGATTTGTTGATCATTAATGCAGATTAAAAGTTAAAGTGTGTTGCATCTGTAGTTGTTACATTCTAAAAAGCACCCAATATTTGAGAAATAATCTTCCAGTATTTGCAAACTATTACCATATTCAGCAAGAAGTCGTTTATGTCATTGATGAATCGGTGAAATTCTAACTTATATCTTCATTGTTTCACTTTGTCCAACTCATTAATGTATATTGAAATGTTGACCAACATTCTTACTGGACCTACACACATTCATTGATGACATGAATAATTTCTTTGCTGAATCATATAGTAAACAAGCATTTATTCATCTTCTGAACAAATTGCAACTGTGAATTAGCTATGGAAACATGAGTTTGGCAAAAATTAAACAAAAACACTTTTGTAAAAATCAATTGACTATATGGGATTTGCAGTAAAGAGTACTGTATATTTTATAATATATATTAAAAATGTGAAACATCATTTTAACAGTTAAATTCGTAATACTTTGTTGTATACATTTTTTTCCAAGAGAACTGGTTATTAACATTTACCAGCATACCACCGATTATGACTCTCAGGATGTCACAAGTTAATTTTTCCATTTTCTCACCCTTGCTTTTCTTATTTAGAAAGAACTGTGATCTTCCATAAATACAGCAAAAAAGGTAGTAAAAGGTAGAAAATAGTACATAAATTGCATTATGAATCAGTGCCTGGACTGCAGAGGGATGGCTACTGTTTTGGTTTATTGCAACTCGCTGAGTCTCTGAGCCAGAAAGCAGACAGGGAGGTCCAAAGCCTCTTTCTGATTAGTTTCAGGCTGGCAGATTTGCTCGGATATAGAAACTGCACAAAATGTTTATCTCAATCCAAACCCATCAATCTTGCAGTTCCCAACAGGTTGCAGTTGTAATAGGTTCACCCATTCTGTTTTATTATTATGAGTTTTTATTATTCTCAGTGCCTTAATTTCATATACAATGGGAAAAGAGAATATGTAATTTAGTATTATTATGCAGGTGACTTTTAAAATTGGAATTCAGAATCCGTGATTTTGATCTAGTGGAGATAGGAGAAATTTTTTAAAAGTTATATAAAGTTCTCCTGGATAGATGACTAGCTTACTTCTATCTCTAGCTGAAGTGATAAAATTAAAGTAAGTCCCTATACCATTTATTTTCTTTATAGTCTACTTAATTACCTGGACCAGATTTCTTCTTTTTTTAAGCATTGTGTCTTTATTTTATTAAACTTTAAAAATATTTTTCAACTTTTATTTTAGAAATGAGGGGTACACGTGCAGATTTATTGCATGAGAATATTGCATGATGCTGAGGTTTTGGGTACAAATCCCATCACTCAGGTAATGAGCATAGTACTTGGTAAGTAGTTTTTCAACCCACGTCTCCCTCGTTGTCTCCCACTTATAGTAATCTGCAGGTCTATTGTTCCAATATTTATGTCCATGTGTGCTCAGTGTTTAGCTTCCACTTACAAGGAACAACATGCAGTATTTGGTTTTCTGTTCCCACATTAATTCATTTAAGACTATAACCTCTAATTGCATCCATGTTGCTGCAAAGGATATGATTTCATTCTTTTTAATGGCTGCGTAGTATTCCATGGTGTATATGTTTATATACACATTTTCTTTATCCAGTGTACCATTGATGAGCACCTGGATTGATTCCATGTCTTTGCTATTGTGAATAGCTCAGTGATGAACATATGAATGCATTGTCTTTTTGGTAGAGTAATTTACTTTCCTTTGGGTGTATATCCAATAAGATTGCTGGGTCAAATTGTAGCTCTCTCCATTTTAAATTCTTTGAGAAATCACCAGACAGATTTCTTGGATTCAAAAATTAAGAATTTTGTTTATCTTCATTAAAGAGTACATAAATGTGTCAAGAATATCTGCTATTTCCAAATGCACTAGCTTGCTATCTAATTTTAAAGTGTTTATGCAAAAATGGTGATGCTAGGTGCCAGAGAGGATTTCAAGAGGAAGAGAGCAAAGCGAAAACAATTCTACAATCCAGTTCTTATTTTCTGGGTCTTCATATATATTTAGAAGTCATGAGAACACACAAATGAAACAATTAGGCACTAATAAACTTGTGCCCCAAGGAAAGCAAATTGAGCACTATACATAGTGCTGTGTGAGGGTAAGAAAAGGCAGGTCAATATAAGAGAGTACCTTTAATGAATGTTGAAAGATAAAGTCAAATATATTTAAGGAGCAAAACAAACTATTAGGTCCCTTCAAAAGTAACATCTCTCATAGGCTTTTTGGCAGTTATAGCTTACACTCTCCTATAATAAAATATACATTGTCTTGTAACCAACATTTTCAGAGAATTTGCCCTTAAAGTCAATTCTGGGCAGACCCAAGTCAAAGGCTCTTCAGGTTTATGTTTTAAAGCCTCAACATTCAAAGTTTTTGCAATTAGTAGTAATGATGTAAAAAAACAAAAAAACAAAAAAAACTAATTACACCTTCCTTCCATGTATTGGCCACTGGTAAATGTTTGTTCTAATTTGAGAATACATTGAAACTTCTTGCATCAAAGTGTTATATGAAGAATTTGCCTGAAATATTTGCATGAGCATTTCACCATGTGAACTATTGTGTTGAATCAAAGAAGAATCAAAAGTCAGTTTACTAACAGTCTGACTCTGGTGAAATAGCAATTATAGGAAATACATAAAACTTCTTTGAAAATAGCAGATGGTTTTAGACCCTTGAGGAATCGCCACACTGTCTTCCACAATGGTTGAAATAATTACACTCCCACCAACCGTGTAAAAGCGTTCCTATTTCTCCACATCCTCTCCAGCATCTGTTGTTTCCTGACTATTTTTAATGATCGCCATTCTAACTAGTGTGAGATGGTATCTCATTGTGGTTTCGATTTGCATTTCTCTAATGACCAGTGATGAAAAACTTTTGTTCATGTGTTTGTTGGCCTCACAAATATCTTCTTTTGAGAAGTGTCTGTTCATATCCTTTGCCCACTTTTGGATGGGGCTGTTTGTTTTTTTCTTGTAAATTTGTTTAAGTTCCTTGTAGATTCTGGATATTAGCCCTTTGTCAGATAGATGGATTGCAAGAATTTTCCCCCATTCTCTAGGTTGCCTGTTTACTCTGATGATAGTTTCTTTGGCTGTGCAGAGGCTCTTTAATTAGATCCCATTTGTCAATTTTGGCTTTTGTTACCATTTGACCCAGCAATCCCAGTACTGGGTATATATCCAAAGGATTATAAATCATTCTATTATAAAGACACATGCACATGTATGTTTATTGGAGCACTATTCACAATAGCAAAGACTTGGAACCAACCCAAATGCCCATCAACGATAGATTGGATAAAGAAAATGTGGCACATATATACCATGGAATACTATGTAGCCATAAAAAACGACGAGTTCATGTTTTTTGCAGGGACATGGATGAAGCTGGAAACCATCATTCTCAGCAAACTAACACAAGAACAGAAAACCAAACACCGCATGTTCTCACTCATAAGTGGAAGTTAAACAATGAGAACACGTGGGCATAGGGAGGGAAACATCACACACTGGGGCCTGTCAGGGGGTGGGGGGCTAGGGGAGGGATAGCATTAGGGGAAATACCTAATGTAGATGACAGGTTGATGGGTGCAGCAAACCACCATGGTATGTGTATATCTATGTAACAAACCTGCACTTTCTGCACATGTATCACAGAACTTAAAGTATAATAAAAAAAAAAAAAGGAAAGAAAATTGCAGATGGTGAAGTGAAGGAGTACTACATGTCCTGTCTTGATAGGATATGATCCTGGTCAAAAATCCTTCTGTAGGTAGCCGTGCTCATCTATTAGGTCCACTCCAGGGATGAGGATCCCTACAAAAAGGTTCATTGTGTCCCTCTCTACTCTACAGTTGCTTTCTGTATCTCAGCCTGTGGATTAATCAGAAACTATTGTGAAAAATTATTTCCAGATGCTGCAAGTGGGAGGGAGGAAGGAAAGTAAAGAGAAAAAGAACGAAAGAGAAAGAAAGAAAAAGAAGAGGAAGAAGAAGAAGAGGAAGAAGAAGAGGAAGAAGAAGAAGAAGAAGAAGAAGAAGAAGAAGAAGGAGACGGAGGAGACGGAGGAGACGGAGGAGACGGAGGAGGAGGAGGAGAAGGAGGGGAAGAGGAAGGAGAAGAGGAAGGAGAAGAGGAAGGAGAAGGAGAAGAAGAAGAAGACGAAGGAGACGAAGGACACGGAGGAGACGGAGGAGACAGAGGAGACAGAGGAGGAGGAGGAGAAGGAGGGGAAGAGGAAGGAGAAGAGGAAGGAGAAGAGGAAGGAGAAGTGGAAGGAGAAGAGGAAGGAGAAGGAGGAGGAGGAGAAGAAGAGGAAGAGGAAGAGGAAGAAGAAGAAAGAAGAAGAAGAAAGAAGAAGAAGAAGGAGAAAGAAGAAGGAGAAGGAGAAGGAGATGGAGGAGACGGAGGAGGAGGAGAAGGAGGGGAAGAGGAAGGAGAAGAGGAAGGAGAAGGAGAAGGAGAAGAAGAAGAAGAAGAAGGAGATGAAGGAGATGGAGGAGACGGAGGAGACGGAGGAGGAGGAGGAGAAGGAGGGGAAGGGGAAGGAGAAGAGGAAGGAGAAGTGGAAGGAGAAGAGGAAGGAGAAGAGGAAGGAGAAGGAGAAGGAGGAGGAGAAGAAGAGGAAGAGGAAGAAGAAGAAGAAAGAAGGAGAAGAAGAAGAAGAGGAAGAAGAAGAAGAAAGAAGAGGAAGAAGAAGAAAGAAGAGGAAGAGGAAGAGGAAGAAGAGGAAGAGGAAGAAGAAGAGGAAGAAGAAGAAGAGGAAGAGGAGGAAGAAGAGGAGGAGGAGGAGGAGGAAGAGGAGGAAGAGGAGGAGGAGGAGGAAGAGGGAGAGGAAGAAGAGGAAGAGGAAGAGGAAGAAGAAGAGAAAGAAGAAGAAGAAAAAGAAGAAGGAAGAAGAAGAAAGAAGAAGAAGAAAAGAAGAAGAAAAGAAGAAGAAGAAGAAAAGAAGAAGAAAAGAAGAAGGAAGACGAAGAAGAAGAGGAAGAGGAAGAGAGAAGAAAGAAGAAGAAGAAGAAGAAGAAGAGAAGAAGAAGAAGAAGAAGAAGAAGAAGAAGAAGAAGAAGAAGAAGGAAGAAGAAGAAGAAGAAGAAGAAGAAGAAGAAGAAGAACAAGAAGAAGAAGAAGAAGAAGAAGAAGAAGAAGAAGAAGAAGAAGAAGAAGAAGAAGAAGAAGAAGAACAAGAAGAACAAGAAGAACCAAACCAGGGTAGATGAAGACAAAGTTAAAAAGAAAGAAAAGGCTGGTGCTGGCAGAGAGCCTTCTGCTCCGATTTGAGGTGTATGCATTTTATGCTGTAAAGCGTGGCCAGTCACAGGAGGATTCAAAGGCGAGGAGAGATATGATCAAATCTGCACTTGGGAAAGCGCACCTTGGTGCGCATCTGGGGATAGAGGAACGTAGGGATGGGAGGATGGGGGATGGGAGTTTGGGGATGAGGCAGCTGAAGAACAGAGTCTTGTGATGGTGGAACCAGGACTTCGTTGTTCCTTCATTGTGTGGGCAGAAGAGGTGGAGGATTTTAGGCGCCACCTGGTCTTGTCCCCACTGCCCAGGTATAGCTGCTGTCTGGAGCAGGGGCCTCGAGACGCCGCTCAAGTCTCACGGGCAGATGGGTTGGACAAAACATTGCCCCCCTTCTTCTTCCCAGACAGGCAGGGAATCCCTCTTCTTCCTTTTGCTGAATCAGCTGGAGAAGAAAGCCCAGCAGGAGGCCTGCTAGCCTCAGCCTCGGGCCCTACCAGGGTCCTAGGTACTGGAATGGAACTTCGCCGAGGTCACCGCTCAAACGGCCACAACGAGGGAGCCGATTTAGATCCTCTGGGCCTGTTCCTTCCTTTTCTTTAAACGTCCCAGTCTAGCTTAGAGGAGGACCTGTTTTGTGTAAGGCTTGCCGGAGCAACCAGCACCTTTCCTGGAATACAGTCTTGTTTGTGGCTTTTCCTTTGTTGTACGCTAGCGTGCACTATCGCCCGCACGCTGACTGACCCCTGTTCTACACCGCCCCTGATACCACTGAATAGGGAGTTTGAGAAGTTTATGTCGTGCCCCAGAAAACACTAGTGGCCTTGTTCTCAAGATTAAATATCCTTAGAGCAGCCAGATCTGAAGAGGGACCCCAGAAAGATCCACGGGCATGTTCATTTGTTTGCAATTGATAATATAGGAAACACTTTCTAATATTTCAGGAAAACAAAACCTTTAAAAAAACCAGACGACGTGTAACTCCTAACATTCTTACCTTGCTTCAGGACTGTTGGGAGGATAAGATAGTGTGGCAGCTATAAGCATTTAGCATAGAGCCTAGCATACAATAGTCCTTCCATGACATTAGCTTCTCTCTCCCCAGCAAAGATGACACTGCATAATCCAATGTACAGTGGGGAAATTTTTCACTAGTACATTAAGATGTTATTTGCAGTTAGAAAGAATGAATACTGTAATCCCAGCACTCTGGGAGGCTGAGGTGGGAGGATCACGGGTCAGGAGGTTGAGACCATCCTGGTTAACACGGTGAAATTCTGTATCTACTAAAAATACAAAAAAAATTAGCCCGCCGTGGTGGCGGGTGCCTGTAGTCACAGGTACTCTGGAGGCTGAGGCAGGAGAATCGCTTGAACCCAGGAGACGGAGGTTGCAGTGAGCCCAGATTGTGCCACTGCACTCCAGTCTGGCAACAGAGTGAGACTATGTCTCAAAAAAAAAAAAAAAAAAAAAGAACAATGAATAAGACCTAGTATTTGCTAGCACAAACAGGTGACTGCAGTCAAAAAATCTAAATTGTACATTTTAAAATAACTAAAAGAGTATAATTGGATTGTTTGTAACACAAAGGATAAATGCTTGAGGTGATGGATACCCCATTTACCCTGATGTGATTATTATGCATGGCATGCCTGTATCAAAATATCTCAGATTTAAATACACAAATATTTAAGTACATAAATACAGAGATACATAAATATATACACCTACTATGTACCCACAAAAATTAAAAATTGTTTTAAAAGATGTTATTTGCATGCATAAAGAAAATGTTATTTAAATTTCCTACTTAAAAATTTTTCTTTCTTTTTCCTATGATAGTAGATAAATGGCAAGCAAAAAACGAGAAGTCCAGTTACAGGTGGGTCTGACATATCAACAATTCTTTATCTGGTGCACTAGTGCTTGAATACCTTTTACAGTGCCTTCCACTTTGCAGACAGTCATCAATAATCAAAGCCTGTGGGATGAGATGTTGCAGAACAAAGGCTTAACAGGTATAAGGACTCCCCGGCTGTCTGGCCACCTGGGGTTTGACCCGGAGCTCCTCCTGGCACCCTGTCCCTCTAGAGTCCCCACTTTGACCAAGAAATCCTGCAGTGCCTTTGCCCTGGCCATGGCTCCAGATTGGGATAACTGCTATCCTAGATTGGTAGACTTTGTTATTTCATAAATATCATCATCTTCTAGTGATTGATGTTTACCAAGCCTGGTGTGGACCTTGCAGAGCAATGCAACCTTTATTCAGAAAATTGAAAAATGAACTGAACGAAGACGAAATTCTGCATTTTGCTGTCGTAAGAATTTTGTTTTCATTAAACCACTGTTTTCACATTATATTAAGTTTTTAAGTATCCTCTAATACTTTAAGTATTGTCTTAATTTAAACAACCTGTCAGTTCTTCAAAATAGATAGTCTTTACTTGGCAGTTTTACTATATATTTAATTCTACTAGATCTGAGAATGAATATGATTTTTATCCCATTCTTATAACGTCGAGGCTATTTACCATGACTGTGAAAGTCAGAAAAGTGTAATAATGGACACATCTATTGTTCTGTTTCCTTTCACCTGACCACATGTTCAGTGTGTGTCCTTTAGAATAAGGGCTACAAAAGCTGTTTACTGGGTATCATTGAGTAGTGCCCTGGCATTAACCCAGTTACCATATTTTCCAGTGGCAATGATTTTTCCTCATTTATTTGCTACCTACTTGCAATAAGGGATTAAAATATTATAGCCAAACACATTTTACTGAATTGTACTGTTTTTTCAATCTATTCACATAAAATGATCAACTAATTAGAATTTCGTTGTCCAACATGGTAGCTACTAGGCATAAGTGACTATGGAGCTCTTGCAATGTAGCTGGTCCAACTGAGGAGCTCAATTTTTAATTTTAATGAATTTAAATCTGGATTTTCAAACTGATACTCCATTGAGTTATTGTAAAACTTTTAAAATCTGGGATAACTTGAGTATGTGAATCTACTACTTAACTGTAAATGTTATTAAAGCTAATTAAGGATTAATTATTTCTGATTAACATTTAGCATATGAATTAAGACATACTCAAGTGTAAGAGACACATTAGATTTTAAAAATTTAATATGGAAAAAGAAAGTGAAATATGCCATCAATAATTTTATACATTGATTACATGTTGAAATGATAATATTTTGGATGTATCGGGTTAAGTAAAATTTATTATCACATTATTTTCACCTTTTTTTGTTTTTAAATGTCCCTACTGGAGAATTTATATGTGTGGCTTATATAATATATTTATATTATATAGAAAAGCTCCCAAACCAACTAGACTTAAGATACAGGAGCAGATAACAGATGATAACAGATCTTTACTCCTTATCTCTGAAATACATAGTTCCTAATGCAGACATGCAACCACAACCCACTCATGTTCTCCCAGTTACAGGTCTTTCATGGCCCCTTTCAACCCAAACATTGGAATGGGTTTGCCTACTGACCTTGTATTTCACTATCCATCCCCTTCTTTAAATGCATTTTCCATAGGACTTATTTTCCTTAGTTCAAGATGATGAATAAGCAGTTTAAAGCCTAGACACTCACCTCTTATTATTTTTCTATTCAAGAGAGTAAGTGGCTGTCTACAGTAGTTAAATCCTGTTGTCCTGGTGAAGGAATTGACTTTTTTTTTTTGTCTTCTGAAATAAGGACTTTGTAAGGTTTTCATTCCTTTAATTTTTTAAAAAATGTCTTTATATAGATGTTATTTTTAGAGCAGTTTTAGGCTCATAGCAAAATTTACCAGGAAGTAAAGAGTTCTCATATATCCCCTATCCCCACACTCTCATAGCCTTTTCCACCATCAAAATCCCACATCAGAGTGGTACATTGTTACAACGGATTAGCCTACACTGGCACATCATTATTTACCAAAAGCCGTAGTTTACATTAAAGTTCATTCTCGGTGTTGTACATTTTAGGGAGTTTAACAAATGTGTAATGACATGTACTTACTATATTATGGCATCATATAGTATAGTTTCATTCCCAGCAAAATCCTCTGTAATCTGTTCATCTCTCCCTACCTCATAACCTCTGGCAACCACCAATCTTTTGACTACCTCCATAGTTTTCCCTTTTCCAGAATGTCATATAGTTAGAATCACATAGTGTGGAGCCTTTTCAGATTGGCTTCTTTTACTTAGTGATATGCGCCATGTCTTTTAATGATTTGATAGCTCATTTCTTTTTAGTGTCAAATAATACTTCATTATCTGGATATACCAGGGTTTATTTATCCATTCACCTGCTGAAGAACATCTTGGTTGCTTCCAACTTTTAGCAGTTAGGAAAAGGCTGCTATAAGCATCCATGCTTAGGTTTTTGTATGAACATACTACACTTTCAACTCATTTGGGTAAATACCAAGGAGTAAGATTGCTGGATCATGTGGTAATGATATGTTTTATTTTGTAAGAAACCACCAAATCTTCCTAAGCAGCTGTACCATTTTGCATTCTTACCAACAATGAATGAGAGTTTCTGTTGGTCCACATTCTCACCAGCATCTGTTCTCTGGATTTTGGTCATCCTAATAAGTGTGTAGTGGAATCACTTTGTAGTTTTAGTTTGCGTTTCCCAAGATTATGTGAGGTGGAGCATCTTTATATATACTTATTTGCCATCTGTATATCTTCTTTGAGGAGGTGTCTGCTAAGGATTTTGGCTTATTTTTTTAATTGGGTTGTTTGTTCTCTTATTGTTGAGTTTCAAGTATTCTGTGTATTTTGAATAACAGTCTTTTATCAGGTATTACTTTTGCAAATAGTTTATCCCAGTCTGTGGCTGGTTTTTTCATTCTCTTGTCATTGTAGTTTTTTTAAAGACGAGATTCTGTAACAACCTGTTTCACTCTGGAGAATCACAACCACCAGAAAGGAGCTAGGAAATTATTCTAGACTTGATTCTTCACAGAGAAGAAAAATCAAGTTAGAAGACCAGAGAATAGAGCCTAAAGGAGATTGCCACATGCAGTTGGAAAGGGGTTGATAGAAGTTAAAATACAGTATCACAAGTGTCTAACAGCTGACAGATGGATCACAGGGAATTGAGGATCAGGAAATTCTTGTGAATCCTGGCAGTTGGCATTAGGAAAGTGGCAGTAGACGTTCACATAGACTAGGGGTTCCAGATTCTGGTGACCTGCCCATAAAGGTGAAAGAAAATTATATCTCCAAACCTCCATTGTGAGCAGCAATGGAGGGATGCCCTCTGCCGGACATATTGTTTTCTGCTGTTAATCAAGGAAGAACTTGAACATGTAGGTCCAAAATTAAAATGTATGAGGTTATTTCCTATTAAAATTGCCCTGAGCTGAATGGTCAGTATACAATTTTTTTCTGCTGTGTGCCTTTTTAAAAGAGGAACATTAAATATTTTATATATATAGAGAGAGGCATATAAAAATTTAGTTAATAGTGTTTATTATAGTTACTGTTATATTATTATTAAATTATTTAATCCTTAATAATTTATGTATTATAATATAAACATTATAATTATAATACCTGAATTACTTCTAAATAGAGTTGACCCTTACCAATGCTGGAGTTAGGGGTGCTAACCCCCCACGTAGTAAAAAATTCATATATGACTTTTGACTCCACCAAAAGCTTAACTACTAATAACCTACTGTTGACTGGAAACCTTATGGGTAACATAAACAGTCGATTGATACATATTCTGTATGTTATGTGTATTATATACTATATTCTTGCAATAAAGTAAGCTAGAGGAAAGAAAATAGTATTAAGAAAATTATAAGGAAAACAAAATATATTTACTATGCATTAAGTGGAAGTGGATTACCATAAAATTCTTCATCCTCATCATCTTAACATTGAGTAGGTTGAGGAGGAGACGAAGGAAGAGGAGTTGGTATTGACGTCTCAGGGGTGGCAGAAGCAGAAGAGGTGGAGGAAGTGGAAGGGGAGGCAGGAGAAGCAGGCATAGTGGATGTAATTTTATGGAAATACGTGGTAATTTCTGTCTGACGTTTTTGCTTTTTCATTGCTCTAAAAATGTTTCTATGTGGTACCAATCCTTCTTCCACCATTTGCTTTGGTTTCAGTGCCCATATCATAGAAGGGTCCATGTCATAAATGAAGTCAAAAGCAGTCTTGAATAACTGGAATTCTTCTGCCAGATGTTCTAATGTCAGTTTGTTTTCTGGCACTGGCTCTTCTACATCTTCTCCCTCATCGTCTGGCACTGCTTTAGAGGCACTCATCTCTACCAATTTGTCTTCTGTTAATTCCTCTGGTGTGGTGTCTCTCAGCTCTTGGATTTCTCCAACATCCATATCTTGAAACCTTTCACCCCCCACCTTTTTGCCACATACACAATCTCTTTTATGACTTCCTTAATTGGCTCTGTCATAAATCCCATGAAGTCATGCACAACATCTGGACACAATTTTCTCCAGCAGGAATTTATTAATTTGTGCTTGATAGCTTTTGCAGCTTTTTCTATAACAATGATGGCATCTTCAATGGTGCAATTCTCCCAGACTTTAATGATGTTCTATCAGGGTTCTCTTCCATAGCACTGACATTTTTTCCATAGAGTACCACGTGTAATGAGCCTTCCAGGTCCTTATGAGCCCCTGATCTAGAGGCTGAATTATAGATGTTGTGTTTGGAGACAAGTAGATCATTTTGAGACCTTTGATGTCGACCTCATGGGATTCTCAGTGACCAGGGGCATTTTCCAATATCAAAGAACTTTAAAAACAGTCTCTCACTGGCAAGGTACTTCCTGACACCAGGGACAAAGCACTGATGGAACCAATCCAGAATAAAAGGTTCTCATTGTCCAGGATTTCTTGTACAACTGAAAGACTGGCAGCTGGTGTTATCTTTTCCTTTCAAGGATTGGGGGTTAGCAGTTTTATTGAGAAAGATAGCCCTGATCATAAACCCAACTGCAATGCATAAAATGGTTGAGTTAGCCTATCTCTTCTTCCTTAAGTCTTGGTGCTCACTTCTCTTCTTTACTAAATAACGAACTTTGCGGCATTCCCCTCCCCCCACCAAATCCCAAGTTAGGGCACTTTCATCTGCATTAAAAACCTGTTCAGGTAGACATCTTTTCTCCTTAATTATTTTCTTAAAGGCATCTGGAAACTTTTCTGCTGTCTCTTGGTCAGCAGCAGCTGCTTCTCCTGATATGTTAATATTTTTTAACCTTTTCAAAAATTATCAAACCATCCTTTGCAGGCATTAAATTCTCCAGCTTTAGATCCCTCGCTTACTTTTGCTTTAAGTTGTCATATGATAACTTTGCTTTTTTGGGAATCATATTAGAGTCTATAGGCATGCCTTTCTTATAGTAATCCTGCACCTGCATAAAAGCTGCATTTTCAGTGTGAGATAAAAAGGTATTTCAGAAAAAGTGCAAGATCTATATGCCTGCTGGCACAGCTGCAGCAATGGCTCAATGAACTTCCTTTAAAAAAAAAAACCCAATTACTCTTAGACTGGATTCTTTTATCTTGAAATGGTGGGCAACTTCAGCTGCAGACCTCAATCTAGGGTACCTATCAGGCAAGTCAGCTCTTTCTTGTAATGTCATGATTTTTCTCAGCTTTTTAGCAGCACTTGCAACATCCCTAGTAGCACTTTATCTGGATCTCAAGGTGTTAGTCAAGGTTTATGGTATTGCACTGAACACAATGAAAATTCCACTTTGAAAAGCATTGCCTTAGATTACAAAAACCAACTGTTATAAACTGAATGTTTGCCATCAAATTTCATACGTTAAAATCCTAATCTCCAATGTGGTGATATTTGGAGATGGAGACTTTAGAAGGTAATTAGAGTAAAATCAAAGCTTTTATTTAAATAAAGGAAGAGACATATGATTTCTTCCAGGTGAGGACATTAGTGGAGAAGAGGGCCTTCACTTCTGGCACCCAGACTGTGCTGGCACCCTAATCTGAGACTTCCAGCCTCCAGAACTATGAGAAATAAATGATTGTTGTTCAGCCACCCAGTCAATAGCAATTTGCTATTGCAGCCCAAACTGACTAAGACACCAACTCTTACAGAAGACCCTACCAAACGATCTCATTCTGGCAGCTGGACCAATGGATACTATGTTAATATGGAAGAAGACACTATTATTGAATGTATAGTTGTTCATAATTAATTTGGAACAACTTGAAATTTATGAGAAAATATTAAGAAAATTACAGACATAAAATTCAAAATCTTTAAAAGTTGACTACTAATTTATTCAAGGAATGTTTAGTAAACCTCTTTTAATGTATGGCCCTATGACTGACAGAGGGAGATGAGATACAAACGTGGATAGGAAACATACTATCTCTGTGCACACAACTCTCCTTCTAACAGAGCAGGTGTAACAGGCCCACACGTGCCTGTAGTAGAATATTGAAAGGGACATAGGTGCCTTGGGAGAGGGGCAGTAACGTGCTGTGCAGAACGAGAGATGATTTACAGCAAAAGGAAGTGAGACAGAATTGGAGGAAGGATAGTTGAACAGGGACAGTAAAAGAAGGGCAGGACCAGGGAGGAAAAGATGAGTAAATAAGTTTGGCTAAAGGTTGGTTAATGTAAAGGGAAACGGTGCGGAAAGGTTAAGGCCAAATGACGTAGGGCTTGAATCGCCAGTATGTGCAGTTTGATCCCTAAAACCACTAAGGCATACCGAATGTTGCAGTAAACCTAAAAATTATATATATCTCTGCATTGTTTCAACATAGTGTATCAAATTACTTGAATATAGTTTTATTTATTATTATATGAAATGTTTACTTTTTCCAGGCAGAAGCTGACAACATTGTGACTTTGCAGCCATTTAGAGATAAATGTGAACCTGTTTTTCTCTTTAGTGTTGTAAGTATATTTACTTTCTCAATTGCATTATCAGATTCCAGTTTGCAGTTAAGAACAAGTAACATTGTAAAATTACCATGAAATTGTTTGCCAATGACAGTAATTACACAATGTTTGCCTTATCTTTTCTTGACTATTTATAAATTTTATAATTTGGCTGCTAGGAGCTTATTATGGATTGAAGGGATTAGATGATGACACACTGGATTCATCAGGGAAAGGAAAAGTAAGATGGCGTTTATCTTTACTAAGGAAATGATCGGAGATTTGCACAATAAATTTTTTACAGGAGTAAAACCTTGGAAATTTCATAGATACCTAGCAAGAGAGAACTGGTTATAAACATTCATGCATATCCATACAAGAAAGCATCTGTATGATCAGTCTTTTGTAATACACATTACTCTTATCTCTATATTTATAAAGAAGAAAGCAAGTGGATCCACCAAAATGTTATAGCAGTTTTCTATGTGTGAGGAACAGGTGACTAATTTAAGTTTTATTATTCATACTATTCTATATTTTCCACATATTCTGTGAGGAACACACAACTTTAATAATCAGACAGAGGCCAGGCATAGTGGCTAACGCCTGTAATCTCAGCACTTTGGGAGGCTGAGGTGGGAGGATTGCTTGAGGCCAGGAATTCAAGATCAACCTGGCCAACATAGGGAGACCACATCTCCATTTTCAAAAATAAGTAATAATAAAATAAATATAAAATATAAATGAATAATTAGAAAGACATAAATAGTGCTATTTTCTAAAAGCAGAGTGTACAGTTAGTGCTAAATTGTGTGACACAGGGTATAGCTGCTACAGAGTTCGAGAACTGAGACAGAAGAAAGAAAGCCTTCACGGAGGAGATAGACAGGACTTGGACTGTTCCTCCACTGTGGATATTTATTTTTGATATTAGAAATACTCATTAAAAACACATCTTGGATATAACTTTTTTCTGCTATTAAACAATATTCTTGCAACCCTTTCAAAGAGTTGAATCGCTGGGTTAATGATTAAAAAATGCATTGAATGGTAAAAAATGCATTGTAGATCTCCTCTAAGTTGGATGTTTAGAATTCAACGATTTAGGTGAGGGGTCAGCTAACGTTGTTTTTGTTGTTGTTGTTGTTTTGTTTTGTTTTTTGTAAAGGGCCAGGGAGTGAATAATTTCAGCATGATTAAAATACAGTCTCTGGACTGGGTTGAGGTTTGCTGACTCCTAAACTAGATGTCATTACACTCATGAGGGGACCAGAATGAATAACAACACAGAGGCAGAATGGGCTTGGGGGGCTCATGGAACAATGAGGAGGCTTTAGCTGCACGTAGTGGGTAGGTGCATGGGAATGAGAGAAAAGATTGGGCAGGTGGGTCACATTGTAGAGGCTGGAGCTCTGGGATAGTCGATAATATAGTTTGGATATTTGTTTCCTCCAAATCTCATGCAGAAATGTGACCTCCAGTGTTGGAGGTGGGGCCTAGTGGGAGGTGTTTGGGTCATTGGGGCGGATGCCTCATAAATGGCTTGGTGCCCTCCCTACAGTAATGAGTGAGTTCTCCCTCTATTAGTTCATGCAGGAGCTAGTTACTTAAAGAGCTTGGCACTGTCTCACCTTTCTCTCACTCCTTCTCTCTCCACATGACATGCTGTCTCCCTTTCCCTTCCTCCATGAGAACAAGCTTCCTGAGGCCTCACCAGAAGCAGATGCTGGTGCCATGTTTGTACAGTCTGCAAAAGTTTGAGCCAAATAAATTTTTCTTTACGAAGTTCCCAGCTTCGTGTACTCCTTGATAACAACACAAAACAGACTAATCGGGCCATCACCCCGACCGCTAGTCCAGTCTGACCAGTAGACCCAGCCCCACTCTCCTTAAGTGTACCATCCAATCCATGTTCTCTAATGCCTGCAATCAGTGCCCAGAGTTTAAGTCCACCCTTCCTCATAGCCATGTTTCATCCATCCTTCTAATGCTTATTCTTTGTCACACCCAGTTCTCCAACTCTTCCCCTATCTCCCAAACCTTTCCACTCTATGACATCTGGAATTAAAATGACTTCCTAAGATTTTTGACCATGGCTCTGAGCTTTTGTCTCGCTTCCTTGGCTTACCTTAGTTCTACCTTCTTCCTTTGGACACTCTCTCCACAGCCCAGAAGTGATAACTGTTTATTTCAGAATGTGAAGTATAGTTGGTGTTTGCTTTACTTCTTAGTTCTTCAATAACTTTCTTTTCTTTGCTATTACTAGAGGTCTGTTTCACGTGGCTAAATCTCCAATTCCCCCATCTCACTCCTGTCATTTACCGACCTTCAGATCAGGTCTATTGATGACTGAAGTCTTTGGCGTGTGGTTTAAAGTCTTACTCTCAATCCTGAGTCCTGCCATCACCTTGAGGACTTTAGTATCCACACTGACAACCCGCCCAATATCCTGGCCTTTCAATTCTTGACCTCCTGGCTGCTAATAAACTTTTCTTCCAATAAACTTCATCGAATCACTCCTGCAATCATGTCTCAGACTGCCCATTGCTCCACATCCATAATCATTAATTTAAGAATAGAATTCTGTGATCACAAAAACACCATCAAGTCCAATGCTCATTTTATTCAGATATTCCCTCAATGTCCCTTTGTACGGGTCAGCATTTTTAGCTGACAACAGATTCATTCCAGCTAGTCTCAGCAGAAGCCTTCCTCAAGAGATATTAGATAATTCACAGAATTGTTGAAAGATACTTTTTAGTTGGAAATGGTAACTAGAGTTTCAGGTTTCATTTAAACCTTACTCAACTGTATCTTTCTCATTGGCTTTTGAATATGATTAAGTCTTTTCAATTTAAAAAATATATAATACTTCTTTCTGATAGCATATCCCTCTCTAGCCACCATCCATTTCTTGTCTTCACCTCACAGCTAAGTTGGTCAGAAGACTTTTTATATTTAATTTTACTTCTTTTCTTTTCATCCCATTAACTCCTCAATCCATTCTACCTGAGCTCTGATTATTCCACCAAAATTGCTGTTGCTAATGTATCCAAGTACCAGCCTGTACTAAGTATAATGGATATTGTTAGGTATTCATCATTTGTACCTCTTAAATGGTTTGAATATGGTGACCATGCCCTCCTTTTTAAAATATTTGCTTCTTTTGGCTTATGTGACTTGGTTTTCCTTTCACCTTCCTGGATGCCACTTCCCTCTGTTCCTTTGGCAAATTCACCCTTCTTTATTCCACGATTAAATATTGACTTTATCAGGCTGTACGCTCTCCTTAGAAAATTTCCTCTACACACAGTTTCAATCACCACCATCTGTATATCAATAAATCACGTTTACATCTTCAGCTGAATGCTATGCTTTCCACTCGCAGCATTTCCAGTTGGGGTCTAGGCATCTCCTATTGGCTTTCTCAAAATGCATCTCACAGCAAACTCATTCAATACCAGATCTTCCTCCCCACAAAACACAGTCCCCTTCTATTGTCTCTGAATTTGGCATATAATATGATAACTTATAATTTATCCAGTTTTCAAGTGAGAAACAGAAGAGTCACCTTGTGACATCTCTTTACATCACATTCTATCCAAGTCATACCTTGGACCTGTAAATTTTACTGCCCAGGTCTCTGTCACACTCATCTACCTCTTTCCATCCTTTCCATCTCCACCACCGTCATCTCTCCACCTCCACCTCTAGCATAGCTCCTAACTTGTCTGCGAATATTTTCTTTTGCTCCCCCCAGCATTTTTTCCACACAGTAGGTGAAATAATTTTTACAAACAATTTTAATCATGGTCATGGCCTCTGCTTAAACATTCTGACTGCACTTAGGATGAAGACTGAATCCCTGGCCCACCAGGCTGCGCACAGTTTGGCTTCTCCTGGTTGCTGGGCTTCAACTCACACCAGGCTCCCCCTCACTTTGTCACCTGGCCTTGTCACTTGCCATCTTCCCTTCCAGCTTTAGAACCCTTATGTCTGTTATTCCTTTTGCTCTTTCTTCTCCTTTTTGCCCAATTAGCTCTTACCCGTCTTTCATATTTTAAACCAAGAATCACTTCCTGACATTGAGAAGTACCTTTCGTGATCTCTTTGACCAAAACCCATTCTTATAGGAGCTCCAAGGGCTTTGCACCACTCTTGGTAGCACCTACTAAGGTTGCTGTTTCACATGTTTGTGTTTTTATGTAGGGCTTTTTAAAAAAAACCTAATTAGGTCAGGTACCAGATCCATTATTTTATACCATTGTGCCTGGTACGGCACCAGTAAACAGATGCTTAGTAAACAGGTGTTAAAAGATGAGTGAGTGAAAGGGGCATGGTGTCAAAAATAACTAGGGAGGATGTCATTGGGAGGCCTATCCAGAATTGTTCAACTTTAAAGCAAGGATGCCTCAGGAGAGATTGCATCAGGTGAGAGCTCCTGCAGGGGGATGACTTGCTGCAAGGTGCTGGAGGACATGCAAATTGGAGGTAGAACTCAAAGAGCTGAGTTTATCAAGTCAAGAACATTCACAGTATTAAGACCTTACTGTAAAACGTTAATTACCATAGCTAAAAGAGGATTCATGAGGATGAGAGTAGGGTAGAAGGGAGGGATGACTTAGTCCAGTTTAAGTGTTAGTTCTTGGTGTGTTCTCCAAATGAAAGTTCCCCTCCTGTTTTCATTTCCCTTATAGAATGGCAAAATTATCGAAAAGATTCAGGGTGCAAATGCACCGCTTGTTAATAAAAAAGTTATTAATTTGATCGATGAGGAGAGAAAAATTGCAGCAGGTGAAATGGCTCGACCTCAGGTAATACTTTGGATTAACAACAGTTTGAAGACAAGCTTATCATTTAGAGTGAAATAGAACAAAATGCACTACTGGTGCTAGGTACCTCTAAAGGCTTTGAGTACTTTATGTCTTTTAATTTTAAAAAAGTACATTACCTTTTATTTGATGTTATCCTAAGTTGTTTAACCTAATTTTGTAACTATCCAGGTGTGTAAATGGTGCAACTTTTCTGGGAAGCATTTTGGCAATGCATGTGTATATATATTTATATACATAAAAATGAAACCTTTCGGATAGTTCACAGAATCACAGAAGCATATTCATGGCTTCCCTGAAAGTTAGGAACCTTTGTCCTTCTGGTACTTTGCTCTTTTTTTTTGTTTTTAAATTGACTTTATAAGTGTAAGTATATAGCAATTATTTATTTGAAATTTGTAAGAACATAAAAGCTATTTGGATGAATTAAAAAATCTGGTACTTTGCTCTTTAATAGGATATTGATTATTGGTTTGAGAAATATTTTTTTTTTAGTTAAGGAAATATCGTTTTGTTCCAAATTTGCTGAGAGTAATGGTTAAGAACAGATCTTCACACTTATCAAATGCCCTTTTGATATTTAACATGATTATCATGTGTTTGCAGTTTTCTTATTTATTAATTTCTGCTTTGTTCTTATTTTATCTCCCATGCTCTTATTAAATTTTAAGGTTTGGCTGGGTGCGGTAGCTCACGCCTGTAATCCCAGCACTTCGGGAGGCCAAGGAGGGCAGATCACTTGAGGTCAGGAGATGGAGACCAGCCTGGCCAACATGGTGAAACACCGTCTCTACTAAAAATACAAAAATTAGCCGGGCATGGTGGCAGGTGCCTGTAATCCCAGCTATTCGGGAGACTGAGGCAGGAGAATCGCTTGAACCCAGGAGGCAGAGATTGCAGTGAGCCAAAATAGCACCACTGCACTCCAGCCTGGGTGACAGAGCAAGACTCCTACTCAAAAAAAATTTAAAAAAAATTTAAAAAATTAAGGTTTGCTACCCTTTTCATACTGCACATATGCATTATTCCTGCCCCTTCCATTTTAAAACATCCCTTATTTTATTTAAGTGGAAAGCTGGAGACAGTAATGTTAGATAAGTTCAGGAACTCTTCCACTTTACTTTCTATTTCTTAGACTATAAATATTTACTAGATACAAAATTTCTAAAAACCCACTCACTATCATATTAAAACATAACTGTGTTATCTTTGCATTGCATTTCTTTTTCATAGTATCCTGAAATTCCATTAGTAGACTCAGATTCAGAAGTTAGTGAAGAATCACCATGTGAAAGTGTTCGTAAGTAAATTTACTTCAAAGTAATCCAAGGGTTTTCTGTACGTGGGCGGTCATCACAGCATCACTTGTTTCAGCAAAACACTGGTAACAAATCCATGTTTATTAAGGAGGAATTATTCAGATAAATGATGATTTGGGCCTTGCAAGACTCAGCTATTAAAAAGCACCTTCTTTTCCTCACTCGCCTTACCTTTGGTTCTGGGCCTGGAGCCTTTCAGAGGTTACCCTGTACAATGGATTCCTGTCTCCTGTGACTTATCTGGACAGCAGCTTCCTATTTCATCCTTCATCATCTTCCAAATATTTGTGATGATAATTTCTTCCTTGATGACCCATACTCTTGGTTTACTTTGCAGTTAACAATTTCACGCCTTCACTAGATTATCTGCATTGGGGTAGTGGGGTGTATGTGTTCATACTCTGGAGGGAGCAGAGGCAAACAGCCATAACCAAATGAGTTATCTTGCACTAAAAGCTCATTATAAGAATGTCGATACATTCACAGATGAATCTGTCGGTGATGTTTACTTGCATGATTCACAGTTAAAACTTCACTTACTGGTAGTACTGTGCTGGATGGATCCTGTGTGTGATTCTTACGCATGGGAATTGCATTCAAACCACCAGGGCCTACCTACTCAATTTTTGTTTCCTCTGGATTAAAAACTCTTGTAAATGTTTCCCCTGCATGCAAATATAGGAACTGCCATTTGATTCTAAGTAGGAACCCTCTGGTAGTTGAAATGCCGTAGTAAGATACACAGCTATCAATGGGCAACAATTAACTGATCATTAGAAATTTACATTGCTAATTGCCAGATCCTTCATTATCCAGACTTCGTGCCAAGAAAATGAAATTCTGTCTTTTTCTAAATTTTTTTCCAGAGGAATTATACAGTATTGCTATTATCAAACCGGATGCTGTGATTAGTAAAAAAGTTCTAGAAATTAAAAGAAAAGTAAGTAATATTTTCCAACTATGATTAAATTAATTGCAAAATAACAACCTCTTAATCGTCAGTTCAAAGACAAGCGTACCATTTAGAGTGAAATAGAACAAAATGCACTACTGGTGCTAGGTACCTCTAGAGGCTTTGAGTACTTTATGTCTTTACAAGGCTCGATCTATTCATGCATCCTTCTGTAAATGATCCTACTCTACCAGCATCCTATGTAAATTTTAAAAAATTATAGTTCTTATACTAGATTGTATATTAGTCTGTCTTCATGCTGCTGATAAAGATGTATCTGAGACTGGGCAATTTACAAAAGAGAGAGGTTTATTGGACTTACAGTTCCACATGGCTGGGGAGGCATCACAATCATGGCAGAAGGCAAGGAGGAGCAAGTCACATCTTACGTGGATGGCAGCAGGCAAAGAGAACTTGTGCAAGAAATCTTCCATTTTTAAAGCCATCAGATCTCATGAGACTCATTCACTATCATGAGAACAGTGCAGGAAAGACTAGCCCCCATAATTCAATCACCTCCCACTGGATTCCTCCCACAACACATGGGAATTGTGGGAGTTTAAAATTCAAGGTGAGATTTCGATAGGGACAGAGCCAAACCATATCATTCTGCTCCTGGCCCCTACCAAATGTCATGTTCTCACATTTCAAAAACGAATCATGGTTTCTCAATAGTCCCCCAAAGTCTTAACTCATTTCAGCATTAACTCAAAAGTTCACAGTTCAGCATCTCATCTGAGACAAGGCAAGTCCCTTCTGCCTATGAGCCAGTTAGATCAAAAGCAAGTTAGTTACTTCCTAGATACAATAGGGGTGCAGGTATTGGGTAAATACAGCCATTCCAAGTGGGAGAAATTGGCCAAAATGAAGGGGCTACAGGCCCCAAGCAAGTCTGAAATCCAGCAGAGCAGTCAAATCTTAAAGTTTGTATATTTTTGAGCCACTTCAAACCAAGTGTCCTATAGATTTTGCTGAGGTTCTTATAGAAAATGTATTGAAAGCTGGTGGTTTGTTAAGCCCAAAAAACAAACTTAACTTGTTTTACATGTGATCCCACGACACCTGGATTTGACCTTACTCTCTAATTGAAGATTACCAAAGCTGGATTTATTATAGAAGCAGAGCATAAGACAGTGCTCACTGAAGAACAAGTTGTCAACTTCTATAGTCGAATAGCAGACCAGGTATGAAAGTTAAAAAGAAAAAATCCTCTATGTGTTTAAATACAGTGGCCTCCATAAGCTTTAAATCTTTATTACAGAAAAGCAAATTAGTAAGTCTGAACAACTAAAATAAGCTCCTGGTGTCCCTGTTGGTGTCCATATCATGGAGATGCCAATGATAGTGGCTCTGAAAAAAATCTTCGGTAGAAATAGTGGCTACCGAGCAAAACTGGATGGTCTGATTGTGTTTTGTTGACATGAAGACCTCTTTATGTCAGGCCCTCCAAGAGCCCCTGCATCAGTCCTCTGGAAGTGAATATCCAGTCATTTTCTATTGATTTTTATTCTGGGTTGAAGGCTCTGTCACCAGCTTCACAAGAATGCTTTAATCTTTTCTTTACCTAAGGGCCTTTCTCTCAGGCTGCCCCGACCCCAACTGCCCCACTCCTGCCACCTCCCTACCCCACCAACTCTTTTTTGTCTGGGGATATAATATAATAAAGGCAGTGCTGTGTATTAGAAAGTGTACTGGCTTGGGAGTCAGGAGACCTCACTTCTAGAAATGAACTGTCCAATATGGTAGCTACTAGATACATGTGATCATTTGAATTTAAATTCATTAAGATTAAATTACATTAAAAATGTGAAGTCTCAGTTGCACTAGCCACATTTTAAGTGTTCAAATCCACATGTGGCTACTGTGTTGGAAAGGGCAGAAGAGCATGTACGTCATCACATACCATTCTACTGGACATCACTTTGTGGAACTGACTGCACCACTCATGCCATCTCTGTTGGTCCCGGCTTCCATGTGTGTAGAAAGAAAGGGTTATGCCAACTGTATTCGCATTAACTGTAAACTTCTGAGAAAATCCAATTCCTGGGCCCCACCTCAGACTTACTAAATCAGAAACTGTAGGATTGGGCTCCAGAAATATGTGTTTTAACAAGCCCCGTAGATGACTTGGAAACATCCTAAATTTGGGAATATTGTTAGGTTACCTTTAAGATAAATTCCTACTAGCTTTGAACTTCTGCCACTTAAAAATGTAGGAGACTAGTGACTGGGAAGGGATAGGGAGAGATTTGTTAAAGATGTGAACCAAAAGTATCTGAGACAGGTTGCAATCAATTTAGAAAGTTTATTTTGCCAAGGTTAAGGACACGCCCATGACACAGCCTCAGGAGGCCCTGATGACATGTTTCCAAGGTGGTCGGGGCACAGCTTGATTTTATACATTTTAGGGAGACATGAGACATCAATCAATATGTGTAATACGTACATTGGTTCTTCCTGGAGAGGTGGGACAACTTGAAGCAGGGTTGCTTCCAGGTCTTAGGTAGATAAGAGACAATCAATAGCATTCTTCTGAGTCTCTGATGAGGCTTTTACTGAATACACGATTTACATGTGAGATGACATAGAGGAATAGTCACTTATGCCTTAGTCTTGCTTAGTGAATCTGCGTTTTTACATAAACAACTGAGCAGAGGAAGCCATCAGATGTGCATTTGTGTCTGGTGAGCAGCGGGATGACTTTTGGCTCTGTCTGTCCTCTGTCCCCTACCAGTGAAGATAAGCTATCAATTATCAATTTACATTGCCAGGGTGAAATCCAACAGAACTGTTTTAGGGTAAAGATCTTGAGGCCCACAAGGAATTTCCTTGTGGACAAATTATGAGGGAGGTATGTAGCTTTTTTTTTTTTAATCTTTGTAGCAATCTTATTTAGGAATAAAATGAGAGGCACGTTTGCCTGATGGAGTTCCCAGCTTGACTTTTCCC
This sequence comes from Homo sapiens, assembly GCF_000001405.40. Lineage (NCBI taxonomy): Eukaryota > Metazoa > Chordata > Mammalia > Primates > Hominidae > Homo > Homo sapiens. Next base: position 37,867,383 of record NC_000007.14, read on the forward strand.
TTTGGCTTAGTGATTTTGGGGTCCAAGAGATTTATTTTTCTAAGGATACAAATTTACCCTGCTCTGGTTATTATACATTTTCTTTATTGAAACATCACTATGTCCCCCATGAATATATGCAATTATTTTTCAATAAAAAGCAAAAATAAAAACCCCCAAACAATAAAAATGTATTGTTAACAGGAGATTTATAAGAGTAACATTCCTTTGCCCAGGGACCATGGAGAGGGAAGATTTCATTTGACTTGGGTAGTGACCACCATTTTAGTCCATCCATTTCAGGAGCCTGAAGGAAACAGTTTATCATTTTATTTTGTAGTGTGACTTCGAAGAGTTTGTCTCTTTTATGACAAGTGGCTTAAGCTATATTCTAGTTGTATCTCAAGGAAGTAAACACAATCCTCCCTCTGAAGAAACCGAACCACAGACTGACACCGAACCTAACGAACGATCTGAGGATCAACCTGAGGTCGAAGCCCAGGTTACACCTGGAATGATGAAGAACAAACAAGACAGGTATAGCTCAAGACCAGGAATTGTGTTACTTGCAATGTGTTATTGGGTAATGAAGCGTAGTGTAGGCACCTCAGTACCTAAGGGCAAATGTTTTTATGTTAAAGGCATAAGTATTTCTTCCAGTCAACCTAACATACTGTATATTCAGAAGAGCTGTGTGCCAGGTGAAGTGTCAGATACCTGGCATTGGAAAAAGTAGTTGGCTTGTGGGTTGTAGGGTAGTAAGAATTTACAGATGACAGTGTAGGTTTGAAAGAAAAGTTTTGTTAGATAGAAAGAGCACTGCAGAAGAGTGCAGCGGGGCTCCTCAGTGAGAGAGGACTGAGCTCGCCATGGTGGATTTTTGTTTAGGGATATTTATGGACCTTAAAGCTGGAGCTTAAGGGTAATTTGGACCTTATTAGCCACACAGGTCATGATAAATAATTGCACTTGTAGACATGTTGGTGCCTTGATGTCAGCAAGGGTTGCACAATGAGTTTGAACATGCATGCATTCCGGAGATGTATAGAAATTCTAGTTACTTATAACTTTTTTTTTAAGCCTGGTACCAGATGCCAGCTTTAAATAATAGGGAAGTCTAGTTACTTCTAAATTCCTCAGATAAGGAGTTTTGCCTCTGGATAGTCAGCTTGGTGGCCCTCAGGTGATCTTTGCTCCCCTCACTGTGACTGCCCTGAAAGTTTATGTCAAGAACACTAGAAAGGGAGGCCTTTTCCCTGTTTGTCTTCCTAGAGCTGGGCATACCAGTCTGGCCACAAGGGCTGGGGCTTGAAGGGTGTATTGGAACCATGTATAATCCCTGCCAACTCAGTCTCCTCTCCCATCTCCCCACCTTCCCCTTCCACCTTCCCGGTGCCCTAAAAACATGAAACATGCACTTTTACTTTAGATGGTTTGTGGTTACAAATTACTGAGAACAAAACGGTTGTATATTTTTTGTTGATGGATTTTAAAATATTAGAAAATGGATATAAATAATTTGTAGAATGTTGGTTTTATGCGCTGCTGTTTGCGCCTGTTATTCCTCTGAAGACTCAGAGAATGGAGAGTGTAACAAAGCAGTTGTCAGGCTGCACCGGAAAGAAAGTCAGGTGAGCAAGAACATACTTAGAGTATCTGAGCCTTGAGGCTTCCTGGGATGTGTCTCCCCGTGCTTGGCAGCCCATCTCCATTGCATTTTCTGGCTGAGACTATCCAGAATGTCCCTTGTTGGTCCTTCTTGACTTATTAATGAATCATAGTGGCTTTTCTTGGGTGCCTACCTCTGTTGGCTCCTAGTGATGCCATATTTTTAGGAAGTGGGAGATCCTAATATCATTAATTCCAAGTTGTACGCAGGATAAAGGAACTCATAAGGTAAATCCTGCTGGCAAGGAGCTTTTTAAACAGTAGCAGTTACTTTCAGGGTTTTAAGGGAAAATAATAATGAGTGGGCTGAGGGAAGGTTTGTTGGGTAGGGTGTGTTAAGTTTAAAAAGATACCAGATTTTATCCTAGAAATTTTGAGCCATTCAAAAAACAAAAAGCGTTCTATGAAGCACTCATTAATGTGACGAGTGAAGTCATCATTCCATGGGGCTATTGTTTAGGTAGTAAACCTCCATTACAACCAACTTTGAGAAGCTCCAATTGTCCAATACTCGCATGACACCATGGACAATTTAGGCATGTTAATTGGCATGTCAGAAGGAAATGCCAGCAGCTCTCCCTCCAGAACAAGGGCAAGCACTATAGGGGCCAGATCAGAGTGAAATGAAATGTGTACACCTTGCTCTGGCACAGTCTACAGTATTTCCTTTCTAAACTTAGAGTCCCCATGTGCCTTTGGCCCATGTTTATCCCAAGCTGGCCACAGCAGACAGCATGGGACAGTGTGGAGCATGCTTGTTTGGTGTGCTCGGGCTCAGAAACTGATACTCAAAATATGGCGCTTTGACATGCTGAACTGAAAAAGCCTCACAATCTCTCTGACTTGCCCCAGCACTCCCGGCCAGCAGTCTCTCTCAAAGCACAGGATGAAGCTGAATTTCTTTTATCTGCCTAAGATCCTCAGATCCGACAGGAACAATTATTTTTCTTCCTCTCCCTATAAGACCAAGAATGTAACCACATCTGAACGGAGATAGTGTACAAGTTAATTTCTGTGCGTTGGTCCATTCATTCTCCCTCGTCATCCTTTACTGTCCTTCAACAGAATTCTTCTCCCTGCTCCCATTACCTGTTTTGCCAGATGGTCTATAACAGGGGTGTCCAATCTTTTGGCTTCCCTGGGGCACACTGGAAGAAGAAGAATTGTCTTGGGCCACACATAAAATACACTAACACTAATGATAGCTGATGAACTTAAAAAAAAAAAAAGAACTCGCAAAAAATATATATCATAATGTTTTTAAAAGTTTACCAATTTGAGCCGGGTGCGGTGGCTCATGCTTGTAATCCCAGCACTTTGGAGGGCCGAGACAGGCAGATCATGAGGTCAGGAGATCGAGACCAGCCTGATCAACATGGTGAAACCCAGTCTCGACTAAAAACACAAAAATTAGCTGGGTGTGGTGGTGCATGCCTGTAGTTCCAGCTACTTGGGAGACTGAGACAGGAGAATCGCTTGAACCTGGGAGGTAGAGATTGCAGTGAGTCAAGATCGAGCCACTGCACTCCAGCCTGGGTGACAGAGTGAGACTCCATCTCAAAAAAAAAAAAAAAAAAAAGTTTACCAATTTGTGTTGGGCCACATTCAAAGCCTTCCTGGGCCTCATGCAGCCAGTGGGCTGCAGGTTGGACAAGCTTGGTCTATAGGCTTCTGAACCTCATTGCAGGGTGGGTACTCACTCTGTGGTTCTCTCTGTGTACATGTTAATCAAATTTGTCTGCTTTTTCTCCAACTAATATACTTTTTGTCTGTTGATGCCCGTTGGTTTTTCAGTAAAACTTGAGAGGACAGAGGGGAAGCTTTCCCCTGACTTCTATAATGCTTGTTCTTATTTTCACAGCTCTTGCTCTGGAGGGAGGGCCTGATAGGCACTGTCACTTCCATGTGACATCTTTCAAGTAGGTCCAGAATCTAAAGGAATAAGGACAAAAAACTCTCATGCGTAATTTATTCAGTTGTTCACTTTCACTCTTTATTGCCCCCTCTCCCCTATCTCCCAGCCTGCTCACTCTCCTCTCTGGGTGGTGGGGATGGAGAGGGTGAGACAGGAGAGAAGTTAAAAGCAGAGCAATTGAACTGGGAGTGATTGGTGACCCCTCTGCGTACAGAGCAGCGGAGTCCCAGAGCTTTATTGGCTGGTTATTCCTGTGGAGACAAACACTCACAGCTTATGAATTCACATGCTGTGGGGAAACTCTCTCCATGCCATCGATGGTCTGCCTGCTCCAGTGGCTGCAGAAGGGTGGGGGAAGAGCCAGGGAAACAGGGCAGAGGTACCCATGTTTGTCATTCACATTCCAGCTTCTTTCATGATGGCTTTTTATTACATTATTTACATGTCTGTCTCTTTAATCAGCCTGTTTTAAGAAATCAAAGGATAGTGTAATTTATCTTTGCTTTCCAGTCTTTCTACAGATCAGGAAGGTGTGGTTCCATTAGCTACATTGCTCAGAGTCACACAGGTAGTAACTGGCAGAGTCTTCTCATTCATTCACTTATTCTGTTATGTGTTGATTCATTCATCTAGTATTTATTAAAGACCTACTATATGCCAAATCCTAGAGATACAAAGATGGGGAAGAATTAGATGATGACCTCTGAGCTCACTTTCAGTTTAAGTCTTTATGACAGAGTGAAGGTGACATTTCCAACCACCTCTACTATATTGTATTCCTCTGTCCATAGAAAATATCTATTCTCTTCTCAGTAGCCTCTCTATTTGTCCCTATACATGTCATAGCTATAGGGAGCTTAATTTTTTCCTTTATGATATTCTCATTTAAATTAAACATAATAGATACAATTCCTAAAATAATCCTTAAAAGTATTTCCGGGATCAGGGAAGTCTGAATGCTATACCCTGACTCTACTCCCATCTGCAAAGCTTTCTTTCCTCTCCATAGTCAAAGGGAAGCTTAACTGATAAGCAGCTGGCTGTCAGTGAGGTCTGGAGCTCTGTTCAGGTCCCTAGGGCAGGAGAAGATGAGGGTGGTGTGGTGTTTTCTCCACCGAGAGTTTGGGGAGCTCCTGAACTCCCCAGAAAACAAGGACCTGCAGACAACCACAGACCCTGAGAATAACAGACTTGTGGACTTCACTGAGACTTCCTGACTCCTAAAGGGCCAGGATAGAACTGAGTAGAATTATTGAATTCCTTGCCCTAGCTAGGTCTCTGGGGGCTTTTCCTGATTGCCCCTGCAGAAGAATAATGACCCACTGTCTTCTAAAGCACAAGCTTGTAGAGGTCATCTTGCCTTCCAACTACAGGGTTTCCAACACATATCAAAAATCAGACCTAAGCCCCAGTGAGCCATCAAGGAAAAATGAGTACCTGCCTAAGGGAGACTGGCAGCCAGAGAAAGGAAGGCCTGTACAAAAATCACAACACAAGTCTAGTGAAAAAGAACTGCTTAGAGACAGAAAAACCCTTAAATAAAATAACAATAAAAAAAGGACTTGAGATTCAATTGCTAGGTATACATTTAAAAAGCCTTTCAAACTTGAATTATACAAATTGTGATTTGAATTATAAGTTCAGTGGAGAATTGGTATGATCATCATTTGAGACTCAAATTAATGACATGGAAAGTCAGATGCAAGAAATATCTGAAAGTACACACAAAAAATTAGACAGGATGAGAGCAGAAGTCTGCAATCTGGATAATATGCTGAGGGGATCAATTGCTAATGAGAAACTCTGCACAGAGAAAGAACAGATGGACAAACTAACTCAACAAATAATGGGGGAATTTTTTTCCCAGAATAAATGCATTTGTCTGCCAATTGCAAGGGCTTACAATAGTCCACCCTCAACTGATGCCACCACACCCCCACCCCACACACAAATACAGGAACATCCTGGGAAGAAACACTGCACACTGTGTCCAGACAGACAGAGTAAGCACTTGTATACTTCATATGTTTGAAACCCAGAGCAGATCATCTTAACAGCCTCTTCCTCTGTATGATGAAATTATTTTTAAGTACTAGTTACTGAATGAGGCAAACAATTATGCTAGAATAAAAATACAGACAATGAAAATAGTCTTTTATGGGCCAGATGCCGTGGCTTGTGCCTGTAATCCCAGCATTTGAAGTCAGGAGCTCAAGACCAGCCTGGCCAACATGGTGAAACCCCGTCTCTACTAAACATGCAAAAATTGGCCAGGCGTGGTGGCCCATGCCTATAGTCCCAGCTACTTGGGAGGCTGAGGCAGGAGAATTGCTTGAACCCAGGAGGCGGAGATTGCAGTGAGCCAAAATTGCGCCACTGCACTCCAGCCTGGGCGACTGAGTGAGACTCTGTCTCAAAAAAAAAAAAAAAGAAAAGAAAATAGTCTTTATGTACCTTTGAATATATAAACATATGAGTATAAAATAAAAATAAATGTTACAGTGTCCCAAAGGAAACAAGTGATAGATGAATTGTTTAATTAATATTTTTAACAATAAAACACATGTATGTCTGTATATATTAATCTGTCACAGAAAATGAAGTAGTTTTTGCTTTTTGAAAGCTTTAATTTTTGAAGATTTGTCCATGATGTTCTCAAAATTGATCTCCACTCTATGTTTAATAGAAAAAGATAGGTGAAATTCCCATTTTACAGTACATTGCAGAAATTGCAATAATGCCAATAGCTTTGTTGTTTTTGGATTGATTCTATGTAGAGCACCATGTACAGCACACTACTTATGAAAGGATAAGTAATGAATATGTGTGAACTCCAAGAGTACATAGGCGCATTATCACTAATGTTGATTAGGAGTGCTGGTACATGGCGCTGATAAAAAGCAACCAGACTTTTAATTGGTTTTATTACTGATTTAAAATTGCACTTGCACTTTAGGTGGATCCCTTCCACCAACTGCATACTTGGCAGCAATTGAGAATAAGTTACTTACAAGGGAAAAATACTTGACTGCCATAGGGCTCATTTTAGGACTACTGGAAGAAAAAGGCTGCAACCCCTGCATTCTTACAAAGCTAAGATATTTACCTGGTAGAGCAAATGAAGATCTTCAAGGACATACTTAGCAATATATCACCTATATACTCCTTCTGTGGAAAATAAGTGAGGATATACTCAACCAAATCAAAAATATGGGAGGAAAAAAAAGAAAAACAGTTCTTAACAGTGAACCTTGGAATCTCTGAACACACACACAGACACATACAGTCCATAATTCTGGGTTTTATAATATAACAGCTGATGAAGGACTCTAGAAATAGAAGAAAATTCTTCTAGATTCTAAATTATCTCAACAAAACCTAGAGGTTTGTGGGTGTATGTGGCAAAATGGTTCAAAGATCAAGAAGGCAGTATTTTGACAGTTGTATTTTGAGGTTCTTATTTGCAGAAAGGGCATAAATGGAGTATTAAAGTTGGGAGATAGTGTGTCAGAATGCAAGAAATATTTGGGACATACGCATCTGACAACAGGGGCAGGAAAAAGACAGTAAACATTAATGCAGTGGATAAGTATAGTAAAACTTCCACATTAACAAGGGAAAAACATGGAATGAAGAGCAGTTTGCTCAGACCAGCAAAATAAGGGGAAAAAAGAAGAAACCTCAATTTAAAATAAATAGTCTAGATAAAGTAAGATGAAAAAAATAAAGTCAAGAATATGGCTATTAGGCTAACTATGAAAAGGTTAATTTTCCCGTCACATATAGACATTACTAGGTAAAGGTTAAAAAAACCTAATTTAAAAACCATCATATTAATGATGTGCACAAGAATCATCATTGGGTTTAAAAATATTGTGTGAAAAATATATACACAGTTTCATATAATGTCCTTAGAGATTACTTATTAATTATAAGGGGAAAATTGTAGCTTTTCAGTAGATAAAATGGGGGGATATCAACTACATTAATATCACCAATAATGGGAAAAACTGACATCATACACCTCCTATGTGATGGAGCAAGTAACGGACCAAGAAGGACGCAGGCTCATGAAGATAGTTTTCCTGCCAAAGGTTCATAACCAGAATGTAATAGGAAAGTACTGGGCCATCCAATAGTTTGAAACCATCCAAAATGAAGGGAAGTCTACAAACAACTGTCCTGGACTATTCAACATATCAATATCATGAAAGACAAAAGAGGTTGAGTCGCTGTTGGAGATAAAAGCAAATTAAGGAGATGGGACAACTACATGCAATATATAATCCTGGATTAATATAAAAATTACTACAGATAAGATGGTATTAGAAAATTGGTGAAAATTGAATACGGACTGTTTATGAGGTAATAATTTTGTATTAATGTAATATTTCCTGAAGTATTTAGAGGTGATTGGTTAAAATATCTGCAGCTTACTCTCAAATGGATCTGCCAAGACACACACACACACACACCCACACAGCCCCCCATAGCCCCCACACACATTGGGGGATGAAAGCAGGAGACAGAGAGAACAAATATGGGACAGTGTTAACAGTTGGTGAACCTAGATGAAGGGTGTAAATGGGAGTTCTTTGTCCTAGTCTTGCAACTTTTCTATTAATTTAATTTTTTTCAAAATAAAAAATTTAAACAACTTTTCTCATCTATATTCTGTTTAGAAAAAAAAAAGATGAAAATAAAGGGATGGCCAAAAAATAGCCAGGAAAAATAAAGTATTAACACTGATCATTAAAATTGCTAAATTTGATAAAGACACGATGTAGAAGGCAACATTTATGACAATACGGCACCCAAAAAAAGAAAAAATTGTGGCCCCACCAACATAACGGCTAAGTACCTAAGGAGGGAATTACTGGAAAAGTAAGGAGAACTGGAAAAAATACCTGCTAGCAGACAAGAATAAGTAAGGATGAGAGGAATTAAAAATACATATTCCATAAATAATATATAATAAATTGACTGGGCGCGGTGGCTCACGCCTATAATCCCAGCACTTTGGGAGGCCGAGACGGGCTGATCACAAGGTCAGGAGATCGAGACCATCCTGGGCAACATGGTGAAACTCCATCTCTACGAAAATACAAAAAAAATATTAGCTGGGCTGGGGGTGTGCGCCTGTAGTCCCAGCTACTCGGGAGGCGAGGCAGGGGAATAGCTTGAACTTGGGAGGCAGAGGTAGCAGTGAGCCAAGATTGCACCACTGCACTCCAGTCTGGTGACAGAGCGAGACTCCATCTCAAAAAAACACTATATATATATATATAGATAGATAGATAGATAGATAGATAGATAATAAATTATCTATAATATATGAAACATAAACATATATACAACCTTACACATTACAAATAATTTTTTCTTTTACACAAAGAATACCTCAACAAATTTTTAATCAAAATTTTACCACATATATTTTTCTGATTATAATCCAATAAAATTGGAAATAAACAATAAAAAGGTAATTGGAAATGTTCATTTGAAAATATGAAATGCACTTTTAGATAACCCTTAGTTCAAAGACAAGATTAAAAAGAAAATTAAAAACTATCTGGAAAGTTCTACATAGGGAAAAGAAAAATTTTTCCTTAAAAACACAAAATTTTATTTTGATCTTTGTTTATTCTCTCATAAAGTCAAACATAGATAATATCATGTAAGTAATTTTTGTAGTGGGCTCAATAAAAAGTTGAATTAAGTATCATATTCTTGGATATAATAGGGAGATGCAATTTATCTTTACATGACATTTAATTTTTGTTTTATTAAACTTCTAGTAATTTCTGAACATATCAGATTTAATTTGTTGGCATGGTTATAAACCTCAGTTTATAATAATCTTAAATTATATTTTGGATTTTGACAGTTTACAAGAATATCTGGAAAGACAACATTTAGCTCAGCTCTGTGACATTGAAGAGGATGCAGCTAATGTTGCTAAGTTCATGGATGCTTTCTTCCCCGATTTTAAAAAAATGAAAAGCATGAAATTAGAAAAGACATTGGCATTACTTCGACCAAATCTCTTTCATGAAAGGAAAGGTAGGGAATCAAGCATAAATTGTTTAAGTATTTTATATAGATGAGATTTGAATAAACCCTAGTATAATTGCATTTAAAGACATTGTTTTAAAATTTAACATTGAAGAAAACGCACCTTAAGAAATTAATGTATTAACTTACTAATATCTTAATAGTGAATAAAACATATTTGTAGCTGAAGAGTTTACAAGGTATTTTCTAATCTGTGAATTTGTTAGAGTAGATTTTAACATTGCAGGAATTATTACATAATAAAGATTTAAAGCTTCTATGTCTGAAATGCCCCAATTCAAAGCTTGGATCTACCATAACTGATAGTGTGACTTGAACAAGATATTTTACCAAGTTTATTTCTTCACGTGTAAAATTCAGAACATTAAAATGAGAAAACACAAATAAAGTACCTGGCACATAAAGAGTTAGTTCTTTTTAATCTCATCCCATATTCTTATAGCAGAGTGAATATGGCAGAACAAGAACACAAGTCATAAATTAACACTATTCATTCTTTTTTTATATCTAATATATGGAAACATAATTACCATTAATATTTATATATTGGCCTTTTATTCTCTGACTTGTCCAACTACCTAGGAGCTTTCTAGGAGCTTTGACGTAGTTTCCTTGGCATTTCTATGTAGACCAGGATTTCTCAACCTCAGACCGGCTTACATTTTGGGCCAGATCATTCTTTGTCCAGGGTGGAGGATTGACTGTGTTATGTGCATTGTAAAATGTGTAGCAGCATCCTTGGCCTCTACTCACTAAAAGTCAGTATCATACCCCCCTTCCCCTCTGCCCCACCTCTCAAATTGTGACAACGTCAAAAATGTCTCTGGAGGTTGCCAAATGCCCTTTGTAGGGCAAAATCTCTCCGGCTGAGAATCATTGATATACACAGTAATAGGGTTTGCAAAGTGAGATACTTGTTCCTCTTCATTTCCATCTGTATGCCTTTTATTTCTTTTTCTTTCCTCATTGAGCTAGCTAGCACATCCTGTATGACGCTGAATTGGAGTGATGAGAGGAGACATCTTTGCCTTGTACCTGATCTTATAGCAAAAGCATTTGGTCTTTTACCACTAAGTATGTTAGCTGTGTATGTCCTTTATCAGATTAAGAAAATTACCACCTCTTCCTAGTTTGGAGAGAATTTTTATCAGGAAAGGATGTTGTGTTTTTCTCAATTTTTTTGTATCTATTGATGTGATTATGTTTTTTCCTTCATTTTGATAACATGGTGGATTATTTTGATTATTGATGTTGAAACAGCCTTGCATTCTCCAGAAAAATCCCACTTGGCTGTCATGTATTATCCTTTTTACACACTGCAGGTTTTGATTTGCTAATATTTTGTTGAGAATTTTTGTGTCTATATTCAGGAGGGATATGTGTTGATTTCTTTTCTTGTAATGTTTTTATCTGGTTTTGGTGTCAGAGTAATGCAGGTTCATAAAGTGAGATGAGAAGCAGTCACTCCTATTTTATGGACGAGATAGTGTAGAATTTGAGTTATATCTTAAATGTTTACTGGAATTTGTGAGTAAAATGATTTAGACATGGGGTTCTCTTTTTTGGAAGATTTTGTTTTATTTTTGTCTTTTTGCCATTTTCAATGTCTTTTAATATTTAAAAAAGACAATATTTTCAAATACATGTTATTTTTAAATAAATAGACTTTACAGAACAGTTTTAGATTTACAGAAAAATCAAGCCAAAATATTAAACCATTGTAGACTTCGAGAAAAATTAAGAAAAATACTACAGAGTTCCCATATACCTGCTCCCTCCCACCTTCTCCTATCAACATCATGTATTACTGTGATACACTTTTACAGTTAATTAACCAATATTGTTAAAATATCATTAACTAAAGTCCATAGTTTACATTAAGTTTCACTCTTTATTTTGTTCATCCTATGGATTGTGACAAATGCATAATGTCAGGTATTCCCATTACAGTATCATACAGAATAGAATTGCCACCCTAACAATCCCCTGTGTTTTACCTACTAATCTCTTTCTCTCTCCTAACCCCTGGCAACCACTGATCCTTTTGTTATTTGATATGTTATGGGATGTCTTAGAGTTGATATCATACAGTATATAGCCTTTTCATTATATATATATATATTTGTTTTTATTTATTTTTATTTTTTGAGATGGAGTCTTGCTCTGTCACCCAGGCTGGAGTGCAATGGGGTGACCTCAGATCCCTGCAACCTCCGCCTCCCAGGTTCAAGAGATTCTCCTGCCTCAGTCTCCCAAGTAGCTGTGATTACAGGTGTGCCACCATGCCCGGCTAATTTTTGTATTTTTAGTAGAGAGGGGGTTTCCCCATGTTGGCCAGGGTAGTCTAAAACTCCTGACCTCAAGTGATCCACCTGCCTCGCCTCCCAAAGTGCTGGATTTACAGGTGTGAGCCACCACACCCGGCCAGTAGATAGCCTTTTCAGATTGACTTCTTTCATTTAGCAATGTGCATTTTGTGTTCCTCCATGTCTTCTGGTGACTTGATTGTTCATTTCTTTTTATCACTGAATAATATTCCATTGTATGTATGCAACTAAGTTTATTTGTGTAGTTACCTATAGAAGGGCATCTTGGTTGCTTCCAGTTTTCAGCCATTATGAAGAAAATTGCTGTAGGTGTTCATATGCAGGTTTTTGTGTGGATGTCAGTTTTCATTTTAATTGGGTAAATATCTAGGAGCATGAGTACAGGATCATGCTGTAAAAGTATGTATAGTTTGTAAGAAAGTGCCAAAATGTCTTCCAAAGCACCTGTACCACTTTCCATTTTTGTTAGAAATGAATCAGAGTTCCTGTTGCTCTACAACCTTGCCAGGATTTGGTATTGTCAGTTTTTGGGAGTTTAGTTACATTAATAGGTAAATAATATTACCTTAGTGTTGTCCTTGTTTACAATTCCCTAATGACATATTATGCAGAGCTTCTTTTCATATGCTTACTAATCATCTCTGTATCTTCTTTGATGATGTGTTGTCTCTTTATACTTTTTGCCCATTTCTTAATTGAGTTGTTCATTTTCCTCATTGTTGAGTAGAAAGGTTTTTTTTGTTTGTTTATTTTGAATACAAGTCTTTTATCATGTATGTGGTTTGCAAATATTTTCTCCAAGTTTTTGGTTCTTGGTTTCTTAAAAGTGGCTTTCACAGAAAAGTCTTTATTTTTAATTTAGTCCAGCTTATTAGTTATTTCTTTTTGGATTGCGGTTTTAGTGTTGTATCTAAAAACTCATTGCTAACCACAAGGTCACCTAGATTTTCTTCTGTGTTATTCTCTAGAAAGTTTATAGTTTTGTGTTTTACATATAGGTCTATCATCCATTTTGAGTTATTTTTATGAATAGTATAAGGTCTGTGTCTAGACTTACTGTTTTGAGAGGGTATTTCTAATTATTTCAGCACCATTTGTTGACAAGACTGTCCTTCCTCCATTGTATTGCCTTTGCAACTTTATCACAAACCAATTGACTATGTTTGTGTGGGTCTTTTTCTGGGCTCTCTGCTCTGTTCCATTAATCAATGTGGCTAGGTCTGGTAGTATCACTTCTCTAACTTTGTTCTTCTCCTTCAATACTGTGTTACATCTTTGGCCTTTTCATATAAACTTGAGATCAGTTTGTCAATTTCCATATCCACAAAATAACTTGCTGGGCTTTTGGTTGGGATTGTGTTTAATCTACAGACCAAGTTGGGAAAAACTGACATCTTCATATTAAGTCTTGTTATCTATGAATATGGAATATCTCTCCATTTATTTAGATCTTTGATTTTTTTTCGCCAGAGTTTTGTAGTTTTCTTCATTTAGATTCTTTACATATTTTGATAGATTTTTGCCCATGTATTTTCTTTTTTAGTGCTAGTATAAATTGTTTTGCTTTAAATTTCAAATTCCAATTGCTCATTTCTGGTATATAGAAAAAAATTGACTTTTGTATATTAATTATAACCTGAACCTTTGCTATAATAGTCTCTTATCAGTGCCCGAAGTTTTGTGTTGTTGTTATTGACAATGATGATGATGATTCTTTGGGATTTTCTACATAGACAGTCATGCCCTCTGTGAAGAACAACAATAGTTTCATTTCCTCATTCTGAATCAGTATACCTTTTATTTCCTTTTCTTGTGTTATTTCTTTAGCTAAGATTTCCAGTATGAATTTGAAGAGGAGTAGTGAGAGGGAGTAGCTTTGCTTTTTTTTCCGATCTTAGAGGCAAAGCATCTAGTTTCTTTCCATTAAGGACAGTGTTAACTGTAGGATTTTTGAAGATGTTCTCTAGTAAGTTGAGAAAGTTTCCCTTTATTCCTCCTCTGGTAATAATTTTTATCATGAATTGGTATTAAATTTGTCATATGATTTTTCTGCATCTACTAACATAATCATATGACTTTTCTTCTTTATCCTATTAGTGGCGATTATGTTAATTGACTTTCAAATGTTGATCCACCCTGGCATACTTGGAATAAATCCAGCTTGGTCATGGTTTGTAATTTTTTTATACATTGTTAAATTTGAATGGTTAATATTTTGTTAAGAATTTCTGCTCCTATGTTCATGAGAGCTATTGGTCTTTAGTTTTCTTTCCTTGTAATATCTTTTTGAATATTATGGTAAGTCTGGCCTCATGGAATGAGTTAGAAAGTGTTCCCTCTGCTTCTATTTGCTGAAAAAAATAAATTGTTTCCAGAGAATTGGTGTCATTTATTCCTTAAACGTTTTGTAGAATTCACTAGCAAAATAATCTAGTCCTGGTGCTGTATTTTTCAGAATGTTATTAAGAATTAATTCAATTTATCTAATAGATATAGGGCTAATCATATTACCTAGCTCTCATTGTGTGAGTTTTGGTATTTAATATTCAGTGTATTTCAAGGAATGGGTCAATTTATCTGAATTATCAAATTTGTGAGCACAAAGTTGTATTGCAGAGAAAAAGTCTGCTGTCAGCTTGGTTTTTGTTCCTTTGTAGATAATTCAGTTTTTGTTGTTGGTGGTTGTGGCTTGATTTATTTAGATACTTGCAAAATATTTTCCCTTTATTTTTGCTCAATTGTTTTTCAAGATTGTATAGATATCTAAGAATGAACTGATCTTTACACATTTATTTAACTATTAAGCACCTTACTTAGAAATTTGCCTGTGATTGATGAGAAGTAAGGTATCAAGGTGTGGGCCAGGTGCTGTGGTTCATGCCTGTAGTACCAGCACCTTGGGAGGCCAGGCAGCCGCATTGCTTGAGCCCAGGAGATCAAGACCAGCTTGCACAACGTGGTGAAACCTCATCTCTACTAAAAATAGAAAACGTAGCCGGGCGTGGTGGCCCATGCCTGTGGTCCCAGCTGCTGGGGAGGCTGAGGCAGGAGAATCACTTGAACCTGGAAGGTGGAGGTTGCAGTGAGCTGAGATGGTGCTACTGCACCCCAGCCTGGGCGACAGAGTGAGACCCTGTCAAAAAAAAGAAAAAAAGAAAAGAAATAAAGGAAGGAAGGAAGGAGGGAGAGAGGGAGGAAGGGAAAGAAAGAAAGAAAGAAAGAAAGAAAGAAAGAAAGAAAGAAAGAAAGAAAGAGAGAGAGAGAGAGAGAAAGAAAGAAAGAAAGAAAGAAAGAAAGAGAAAGAAAGAAAGAGAAAGAAAGAAAGAAAGGTCAACAAGGTGTTCGGGGCTTTGAAGTATGATTTTTTTATGCATCAGGTTATTCCATGAAACTTCTATGCAATTGCTAGACACCTTTATCTAGAACCAGGAATTCTGTGTGTCTTCATACCTGTCACCAAATATGGCATCAGATAGTGTCACTGGAATGCTTGAAAGGATGTTTGAAAATTCTCATGGACATAGTGCAAGCAAAATAAAATATTTATTATTATATTCATCATGGAATTTAGAGTGAAGCAAAGAAACTCAATGCCGTCTTGCAAATAAGGCATACTCACCAATATTTTTTCAATTTATCCGTTGGACGGTGAGGACCCTCTCTACACCTGGTTTATAATTCCTTTGTGATCACCTAATGAGAGAGTGCAAATTAGGGAAGGCAATCTCCAGGATTCTCAAGGATTGACAATCGACCTACTCTCCCATTAAATCTACTTTCTTTAGCTTTATGCAGATTTACCTTCCCTGAATATTTTTCCTGAGCTTTTATCGTGAGTCATTTCAAGAAGCTGTTAACATTATATGGCAATTGCTTGGGGATTGGTTGTCACTTTTTAAACTGTGGTCATCAGGTACCCTCATTTGAGAAATCTTTTTACAAAATTAGTAATTTAAAAAAAACTTCAGTGTCTTCTAAGAATTTATATGATTCCACTTTTTCAACTTTCAAGAGCTATATATCCTGTGTTTTCCTTTCTTTTCTGTGAGGTAGTTCTGAAGCAAATTATTTCTTAAACTGTATTAACATGCATGATACTTTGTTTTATTCTTTCCTTACAATTGTTTGCTTAGTTCTACTTTATTCACTCTATTTCCTGTTTTTTGGCCTCGATAAGGAGCTTAAGGCTGTTCAAGATCTTAGTCAATATTTGTGCTTTTGACTTATCCTTCTTTGTCACAAGATGACCTGCACAGCTCCAAAGATCATGTCCCTCAAACATTCAAAAGCAGGAAGCAGAAGATGGTGTAGGACAGAGGTTCTCCCCGAGTGCCTCTCTCAGAAGAGTCCCCAGTGTATTTCCTATAAATATCATTGACCATAGCTGGATCACACTGCCACACTTTCTGTAAGGAAGGATGGAGGTGTGAGTATTGGATTTTCTAGGCTTCTGTAGTGGGAAGTAGGCAAGAGAGAAGAAGGTTGAGAAATACCTTCAGGTATTCAATCACCTTGTTTATCCCCAAATGGGACAAATCAAATCATGGTTATTGAACATAAAAATTATTTGCAATGACTTCCATAATTGTGTTGGTTGATTATTTAGGTTACTGTCTACACACACACACACACACACACACCCACACAATCACTCACATTCACATGCATACACCCAAGAAAAAGATTTAATGAGATACCTGTGTGTGTGTGTTGTATATGTGTATGTGTGTGCATGCATGATTCCTATACGATGAAAAATTGGAAATAGCATCATAATGAGATGTTAAGAGATACTATTCACCTTAAATTAAAACCTAAGAAGGTATTTCTGCAAACTTTCAAAATTTCGTATGAGAATAAAGTGCATTGTATGCCCTCATGATAGTATATTATGTATTGTGTACATAACCAGTAATCTACCAGTTTAAAACTTATTATGTAACTGTTTTTATTTAGATGATGTTTTGCGTATTATTAAAGATGAAGACTTCAAAATACTGGAGCAAAGACAAGTAGTATTATCGGAAAAAGAAGCACAAGCACTGTGCAAGGAATATGAAAATGAAGACTATTTTAATAAACTTATAGAAAACATGACCAGGTAGAATCCAGGTTGAGAAAATTCAGTCTGATTTATTTTTGAATCATGTAAACTTTCTCTTAAGTCTGGTTTCTATTTAAGCTGCCAAACTCCTCAAGTCTGTAAACATGTTCTGAGTTTACTTCTCTACCAGTCCTGCTCCCATCCCAATCCTCTGCTCACCTGCCTGTCTTCTCTAGTCTTCCTGGAATGTTACTGGAATAGTAGGAAGGTCTCAGAGGAAGTTACTGGAGTCCCATTGAGTTGAACACCAGAAGTCCAGGGTGTACAATACTATGAAGTTTAAGCAGAGAACTGACTGACTCTCAAGAGCTTTTGTAATCTTATAGTTAACTAGTTCTAGGAAAGAATGAGTTGCTAGAAATGTGCTGGGTTTCTTTCTAGAAGAATGACTGAAATAGCAATTGAGGCTGAAATCCTGCAAGGGCATATAAACCAGCAGGACCATGGGAACAATGAAAGAAACATCTACAAGAATCATGGCACTCCCCTTCCCTTCCTTTCCCTGCTTCTATTCTTTTATAGATATGCTCTTGAAAACATATCAACGGAAAAAAATCACAGACCTCTGTTAAAAGATTATTTTACATGTTACATGTTTTTGATCTATTTAACAATATGCATTTGTATTGCCTATACATAATTAGCTACTGAGCTACACTTCTTATTACCTCTTCTTTGTTTTCTTTTCTAATAGTGGTCCATCTCTAGCCCTTGTTTTATTGAGAGACAATGGCTTGCAATACTGGAAACAATTACTGGGACCAAGAACTGTTGAAGAAGCCATTGAATATTTTCCAGAGAGGTAGGATTCATACCATGGGTCACTATCTGTTTTCGTGGGCTCCATTTTAAACACCTTTTTAGATGTAGAGTATTGGAACCACAGCTCTAGTCCAAGGGAGCTTCTCAGGAAAGCTACCTTTCCTGGGGACGGAGTGGACTGCTTATGACTGGAGGTCCAACCCAGTGACAGCCTGAGGATGGCCAAAGATTTTCAAGAAACCACTGTGAGGTGCTAGGCTTGGGGCTGGGAGCTAAGAGGTGTATATTTCAGTCAACAGGTCATCTCTTGGGAGAAATATCCACCCTACCCGCTATTTAGGAGAAATTCCTTTGAGAAGGTTATGGTGGCAGCTGTAGCTTCTTTAACTGATCATGAGTTTTAAGACAATGATGACTAATTGAATATGTACTCTACAATTCAGGGGGAACATTTATTGACTTAGCTTACTGATTAATCTTAGAAGTCAGCTAAACTTTGTAATCAACTTGACCCCTGGCATATTACCTGGCACATAGGGGGAACTCTTTCAATATTTTCTGAGCTTACCTGCTAGGCTTAGTATCATCTGCAGGATAGAAATAGTATCTCACGCATCTCCATATTTGGCATGAAGCTGATGGAAACAAATTGAATTTCAATTCCCTTGAATTCTTCTTGCTGATTTTAGGGTAGGATTCAATTCAAAGGAAGAAAGGACACCCCTCATACTCCCTTCAGGTGTGCAAGAATATAGATGCTCTTTAAGGTACTGCAAACATGACATACATGTTGACACAATAAATAACAATAGTTATGAAGCCTCACTTACATGAAAGCTGAAGTGCTTTCTTTTGGGTGGGATACACTTAAATCTGACTTGTGTTGCATTAACATGTATTGCCCCTTAGTTAGCCCTACTCAATTATGTCTTTGCTTATGTGCCAATGACTGTGAAGGATAATAAGCATAGAACCTCTGCAAGTGGTGTGAGCAGAGTGCCATGGAATCATTTAATAAAATGTGGCATAGAGTGCAATGCATGCTACCAGAGAGAGGGATTGCTATCAACACAAGGCCTGTGCCAGTAGGCACACTGGTCTAGACACTGTGGCACCAAGTGTGGAGGCTCTCAGTTACTGCCCCATCTCCACCCCACTATCATACTGAAAATTGCCCCATGTTCACAATTAATCTTAATCTTTATTTCTAATTGATCCCCACTTTTCCACTTTCCTTGGCTCCACCCACCACTTACGGTTGCTTTAGGAATAACTCTTCAAATGGAACTTCACCCCTTTCCTGTGCCTGAATATCAGATTCTATGCTGGCATTGTTTTACCCAAAATATGATAATTTGCATAGAAGAGAAGCACAGCAACCCCTCGTTGTTACCTGTTACTCCCTCTATCCCACAATTCCTCCCCGGACATTTTCCAATAATCATGTTTAACAGCATAACAGGGGTTGGGAGAATGCTCTGCATTGAGTAGAGTAAGTGCTCAGGATGACTCAGGCTGTTTCATTCAATCATTGTCCAAATCCCTAACCCCTGGCAATCACAGAGTCCAAGGGACTAGGGCTGAAGGTATCTCCAAATTAGAGGTGTGGGAACAGCCAAGGGCAGAATGGAAAGGTCAAGGTGATAAGGCAAAAAAAAAACAAAAACAAACAAACAAAACCCTGAATGAGTCATTGAGACTAGAGAGAAAAGAAGAGGATCTGGAAGCTGGGGACAGAAAACCAAGTTTCCAGTGATGTGGAGAATCCACATCAGTGTTAGCAGGAAGGAACATTATTCACCACAGCTGGAATTTGTTGGGTTGATTGCCCTGGACTGTTTAAAGGGAAAAAAGTGAAATGAGCAGTGAGCATTATTTGCTACTGAAATATGCATAGATAGATAGAAAAACAGATAAAAAGGACAACTGAAAAAATACCAAAGAGCAACAACTGATTCAAGAGATGCATGCTTATTTATAGGAAAGAAAGCATAACAATAAACTGTCTAATGTGGATGGTCTGGTATTATCAGCATCACTCCTGCCTCTTCCCACAAAGCTGTCCTGTCTACTTCTCTTTTATTGCTGTTGTTGCTCACCTGGAGGTTTCCCTTCAGTATCTTCTGGATTTAATGTTTATAATTTTATATCTTTGGTCTAGAGTCAAATGCCATGTAATGCTTGATAATGTGAAGCATTATCACATGGTGAAAGCCACAGAAGAAAATTTATTTAGAGTTCAATACACACACCATATATTTCAAAGGCATCATCTGATTGCATCTGCAAAATCACCTTCTGAAACAGGTTTTATTGTTGTATTTATATTTGAGACAACTAAAGCACAAAGAAGTTAAGCAGCTCCCTAATATCACACAGCTAGCAAGTAGTGCAACAAGGATTCTACCCTCTGAGCTTTTTCACTGCACAGGGCATCTATATCAGTCTGTTCTCATGCTGCTATGAAGAAATATCCGAGACTGGGTAATTTATAAAGAAAAGAGGTTTAATTGGCTCACAGTTCCGCATGGCTGGGGAAGCCTCAGGAAACTTATAATCATGGCAGAAGGTACCTCTTCACAGGGTGGCAGGAGAGAGAATGAGTGCCAGCAGGGCTTGTAATACCAGGTGCTTGTAAAACCATCAGATCTTCTGAGAACTCACTCACTAGCACAAGAACAGCATGGGAGAAACTGCCCCCATGATTCAGTTAGCTCCCACTAGGTCCTGCCCATGATTTGTGGGGATTTTGGGGATTACAATTCAACATGAGAATTGGGTGGGAACAAAGCCAAACCATATCAGCATTCATTCCTCTTTCATAGTTATCTGTTAATATTCATCGCCTTGATGATTTAAATGATCACATCCTTTCTTCCTAATGACCGTTATCCTTGAAAAGAAGTAGCATGCCCTAAGCCGCCATGTACTTACTTCCTTTTGCACAGTGTCAAGATCTGGAATTATTTGCTGTTATTTGATAACTTTTGAACAACTTATAGAAATTGTGTTATATTATTCTGTTCTGTTCTAATAGCTTTTAAACCTGACTTCTTTTTCAAAGTTTATGTGCACAGTTTGCGATGGACAGTTTGCCGGTCAACCAGTTGTATGGCAGCGATTCATTAGAAACCGCTGAAAGGGAAATACAGCATTTCTTTCCTCTTCAAAGCACTTTAGGCTTGATTAAACCTCATGCAACAAGTGAACAAAGAGGTAAATATTTAAGAATAAAAGTGAATGTATACATTTTCTCCAAATTTTGTGAACATTTAAAAAATTTACAATCAGAAAAGCAAAACAGGAAACAGAAAATTCCAAAAAAGAAAAGTTGCGATGAGTACTCCTATCCTTCATTTAGATTCAACAATTAACTTTGTCATACTTTGTCTTGCTATCTCTCTCACCTCTCCCTCCCTCATCCTTCTCTGTCTTTCTCTTAATCAGAAATGATATTGAATTTTGCTGAAGTCTTTTTCAGAATTTATGAAAATGATGAGTTGTTTTTTCCATGGATATATTAGTACGGAATATCATGTTAATGATATTTCAAATATTGAATTATATCCTTCCATTCCTATTTACATGTTGCTTAGTTATGATGCATTTTTAGATACGCTATTGGATACTATTTGCTTATATTTTACTTGGTTTTTTTTTTCGTATTGAGACTTAAAAGTGAGATTGATCTCTGCTTTCCATTTTTTTGGTTTGATATCTATCAGGTTTAGAAATCAATGGAATACTTCATAAGGAATGTGAATATATTTTTCAGTGCTCCAAAAGAGTGTAAGCAGCACTGAGATTGGTATTTGGAGGTTTGGTAAAATTTTCCTGTGAAAATATCTGGGCCTGTTGTTTTTTTGTGGGATAATTATTTGATTGCTTTCTCTGTTTCTTTTATGGAAATTGCTCTATTAAAGTTTTCTATCACCCTTTGAGTAAATATAGTTAAATTATATTTTCCTAGGAAGTTATCTATTCCAGCTATGTAATTTGTAAAGTAATTTCTTATCATTATTATATTTCCTCCATTTCAGTGATTATTTCTACTTTACCATTTCTTATTTCATTCTCTTTCAAACAATAAAAATTTAATTTATTCATGAGTTCTATTTTTTTCTCTTTTCTAACTACTATTTTTGGTTTTATCTTCATGATTTTCTTTCTTCTATTTTCTAGTAGTTTTTTCTTATGTTCTTCTAGCTTTTTGAGTTGAATATTAAGTTTATTTATTTTCAACTTTTAATTTTTATTGATAAGAATTTTTAAGGTTATACATTTTCCTTTGATTACTGCTTTAATTATAGCCCACAGGTTCTAATGCATCGTGTTTTCATTATCATTATTGATTATTGATAATTAATTATTGAAATTTTGTAATTTTGGTTTGTATTTTCCCTTGGGCCTTTGAGTTATTCAACAAATAAATTATTTTTAAAGAGATTTTTTAAAATTCTGGTAGAAGAAAAAGCTTGCATTTTTTTGAAATTATCGTGGTGTTGCCGAACTACCATATGGCAAACTTTTGTGAAGATTCTACATGTATGAGGAGAAAAAATATTATCACTAGTGTCATGGTGAAAAGTTTGAATATAAGATAAAACCAGCCTTACAGTTTGATTCATCTTGATTTATTTTTCCCCAACTTGATCTGTCTTGAATTTGGGGGATCTGTCAGAAACTAGAGGTATGAGTCACCTGTTTTCAGTATATTGTTGGCTATATTTCCTGTATTTTCTGATTTATAATGTTGGTGGCCATGTTATTTGGTACATAGATATTTAAAACTATTCATGGTAAATTTAGTTTTTAGCATTACACAAAGTTCTTATTTGTCTCATTTAATGCCTTGGGGCCTGAATTCTGTATTGTTTGCTATCAGGACCACACACCCTGCTTTCTTATTATTTGCATTTGCCTTGTACATTTTTGCCCATTTATTTATTTTTAGCCTTTTTGAATCACTTTTTTTAGGCTTGTCTCACACATAAAATCCATAAAGGCAGATTTGTATTCATGGCTTTCTCTCAAAATATATGTTAAACAGCCAAATTCACTGTAATAAAACAGTACACAACTCACGTATTTTTAATTTTTTAAATTGAAACATAATTGTCCATATTCATGGGGTACATTATGATGTTTTGATACATGTACACATTATGTAATAATCAAATCAGGGTATATAGCATACCCATTACTTCATAACTTTATCATTTCTTTGTGGTGAGAACATTCAAAGTCTCCTCTTCTACCTATTTTGAAATATACAATGCGATATTATTAACTATAGTTACCCTACTATGCATTAGAACACCAGAGGTTATACCCATAGACTTATCTCTCCCTATTTCTCCCTGCCCCATAGCCTCCCCACCTCTAGTGAGCACCATTCTGCTCTCTACTTCTAGGAGATCAACTTCTTTAGGTTCCACATATGAGTGAGATCATGCAGTATTTTGTCTTTTCTGTGCCTGACTTATTTCACTTAAGATAATGTCCTCTAGGTTCTTCTATGTTGCCACAAATGACAGGATTTCATTACTTTTTATAGCTGAATAATATTCCATTATGTATATGCATCACACTTTCATTATCCATTCATCCATCAATTTTTGTTGATAATAAATAGGTTGATTTTATTTAGGTTGATTCCAAATCTTGGCTGTTGTGGATAATGCTGCAATAAACATGTGAGTACAGATATTTCTTCAATGTACTGATTTTATTTCCTTTGGATATATACCCATAGTGGGATTGCTGGATCATATATGGTAGTTCTATTTTTAATTTTTTAAGAGCTGTTGAGCCTTTTTTCATGTATCTGTTGGTCATTGTATGTTCAATAGATATCTTCTGAGAAATGTCCATTCAGGTTTTTACCCATTTTTAAACCAGAATCCTTTTTTGGGGTTTTTGTTTGTTTGCTATTGAGTTTAGTTCCTTATATATGCTGTATATTAACCTTTTGTCAGATGCATAGCTTGAAAATATTTTCTTGAATTCTGTAGGTTGTCTCTTCACTCTTGATTTTTTTCTTCACTATGCAGAATTTAGTTTGATATAATCCCATTTGTCTGGTTTTGCTTTTGTTGCCTGTGCTTTTGAGGTCTTACCAAAAAAAATCACTGCCGAGACCAATGCTATGAAGCATTTCACCTATATTTTCTTCTAGTAGTTTTGTTGTTTCAGGTCTTACAGGAAAAAAATTTAGTAGATGAGATAAACTCACATAATATGTTTATTTTATGTTAATAATATGTTTAGTTTAAAACATCTTATTATTTTAAGTTATATTTACTTTACATGTTATTTTTCATTTACTGTTGTTCTTCTCTGTGTGGTCTTTTACATTTTCTTTTGTGTTTGAGAAATTTATTTGTTCTGTAAGCCATTTTTATTGCAATATCTATCAGAGTTGTCCAAGGGAAAGAATATAGTCATGGGTTCTTAGTTTCTGTTTCTGATTGGGCCAGTAAAGCCCCTTCCTCATCCTTCTTTTCTGCTTATCACTAGAGACAGAAACTAAAAACCATGGTTTTGGGCTGCTAAAAGCCTAAAACAAAACACAACAACAAAAAAAGTTGGGATGGATAGGCTTGAAAGTTCACTCTTCTTGACTGAGTGCCTATTATTTGTTTTCTCTGCTTTAAATGATATCCTATTACCTTTGTGACAGTTAGGTACTTAATCTACTTTCTTATTTCTTGAGCTATTCTCCTATTTTTTGAACTTGTGTTAAATGTTAAATGTACTTTGTCAGAAAATATATTATTTACATATATGCTGGATAGAAATAATCCTAGGCTCACATTTTTTTTCTTGGAGTTTCTTGACAGAGTATCTCTATTCTTGTTTCCTGCATTTCTTTCAAGAAACCTGGTGCCATATTTACTTTTGTTTCATTGTAAGTAATATGGTGTTTTGCCAGAAGAAAGTGTTAATTTTTGTTTGTTTCTCAAGTCTAGTAGTTTTACTAACATATGTCTGAGATTTGACCACTCTTGATTTCTTTTTCTAGATACATGTTATTCTTTTTCACTGTCTAGATTCTTATCTTCTCTTATTTCAAGATGGTTTTCCTGCCTTATAGTTTTAAATATTAGTTCTGTTCCATTGTTCTTTTTTTTTTCTTAGGGATTTCACCAGCTGGAACTAACAGGGGATTCTTTTGAAGTTTCTGAGTATTTAGATTGACTTACTCAATTTTTAGTTAAAAATATTCTCTTTTGGTATGATGAAGTCAAATTTCTTAAATACATATAGTAATATATATTATTTAATTATATACACAGATATGTACACACACACACCTACATACACACACGTGTAGACATGCTTATCTTTGCCTAACTTCTGTATCTATCACTTTCCCTATTGACTTCTCTTTCTTTATTTTGCTTTCCTTTACTTGGCTATTTTTACTTCTGTTCTCTATGTCCTTCTCTGTATTTTAAGTTACATTAGACACCTAGTTTATTTCTGTTATTTTATCTTTGTCTTTCGTGAGTGCAGCTTTTATTTCACATCTACTTATTGCTTGGCCATTTCTGGTTTTGAGTTTGAAGTTCTGATTTATGATTTATGATTTTTTTAATGTTCAAACTGCTTAATTCACATTAGGGTGTCGTGTTACAGTTTGGGGGGGTATTTGTCATCCTTCTGCTGGCTTGCTTTCTTCCTACCTCCCTTCCTCTTTCTCTTTCTTTTATTTATTTCTTTAACAGGGGAATAAATTTTTTAATTAGCATAGTAATTTTAATTTTATTTTTATAATGGCTCAGTAAAGATTAATAAGGGTTTGGGTTAGCTCATTTCATTTCTCAGCTCAGATTTTCTCTTGGTTTTGTATTAATATAATTAGGTAGTTTCTTAATAGGTAGGGCCTTTGCAGGGGGTGAATCTGTCTCACTACCTACAGTACTCTCTGTTTGTCTTGAACGTTAACCTGAGCCACTTGCTGTCTTTATCTAAGAACTGTAAGAGACTTTTCTTTTCCAAGGTGGCTCGTTTTACCAGGAAGTATTGATTTTCCAAAAACTGCATTAGTCTTCAAATACCTTGCTTGCAGTGCCACAATCACCCACTCCTACCCTAATTCATTCTTCATGGTGCAAAGGAAATTATCGTTTTAGAGCACAGATCTGAATATGTTCTTGCTTAGAATGCTTTAAATGTTCCTTGTTGTTTTTAGAGGAAAGTCCAGATTTCTTCACAGGGCATAGCTCTTGATAATCCTTCTTCTACTTACTTGGCCAACTTCATCTCCAGTATATTTTCACCCAGTCACTTCTTCCTGCCCTCTGCACTTGGCATACATTACTCACTCTGCCTGCAATGTCCTTTCCCTACTTGTCCACTTGGTGATCACACCTTATTTTTACCATGCTTAACACAAAGGTCAGTGTCTCTGTGAAGTCATCCCTGACCTCTCCAGAGAAAGTTAATTGTTTTCTCACCTGTGGTTCTGGGGACCTTATATATTACTCTATAATAATGATCACTTTCTCATGATATCTTTATAGGCCTTGCTCTCTGTTGAGACAGTCTCTGAGGAAAGGTTTATGTTTTCTTCCCTTTCATTTCTGCAGTGCCTGTCTTAGGGCAGATCCTGGCCACCTCCCTTCCAGCAGGAGAGGTCCAGCCTTCTCCAGGCTGTCTGTTGGTTATAATCATATTGCCTTTAGCTCCCAGACCACTCTATGTGCTTTTGATCTGGAGCAAAGAAGAGGCCGTTTTACCAGAAAGCTCCCAGTTTCTCAGTTGGTTCACCTTTGTCTCTAGAATGTAGCCCTCAAAACTTAGGCTGTTGGTGAGATTTTGACAACATTTGCTTTGTTTAATTCCCTCGATGGTACTCTGATTCTTCAGGGAGAAGAGTTCAGATTGGCTTTATCCTTCAATCCATATCTAGCAAGAAATTCCTTGGCATTTGTAGTATGAAGGTGAAAATAGATCTTTATTCTTAGCATGAGAGCAGGTCCCTTCCCCTTCTACTCTTGTGGCCTACTAGGTGTTTCAGGTGGTTTCTGGAAAGGTGAGCCTCAGAGACTGAAAATCTACATTAACATACTGAAGTTCTGAATGTCAATTTGGTGCTTTGGAATTTTAATTTCGTTTGGCAGAGTTTTGCCATGTTAAACCACAATATGCAAATTAAACTATCATTTTCCTTAGTTATTTCAGTCTACTTGAGTATGGAGGAAAAGTGAAGCAATCTGCAATATTATCAAATATTTGTTTTTCTTAGAGCAGATCCTGAAGATAGTTAAGGAGGCTGGATTTGATCTGACACAGGTGAAGAAAATGTTCCTAACTCCTGAGCAAATAGAGAAAATTTATCCAAAAGTAACAGGAAAAGACTTTTATAAAGATTTATTGGAAATGTTATCTGTGTAAGTTTCTGATACATAATTGTTTGCATTATAAAAGTGGTAAATGTTCATTATAGAAACTTTGAAAAATGCAAAAATTAATTAAAACATTTCATCTAATCTCATTCATGAAAAGACATTCTGCTAACATTCATGGTTCATCTTTTTTCTATTTCCTTACCTCCCTCCCTATCTTCTTTTCTCTCTCTCATTCTGTCTCTCCTCGCTCCCTTTCTTTCATTCTTTCTTCCTTCCTACTTTCCTTTCTCCCTTTCCTTCCCTTCCCTTCCCTTTCCTTTCCTTTCTTTTCCTTTCCTTTCCTTCCTTCCTTCCTGTTTCTCTAGGTCTTCACATTAGATATAGAGGCTGCCTCAGTTCAAACCGCTGCTTCGCCAACATACTTAATTGTTGCCTGAGTTTCCTTATCTGTTGAATGGGAATAATAATAGTATCTATCTAATAGGCTTGTTGGCAGGGCTACATAATTGATGTGTTGAAAGTACCTAGAACAGTGCATGACAGATATTAAACACTTGATAAATGTTAGCTATGATTATTCACATCTTTTTTTACATGTGTTGATACCTTGTCAAACTATGTATACATAATAACATAAATATTACGATAAGAAATACACTCTTTTAAAACTTCTTTCTACATGATGCATCTGTTCCTGACAACACATACTTTTATAACCACCACATAGAAATTACAGGCTAACATTTATTGTTTCCTTAATTCCAGGCCTTGTGATGAGCTGTACACACTTTATTTCATTTGACTCTTATAATAATAACTCTGTGAAGTAGTTTTACTAGAATTTCCACTTTGATTTTGAGAGAACATAGGACCAGGGCTAGAAGTTGTCCGCAGTCACAAAACTAGTGTTTCGCTGGGTCCTGAACCCAGGGAGTCTCTGCTTTTAACTGCTGCTTTCCAAAACTCTCTTTTACACAGAGTTCATAATTATGTGAACATCATTATCGATTTACTATGAGTTACATGTCTTTTCTATTTTATATATATTACACATCAAAAATTTTCTATACAGTCATGCTTTGCAGTACAATATTTCAGTCAATAATGAATCACATGTACAGCAGTAGTCCCATAAGATTATCATGGAGCTGAAAAATTCCTATTGCCTTAGTGACATCGTGATCATTGTAATGCAATGCATTACCATTTGTGTTCATATATGTTTAGATACACAAATAACACTGTATTACAGTTGTCTACAGTATTCAGTATAGTAACATGCTATACAGGTTTATAGCCCAGGAGCCATAGGCTGAACCAGATAGCCTAGGTGTGTAAGAGGCTATTCTATCTAGGTTTCTGTAAGTATATTCTAGGATGTTTGCACTACAATGAAATAACCTAATGTCACATTTCTCAGAAAGTATCTGCATTATTAAGAGGTACATGACTGTACATACACACACACATGCACACACACACACGTGTGTATAAAATACGTATAAGAAACCTCTTTAATTGCATGTCTTCTCTTTTTTCAGTTCCTGACAATTTGTCAATGAGTTTAGGAAGGCAGAATTTATAAAGTTAACAAAATTTAATGGAATATATGTGCTATTGAGATATAAATAATAAGCAGAAGCCTAGGACTGTACCATGACAGCTTAGAAAACTAACTTTCATACTTATTGCAGGTTGCATTTTCTGGGAAGCTGGAAGTTTCTTGTTCAGGCTATTGAGTAATGATGCCATGAGGAAGACAGGGCAAAGAAGCAGGATGGGGATGACGGCAAGTCAAGATGTAGTGCAGACCAGACAACAGCCTCTGCTAACCACAGCTAGATTGGTCTATCAGAGTTGTCCAGTATTGGCTGAGATGACCAGGCTGTTGTATGCTCACATCACTCAGTTACTTGAAGTAGGCCATCCTGGCAATGAGGATGGCCTGAGCAAGGCTATCTTAACTTGAGGCAATCCCTGAAGCGGTTAGAGGCTGCTGGACAACCATAAAGCAACAAGTCTTGAATCCATGACAATGTCTCTATTTACAGACCTCAAAGTAGCAAAATAATAAGACTTCATTGACAAATATTCTCTAGAATTAAATTATAGCACCCACCTAGCATATAAACCTATTAGAAGAGGGAGAAATGAAAAAAAGAAAGTACATGATTGCACTGATAAGGACAAAGAATAAAAAGGAGCTCCCTGGCTCAGGCTGCAGTGTTCTGTCTTTAGCCTTGTTTGCAGTGTCAACAGTTTTCAGTAGGCTGGGTCTTCTGAAAGCACCGTTCTTTGCAGGGGTCCATCTATGGTCATGATTCTGACCAAGTGGAATGCTGTTGCAGAATGGAGACGATTGATGGGCCCAACAGACCCAGAAGAAGCAAAATTACTTTCCCCTGACTCCATCCGAGCCCAGTTTGGAATAAGTAAATTGAAAAACATTGTCCATGGAGCATCTAACGCCTATGAAGCAAAAGAGGTTGTTAATAGACTCTTTGAGGATCCTGAGGAAAACTAAAGTATATACTGTGAAGTACGTACCTGTTTAATTATTATTTTATTTTATTTGCTTGTTGCAGTGACTGAGGCTAGGACAAACCTGTCCTAAAAAGAGAAGAACTTTTCCTAAATTCCTGAATCAAGCTTTATTTCCTGTGAGACACACTGTTCTATTGCATAGTAGCCACACAGCCTCAAAGCTGAACCTTGTAGATGCTGATGACCGTGGGGATTCTGGTTGCTTGTAACCAGGCTGGGGATGCTGCATCCAGGCTGGAGGGATGGAGACAACAGGGCAAGCAACGCACCCATTGGTTCACACAGCTTGGTCTTGAGCTGTGGTGTCTTCTACCATGATATAAAAAGCCTCATGCAGTCCCTCTACTCAGCTCCTTTCCACTTCTCTGCTTTGAATGGCCAAAGTTTCTTTCTTTTTATCTTTATTTGTTCTAAACAAAAACAAAACAAAACAAACCAAACCAAAACAAAAAATAGGATGCATGCGCAGAACGTGCAGGTTTGTTGCATAGGTATATGTGTGCCATGGTGGTTTACTGCACCTATTGACCTGTCCTTTAGGATCCTTCCCCTCACCCCCCACCCCCCAACAGGCCCTGATGTATGTTGTTCCCTTCTCTGTGTCCATGTGTTCTCAATGTTCGACTCCCACTTATGAGTGAGAACATGTAATGTTTGGTTTTCTGTTCTGGTGTTAGTTTGCTGAAGATGGTGACTTCCAGTTTCATCTATGTCCCTGCAAAGGACATGATCCTTTTGATGGCTGCGTAGTATTCCATGTACCACATTTTCTTTATCCAGTCTATCGCTGATGGGCATTTGGGTTGGTGCCATGTCTTTGCTATTGTAAATATTGCTGCAATAAACATATGTGTGCATGTGTCTTTATAGTAGAATGATTTATATTCCTTTGGGTATAAACCTAGTAATGAAATTACTGGATCAAATGGTATCTCTGGTTCTAGATCCTTGAGGAATCACCATACTGTCTTCCACAATGATTGAACTAATTTACATTCCTACCAACAGTGTAAAAGTGTTACTATTTCTCCACAGCCTCACCAGCATCTATTATTCCTGACATTTTAGTAATTGCCTGAATGGCCAAAGTTTCAGTGTACAGTGTACAATGATTGTACAGTGTACAGTGATTGAAAAACCCACAGTCACCTTGGGCTGGTGGGAATATAAAATGGTGCATCTTCTGGATAATCATTTGGCAGTTTCTTAAAAGGTTAAACATAGAATCATTATTTAACCCATCAGTTCTATTCCTAGGTGTATTCCCAAAAGAACTGAAAACAGGGACTCAAACATATACTTGTACAGTAATGTTTATAGAAAAATGATTCACAATAGCCAAAAGGAAGAAACTACCCAAGTGTCCATTAACAAAACAATGAATAAAGTGTGGTATAAAGATACAACGGAATATTATTTAGCCATTCAAAGGAATAAAGTATTGATGCATACTGCAACATGGATGAATCTCAAAAAAATTTTGCTAAATGAAATGTTAGACACAGAAGAACACATATTGTATGTTACCACTTATATGAGTTACCTAGAACAAGCAATTATAGAGAGAAAAAGTAAATTATAGCTTGGGGCTGAAGGAAGGGTGAAATTGTAAGTTATTCCTTAATGGGTGCAGAGTTTTCCTTTAAGTTGACAAAATATTTTGGAAATTGTTTGTGGTGATAATTGCAAACCATGCAAATGTCATTAATAACATTGATTTGTATACTCAAATGGTTGCAATGGCAAATTTAATACACACAACCCCTGACATATTGCCAGGATAAAAAAAATAGTAACAAAAATAGTGAAATAAGGAAGAATGATTTCTCAGACAAGCACAAAAAGCTCTTGCAAGAGAACTCTTCAAAACCCATTCCAAAATGATACAAAATTAAGTTAGTGTTACATTTTTAAAAGAAAATTCATGTAATCCTAACACAGAAACCCTTAATTAAAAGTAAGCCTTTATGTTGGGAGTGTAAATTAGTTCAACCATTGTGGAGGACAGTGTGCTGATTCCTCGAAGACCTGGAACCAGAAATACCATTTGACCCAGAAATCCCATTACTGGATATATACCCAAAGGAATATAAATCCTTCTATAAAGATACATGCACGGATATATTCATGGCAGAACTATTTACAATAGCAAAGATATGGAATCAGTCTAAATGCCCATCAATGATAGACTGGATAAAGAAAATGTGGTACATATATGGCATGGAATACTATGCAGCCATAAAAGGGAATGAGATCGTGTCCTTTGCAGGGACATAGAGTTGGAAGCCACTATCCTCAGCAAACTAATGAAGGAACAGAAAACCAAACACCGCATGTTCTCACTTATAAGTGGGAGCTGAATGATGAGAACACATGGACACATGGGGGGAACAACACACACTAGAGCCTGTCGGTGGGGGCTGGGGGAGGGAGAGCATCAGGAAGAATAGCTAATGGATGCTGGTCTTAATACCTAGGTGATGGGATGATCTGTGCAGCAAACTACCATGGCACACATTTACCTATGAAACAAACCTGCACATCCTGTACACATACTCCTGAACTTAAAATAAAGTTGAAGAAAAAAGTAGGCCTTTAATAAAGTTCTTAAACAGTTAGTAAATAAAGGAAATTTTGTTTCAAACAAAATGTAACAATACCAACAAACTCCCTAAACTCTTTCTTGGGCATCTCTGACCTGAGAGTCCTGCTGAACCCCCAGCTGCTCCCCCAGGCCACCCCACAACCCTCGCCTTTACACTCCAGCCTGTCCATCGTGTTCAGAAGGAGCTGCACAATCTGTCCTGGTATTTTTCTCACCCTCTTCCTATTGTCTTCCTAACCTTTGGTTTAACCAGCAATTCTGAATCCTTGAACGGGTTGGGTAGAAATCTTACTCACAAGTTAATATTTTTAACCCTGTCACAAATGTTTGTTCATTAACTCATTGCTCTGTAAATGTTTGATGACTGCTTACTTGCTCAGTCAGGCTGTCTATAGGTAAAGGTTAAGGCCCATCTCCCAGCTCTGTGATTTGTGTGCAAAACTTCAATATGGAAACTGATAAATGCTGAAAGATTAGTGTATAGCACTGTCATTTATTTTATTAAGTGCATTCTTTCTTTTCCTAGAACTTTGAGAAGATAATACATATGTTCACGTCAATATACAACCATTTGGCACAGCTTCCTGGGAGGAATAATAAGAAAAACATGCTTTGGAGGAAAACTCAAGATACAAAAATGAATGGCTATGCATAATAACAATAAAAATGTATTCCCCAAACAAATCTTAATGTTTATTTTTAACTGATCTTCCGGAAAAGATTTAAGGTATATAAATGCACACAATCTACAACAAGATAATTGAGGGAGGAACACGGAATGTGGGGAAGAAGAGAGTAGGAGAGATCAAATAAAGCCAGGAGTGGAGTTAAATACAAATGCATACTGCCTAATGTATATTGAAAATTGGTCAAAGTTTTGACTCTAAATTTTCTTGCAGAAAATGAGGAAAAGGATGACATGTAGATTTATATAGTTTGCAAACTATAGTACTGTCCAACAGTCCACGCAGTGTACCTAACTCCCTCATGGTAAGATAATGCAAGAAGGTAATAAGCCGATTTTGTTTTTGTTTCTTTTCCTCTCTCATGATGTACCCTGAATGACATTTTCTGCAGTGGTATGCCCTTAAGCCCATAGCCAGAGTAATGTGTGGTTCCCAGCATGTTAGCCGTGACACCCTCTTTTTCACTCAGGAGAAATATTAGATTGCACATGATTGAGAATAAGGTTGCTGAATGATTAACTTTTCAATTTAATTTCTTAACTCTAATATTAATAAAAGTAAGACGCTCACAAGCTTTGATCCTTCCACATTAGTAACAGATTACTCACTGCAATACTTTCATATTCCAACATAATGTTTGAGAAGCATGCCTGTGAACAGTGTTAAATTATACAAAATCTAATTATGTACATAGGAGTTATCAGTAAGGATATTTCTCAATCTTTCTCCAGAATGCAGTAAAAAATAAGGTAAATCGATTATCGGCTTCCTTTAGATTGTGCAGAGAAATAAGTACAGTCAATACCTTCACTTTCCTCGCTTCTTTCACCTTCCCTGCTCCCGCAGGTTGAATAGTATTATCTGATGCTTTCCATGGCCTGATAGTATCTGGATATTCATAATATGATTGTGCTGAGTGGCACACTGCTATTGCCTCAAGAATGATCCAGACCTTCGAATGCATTGGGGAGGGGGGAACAAGAAAAAAAAAAAAAAACTCTCTTAAAAGTGATATCGTATTTCACCAGCAGATGGCAAGCTACACTCAGTTGTGTGTATATGTGACTAAAGTTGTGCAAAGATTTCATACACAAGACATAGAGAAAGGCCATTTCTTTCTAATTGAAGTAGCTAGAAATCTAATAATCAATGTCTAAAGAGATCTATCCAATTAAGCTTTAAGTTGAGTTCGTCTTGGTCTCGAGGGGATTGTATTTAGTGGGTGGAACACAGCAGCAAGAGGTAGGCATGTAAGGACTGGGGTTAGCAGTACTTGGAAATATCTTCTTGCCTCTGGGGGAGAAAGATTTTAAAAGGCTAGAAAGTCACCAGGGCTTCTGCTAAATGGGCTGGTCTTGAATTTCGGCTGGACTTTAGGTAGTAAAAGCATGGCCTGGACCACTGTGGCTGAGACAAGTAAGGCCTGAAAAATCAGCAGGAAAAGTTGGAGCTTGAGGCTGAGAACTGTCAGCTGATGAGATACCCAGGAGGGTGGGGATGTGGGTCTGAATTCAGGGACAGGCTCAGTAAGTAGGCAATGGGACACCTGTGCAGAAACTGCCTCTATCCCATCAGCCAAATACATGAGGATGACTTCGCTGGGATGAGGTCAGTGTCTACATGAATTCCCCCAGACAGAACAGTCCCCATTCTCTAGTACTGGCTCAGTCATGCACCTTGACCCTAAAGCCAGAGTCTCTCTGATGGCTACACCCAGTCCATCCAGCCCAGTTCCATGACAGGACACCCAAAGCATTCTTGATTTGAGCCTAATGCTCTCCAGTACCTTCTTTGGATGCCCTGTGGAAGATGGACAGATTTCGTAAAATATGCTGTCCTCTATTTGTGGCCCTCTAGCTGGACTGTCTTAGTGCCCCTTCTGGACACTGAAAGGGATTCCTGACACTGATGCCTATCTGAACTGTGTCTGAACCTGCTCAACCATTGGAAGCTACTTTGGATGACCTCCAAAGCCAAACATTTTATGCATTCCAAAAAGGGAGAAAGTTGACTCAGCAATTGTCTGCCTAATTTTCAGCTGCTGAACTATTTCAATGACATAATGAATATTTTAAATGATTATAATTATTCTTAAAATGTTAGTGAATTTTAAAAGTCCATCAGTTTGAATCAACAACATTATTTTAGATTTATTTTGGTACCATGGCGAAATTTTATTCATAATACCATTTTTTTTGCTTAACTTCAGTTCTTTGCACCTTGTTATATTATTCAAGTTCTTATAATGTTATGAGATTTAGGAATAGTCCTCTGATTATATGCCCTCCCTGTTAGCTGAATATAATTGTTAATAAACAATTTAATTGTTTTCCCTTTTCATAATATGTCATTTAAGTGAGCCATACTGGCCATTAGAAAGTTGTTCTCATTGAGATACTGCAGCTGCATGTTTTAGTTATAAAATTTTTCTCATACAAATATCACAACTAAATATATTAGACTTAGGCTGTAAAGGCAAAATTACACACCATGGCTTTGTTCTTGACATTAATTACCTCTTTACAAATATTTTCTTACATTCCAGTAGACAGAAATTTCTCTCAGGTAGCAAAGCAAATAAATACTGTAAGTTCTGTAGTGGTGATCAACATATTCTTTCTTTAATAAATTCGAAAAGAAAAAGACATGAAAAAGCATGAAGACAAAAGTCGAAGGCTTAGGGATTAAATAGTGTATGGCTGCCAGTTACAGAAATTGACAGAGACATTCTGTTGCTTGACACTACTTTATAGTTTGTGCTGGAAAAGTATGGTGGTCAAACTTTAATATTTTTATGATTGTCATAGTGTGATGAGTATGAGAATGTGAATCACAACCTCCAATTGCAGGGGCCATATTGACAAGGGTTCTAGCTCTGCACCCTGAAATTCACTGTCACCTTTGCAGCAAGACCACACTACCTATGGGTTGCTCCCAGTCAGTGACTGAGCACAACAGGATACTTAGAGCTATCCCTGGGAGAAGAGGGACTCCTTTGACAGATGACTGGCTCAAGACTCCCAAGTAACCTTGCCAAACTTTCCTTAGACTTTACAGCAGTCTGGAATGCTTCTACCCAACCTTTCTTCTCTCTTCCCTCTCTCCTTCACTCAGGGTGGACATCCATTGTGCTCTGACAGCTCTCCCAGCCCTACCCAGATCCCTCCCCATTCTCTCTCACAGGCGTTTTGCACATTTAATTCTGTTTTGGCATTTGCTTCTCTGAGGACCCAGATGAAAACACATATGATCAAGGGAATAGTTTTCAAATTAGCATGTCTAAATGTCTTTAAATCAAACTACATTCTATATATATACCTGTCTGATAATATTTTTGTAGTATCTGATAGTTATAAAAGTAACACATGTTCATTAGACAAAATATAGAAAACCTTTATGGCTTACACTCTTTTTTTTTTTTTTTTGAGACTGAGTCTCGCTCTGTCACCTAGGCTGGAGTACAATAGCGTGATCTTGGCTCACTGCAATCTCCACCTCCCTGGCTCAAGAGATTCTCCTGCCTCAGCCTCCCAAGTAGGTGGGACTACAGGCGCCCGCCACCACGCCTAATCTTTTGTATTTTTGGTAGAGACGGGGTTTCACCATGTTAGCCAGGATGGTCTCGATCTGACCTTGTGATCCACCCGCCTCAGCCTCCCAAAGTGCTGGGATTACAGGTGTGAGCCACTGCGCCCAGCCTATGCTTTGCACTCTCTTATGGCAACATTTTTTATGGTCTTTAGTATTCAATAATGAAGGAAAGTTATTTGTGTCACAAACACCTATCCTACACTGACATGACTTGGGAACCACATTCAAAAGTCCATTTTCACAAATTATTGGTAAAATAAACTCTGATACATCCAAGCTATGCAACTGTCCAATATAAACCTACTGTTGCATTCTTTAGTGGAGCAATTTTCATGCTGCCTTATTAAGTTCATACACCAAAACAGGAGGAAAACCCAGAAGGATTCACACCAAAATGCTAGTTTTGACATTTTGAGTAGCTACTTTGATATTTTGGGTCTTTTTGTTTTATTTCATGTTTTTGCTTATTTCTGTTCTTTGAATAATAAGGGGGGATATTCCATTGCTATCCAAGGGTTCAGCGTCTTCTTTGGGGTACTTTAAATTAAAGTAGATGCTCTATCTTGGGTACTTCATTCATCTGGAGAACATGGCATGCTTCCTTATCAGTTAAATCACAGAGTTGACAATTAATTGATATTATGGCTAATAATATCAGTTAATTACTGATATACTGTTGGGTGGTATGCCTCTCACTATGATGTAATACATCTTTCAGTGTAAACTGCTTTTCAAAAGTATTTTCCAATAGGAAATATGGTCAGCATTAGCATAAATCAGACTATAACAAGAAGCAGAAATTTGTTATCCTGTTGCTCTTTCTATGGTGATAAATAAATAGTCCCTCTAGCAGCCCAGATTTATGTTACCAAGAAGTCAGTGGACTTTGGACTGGTAAATCAAAATTCAGGAAATTTGAGGGCCCAGATCTGCCTCTAGCTATGTGCAAGAAATCAGACAAACTTATACAACCTTTCTCCAACAAGCGAGGTTATGACTTCTGAGGTCTTATTCAACCTTTTCATTCCATGATTCCAAACAATCATTCTTGCTCTTTGAATGGTAATAATAGCAGGTACATCCTTGCAGTAAAAATGTGCTCTTCTTTTTCACTCAGGGACTGGTTACCCCAACCAGAAACACCCTCAAGCTAGTAAGGGGTTTTGCTGTAAGAATGCGATAGACCATCTTATAGGTATCCAAGGAGAGAAACCAAAAGTGTGATCAGACTGCATTGGTTTAGAGCTGAAAAGTAAGAACTAAGGCTATTTATGTAAGTTCTCATGTATCTTAAAAGAAGTCTAGACAGAGAGCATCTATTGGCAACTCTGCTATACTCTAATTCTTCAGTTCCTGTAGTTAACCAGTTATATTATTAAGTTTGATTTGTTAAAAAAATAGAGAAGGTTGCATAGGCTTTTCCAGCAGTTAAGAAATCTGTCTATCTATCTATCTATCTATCTATCTATCTATCTATCTATCTATCTATCTATCATCTATCTATCTATCTGTCTGTCTGTCTGTCTATCTATCCATCCATCTATCTTTCTATCCATCTATCTATCAATCATCTATCAAGCCATCTATTTATCTCTATACTTTGAGGGGCTCAAATCACTATTTCCCAGCTGCCAGGAGTGTAGGAAGTGCTGAGAATGTTGTCAGCTGATGGTTCACAGACGAAGGGAGGAGCTTTGCCCAAGGTGGCCACCAGTTCCAACTTTACATTTTTAATCAATATGGGGAAGGAGAAATAATCTTAGTGAGGGTTTCCATACACCATACACTTAGTGAGCATTTCCATACATGGATGGTCCAAGCATTCTGGGGCGTAACTGACAAGATCAAGAACTTTCCTTGCTGAGCATACTCCTTGGCCCGAAAATGCTATTTAAACAAATGTATCCCAAGGTACTAATGAAGGATGTGCACAGATGTTTGACTATTGAGATGTTTATTCAGTATTGTCAGTGAAGAAACCACCTAAGTATCCAATAGCACAACAGTTTGTTGAGTAATGCATACTATGGAATATAACACAGCTGTTAGAAATGAGATGGTTTCTGCTTTCTTGACAGGAAAACTTATCTCAATAAAGGGCCAAGCAAAGGAGGCAGGTTATGAAACACATGTATAGCAGGTTCCTAGTTTTATTTGTTCAAATCATTTTATAAGTGCATAAGAAACACCTGGAGAATAATATGCCAAAATACTAATAGTGATTACCTCTGTGTAGTGGAGAGTAGGATTAGATAGGATTTTATTTCCTTTGGGCGTTGTGCATTTATTGAATGCCTTATAGAGAATACATGCTTACTGTGTTAGCAAAAGGCCAATAAAATTGTTTTTTAAAATAAATGCCTCCAATTGTCCACAATTATGAAATTTGTTGATAAAATGCTGCAAGATAAGTTCTTTTTTTCTGATTAAAGTATCCCAACTGTCAAGTAATTCTCATTTCAGAGGTGGAACCTCAACTTTCCTCTCTGTACATTTATATTTAACTCCTCTCACATGTATTTAGGCAAAGAAAATATTTAAATGAAGAAAACAAAATTTGGCACTCACATGAAGGCCATTTTTAAGCTTGTCAAATTATTCTCAGGGTGGATGTCCTGGGAAGTAAGATGAGTGACATACCTCTCTTGTGGGTATAAAATACTTGAGCATTAGCCAACTAATTAGTACCTAACTCCTAATGGTACAGACAAACTCACTGTTTCTGGTGCTGCTTAAGAGGGTGTTGACAAGAAGCATCATGATCATGAAATCAGGTAACCAAAAAACAGGAATCCAGACATTGTCTGCCTCTCCTTTTTATTTATTTTTCTTTATTATTATTTTTGTTTTTAGAGTTTCTAGCTAAAAACAGAGCTGAAGTCATTGTAAAAAAGACACATTATAGTTTTCCATATGCTACTTCTCTAGATTTTTCAAAAAATCCCCTTTCATCACAAAAATCCTTCTGCAGACCATAAACACATAAAGATCTTTTAGACATTCATTCCACTACTGTTCCTTCTTAGAAGCATTATATTTTCGATCACATTTTAAAACATCACTAACATTGCAACAACAGATATCAAAAGGTAATAAAACATACTGTAAAAAAATTACGTGTTTTGTTTGAAATATGGCATTTATTTTACAATGCACATATTAGGTCGAATTGTAACAAGCATTATTTTCCCTACTCTTCTAGAGTATGCACACAGGTTACTCTGAATGCAATGCAATAAGCCTTTTCCACCAGCTTTAACTCACCTTCTGTACCAAAGGGCAAACCTACCACTATGGCTTGTGATGGCTTACAAAGAAAAACTGAAGCATAGCCTTAAGAAAAATGCTGCAAGATGTGTCTATGAAGAGCACTGCAGTGAGTTGTTAGGGCAAGGGGCACATGGCCTTACATAGGCTGTCCCAGGCAATGCCCAGCCTCATCCTGTAAGGAAGTCGGAAGTCTCCGCTTTGGAAACTAGTTAGCTCACACTCTTTTCGGGTTTGTTCTCTTCTGGGCACTCCTAGTTTTAATGTTCTTCTTGGGACTGGCTGGTTTGGGAGCAGGAGGCTTTCCCTTTGGTTTGGGGGGATTACTACGACTGGTGCGCCCGGCTGTTTTCTTCTTGTCCTGAACTGTTCTCCGCTGTTCCTGCAGCCTCTCTTCCCACTGCTGAAAAGCAATTTGTAAACATGACTGTCAAATTATCTCACCCCTTTATGGTGCTCAGCTAATGTGAAAATTAAGGCAAGTTTTTCACTGTAATATATTAATGACGGTAACAATTGTAATAGCTACCCTATGTGAAGCACTTATCATGTACCAGGTGACTTGGAAAGTGCTCAGTGTGTGATGAAGTTTCCACATGCATTCATTTCATTGAAACAACAGTCCTTCCAAATAGGCACCACTGACAGGGGCAGGAAACAAGCCCAAAGAGGTTATTTGCAGTGCACAGAGCTGGTAAATGTCAGAGTCAGGATTCAAATTCACCCACTCTGACTCCAGAGCCTGAGGCCCTCACCCATGCACTTTTGACCACTAGCCCCATAATGCAACATTCCTACAGTGCAAAGCCTTCTAAAAAGGCTCTTATTTCATGGCTACTAGCATTAGTTTACCCCATGTCACTGGGAAGTCAGGAGTTTGTTCACTTCATTCTCCCACATCCAAAGGAAGACAGAGGCCCCTTCTACACCTAGTCATCCGCTAACGTGCTAGCTATCCAGAACCATTGGGAATTGAGTCATTCTGAAAAATCAAGTTTCTCTGATAGAAAAAAATTTATTCTTTAAATAGCTCAAGTAAGGAACAATAAAAAAGTGAGTCCACTTGAATTGACATTGCTTTATATTAACGCAGATGTGCCTGCTTGGCTAGAGTCTATTTCATTCAGCCAAAAGTTTGACCACAGTCATCAGCTGGGTATTATTCTAGGCACTAGGAATGCAAAGAAAAGAAAAACATTGTCCCCACTGTGCTATGACACACTTCTAGTCTATTCTAAAATAATAAACTCACTATGGTATGTTGCTATCATGTGGTGATATTTGCAAATTTCTACTGAAGTATATTGGAAAATATGCTGCCAAACTGAATGGTCCCCAGAGCTATGATTATTGAATGCTTTCCTCTTGGCAAGCTCAGGTTCTCATGGTCTGCTTGCCTTCATGTATTGATGCTTCTAATCTACTGTAGTCCTGGAAACCAGATAACCAATCTTGCTAGAATTTCCTGTCTAATAGAACTAAGCATGCTCCTGAGCAGCTCATGAGTTTTTAGCTCTGATTTAACACAATAGTGTTTGGTTCTCTTATTCAGAAACGCACTGACTAGCGGAGGCTGTGTTCTAACTACATTCTCCATAACTCAATTGTTAATATGTACTTTTCTCTTGCTTGGATCTCTTTATTGGTGCAAACTAAGAGAGCATAGGCAATAGCAATATGTTTTGTGAACCTATAAACACAAATTCTTCTGAATATATATGACATATTTTGCAAAGAAGGATGCTTTAAAAATTTAAAACCAATTACCTGGTGTCTTTAGATTGGTATAATTTCACATCTCTGGGAAAAAATTATTCTAACTCCTCTAATTGAATTACCAATATTTCTACGATGTTACCACAAAAATCATAGATTTGACTGCAAAACGATTACTTTTTGCATATAATTTTTGACAAAAGTCTTAAATTATTATAAATACAGGAAAAGATTCTGCTGTGTATAGTGATAGGGTAAGTTTTAGTACTAGATATTTCACCCCTCCAAATATATGTCAGTTTTAATCTCAATAGATATTAAGTCTGCTCAAGTA
This sequence comes from Homo sapiens, assembly GCF_000001405.40. Taxonomy (NCBI): domain Eukaryota; kingdom Metazoa; phylum Chordata; class Mammalia; order Primates; family Hominidae; genus Homo; species Homo sapiens. Next base: position 37,909,312 of record NC_000007.14, read on the forward strand.
TCTCATGGTTCACTAAAACAACTACATGTAATAAAGAAACAAAAGGCTCATTTAACTTGGAAATAACCAGTACCTTAGTATTGAACACAACTAAATCACCTTTGAAGTCGAATGATAGATTCCTGGTAAAAATTCTGAGTGAGAATAGCTACACTCTTAACGGCCTATTCAAAAGACAAATACTGTTGCTATTGCTGGCTCTTATGAGAGCTTGGAGATTAGAGAATGGGAAGAATTCCCCAACTCTAAAGAAATCTGTTATGTGCACTTACATCCATCTTCACAGCATTGTTCATGATACTTACTATGGATCTTTTACTAAGCTGATCTCTCCATTTTTCAACTAAGCAATTTTCAAGAAGCATCATCCTGAAAAAAAATTATCTTAGTAAACAGATTTTTATTACAAAAGTAAACAGCTAAAAATACAGAAATTGTAAAAAAATTATTCAATAATCCTTTACCCCATAATCCACACATCCACCATTTATATTTTATTGGTGTTTCCTTTCATTCCTCCTTGTAACAATATTAATTATATTTATTAGATCACATTGTGTATTGAGATGATCTGCTGATCTGCAAATTTCCTTTTGTCATTATATGATCTAAATTTTCTGATGTAATTAGAGTAATTTAAAAATATAATGTTAATAATATAATACTATGAATATGGATATCCATAATATATCTATCCATTTCTTTATTGCTGAATTCCCCTTTTGCTTAGCTATGATTACCAGTATTGCATTGAATAACCCTGTATACAGTAGTGTGCACTGGCTTATTATTTTCTTAGGACAGATTTTTAAAATAGAATAACTGAGTTAAAGGGTATGTATTTTTTAAAAAGATTTTCAATGCATAGTGCCAAGTTGTTTTCAAAATGGTTGCACTTTCATCCAATTCACTAACATTAAGAATTAGGTGAAAATGGAATCTTATTTTTATTTGGATTTAGAATTAAGGAGATAATTTTTTAAATGTTTACTTACTATCTGTATTCTATTTGTATTACTATTTGAACTTCTCTATATAAATTTCTGTATATATATTTCTATATCATGATCTCAATGTTTAAATATTAATTTTATGAACTCTTTAGTAAGATTACTATTTTTTCATATCTTTTCAAGTATGTTTCTCAATTTTTATTTGCCTTTCTATCATTATTTGTGATTTTTATATGTATAATATTATGCAGTCAGATATGTGTATTGATATTTTTCCTTGTAATTTCTTACATTACTTTTATGTTTACAAATTACTTTTCTTTTCAGATATAACATATTTAGTCACTAATTTTGTCCTTTTTTTAAAGTTCTTAGAATATTTATCTATTTAATCCATTTGAAAGTTATTGTAAAGCACAGTATAAAGTGAAAAGAATGTATTTTTTTACAAATAGGAATATTTTCAACATTTACCAAATAATACATTCATTTTCTATTGATGTGCCATATTTCCTTCATAATGAAAAGCTGTATTTTATGCATTAAAACCTGTTTCAAGAGTTTTTCCTCTGTTTCATTTATCTTTACGTCTACTATTGCATCACATGGTTTTAACAAGTGTAACTTTACACCAGGTTTGCGGGTCTCATAAGGCAGATTTCCTCTCTTATTTTCAGAATTGTCTTTACATACCCTTACCAATTTATTAGAATCATTTGTGAGGACATAAATCCCAATTATCCAAAACTATTTTTACTGGGATGGATTATAATCCATTCATCTCTCCAGATAGAATGTAATGACCAACAACCTGGTATCCCCAACTGGATCTCTAGCACTGCAGCAGATGCAAACACCTTGGTAGAGATGAGTCCAGAATCACTGATTGCTTCTTTAGGGAGACAAGATATACGCAGAATCTGGCTTTAAAACCAAGAACTCAAGGTGATATCCATGTTGTAAGGAGGGCACCCAAGTACTGATAGAATACAGAAAAGTGGAGTTAGTTCCCAAAGATGTTTTTGGTTTCTTTTCAGAGGAATAGTCTTAGGTTATATCTAGAAGAAACAGATGAGCATTAACAGCAGAGAATGGGAGGGATGCCTTGTTATGTAAAACTGAGTGATTTTGCTGGAGAAGTATACTGCATCAACTTATGGGGCCCAACATGGAGGCTGGGCTCAAGAGTTTGACTTTATATTACAAGTAATGTACCAATATCCAAAAAAAATAAGAAAGAAAGAGAGGCCAGGGAGACAAATACACACAGCTAGAATTTGTGTGTATGTGTATGAGTGTGTGTGAAGCATATATTTATTTGTTTATACATTGCCTTGTGATGATTTGAATTGAGAATCACATATCCGATTCAGAAATCACCTTAAAGTGTGTGTGTGTGCATGCGTGTTTGTTTGCAATACTCTATCAAATATTATGAAGTGTTTATATGGAAAATATGTGGAACTATAGTCTCAACTCCCTACTTACTTGATCTGTAAGCTATTAAAGTGGCCTTAAAAGTTCAGTATGTGCCACTCTAAAATTGTTTGAATGATTTGAAAAGAATTGTTCTTCCTTAAAATAATTGACTTGCTGTAAATTTTGAAGTCACTTAATGAATTTTGAAACTGATTTTTAAAGACTCTATTCAAATACTCATATTTTGATTTTTCCTTCATTCTATGAAGAATTAATTGATAGAATATATGCTATTCAAACAGAGGCATCTGTTAAACTAATTTTTTTAAAAAGACTTTGGCATATTTTTGTTATATTTTTAAACCATGACTGCTAACTGAGATTGAGGTCTTCCTAACAGTGTGCATACAGTTCCTTCTGCCTCTTTGTGCCTACCTTGAGCGCCACTCGTAACACATGATGAGAACATCTTGATGGGGCAGGATGTGTGGACACTGGCAAGAAGAATTTGTAATGAGCGGGACTTGAGTTCGAGGGATGGGTGATGAGGACTTGAAGATCTCTTTTACATCCACCACCGTTGTGACCTCATTGCAGCCACTCCTCTGCACAGCTTTTATTTTGGCATGAATAACTGCAATTTAAAAATAGATAAAAGTGTTGTTGAAGGTTTTGGGGAAAAACTAGGGATGGTGTATTCATGCCAACTTCTGAGCCTCTCTTAAAGAATCACTCCTGTAATTATGGTTATGTCCAAGTGGCCTGAGTGCAGGCAAACAGCCCACACAGTCATATGCTAAATGGATGGTGTCCTATATTGTCAACATTGTCTTAAATGTTCCGGGGCATACTGCAAGATAGGAAAGCAAGCTGAAAAGCAGGTTTTAGTCTTTCTCTGCCTTTAGGTCAGTAAAAAATTCACAGAAACATATATTTGTATTCTTCCTTGTGGTGATTTGAAGTGGGGATCATATATATTCAGATCAGAAGTCATCTTAAGGTTTGCATTTCTTCAATCACTCATCTGATGCTTGAGCTTCTTCTGTTTTACAGAGATAGTCATTAGTCATAACATTTTTGAACTGGAGGGAGTCTCTGAGGACTACTGTTCTCAATCTTTTAACTTCACAGACTGACAAAGTAGACCCATGGTGAGCAGAGATAGAACTGTTATTACAGATGGCTGTTAATGTCACTGTCTCTGACCAAGTTTTAAATGCTGGTTTCTGTGGTCTCTTGCTATTACTGCCTCCCGTAGAGTTGTAATCAGCCTAATATGGCTCTGTCTTGGATTCCATTTCAGGAAGCCAGTTTATGAAGACACCAAAGGACTTGAATACAAAATGGTTTCTTCATCAAGGTCGTTCAAAGGCCATAACACCCCAGAGAATGACATGACAGTGAAACTCAGATTAATATCTCAGGCTGGATCTTGGCAGAGGAGGGACTAAGTAAATCAGATGAGGATGGTAGCTACATAGAGCAGGCTTTAAGAAAAAAAGCTACAGGAAAAGATAAACTACTTTTTGTTGTTGCTGAATTACCCCCATTGGCTAAATATGATTCTTAAATCTGATAGTTTTGTAACAGCTTATTTTTTTTCAGATTTCTACATTTCTGTGATCCTCCTACTTTCATGTCTGATATGTATCCTAAAGTTTCTTACTGATATAAAATTTCAATCTGCAAGATGAAAACTAAGTCAGCAAACAAAATAAGCATTTTCCCTAAAACCACTTTATGTTATTTCAGCAGAAATGATTTAAGACATGCAATGAAATATAAAGTAGGCAGCCCAAACAGACATTTTTAAAATGTCTGCCTTTTACATTTCTTTTTGAATTGAAAAAGAACATATGTTAATTAAATTTACTTTCAGATGACAATTGTGAAATTAAAATTACTTAAAACATTTCAAATTTCATGACTGACTTATTCATGGAAGAAAATGCTGAATGGTTCTTTCAAGTAAGAGAGAGGAGGGCATTTAAACTAGTTCGATAGTGTAACCATAGGATTTTGTGATTAACATTTTTTTCACAATTTATTTAAGATGTTAAATATTTGTAGCTAGTCACAAGTAAAAGGATATGCAGGCAGATCTTAATTGTCTGGGCCTATGGGCCTTAATTCTCTGACTCTCAGATAATCAGATCCATGGATCATTCTCTCATTCTTCCTGCAGCAGTAAAACCTCAGGAAGAGAACAGGTGGGGTGTGCCATCAGGGCTGATAAGCACTTCTCACCAAGACAAGGAGGATCAAGATGTCAAATTTTCAATCTGATGCATGTAATTTTTATCACCTGGGTCATTTCCTTTGTTTGCACTTGATTCATCCAGAAAAGCAAGATATTTTGCAGTTGTTATTGTGCCATATATTAATAGAATTCACATGATCAACTGGAAAAATAGTCAACCTTTTGTTTTCTTTACTTTGTGACTAGCTTTAGTGAGAGCGACCTTATTGAGATTCCAGCTTTGTAATGAACCAAGTCTCAAAAGTAAATGGCTTTAACAGACGACTTACCATAGCTGTAGTTTTTGCTGAGATACGTTGCCAAAGTTGGCTTCACCTTTTTACACTTGCACCGATCTAAAAAAGGCAGAAGAGGCAGAAAGTTGGAAAAAGAACAGAAATCACTCTGGAGAGGAGAAGTAGAGGGAACGTCCATGAAGAAAGAACTCACCGGGGCTTAGGCGTTTACAGTCAACATCAAGAGGCCTTTCCTGTACCATCATGTCTGGTGTGATGTCTATCCACTTAACATCTGAAACACAAACAGGGCCACATGGGCGTGGTTGGTGATTTGGTCTGTTCACCCAGCTGGTATAAAGAGCCCTCTGAAGATATAAACTAAAACAGTATCTCAAAATAATAGTATTTAATGGTAAAAATGGGCCAGGCGAAGTGGCTCACACCTGTAATCCCAGCAGTTTGGGAAGCCAAGGAGGGCAGATCACCTGAGGTCAGGAGTTTGAGACCAGTCTGGCCAATATGGTGAAACCCCATCTCTACTAAAAATACAAAAATTAGCCAGGCATGGTGGTGGATGCCTGTAATCCCAGCTACTCTAGAGGCTGAGGCAGGAGAATCGCTTGAACCCGGGAGGCGAAGGTTGCCGTGAGCTGAGATTGTGCCATTGCACTCCAGCCTGGGCAACAGAGTGAGGCTCCATCTCAAAAAAAGAAAACAAGACAAAAAATATTTATATAAGTAAAAACGGCATGTGATTGTTGACTTCTCCTTTCATAATGATATCCAGGGCTTAGGAAAGAAATCCTCTGGGGGAATATTTGCCTATCCAAGCACAAATCGATGTGAATGTATATCCATTTAACCTCACTGGTATATACAACCAAACTGGATAAATCACATCACTCTCTCCCAAAGTCATATTTAAATGTTGATTTTCCAAGTTAACAGTTTATGTTAATCAAAATAACCAAAATATTTCCAAATCCCTACCTCATATCTTGCAGTGCAGAAACAGTTCACAGGTATATAACCAAAACCAAGCATAACCCTCTATTATTTATATAATTTAAACAATAAATATGTTTTCTTTCCTAAAACTCTAAATTAGAGAGGAGTTTCCATTTACCCTGTTCACTTAACCACTCCTCCTTCATGTTTAGAGCAATGCTCTGGGGTATAACTTCAGAGATTCCAGCACAGCAATATCATAGTCTGTTTAAATGTGGGGTAACCTGGGCCAGATAAAGCCTGGATAAAAGAATGCAAAAATATTCCTAGGTTTCATTTCAAGAAGTGAATTTAAACCTCTCCTTCTTTTTAGAAAAGCAGTCAAATGACCAAAGAAAAAAGAAGGAAGTGGAAGCAGAGATGGGGTTAACTAAAATGCCACTGTAGTTGGCTCCGGGCCAATGACTATGAAACAGACCTCACAATTTTCCAGGGAAACTGCAATTACAAATCTCACTCCTGGTGGGAAGCAATGACCGTTACTGCTTTTTCAGAAAAAAAAAAACTTTTTAAGAAGTAGCGCTAAATGGAACGAGTATTGGCACCTGCTTGGTGAGATTATTTTGGGCATTAAATGAGTCAATAACGTGTAATGTGTTTAACACTTGCTCAGACACCTAGCAACACCTGTTTACTGCTATTATCATTTCTGTTATTACTATAAATGCAAACATCATCGAAGGCTCCCTTTGTAAGCAAAATCTTTTTTTTTTTCTTTATGGGGTGCAGTGCTCTCCGCTAGCTCCTAAAATTCCTATGGGAGAAACCAGACTTTTTCTGAAGAAAATGTTTCCCCCATTCTTTCCCACCTCCTACAAGCCTCAGACGCCCCTGGCAGCCTTAGGTGTGGCCGCCCAGTTCTCGATTGGCAGCCACAGCCCCGGGCGCCTCCTCGCCTCCCTCCATCCTTCCTACGGCCTCACCCTCCGGGAGGTCCGTGACGATGGCTTCAGGCGAGATGCACACGCCACGGTCATAGACAGGCAGCTCGTCGCAGGCCAGGCTTTCGGGCCAGCTGTGGTTGTACATCTTCATGAGGGGCTCGCAGTCGTCGCGCGCGCGTTGGCACACCGACTTGCACGGCTTGATAGGGTCGTGCAGGAACTCCAGGGTGCAAATGGGCGCGTACATGGCACAGAGGAAGAAGCGCAGCACGGCGCTGCAGTTCACGTCCACCAGCTCCTCGTACTGCTCGATGGCCAGGATGGCGTTCTCCTGCGTGCTGTGGTGCAGGTGGTTGGGCATCCGCGTGATGTTCCAGGGCATGTGCCGGCACATAGGGATGCGCACCGCCTCGCAGGGCGCGCCGCGCACGCCCAGCGCCAGGTGCAGCCACAGGCACAGCGCCACTAGGATGGAGAGGAACATGGCACTGCCCTCTCGCGCTGCGACCCCGGCAGACAGAAAGCGCCCTTCTCTTCCTGCCACCCTCATCTTTCGCTGTCCCTTCGCCGAGGAAGAAATCCTCTGGGGCGCAGGAGAGTTTCTTCCCCCAAACTCCAGTCGGCAGCAAAGCGGGGCCGCGGGGTCCGGCCGCGGAGCTCCGCCGTCTGGCACACAGGGCACGAGCAGCGCCAGCTCTCAGCCTTCGGGGCGCGAACCCGCCCGGGCAGCTCCAGTCCCGGACTCCGCAGCTCGGAGCGCAGCCAGCCACGGCCATTGCGGGACCCTATTTATCCCGACACCTCCCCTGACGTGGGCTCGGAACGCTCCCTTGGCAGCTGCAGCCGCGGCGCGGGCTCCCCCTCGGCCGCCCCACCCCCAGGCCCGTCGGTGCAGAAGCGGTGACATCACCCCCTCTGGGCCGCAGCCCAGGGCTGGAAGCCTGCTTTCCCCCTAAAGTCCCTCCTTTTTAGTCTGGCCAGTCTTTTTTCTTCGGACCAAGAAAAAGAACCTCTGGCAGTTGTTTTCGACACCGGATACAAGAGGGTGCGGGAGAGAATTTCAAGAGAGAGAAAGACACTCTTTGGCTGAAAACTGAACTTTGCTCCCTCTGCCTTAGAGTTTTTCCAAGTATAGAGTTGGGGGAAAATAGGAGCTTCTGCTGCCCTCTAATTCTGAAATATATTTGCTTTCTCCGGTAGGGGGCATGAGGAGCGCTGAGGACAGTTGGGACAATGTCCTGCAAGGCAGGCGAGAGTGCAGTGAATGTCAGAACAGGAGGGTCACGTTGTATAAATCACTCCCACTCCGCCCTTAGTTGTGTGGAGTGTGGTTTGTTGTTGTTGTTGCTAGTAGACAGTTTGGGCCGAAATTTTTCCAGTATAACACTTGGTTTGTTTCTGCTCCAGGAAGTTAACAGAACTGGGGGAAGGTGTGCTAGCATCTTCCAGCTTCAGAAATGTCTTCTAACATTTCCTCTTCCTTCTAACTCCCTGTTCCCCTCTGCAGCATTAGTGGAACCCAGGAGAAAACATTGGGCACCACAATCTGAAAGGTCTCCCCTGCTCTGATCCTTCATGCCAAAGGATTTCCACCTCAGCAGCCTAAAATCTTGATTTTTGATGTGCTCAGAGACTGTTGCTTGAGTTGAGTAAGAAGCTGTGTACTATGGGATGCAAGTATGTATGTTTTGCTTTCTCTTTTATCTTACTTGCATTAGGAAAAGGTAGTCCAATTGCTGGCTCAGCTATCTACAGAAAAGGGAGGATTTATTTATATGAGATTGATGTATATCAATCTTCAGGTGGTAAGACTTCTGGTATATGCTATTTATTAGGGCATCAGCAATATGGAAACATGTTCTCTGAATGTTAATCTTTAAAAACATAGTTTAACTTGAATTTAAGGCACATGGTTTTTCTCTCCAAAGCTTAAACCTACACAATTAGTTTAGTTTTGACTGAGGATTAAAACTAAAGACTAAGGATTAAAACAGCTGAGGAAACAACAAGCACAAGTGACATCTATTGGGAATTTACAATGGTCAAGGTATGAAGCTAAGAACTTTAAATGCATTATCTTATTTTTTAGGGAACATGAATTAAACATAGTAAGTGAAAAGGATAAATGAGACAAATACATTTCAGGATTCATCCAAAGAGTCTGGTTCTTATTTAGGGGAAGCCCAGGGTGTTCTTACACTGCCAAGCCACTCTAGAAAGGTAATCTAGTTCCTATAGAACCAGTCTCCACCTCCAAAGATGCCAAGCCAGGCTAGTAAAATATCACATGAGGAGGAAAGCCCAGATGACATCTCAAGCCATTTCTAGCAGTAAACTCCAATGAGTCTAAACCCTTCACTGGGTGAAAAAGATTTTCAGCTGGAGTTCCTACCTGGGGAGCAAGAGAAAGAGCTGAACTACCCTACACTTTTCCTATGAATCTGAGCAGGGCAAACTCGGAGAGGGCTCAAATTTCTGCAGCCAGTTTGAACCTGCTGCATCTGTTTAACTATGTAAGTACCAAGTCACAAAGTCTTATGGGCTTCCCTGATGTTCTCTGAGGCATGCCCTTTAAGAAAAGGTAAGAGGAAATGAAGAGCCCTTCTTCCTAAAGCTTTGTGCCTGCCCCATTCGGCCCATTGGTAGTGTCTCTGGTGGTTCGACAGACAGGGGGCAGCAGAGAAGGATGCATCAGGAAAACCTGTCAACTGTCCCTCCTCTTCGGGACTTCCAGGGAGGCTGTGATTCTAGAACACCCTACTTCAGCATTCAGTCCATTCTTTCCATGCCTTACATTTATTTAACAAGGCTCGGGAAGTTGCCTCATTCAGTGGCTTCTCTCTGGTGACTCCTTTTGGTCTCCTCAAGTGCCTGTTCTTTGCCCATCCTTTAAATGTCTGGAGCTCTCTGGGGCTCCATCCTAATCCTTCTTCTCACACTCAACACTCCCCTGAACTCCAGGTTTTCTCACCCCCAACACTTAGGACATTTGGGGCCAGATAATTTTCTCTTCATTTGGGAGAGGGGAGGTGGCTGTACTGCACATTGTAGGAAGTTTAGTAGCATCCTTGGCCTCTACCCACAAAATGTCAGCGGTAGCCTCCTCCCCATCTACATTGTGATCATCAAAAATGTCTCCAGATATTGCCAAATGTTTCTTTGCTGGGGAGGGGGATGTGAAATTTCCCCAGGAACCACTGTTCTACTCTTCGGCTTCATTTACCACCTATGTACCTATGGCTTCCTAATCCAAAAGCTCTGCTGGTTTCCAGAAGTATTTATCCAGCTGTCCCTTGGATATTTCCACCTTAATACTCCACAGTCAGCTCAAGATCAACCAATCCTAAAATGAATTGATCATCTCTCCTCACTCAGGACTGGATTCCCAGTGGCCCAAACCAGAAACCTCTCTCTCTGAGTTGAAATGCTTCTCTACAGCTCCCACCTGTCTTCCACCCTTTCCATGACCACTCCCGCTGCCTTAGCTGAGTCAGGATCATCTCTTTCCAGGATGATAACAGTAGCTTCCTCCTCTCCCTGCCTTCCCTCTGGCCCTACCCTTTCTGTTGTCTAAGTGGGCTTTCTAAAGCATATGCCTGATGATGCTCCTCCCTAGCTTTACATTGATTGATAGTTCCCACAGTCCTCAATATCAATGACAAATTCCTTAAAATGAGTGCTATGGCTTCAGAGTACTCCTCTACCTTGTCCTTGAACCCCAGCATTATTCTTTTCTTGTCCTTATGCCCTTCATTCAGGAATGTTATCTCCCACTTTCACCTGGCTCAATCTTAATCATCCTTGAAATGCAGTTCAAATGGAAAGACGCTATACATTTTTTTAGTTCCTTTCTTTTTTCTTGATTTCATACTTTATCACTATATTTTTAGAGACAGGGTCTCGCCATGTCACCCAGGCTGGATGGAGTGCAGTGGCATGATCATAGCTCACTGCAACCTCTAACTCCTGGGCTCAAGCGATCCTCCCACTTCAGCCTCAGGAGTAGCTGGGACTACAGGTGTGTGAGCCTCGCTCATTCCATATTATAGATCCTAACATTACATAACTATAAACCCAATTAACCTTATTCTTGAAGAAGCGAAACCCCCCAGACACCCAAACCACTCGGCTGGTGGTATTGCCAGGCGATGGGAGGAGCAGTCTCACTGCAATGTGACCTTGAGGCTATGTCCATGAGTCCTAGGCCCAATGCAAGGGGCTGTCTACTAGTCTCCTAGACTCTTCACTGGGAATGGGAGCTGAGGAGCGGCCATGATGAATAGCTAGTATCATTTCTTCAGGAAAAGACTCGTCTTTCCACTTTTAATTTGGAGGAAGAAGTTTGCAATTTTGTCGAGGGGCAATGTAGGCGGGGCAAACGTTTGCACAGCAAACGCAGCAGCTCTGCTTTTCCTATCTTGACCTTGAACTTGCCCCTCCCTGTGTGATTACCTGTTGAACACTGAAGTTAGTGGAGAAACACACTTCTCAGCACAGTCTCCCCCCATCCCCCCTCTTAAAACACGATGCCTCCCAGGATGCTAGTGGCACCACTGCCACTGCATTTCCTGTTGGCAGCAGTGAGCAGTGAAAACCGAAGCGGCAGAAGGCAGTGGCAGCAGGCAGTGGCAGCAGGCAGTGGCCCAGGCAGAAATAGCTCCCGCGCGATTCACTGGAGCCTTCCCCGGGCCCTGGTCCCGGCTACCGGGACTCGCGCGTCCGGATCTCAAAAGCGGCAGAGGCCACCGAAGGGACAGGAAGCACTTTGGTCCAGACCACACTCCCGGCACAGTGCGGAAAGAGCCGGCGGGAGCCACTCTGATCCCGGACGCCTCAGCGCCCCCTTGGGCTTGGGCTTGCCCTCGGGCCGGGGAAGGCTGACCGCGATGCCAGGACGCGCTCCCCTCCGCACCGTCCCGGGCGCCCTGGGTGCCTGGCTGCTGGGCGGCCTCTGGGCCTGGACCCTGTGCGGCCTGTGCAGCCTGGGGGCGGTGGGAGCCCCGCGCCCGTGCCAGGCGCCGCAGCAGTGGGAGGGGCGCCAGGTTATGTACCAGCAAAGTAGCGGGCGCAACAGCCGCGCCCTGCTCTCCTACGACGGGCTCAACCAGCGCGTGCGGGTGCTGGACGAGAGGAAGGCGCTGATCCCCTGCAAGAGGTACAGGTCATCGGCCCGCGGGGCGGGAGTAGGGAGCCGCGCGGGCATGGGGAGGGCGAGGTCGCAGAGGCCTGCGCCCTGTAACTCTTTCCGGCCCCTTGCAGCTCCTCCCTTCTCCCAGAGAGATCTTTCGCGAGGAGGGTCTCTTGGGGATAGCATGGTCCGGGACTGGGAGGGGCGCTGCGCCCACCGAGGGCGGCCTGCTGGCGGGGGACTCAGTAACACCCAGCGAGGCGGTGGCAGGTAAAGAAGGGACCCATCCAGGGCGGGATCAAGCTGCAGAGTGCCCCATGCCCAGGTTCGCCCCTGTTCTCACGCTGCTGAGTCAGGCTCTGGGCTCATGGAGCCCCCTGCAGTCTAGGGCGTGTCTTCTGCGCTATCTCATTTCTTTCTAGAGACATCTGCTAGAGAGGCACGCAGAATATGTATTTTCTAAGAAATACTTTTTGTATTTTAAAAGAATATGGCAAGATTACAAACGGTATGGGAAAGTGATAAAAAGAAAATTTCACCCACAAACTTAGCAAATTGTTACAGCATTAAAATTTTGGTCTACTCCTTTTAAGTTTTTTGTTTATTTTAAAGCAAATTTTACATACTATGATCAAAAGCCATACGTTATCTGAATCTTTTTTTAACTTAACATTGTCCCTTATATGTTCTTATTTGCCATTTTATTAGCTTGCCTCCTATTTTTAATGGCTGCACAGTATCGCTTACAGGGGCAAAGCTGTAAGTTTCTTTTAAGTATTGGTCTGACCATTCACCTTTTCACATCTGTTGTGACAAAGGAAACCCTCTTTTTGAGATGTCATCTCGCTTGTGGCCCCTTTAAGACCTGATTTCTAATTTGGGATCACCACCTGTCTCCCTTCCAGAGCCCTGCCGTTCCCCCTAAGTGTGTTCCTCTCACTGGCCTCTCTTTATGGCATTTGCATCATTAGGAGTTGCAAAGTGAATTTCCATGGTTTGAAACGCCAATGGACTGTAAGATCTATAGCAAAAGGGCACCATTAGTTTATAGAACAAAACCAAACTTGATAATATCATTTATTCTAAAAGCATTTGTTCAAGTATTAGGCGACTTGAAGAAAGTACGGAAAGGGCAGACCCTTTCAAACAATATCAAGGGTGCAAAATAATGCATTATGAAATGCAGCACAGAGCAGCACAGTCATCATGGTGGACTGGGAATTGATTCGAAGTCTTTCAAGAACATGAATGTTTTCAGTAGGGTCTTGAAGGGCACAGTAATAATAATAACAACTAACAGTTGCATACTTATTATATATGAGGCATGACACTGAGGACTTTACATCTATTATATAATTTAGTTTAAATCTCACAATAACTTGACAGTATAGGTTTTATGATCTCCATTTTACAGACAATAACTCTGAGGTCTAGGGAGATTAAGCAACTTTCTTAAGATCACACAGCTAATGCTTGAGGAAGCTAGGGGGGGGTTCTGACGCCTATGGTATACCAGGTTCACATTCATTCATTTATTTAACAAGCATTTGTTCATGTTAGGCACTGTGTATAAACAGAATGGCTCCTGGCTTTCAGGGAGGTCAGAGTCTGGAGGTGAAGTCACATAAATAAAAAAAATTTCCATACAGTGGGATGAGGGGTGAGAGCTGGGGTTGTGATGAGAAGAACTCAGTTGGGCACCTAACCCAGGCTTCCTGGAGGAGCTGAAATGAGAGTGAGTTCCAAAACACCTGTACAGGTTTTCCAGGGAGATGTGGAGAGACTGCTGGTCCAGGGGGATGCAGGTGTATCCATGCCTGGTATGTGTGTGCCATCCCGGAGTTTTTAGAGCTGAGTAAATTCCAAAAACCACAGACCACTCACTATTAGGGCTGAAGCCCAGGACATGGCGAAGGGTCATACTGAGGAGTTTTAAACAGTGGAATTTGTGATTAGATTATATAAAGATCCCTGGATGTGTCCTTAAGAATGCATTCCCAAGATGTGGACACAAAATGGAGCCATGTGGAGCAAAAGTGGAAGTGAGAACACAATCTTGGAGATTGTCGTAGTGGTCCAGGTGAGAGATGGGTAGTAGCGATGGAAATGGTGAACAGGGGGCAAGTGAATGCATTAGGGAAGTATTGAAGAGGTTCAACTGAGGAAAATGTACATGATTGGACGGGTTGTGGCAGGCGTGGTGAGGGAGAGGAAAACGTTAAAGAGGCCCCCATTTTTGGCTTGTGAAGCTAATGGTACTGATGGCATAGGGTAGATGGTGATGCTGTTCCTTGCAACAGGGCTTGACTTTGTGCACTTCTAATTAAGGGTGCATTGGTATCCTATGTAATTTTATGTGAAGACTTGTACAGTAGTGGCGCATTGATGAATAGTCATATTGAAGATGGACTGGGATGGCCGAGAGCACACTGCTGAAGCAGAGGAGTGTGTCAAAGAGAAGGATAAGGGTTCATCTCTCCAAAGGTAGTATTTTTTTTTTTACAATTAAAAAAATTAGACTTTAGAGTCAGACAAATCTGGATCTGAATCCAGACTCTGAATATGGGTCTTTGGGTAAGTTAATAAAGCTTTCTGAGTCTCAGTATCCTCATTTACAAAATGTGAATACTTATAATGCCTAATTTATTGGATTATTATGGGAATTAAATGAGCTCAAGTGTATAAAACATACAGTACAATGTCTGATAGTACGCACAAGATGCTCTGTTCATGGCCAAGGTTGGTCCCATCGCTACCACTATCATCATTATCCTGGTAAAGTTACCATAGCCCAGAGACTTGCTGCCAGCCCTTTGGGCTCAGAAACTTGATACAGCAGCACACACAGACCCTTCCTTTGGGAACAACCTTCGAGTAAGGAAACTCAAATGCTAAACCTGTCTACTTCAATGAGTCTTATTGCTGGCATGAGGACCAGCATTCTCAAATCCACCAGACTAGGTCATTCTCTCCCTGTAGTCAGAACTATGTGGGGAGCCAAATTATCATCAGGCAGTTGTGAGCAAAGAGTTGGAGCAAATTCATTGAGCAAACATCTAATGATTGCCTGCCCTAGGTTAGGCTGTATGCTCAATGTGGAGTTTTCCATCATGAATAAGACAGGCCAGCCTGGGGTAAGGTTTAATGGTAATCAGGCAAAGGCAAAGTGATGCATTGATTTTCACAATAGAGATGACTTGGTGGTGGTTCTGTGCTACCCCAACTGTGCTGTTCCTGACCCCTTCCACTCAGAATGGACCCTTGGTGAGTACTGCTCAAGTCTGTCTGAGCAACCCTTCTTCCATGACTCCATGACTGACTAATATAGCCTTTAGATGTGTGTTTTATACCTTTAGTGGAGTCACAGCCAACTCTTGCTGGCTTAGAAGCATTTTTGTCCCTTTGCGGTGATTTCTCATTCCTCTGCCCTAATCCAATAGGTGCTGGTTTCACAGTTAAACTTCTAAAAGACATTGTTTTCCCTTTCTTTCCGAGTTCTTGGCAAGGTTCTTTCTGACAGTCACATCGCTGGCCCTAAGTCAGATGTGGAAAAGAATGTTTAATGCATAAACACATTTTTAAGCTCTTTAAGTGTAGATTTGTTGGAACAAACTCAGAAACTTTTTCAGGTATTAACAGTCTGGCCAAGCAACCAGATGTTATTTGAAGAAAATATGGATGAGTTGTCTCTTCATATTTATGAGTAAGTTGAGAAGTAAGTTTTAGAATTGGATCAACTTCTTAAGATTTTCATTTTGCATCCAGATAGTTATGGAAAATCCCATTGATAGTTACTGTGGAATGACTAGGATTTTCCAGGCTCTGTTTTCCCTGAGATGATGGAAAAGATTAAACAACTTTACAAGCTTCAGATAAGACAAGCCTGAGCAGCAAATGGGAAATATTAGTAATTGATACCATTTTATTTTCTAATTCCAACTGTCTTTTCTGACTCCTTGATTAAATTCACAAGTATTTATTTGAAAGACTGAAGGAAATCAAGAAGATGATTTTCATATTTCAGGCAGCATGTTGAACTTTATAGGGGAAGCAGCGTTGATACACAATGAACCCTCTCAGGCCACCAGTAACTATAGGCTCCCCCTTACAAAATGGTGGCTTGGGTGTTGGAATCAATGAAGCTCTTAATGCAGAGTGAGCAGAGAGGCAGTAAAACAATATGCACAGTCTGGTATCTTGGAATATTATTTCATCACCAGTCGTACATGTTCTATTAAGGATTTGTATTTGTAAAACATGAAAAATATGTCACAAATGGGGCAGCAGGTGGATTCTTATTCAAATTCTGATTAATTCATGTCTGCTTCTCTTGATTCTCCCAGAGCATATTATTTCTTGGAGAAGAGAATAGCATTAACCTCTTTTTTAAACAGAGAATCAGCCTCCTGTAGTGGAGAGAGCAGGGGCATTCATGTTAGACCATGATGGAGTGACAACCATGGCTTCTAATCCTGCCTTCACCCCAATAAGGTCCTCAACATTGCAGAACCTCTGTGTTTTTCATCTTTTAATTTAATTTGAATGATGCCTACAATGTTGATACTAAATCACTTTTAGGCTTTCATTTGTTAAATGCTAGGTACAGATAGTATTAAATGATATCCTGAAGGCACCAATTGTACTTTTATTATATCAGGCTGATTCACTGTTTCTAATGCAATGAACTTGACACAGATTTTAAATTTTTTCTCAATCTGTCCCATTGTGTAGACAAATTAATTCAAAGTTCTTTTTCTTCCTTCTCTTTTTCATCTAAGCCTGTGCTTATGAGTAGAAAAAGAGAAGAGGCTACCTTGAAATGCCTCGGGCCCAAACTCAGAAGGCTCTGCACTCAACTGAGCCTCCCTTCCTACTAAGAATGGAATAGTGTTGCTTATAGGGGTGTTGGTCCAAGTATCAGCTGTGGATGATTAATTCCCAGGGCTGCTATCACCTAAGGTAACTTCAGTAATCTTATGTGTTTGGAAAGGAGGATGAGGATTATTTTTCAAATACATAATTTTGTTTTATTTTGAAACAATCTCACACCTACAGAAAAGTTGCAATTATAATACAAAGAGCTTCCCCCTCGCCTGAACTGTTTGATAGTAAGTTGCCAAACTGATATACCCACGATCCCCAAATGCTTCAGTGTATTTCCTCCCAGCAAGGACATTCTCCTGCATAACCACAATACAACCATAAAAGTCAGGAGATTAACACCAGTTCATTTTGACCATCTGAAATTCAGGTGTCATTCATGTTTTGCCAGTTGTTCTTTGTATGTTCTTCATAGCAAAAAAAAAAAAAAAAAAAAGATTTAAATGCAAGCATTACACTTAAGTGTGGTGTCTCTGTGGTCTCTTTCTGTCTGGAATAGTTCCTAAGTCTTCCTTGCACTTTAGTGCTTTTAAAGATTGCAGGCCAGTTATTTTGTAGAATGTTCCTTGATTTGGGTTTGTCTGATGTTTCCTCATAATTAGATTCAAGTTACTTACCTTTGGCAGGAATATCAGGGATAATACTCTGTTCCAATTGCATCCTGATGTTCACTTTGATCACCTGATTGACTGTTGTCTGCCAGCCTTCTTCACTGTGAAATGATACATTTTTTCTTTTTAATTAGTAAGATTTGGTAGGGAAATATTTTAAAACCATGTACATATCCCATTCTTCATTAATCTTCTGAATTATACTTTATTTGTATCAGTGTGGACTCAAGCCTTCTAATTTTGTTCTATTTGCTCTCGTTGTTTACTTTGCTGTTCATAATGTCCTAGATTTGGCCAGTGGAAGCCTCTTCAAATTGGTTTCTATGTTCTTTTGATGTGTTTGGGCACTTCCTTGCTTTCCGGCACAGCAAGATATTTCAAGATCATCTATACTTTTCCTGCCCCAGTCCTAGGATAAACCATTTTTCAAGAAGCCCTGGTTACTTTTCCTGGAGAATAATATGTGGAAGTTAGAACCTGTGCTCTGGTCATGCTCAGTGCTATCAGGTGGCACTGCTACCAGGTCCTCTCAATGGACAAAGCAAGGGGTGTTAAGTTTGAATACACACATCCCTCCCCACACACACTCATACATATATACACATTTACATCTATATTTATTTCTGAACCTCCAGTTCTAATCCATACAGGTGTTTAAACTGATGCCTTCATTCTAATCCAACACTACATGGTTCATTCTAGTTTTTTTTTTCCTTTCATTTTTGCTACTCCCTTCTCAGCCAGTGAGAAAACTGGCTTACTATTCAATTGCAGTAGGTAACCAGTCATGTATCATTACGCTGTCTCCTTCACACATGGGCTCTGCGCTCCAGGCCAGCCCATGTAGAAGCCTATCTTCCTTGGTCCTACCTAGTGGCTTTAGTCTAAATTGTTCAAGAGAAAGGAGTAGATGAAATTATGTTCTTAACATATGTTTGTATTGCTTTTGGATTCTCAGTATGTCATCATTACAAATCCTCAGAGGGTGTTTCTGTGTGACTGGGGGAGGCAGACTAATATAAAGTGCTCAATAAATCTATTTGATCATGAATCTTGTCTTGCATGGATTGGATTTTCATTTTAAGAAATCACGACTTTGTGAATATTAAGAGCATGACTTCTCCTTTGACCTTTACTCCATCATTTTGGTCTCAGATGGCTGGAGATAGCATATTCTTTTGTGAGCTGAGGAAGTCTTGACTGCTTGTGGCCTCCTGATCCTCAAAGAATAAACCATACTGATTTGCAATACTTGAGTTTCGCAATATTTGAGTTTTTCTTCAAGAAACAGATTTTCTTGGAAGCACACAAAGTTTGATTTAAGGGACTTAATTCAGTGTGTCTATAGACCCTGGATTTCAGACAATTAATGCTGAGATGGGGAGGGAGAAGCAGGCACTGGGGAAAAAAGATCCAAAGAAGATAAGCCCAGGAGAGTAAGGAGGCTGATGGAATGTAAGACAAATTTACGAATGGAAGCCAGAGGTGGTCACTATACTGCTTTGAAAACATCTTTACTTTCTCCAATAACCTTGAGCTGTTTCTTCCTGATTCTGACCTTGAGGATGGTGGTCAGGGGCAAAGTGCCCAAAGATCTGAAAATATTCCACCAATTAGTGGTTTGTTTTTCCTGGAATAAATATGATAGTCTTAGATTTCACCAATTCCAGTAAAAAATTTCTATTTTCCCCCTTAACATTTTCTTTTATTTTACCCATCTTTAAATAAAAAAAAAAAACTTCTCTTGATCTTACCAGCTGAAATCTCATTCTCCTCTTCTATTTAAAGCAAATCTCATGCTAACTACAATTTTTGTACTCCCATGCTCTCTTGAACACCCTCCAATCACTTTTGTCACCATTCTATTGAAAATACTCTGGTCAAAAGCAAGAAGCTCTACATTACTAATCAACCAATCTTTGATCAGTCCTCATCTTATTGTAGATTAATTCCCCAATCTTGATGCACTGTCTTCACTTGGCTTTCAACATGCTAGTCTTCTGGTTTTCCTTCTCCCACCTTATTTCCTCTCCTCAAGCCTTTTTGCTCTTTCTGCTCTTCTCTGGACTGCTAATAGTGGACTCTCCCAGGGCTCAGGCTCTCATCTCTTTATGTTCCTACCTATACCCTAATTTTGATATATACTGAATCTGACCATACCTCTACTGTTATTCTGGCCCAAACTTTTATTATGTCTCGGCTGGATGTTTATGATAGCCTCCTAACAGTTGTCCCCACTTCGGACCTTGCTCCCTTTAGTCTGTTCTCCACATAGAAACCCCAGGGGTTCTCTTGAAAATACGTCATGCCACTTCTTGGCTCAGGATCTGCTCCCCAGCCTTTTCCCTACCTTATCTCTGTCACCAGCTCACTCATTGTGGACCTGGCCTCAGCACGCTGACCCCATTGGCACTTGAATCTGTCATTCCCTCTGCCTAGAAAGACTTTTTCCTAAGAAGCTGCATGACTTACTCCCAAATTGAACTGTTTCTCTGCTCAACATTCTCAGTGCCCCCTCACTGCTTTATATTAATATATCCAAGGCACTTATGACTATCTGGCAGAGTGTTTAACGTTAAAGTTTGTTCCTTCATCTCCCCCACCTTCCCTCATGCACAATAAGGCTCCGTAAGGCCAGGGGTTTTGTATGGTTGTTGCTGTGTCTCTAACTCCTCAGAACACTTTACATTCTTTTCAACATACTATGTGGGACCTAAACGAATACTTGTCCCATATGAAAAGAGCTGTGTTCTGATGTCGGAGAAGGCGATTCCCAAGCTCCATTTTCTAACTGCTAAGAGCAGGGCCTGACTAATTTTTATTTTTTTTTGAATCAGTGAATGAGGGAAATGAATAACTGATAATATACATTCATTGTAGAAGGATACCTAAATAATAGATATGTATTTTCTTTCCTTTTTTCCTTATAATTAAATTTCTTAGACAATAAAATGATAGATTTATGTAATGGTTTCATGGTTTTTCATTTATATGTTACGTTATACCTCTTTTCTGTTAAGAATGATTTTTGACATCGAATTACACTGCAGTGTTTTGAAAAGTTTTCCAGTAGGGTTGAAGTGGAGGGCACACCACCACCTCCAGAGAGTGGATGCCCCAAACTCCTTTCGCCCATGAGCCACTCCCCCACTGCCCTCTCATCAAACACTGTCTTCAGTGTCTCTCTTGTGCCTCAATTTCAATTTTGGGGAATTTCACCCAATGTGGGCATTTGAGATTTATTTCTAAAGCACCCACAGTTTCTCAGAAGCAGTGCCTTTTTGAGTCGGGAGGCCATCTGAAGAGGAATCAGATCCTTAGCAGGGTGCCTAAGTTACCCTCAGTCCCCCCAAAGAAAGGAGAAACTCTTGGGATGATGGCTCCCCTAAAGAAGGCAACTTCTCCTGGAGGAAAAGGATATACATGCCTTGGATGACTCCTGCCCGCTCACAGAAGGCTGCTTTTGTTGTGGCTTAAAGTTAGATCTTCTGGTAGAGTTCTAGAATGTGGGCCCTGCCGATGAGTGACAGCCAAAAGCTCACCTTGGAAGAGGCACCAGAGTCACAGCCCCAGCTCTCTCAGGGAAGACGCTGCTCCAGAGCATCTCAGAAGCCACCAGGGAAGACAGTGGCAGATGGGAAGCCGGTGGTGCAGGGCCAAGGGCACAGCTCTGCCTGACGCAGCATTGTCAGCAATAGGTAACATATAACTTATGAGGAGTATCTGAGTACCAGCAGGCACTCTTGGGAGTGAAGGATGGGGGAAGAGAATCTGCCCCAGACTTCATATCCATTGGAAATGCCACATCAGGTGCTGTATCTTGGCATGGATTGTGTTTCCTGTAGGTGTGGGAGTTCTTCTTCTCACAGTCAAGCCCTCCACCTGTCCCTTGTCACACACCCTGTCCTTTTGAATAGAAATTCTCATCCTAGCCCAGCTTCAGGCACGGCCTGGCTTACCCTTGGACCCCAGAGATCTCACCCTTCTGAGGTCTCAACTCTCCTTAAGGAGTTAGGAAATGAAGCTTGGGAATCCACTTCTCGGACATCAGAACACAGTTCCTTTTGCACAGGACAAGTATTTATTTAGGTTCCACTTAGTATATTGAAAAGAATTTGAAGTGTTTTGGTGGTTTGTAGTCCTCTTTCATCATGCTGAATCAAGCCTCAAAAAGGTCAATTTCTGCAGTTGTTAAAACACAGAGGAATTTTTATAGTGTGTGTGTTTGCATAAGTTTATAAGGAGCTTTGTCACAAGGTCTTCTGTTTTAGAGAAACAAGCCATTTTACTCCTTTCATAGTTCACTGCAATTTATTTTATACTAATTTTCGTATTTACCTTTATTTCAATTCATGTTTTAGTCAGCTAGAGAAATTATTCAATTTTTTTTTTCAGAGAAGACACTAAGGTTGCATACTTTCAGAGATTTTCAATGTCTAAGCACATCTACTTATTGCCATTTAAATAATGATTTTTTTTGGTGTATACAATTTGGGTAAAAATAGTCTTTTTGCTTAAATATGTTTATGGCATTTACAGCTCTCAAAGAGAAGTCTGAGGCCAGGTGCGGTGGCTCACGCTTGTAATCCCAGCACTTTGGGAGGCCGAGGCGGGTGGATCACCTGAGGTCAGGAGTTTGAGACCAGCCTGGCCACCATGGTGAAACCCCATCTCTACTAAAAATACAAAAATTAGCCAGGCATGGTGGCATGCGCCTGTAATCCCAGCTACCCAGGAGGCTGAGGCAGGAGAATTGCTGGAACCTGGGAGGCAGAGGCTGCAGTGACCTGAGATTGCGCCACTGCACTTCAGCCTGGGTGATAGAGCAAGACTCCATAAAAAAATAAATAAATAAAAAAAATAAAAAAAAGAGAAGTCTGACACCAAACTAAATTTGGTTTCGTTTCAATAATTTTTTTTCTGCCCATGTTTTTGTAGGTTGTTTCTATTATCCTTGAATTTTATTAACATCTCCAGGTAAGGTGTAGTTTTAGGGGAACTTTGTTTTTGTTTCACTTTGTTTTGTTTTTGTTTTTGTTTTTTGAGACAGAGTCTCACATTGTCACCCAGGCTGGAGTGAAGTGGCACAATCTCGGCTCACTGCAACCTCCACCTCCTGGGTTCAAGTGATTCTCCTGCCTTAGCCTCCCGAGTAGCTGGGACTACAGGTGCACACCACTGCACCCGCCTAATTTATTTATTTATTTATTTTTTGTAGTAGAGAAAGGGTTTCACTGTGTTAGCCAGGATGGTCTCGATCTCCTGACCTCGTGATCTGCCCACCTTGGCCTCCCAAAGTGCTGGGATTACACGCGTGAGCCACCGCGCCCGGTCGGGAACTTTCCTCTAGTATTTCTGGAGGTTTGATACTCTGCTTTTTTGTTGGTTCCTTACAGAATCTCTTTCTGCTTATCTGTTCTGGTTCTCTTACATTACATCTGTCTTCCAAATGTCTTCTTTGCTTTAGCCTTTTCATCACTTAATATGTTTTTTTCCCCTCTGAATTCTACAATAATACCCTCTAAGTCACTGCCTGTGAGGTGGTTTTTGTTGTTGTTGTTGTTTTTGCCATAGTCAATCTGCTTTACAAAGCCATGACTGCATTTTTAATTTCTAAATTTTTAAAATTTATTTACTCATTTATTTAGAGATGACATCTCACTATGTTGCCCAAGCTGGCCTCAAACTCCTGGGCTCAAGTGGCCTGCTTACCTCGGCCTCCCAAGTATCTGGGACCACAGGCCCTTGCTACTATTTTTTATTTTGATAATGATATTTTTCATCAGAAAGCTATCCTTGTGGTCACACATTATTCCTTTTCAATTGTAAACACAGTCTATCCCAAATCCCAGTGAAAATAAAAAATAAGATTTATATTTCAGAGTTTCATTAAATGTTAGCTGGAAGGGTTTGCGTGAGTTTATATTTCAACATGGTGGGAATTGATCTATTTCTGCTAAATGGCATCATGCTGACCCTGCACTGTCCTTCCCATCCTTCTTAGAGGACATCCCCTGCTATGTCGTTTTAGAAGCCACTGAGCACCATGGCAACCTGGATATCTCAGTACTAATGATGCTATTTCTTTTTGTGGTGGTGAAACAAAACTCAGCCTGCACTACTGTCTCATGAGAAATTTTTTATTATCTTTCATCAGATGAAAGAGTATTTGCCTACACATTGCCAATATTCATCCAGATATATTTTGGGAAAAAAAGCTCTTCAATTTCTCAAGCACTTTTTTCATCTTTTGAACTGGAATCCAAGTCATGGAGGCCCATCACCTTACAGCTTCTTAAATGGCAAACATAATTATTCTTTGATTTTGCTTTTCCTCAGGCTGCATTCTTAAGTAATTTAATTTTCCTTTTGTTATATGTGATTGGCAACAATGCGCACAATGAGTTTGTATCTAACACAATTTTGAAATAGTGTTTTTTCTTTTTTATGTCTCATAATCATTGCAGGGTGTAACTCAAACTTAGTATACGCCAGCATGGCAAGTGGCCGCGGCTCAATTCTTCCTCTTGAGAGTCAGATGGCCGGCATGCATTACTAATCTATTATAGTGCGTATTAAACAAATCCAAAGTTTGTTCAATTTTTTCCATAAAAGCCAAAGTCCTTTTGTAATCACAATATAATATTTGTCTACTCCCTTTTCTGTAATTTAATATATCTTGGATGGCTGAGCAGTTCTACATGGATGGGAAGAATCACTCCTTCCCCCTGTTGAGAGCGAGAAGGCACATGGTGTTTAAGAGTTAGAATGAGTCTGGTTGATCCCGTACTTAACTACGAAGTTATGCTGTGAGCCTCATATTTTCTCATCTGTTAAAAAAATAAAAATGCTAATAACATGTTCAACCAGCTGAATTTGCCAGTCTGTAACCTCTGCTTTGGATGTGTTCTTTTTTTCCTGACTACTCCAAATTGTGACAGAAAAACACTTGTCTCTTGACTGTTAAGGCAGTAGCTGCTCAGGTTCACCTATACCCAGGCCAAGCTCCGGTATTTGGGGTTCTAGGATTAGTCAAATATTTGGGCCCTGCTCATTCTGAGAGGGAAGGCTCTCATAGAGATTTTGTAATGAATTGAGTAGATGTTATCCATAAAGGAGTGGTTTTTATTCATTTCATTAAGGATATTTACAGCTATAAGTGTCAGAAAATCTGACTAGCAAATGCTAAAATATAAGAATATTCGTTGTTTACTCCAGAATTCTTGGGATACATGTTCCTAGGTCTGATTCAACAGTTTCATCAAGACCCCAGGCTTATCTGCATCCACTTATTCTGCCATTCTTTTTTTTTTTTTTTTTTGAGACGGAGTCTCGCTCTGTCACCTAGGCTGGAGTGCAGTGGCGTGATCTCAGCTCACTACAAGCTCCACTTCCCGGGTTCACGCCATTCTCCTGCCTCAGCCTCCCCAGCAGCTGGGACTATAGGTGCCCACCACCACGCCTGGCTAATTTTTTGTATTTTTAGTAGAGACGGAGTTTCACTGTGTTAGCCAGGATGGTCTCGATCTCCTGACCTCCTGATCCACCTGCCTTGGCCTCCCAAAGTGCTGGGATTACAGGCGTGAGCCACCACGCCCGACCTACTCTGCCATTCTTAGCATGATGGCTCGTAGTTCCAAGATTGCATGTTGACTTGTTGCCTCATGGCTTCAAGATGGCTGCCTCTGCTCCTAGCATTATATCCTCTCCCAACTACAGTCAAAGACAGAAAGTGAAGGGAGTAGCTTCCCTAGAACAAGGACTCTCCTCTTTTTTTTTTTCTTTTTCCTTTGAGAAAAAGGAGGAATCTCCAGAGGATTATCTCTCATTACAAACTTTCCTTTAGATCTTCAAAGCCAGAACCAGATACCTTTAGCTCTAAGGGAGACTAAGAATATGAGTACAGTCAGCCCTCTGCATCCATGGATTCCATATCCATGGATTCCACCAACTACAGATGGAAAATATTCTTTTAAAAAATTAAAAATGGCCAGGTATGGTGGTTCATGCCTGTAATACCAGCATTCTGAGGGGCTGATGTGAGAGGATCACTTGAGGCCAGGAGTTTGAGACCACCCTGGGTAATATGACAAAACCCCATCTCTACAAAAAAATACATAAAATGTCCAGGTATGGTGGCATGTGCCTGTGGTCCCAGCTGCTTGGGAGGCTGGGGCAGGAAGATTGCTTGAGCCTGAGAGGCAATGGTTGCAGTAAGCAAAAATAATGCCATTGCACTCCAGCCTGGGTGACAGAGTGACACTTTGTCTTTAAAAAAAAAGTTAACTATGACAATAAAAATAATACAAATCAAAAATATAGAGTGTAACCACTATTTATATAGCATTTACATTGTATAAAGATTATAAATAATCTAGAAATAATTTATAGTATACAGGAGAATATGCATAGGTTATATGCAAATACTAAACCATTTTATCTAAGGGACTTGAGCATCTGTGAATTTTGGTATCTACAGGGCTCCAATCTTCCATGGAGGTAGAGGGACTAATCAGTGTGATTTTCTCAACCTCTATATTGAGAGACAGACAAGGGAGAAGGGGTACAAATGCCTGCTGGGTCTTTTAGTAAGGGATCCACCATAGCACTCAGATGTTCTGTCCTTCATCTCTCTATCCCACCTGGATGAATTAGCCCTTCTTTGTTACGTAGTAGAGCAATTCATATGTGTACATGTAAAATGATTTGTTTCCCTGTTAAACGTTAACTGATGATGATAAACACAAATATGAGATTTTCCTGCCATGGTTATGATACCTTACATTTATATAACAATTTTATATCTATTATCTCAAATTCTGTTCATAAGAATGTCATAAGTTTCAAATTTTTGGTCTCTCCATATGAGAAGTAGAGAGATGACATTTATTATCATACAGCTCATCAATAGCAAATGAGGAAGCTTGATTCTTTGACCTAAGCTTTTTAACCTTTTACGTTGTCTGTAAACCTTATGCCAAATTAAGAAAACTAGAAAGTTTTTTTTCCCTGCTTCTAGTAGGGTAAACTTTTAGTATCTTTTCTAATGCAGAGAAATTAATGAAGCTCTACATCTAGTTCAAAATTCCAGTGTTTTTGTTGGGTAGGGGTGGGGAGGTGGGACAGTTAGTAGTATCTCATAAAATATGAGATGGGAATTTCATTTGATCCAATGATCCCATTCTATAAATTTTTTTGCTGGGATATAAACACAGAAAGGTAAAAGGTTTTATCTCCAATTCATATTCAGCATCATTAATATTAACAAAACTGTAGAAATAATCTAAACGGACATGATTTGGGAACTAGCAAATCATGGCATATATATATATATATATATATATATATATATATATATATATATATACACAAGGGAAATGTGAATCTGTTAAAATTATTGTAATTCATTCTCACTTATGAATATTGATATAATAAGTGATTAAAAGTTCCTTAATAGCAGACTAAGTCCAACAGCACATTAAAAAAATACATTGTAATCAAGTGAGATTTATTCCAGGAATGCAAAGATGGTTCAATTTTAGAAAATCCATAAATATCTATAAAATAATCATGTGATTATAGCCTTAGTCTGGCAGAAAGGCAGTTGATAACATTCAACAAACATTCATAATACAATGGATTCAGTAGGAACTGATGGATGCTTCTTTAACATAGCACAACCTGTGTAGTTCTTAATTTACTTGAAACCACAGCCCTTTTTCTGCTAAACTCAGGAAGAAGGCAAGGATGCCCATTACCTACATTCTATTTAATATTGTGCTGAATTTACTGACCAGTATAGACAGAGAAGACAAAGTAATTAGTGGTAAGGGATTAGAAAAGAAGAAATTGAAAACCATCTCTATCAATGATATGGATATAGTATTCCTGGAAGACACAAAAGACCTGAACATAAAACTAATTCAGACAATAAAAGTAAGGTGGCTATATGTAAAATTAACATGAAAAATCAATAGTCTTCATATATACAAACAATAACCTTGCTAGAATGATAGTGTAAGAGAAAGTGTCATTTAAAACAGCAACAGTGACAACAAAAGATCAACTACTTAGAAACAAATTTAAAGGAAATGTGCAAACCTTGTATAGGAAAAAATTTAAACACCCCTTTTTTGGAGTGATAGGATGATTCAACATCATAAAGATATCAGTTCTCCTAGATTTAACTGAATTCCAATAAATGCAAAAAAGCAGGATTTATTTTAGCTAAGTTGATGCTAAATTTCATATGGAAAAATTAAAAAGCCCAAACATAGGAAAACGTTGGAAAAGAAGGACACAAGAGGAGGACTAGTAAATTTGACCAAATGTTGAAACACACTAGTAAGTCTCTGTAATTAAAAAGTGTGACATTGATGTGTAAATAGGCAATTCAGTGGAATAAAATAGAGTCTTGAAATAGATCCACATACATCTGGAAATTAGGTATGTGATAAGGGTGGCATCTCAAATCACTGGGGAAAAGATGGACTTATTAATCAGTGTTGTTGGAACAACTGAGAAAAGATGAAACTGAATCCACATCTCACACCGTACATAAAAATAAACTGCAAACCAAACTAAAGATCTAACAAACAAAATAAAACCACACAGTTATGATAGAAAACATGATGCATTCCTTTATAATCTGAGAGTAGGAAGCTTTTTTTAAATATGACAAAACCCAGAAACAATAAAAGGAATTTGCTTTTAAAAATGAAAAAGCCTTTGCATTGTAGAAAACATTTAAATAAAACCAACAAATGGCAGGGGAAATTTATATCAAGTACAAAACGCTAATTAATTAATGATCTATAGAAAATAGAGAAGAGAAAAAAATTCTGATGTGCAGAGAAATGAACAGTCAGTTCATGGAAAAATAAAATCAGATGATGCTTAATATATGAACACTCCACCAACTATTATGAAAGGAGGTGAATTAAAATTACACTGCTCTTTGAAAGGTTAGTGACTGAGGGGGCACAATGGAGGCTTCTGAGGTGCCTTATCTTTGATCTGTGCTGGAGATACTCAGATTGTTCACCTAAAAAGTTTCTCAAGTTCCACACCTTAAATCTATGCAATCTATTGTACAAGGGGACTTTTGCAAGTTCATAGGAAAATAGAATTAAAAGATATGAATAAAAAATATAAACATTTCTTGACAGAAGCCCCATCAACTTCAATACAGCTTTGTAAATGATAATAACAGTCATTTAGTCCATCCTTAACAAAGTGAGGTCCTGGGAATTTAACCATGTCAATGCAGTCTTTTTTACATATTAACTGAAGAAAAATGGGTGCCCTTTAAATTTTTTTTTTTTTTTTTTTTTTTGAGATGGAGCCTTTCTCTGCCGCCCAGGCTAGAATGCAGTGGTGCAGTCTCAGCTCACTGCAAACTCTGCTTCCCGGGTTCATGCCATTCTCTTGCCTCAGCCTCCCAAGTAGCTGGGACTACAGGTGTCAGCCACCATGCCTGGCTAATTTTTTGTATTTTTAGTGGAGATGGGGTTTCACCATGTTAGCCAGGATGGTCTCCATCTCCTTACCTTGTGATCCGCCTGCCATGACCTCCCAAAGTGCTGGGATTACAGGCTTGAGCCACCACACCCAGTGCCTTTAAATATTTTTAAAGATTAGGAAACAAAAAGAAGTCAGAGGGAGCCAAATCAGGACTGTCAAGTGGATGATTAATGATTTCCCATCAAAAATCTCATGGAATTGTCCTTGTTTGATGAGAGGAATGAGCAGAAACATTGATATGGTGGAGAAGCTCTGGTGAAGCTTCTGTGGACATTTTTCTGCTAAAGCTTTGGCTAACTTTCTCAAACACTCTCATAATAAGAAGATGTTATCATTCTTTGGCTTTTCAGAAGGCGAACATGCAAAATGCCTTGAGCATCCAGAGAAACTTACCATGACTTCTGTTCTTATCCAGCCTGCTTTTGCTTTAACTGGACCACTTCTACCACTTGGTAGCCATTGCTTTGATTGTGCTTTGTCTTCAGGATTGTAGCGGTAAAGCCATGTTTCAGCTCATGTTACAATTCGTAAAAGAAATGCTTCAGGATCTTGACCACTTGTGTAAAATTTCCATTGAAGGGTCTGCTCTTCTCTGCAGCTGATTGGGCCGCCACAATTGTTTCAGTACCCTTGGGAGTGAAAAGTCTGCTCAACTGAAATTTTTCATTCAGAATTGTATAAGCTGAACTAATTGAGCTATCTGTGGTGCTGGCTATTGTTTCTCCTGTTAATTGTCTGTACAATTGTCCTATACAATTGTCTCCTGTACAATTAGGGCATGACCAATTTTTTTTTTTTTTGAGATGGAGTCTCACTCTGTTGCCCAGGCTGGAGTGCAGTGACGGGATCTTAGCTCACTGCAAGCTCTGCCTCCTGAGTTCACACCATTCTCCTGCCTCAGACTCAAGAGTAGCTGGAAATACAGGCGCCCACCACCACACCCGGCTAATTTTTTTGTATTTTTAGTAGAGACGGGGTTTCACCATGTTAGCCAGGATGGTCTCGATCTCCTGACCTCATGATCTGCCTGCCTCGGCCTCCCAAAGTGCTGGTATTACAGACATGAGCCACCATGCCTGGCCCAAGATTTTTTTTTCTCACAAATTGATGTGGATGAACTGCCACTGTGGGCTTAAATCTTAAATCTTAATCTTAATATTGACTCCTACCTTTTTAAAATGAGTTATTTATTTGTAACTGCTGACTTCTTTCAAGCAATGTCACATAGACTTTTTGTAAAACATCAGTGATTTCACCATTCTGCCACTTGAGCCTTATAATAAATTTAATATTTGTTCTTGCTTTAATTTTAGCAGAATGCATGTTGCTCTGATAGGAGCTCTACCCAAACTGATGTCTTATTCTTCTTGGTGCCTCAAACTAGATCCTGTTTAGGCATGTTATAACAAGTTTTGTGAGTTTGTTTTGGTGAAAAAAGTTGGAATCCATGCATAGTTTTTTCATAATACACATTTTCCGTGAACTTTTTAAAGACCCCTCTTATGGATGTTATACTTACTAAAAATATTCTTAACAAAAACCTAGTAGTCAGATACCATTTCTTATTCCTCAGATTAGCACAAATTTAAGTTTGACAACATGCTCTGTTGGCAGGACTATAAAGAAAAAAGGCACTATAATATATTGCTGATAGGCATGCAAAATAGTACAACCCTGTGGAGAGAAATCTGGTAATATTTAACAAAACCACAAATGCTTTTACCTTTTGACCTGGTAATTCCACATCTAATAATTTACCCTAAACATACAACTCCAAAACAGCACAACACAAGGTCATTATTTTTGTTAATATCAAAGGAATAGAAACAACTCAATGTTTATTGGTAGAAGACTGGCTAAAGAAATAATGATATTTGCACACAGTAAATTTACATGGCCATGAAAAAATAGGGATAGTCTGTAGGCATTAGTGGAGAATGGAGAAAGCAAGATGCAGAAAGGTCTATATGGCATGCTACTCTTTCTGTAAAGAAGAAGAGAAAATAATAATTCACATATGTAGTTGCTTATTTTTTGACAGGCATGCAGGAAAAATAAAATGGAAGCAGTTGAAAAGTGTTATCTATAAGGAGCATGAGGAATAGGGAAGAGGAGATAGGGATGGAAGGGGAACTTGCCTCAACGTACCATTTTCTGTCATTTTGAGTTTTGAAATATGAAAATTTTTACATATTTAAATAATAAAATCAGAGAGGAAAAGTGTAAAGTCCCTGAATTGGGAACAAACTAAAACAAAGGAACCTAATGATCTATCAATCTGGAAACATAACCACACAGAGAATAGGCTTATTCTAAGTAAATTTTTGACACAATACTGACTCTCGATACTAGGGAATTATATTCTAAGGATAAGAGGAACTACAATGAAATCTTAAACTTCACTTGGCAATTTTGTTATTTATAATAGTTTTGAAGTTATTATTTCAAAATCATAGAATAAAGCAAATAAATGTTTTTGTTAATGTTTTTAGGAAGCATGATTTTTATTTTAAGAGGAAAGATATATAAAAGATATACAAAAAATAGGGGGGAAAACCTGTAATGTTAATTTAAATGGAAAATATCTATATGAATTCGAGTTTTTTTTTTCTAATTGGAAGCTCTGACCACTTGAAAAGCATTCAAAGCAATGTCATCTCAATGGCAATGAGCCCATCTAGTGCCCTGATGTCAGTTTCTAAGTTGTTTCCCCACTAAGGGTAACTAGAGTTTTTTAGAGAAATGCCTGATTTCAGATCTGGGACAGGGAAAGTCCAAGGTTAGCCTGTGCCACCTTGTGTCGTAGAACATCGGGAAGCACTCAGAGACTAATAGGATTATGTCAGAAGATACATGTACCAACTTGAAGGAGCTCCCTCTGGCCAAACTTGGGTAAATTTTAGCATCAAAAGGAATAATGACTTTAATTGTTTGTCATACATTGAATAAATAATAAATCCATGAGTCCAGAGTGGTACTCAATAGACTAAGATAGATGGATGTCATTTACTATACCATTGGTACTATGATCCTAACTCCCAGTGAAATAATTGATTCAGGAAACGGATTTGCCTAAAACCATTAGGTGACAGTTATTGGGTAACAGGACATTTCCAACATCACAAAGTATCACTCATCAATTACTTGCCAATTGCAAAAGGAAACACTTTTATAACAGATATCTGGAGTCACCATATAACTTGGTGATCAAAGTTAGCAGCATTAATAGTGGGAAGGTACATCACCTGTCTTCAGATATGATAAAGTCCAAAGTATACAACCTCACCAATGACATGTTATTTACAAACATCTTGGAACTCAAATCGAAAAGAGCCTTTAGACTTCATATCCATTTCATAAGAATGACAAACGCTCAAATAGCAATTTAAATGCCACCATGAGGAAACTGCCAAAGAAATCCACATTGTGGAATATCTGCAAACCTGAACTCTTCAAAGAGTCAATGTCATGTTGGAAAATAAAAAGGTAGGAGTACTGCTCCAGATTTTTGATAGAGACATAACCAAATATAATGCTTGAACTTTAATTGAACTCTGATTTGAAAAACCAGCTTTAAGATGTATTTGGGGGGCCACTTGAATATGGAGCAGATATCAGGGAATGAATTTTTATTTCTAAGATACAGTCCTATTGTGACCATGTGGCAGAAGCTCTTGTTTTAAGGAAGTATTTAGAAAACTAGAAAAAATACAGTAAAATGTAGAGAATTGTTGAGCCTAGGAGGCAGACATAAAAGTGGTCATTATACTAGTTCTCCAACTGTTCTGCATATTTAAAATATTTTATAATAAAAATTAGAAAAATTAGATTTATCTTTTTACTTAAAAGATTATCAAGGGCAAATTGTTGAATTTAAAATGCATAGTTAGAAAACAAATAAATGATAGGCACTCATTTGCGTAAAATGAGTATAGTACATATTGAAAAATCAATCCAATGTTTGTACACCTATGTTTATAGCAGCATTTTTCACAATAGCCAAAAGTTAGGAAACACCTAGGAATCCATCAGTGGATGAATGGATAAATAAAATATGGTGTATACATACAGTGGGATGTTATTCAGCCTTAAAAAGGAAGGAAATGCCAACACATGCTACAGCGCAGATAAACTTTGAAGATATTATATTGACTGAAAAGAATAAATATTGTGTGATTCCACTTACATGAGCTATGTAGAGTAGCCAAACTCATAGAATGGTGGTTGCCAGGAGTTGGGGAGAGGGAGGAATGGGTTATTATTGTTTAATGGATATAGAGTTTCAATTTTGCAAGAGTTCTGGAGACTGATGTACCACAATGTGAATATATTTAACATTACTGAACTGTACACTTAAAAATGGCTAAGATGGTACATTTTTGTCACATGTATCTTGCCACAATTAAAACATAAAAATTTAGATATAAAAATTAATACGTACATAAAGACATATTTAGAAGAATATATGTCCAGACACATGTACAGAGTTGTTATTTCTGTAAATTAGAGTTTCTTGGCAATTTTTGCTTCCCTTTCCATCCCTAGATTGCTTAATTTTTTTATATTGATCATGAATCTGTTTTACTAAAAAAAAACTATTTTCAAAAGCAAGAAAACTTCCCCAGATTTTCGGTGTTTCAGAAAACATGGTGATTCGAGAGCCTACTTTTTAGGGAAATGGATTTGCAGGAAACAATGGAAATTGTCAATGTAACCTGAGAATTTTAGTAAAAGCAACAAAAATCCTTTGTCCCATATGGTGAGAAGCAAAACAGGCCGCTGGCCCGTCCTGTGTGTTGTGGTTGCCGTGGAGAGCTTGGCCTTCTGAGCCTTTGGCAGGGCCTAGCCAACCTGACCTTGCTCACAGCTGAGGCTCAGCAGCAGCAGGGCCTTTGTGGGAACTCGCCTGCCCCTCCCAGTGAACTATGCTTTGCTTGGTGCCTGGCCAGCAAGGAGGCGAAGTTTGTCTGCTGTTGTTGACCTGGGCTGGTCTGCCTCCCTGTCCTGAACACCAATTCCAGCATCTCACCTTGCTTGACTGTGCCCCAGCGGGGGCGTTGGTGCCTCTCATCTCACAATTGCCTCTGTGACAGAGCCAGTCTTTGATCTCGCCTCCAGGAATCCAATTCCTCTCAAAGTCTGTTAATCCCTTGGGTCCACGGGTTATTCCCGTACAGCATCCCCACTCTGATTACTCATCTCAACCGTGGCTGATCTTTGCATTTTGACCTTTGGTCCCTGTCAGGCCACAGGCCCTGTATTCTATTTGTGATGCAGAGACTTATGTCCTAACTGTTAATATGTTCACATAAACACACACGCCACTACAGTATCATTAAAATGTTTTCTAAAATTTGTCATAGAGCAGTACTAGCATTTATATCCACATGGGATTTTGAAAACAAATTATATAGTTCTATTTTGTTTTCCATTAATTTATTATTTTCAGTTTAACTTGAGGTACAGTCAACATAACCTCAATATCAGATGATGTCTACTTTTAAAAAAGCAAATATTTTGAAAACATAGAAAAGTACAGAGAACACCAAAACGAACACTTGTGTTCAGACCACCCAGATTTAGCAAATGTTAACATTTCATAGTGATTGTTCCGGGTCTAAAATTCTCATTTTAAAATTAAATTTTACTTCTGTATGTGGGCAGAGCGGGCCTCAGGGAAACAGTGAAGCTGTGAGTGTTCCCTCCCTGCTGTCCCCTGCCCTTCTGTTGCAGGTGACTGACCAGGCATCTGTGGCCCTTGATGCCACACAGGGCCATGCTGGGCCTTTCCCAGCACAGCTGTGCTGGCAGCTGCTCCCCGGGTCTCTCCATGGAGCACTGGAGTCCTCAATTCTAACAGAAATGATAGAACTGAGTAGCATAAAAAGCTGCAAGCCAAAAATGAAGGAAAGTTTATTAGAACAAAGGAAGCTTATTGTAACTCTGTAAGCGGGGGTGCTCCAAGCATCTCAGAAAAAAAGAGCCCAGGAAATGAACAGCTGTTGGAATCCCAGTTTGCTAGTGCTTCTCTCTGCTTCATTCTTTAATCCTATTCCATTTGCGTTTTGGAAAATAGCCTCCCTCAGCTTCGAAATTTACATGTGGTATGTCCAGCCACATAAGAGGCTGACTATTAGACCTCGGTTGCCATGACACAGGTCGAGATGAAAGAATCTCATTGTCTCCTCTCTGGTCTAGTAAACTCTGGTGAGGAAGGTAAATATGAGGCTAGAATGACATGTATGACAAATATGAGGCTAGGAGGACTGTATTAGTCTGTTCTCATGCTGCTAATAAAGACATACCTGAGACTGGGTAATTTATAAAGGAAAGAGGCTTAATGGACTCACAGTGGCAGAAGAAGGAAGAGCAAAGGGACTTCTTACGTGGTGGCAGGCAAGAGAGAGCTTATGCAGGGGAATTCCCATTTATAAAACCATCAGACCTTGTGAGACTTATTCACTACCAGAAGAAAAGCATGGGAAAGAACCGTGCCCATTATTCAATTACCTCCCCCCAGGTCCCTCCCATGACACATGAGAATTATGGGAGCTACAATTCAAGATGAGATTTAGGTGGGGACACAGCCAAACCATATTAATGACACTTCTGTGATCCTGTGGATTTGGGGAGTGATGGCGATGATTTCAAGAAGGAAACCCCCTCTCCTGCACATGGCTACATATTCTCCAGGGAACAACTATTGCAGTCTGAGAAGCACACAACAGGGATATCAGCAAAAGCTAGGAATGCCTTTCTAGCCCAGATATCTAGCACTGGGGAAAGCACAAGATATTGCTGGTGGTGAGGAGAACAATGAAGACAACTTGTTTTTTGGGTGGCCCACGGGTCATTAAAAGTATCACAGGACAGGATTTGTGTATGGACAACAATTCCCATATTTACAAATGAACAATGCTCTAAGAGTTGGGTTAATGTTGCTGTGTTTCTTCAATCAGTGCTTAGGCTCTATTGTGTCAGAGATTTAGCTGGTTATGAGAAAACAGTGACAATCCAAACCCAAACTTTTTCAAAGGGCTAACAGTTTTACGTTGACCCTGCATGCATATTATAAAAAATTAGCTCCATTTTTGAGCAATATCTCATAAAATGCACACTTATATTTCTTTCTATATTCATTCTCATTTCTAAAGGTATGTGTCTGGGTTATTTTTACCCTTGTAAGCCGTTTCAAATCTTTTCTGAAATAAACAAGATACACATAAAGGTGTAAAATGATGTCATGTTTATATTTCCATACTACCTCATAGAAACCTGAAGCATACGGCTACTAATAATACAATGATGTGCTTCATAATGACGTTTCAGTCAATGAAGTGGTGGTCCCATGAGATTACAATGGAGCTGAAAAACTTCCATTGCCTAGTGACCTCATAGCCATAGTATGTGGTAGCGCAGTGCATTACTCACATGTCTGGGGTGGTGGTGGTGTAAACAAACTTACTGTGCTGTCAGTTGTACACAATTCTAGCATATAAGTAATTACTGTATTATACTTTTTTTTCTTCAACTTTTATTCTAAGTCAGGGGTACATGTGCAGGATGTGCAGATTTGTTACACAAGTGAACGTGTGCCATGGTATCTTGCTGCACGGATCATCCCATCACCTAGGTATTAAGCCCAGCATCCATTAGCTATTCTTACTGATGCTCCCCCTCCCCCAAGCTCCACCAACAGGCCCCAGTGTGTGTTGCTTCCCCGACGCGTCCATTTGTTCTCATCATTCAGCTCCCGCTTATAAGTGAGAACATGCAGTATTTGCTTTTCCGTTTCTGTGTTAATTTGCTGAGGATAATGGCTTCCAACTCCATCCATGTCCCTGCAAAGGACATGATCTTGTTCCTTTTTATGGCTGCATAGTATTCCATTGTGTATATGTACCCCATTTTCTTTATCCACATTTTCAGTCTATCATTGATGGCATTTAGGTTGATTCCACGTCTTTGCTATTGTGAATAGTGCTGCAATGAACACAGGTATGCATGTATCTTTAGAATAGAATGATTTATATTCCTTGGGGTATATACACAGTAATGGGATTGGTGGGTTGATGGTATTTCTGGTTCTAGGTCTTTGAGGAATTGCCACGCTGTCTTCCACAATGGTTGAACTAATTTATACTCCCATCAACAGTGTAAAAGTGTTCCTTTTTCTCCACAACCTCGCCAGCATCTGTTGTTTTCTGACTTTTTATTAATAGCCATTCTGACTGGCATGAGATGGTGTCTTTTTGTGTTTTTGATGTGCATTTTTCTAATGATCAGTGATGTTGGGCTTTTTTTCCTATGTTTGTTGGCCACATGTATGTAATTACTATATTATACTTTTATCGTTATTTTAGAGTGTGCTCCCACTTACATAAAAGGTAACTGTGAAACTGCCTCAGGCAGGTCCTTCAGGAGGTATCCAGAAGAAAACATTGTTATTATAGGAGGTGACAGCTCCATGCATGTTACTGGCCCTGACAGCCTTCCAGTGGGACAAGATGTGGGAGTGAAAGAGGGTGATACTTATGATCCTAACCTTGTGTAGGCCTGGCTAATATCTGTGTTTGTGTTGTAATTTTTAACACAAAGTTTTTTTTTTAATAAAATAAATTTTAAAATAGAAAAAAGCATATCAAATAAGGACATAAAGAAAATATTTTTGTATAGCTGTGCAATTTGTGTTTTAAGCTGTCTTACTACAAAAGAGTCAAAAAGTTTAAAAAATCAAAATGTATATAAAGTTAAAAAGTTACAGGAAGCTAAAATTAATGTATTATTGAAGAAAGGAACATAGTTTTTATAAATTTAGTGTAGCCTAAGTGTACAATGTTTATAAAGCCTACAGAAGTGTATAGAAATGTCCTAGGCCTTCACATTCTGTCACCACTCACTCACTCACTCACCTACCCAGAGCAACTTCGAGTCCTGCAGGCTCCATTCATGGCAAGTACCCTATACATGCGTACCATTTTTTATATTTTATCCCATATTTTTACTGCACCTTTTCTATGTTTAGATACATAAATGCTTACCATTGTGTTACAGTTGCCTCCAGTATTTAGTGCAGTCACATGCAGTACAGGTTTGTACCCTGGGAGCAGTAGGCCATACTGTGTAGCCCTGTTGTGTAGTAGGCTGTACCATCCAGATTTGTGTAACTGCACTCTATGATGTTCGTGCAGTGATGAAATAGCCTAATGACACATTTCTCAGAACATAAGCCTATCATGAAGTGACGCACGACTGTGTTTTGACTATAAAGACAGTAACCATTTCTAACATTTTTTTCCGAAGAAAATAGTTTTTAAGCTCGGGCTTGGGCTGGAGAGCAAATGTCTTCCCTGAAGTCTCCTCTAGTGCATTGGGTCTCATAAGCCACAGATAATTTGTTGGCTATTTTTATTTGCTGATGACAAGTCACTTCTCTAGGCTCTTCAGCCCTCAAGTGTTGCAGATTTCACTTTCTGAGGTCATGGCTGCAAGACACATTTTCTTGACCAGCAGCTGTGGCCTGAGTTTTAGATTGACAGTGAAATGCATAGAAACACAGCAGGCTTCCCCCAACACCAAGATGTCTCAGCTTTAAGGAAGATACAGGACTGATGCCAATACTGCATGGCTGGTGACTCCTGGGCTCAGCCTCTGAATATCTCCCTGTCACTCCCCAGGAAGGGTGAGCAGGTGGTCACGGGAGGAGGCTGAGAGCATGGAGAGAAACTCAGCTAAGGGAGTCATTTGCTCTGGGGTCGCCTCAGCTTTTGTCTTTGCTCTCATCTCAGCCACTGCAGGGTATGTGGGCTGCGCCCGTGCCGGATCAGCTATGCGCATCAAAGCCCCTTACTCATGACTGCTCGGCAGTGGAGGCAGTGAAGCACAGGCACTCGGTCCATCCAGTCCTCAGTGTGTTCTTGTCCTATGTTCAGTATACCCCCATAATTCCTTGACTGAGTGCTGTGAGAGAAAATGCACCACACAAGAGTCAAGTCCTCCTGTGTCTCTGTGGGTAAACAAAAGTTCACAAACCAGCTCTTCAGCCGGAGCCATATCTTCCCCATGTTTGTATGCTAAGCACAGGGTCTGGCATATACTAGGTCCTTGGTCAAAATTTGCCCAGTGAATATACACTTTTGACCTCAATTTTTTTTTTTTTTTTTTGATGGTGGACGGGATCTCACCCAGGCTGTATGTAGTGCGGTGGCATGATCATGGCTCACTGAAGCTTTGAACTCCCAGGCTCAAGTGATCCTCTTACTTCAACCTCCCAAGTAGCTGGGACTACAGCTGTGCACTGCCATGTCTGGCTAATTTTTAAAATTTTTTTTCTAGAGACAGGGGTCTCACTATGTTGCCCAGGCCGGTCTCAAACTCCTGGGCTCAAAACGTACTCCATCCTCGGCCTCCCAAAGTGCTGGGATTACAGGGATGAGCCATCATGCTCGGTCTGACCTGTGAATTCTAATTATTTCATATGCAGGTTGTTTCATGTGCCTAGTGTTTATAAACGTTAAGTGATTGCCTAGCTAGTAATTTCTTTCTATTTTAAAAGTAATATCTATCAAAGGTGTTTGTGCTGTTAAAAGGCACGAGGATGGTAACATGAAGTCCCAAACTACTTCTTTCCATCTGTGTTTCAGATTATTTGAATATATTTTGCTGTATAAGGATGGAGTGATGTTTCAGATTGACCAAGCCACCAAGCAGTGCTCAAAGATGACCCTGACACAGCCCTGGGATCCTCTTGACATTCCTCAAAACTCCACCTTTGAAGACCAGTACTCCATCGGGGGGCCTCAGGAGCAGATCACCGTCCAGGAGTGGTCGGACAGAAAGTCAGCTAGATCCTGTAAGGGTTCAAAGAATCTAAGCATTGTATTCAGCATGCATGATGGGGAAAAAGGTTTAAGTCCTTTAAGGAAGGTAGTTTTTAGGGAAACATCCGCTTAATCAAAAATTTTTTAAAGCCTCCACTTAGGTCTGCAGGTTACTTTGCTCACTATGTGGCAACGGGATCTAAGCTTCATATTTGAAACACCTCAGCCTTCTAGTGCCACCTGCACCTCTCTGCCACTTTGGCTCCTGTGAACTTAGCCTTGATTTTGACATTTTATGGTCGTCCCGAGGTCTGTGACATGGAAGGCATCTGTCTAAGGCACACATTTGAATTGGGTGCCTCCTTTTCTTTCCCCCACTTCCTAAAGTTGCAGGGGTCAAATCTACTCCCATCATGCTGAGTGTGCAAACCAGCCTACTTTTATGTGAAGCCATTCTCTGCCCTGCTGCTGATATACGCCTATCCCAAGACAGTTTTTACCACACAGGCATTCATGCTGTGGAACACAGTATGGTGATTTCTCAAAAAATTAAAGATAAGACTGCCATATGACCCAGCAACTCCACTTCTGTATATATATATATGCCCCAAAGAATTGAACGCAGAGACTCAAACAGATATTTGTACACCCATGTCCACAGCAGCATTATTCACAATTGCCAAAAGGTGGAAACCCAAATGTTCATCAACAGATAAATGGATAAACAAAATCTGGTATAGTCATACAACAGAATATTATTCAGCCTTAAAAAGGAAGGAAACACCAGCACATGCTACAGCCTGAGTAAACCTTGAGGACATAATGTTAAGAGAAACAATGCAGGCAGAAAATGACAAATACAGTACAATCCCACTTACATGAGGTATGTAGAGTCGTCAAATTCATAGAGACAGAAAATCGAATGATGAGTTCCAGGAGCTGGGAGAGGAGGAATGGGAAGTTCGTGTTTAATGGAGACAGAGTTTCAGTTTGGGAAGATGAAAAAAGTTCTGGAGATGGATGGTGCTGATGGTCAACAAATGTGAATGTACTCAAGGCCACCAAACACTTAAAAATGGTAAAATGGTAAATTTTATGTTATGTACATTTTACCACCATAAGAAAAAATATGAACTTCTTGCCTGTCTTCTTTATTTAAAAGTCAACTTTTTTCCTCTTATAGATGAAACCTGGATTGGCATCTATACAGTCAAGGATTGCTATCCTGTCCAGGAAACCTTTACCATAAACTACAGTGTGATATTGTCTACGCGGTTTTTTGACATCCAGCTGGGTATTAAAGACCCCTCGGTGTTTACCCCTCCAAGCACGTGCCAGATGGCCCAACTGGAGAAGATGAGCGAAGACTGCTCCTGGTGAGCCTGTGCATAGGGAAGCGGCAGCATCGGATGTCAGCCCCCTGCGGCCCCAGCTGGAGATGGATATGAGACTAGTCAAGATGTGAATGCTAATTGGAGAGAAATATAATTTTAGGAAGATGCACATTGATGTGGGGTTTTGATGTGTCTGATTTTGACTACTCAAGCTCTGTTTACAGAAGAAAATTGAATGGCGAGGGTGTGGCCATATGAACTGACTAGATGGCTAATATGGACACTTTGGGTATTTCTAATGCCTGTTCAGGGCTGGTTTTCTGCATGCACGGGTATACACATAATGCAGTGCCATGCACATAGGGAAGGGTCAGTAAGAGAAGTTTGCCTTGGCAGCAAGTATTTATTGTTGACATTATTCAGAATTAGTGATAATAAAAAGCAGAGTGATTTTGGTCAATTTTATTATTAATTCTTAAATTCCCTGCAGAGAATGCCCCCTTTATTGCTGCACCAGGGTTGGCATTGCTCCCACTGAGCCCTACTCCACCCTGTCCCTGCACTCCCTTGGTTGCCAAAAAAATGATAACTTAAATCCCTTCCAGACTTAAGAATTTTATGGCATGGCCCAATTGATATAAACATTTAGAAGGAAATGAAAAGCTAAAATAGGAAGTAATTATTCCTCTAAAGAAACATTTTGAGCAAGGCAGTTTAGAGAATCCTAATGTCTACACTGGCATAGCACGAGCCATGTAAGCTTCTTTTTTTTCTATGCAAGAGTATTGATGTATGTGCTGAATCTTCACAGACTTGTCAATACACAGGCAGTATTCTAAAATAGCACTGAACAGGGAGTCAGGAGACTATTGTCTCCTAAACCCAGGACTAGAGTTCCCTCGTACTGTCACTCCTTTGGTCATTAAATGCACTGGGCTTGCCCGCACTTTGGCCTTCCTAGAACACTGCTTCATAACCTCTCTGTCTGACTTCTGCATCTCCTTCCAGGTCAGCTCATTCACAAGAGTTGCTCCCAAGCCTGGATGAGTTGCACCTTGCATCTTGAGCATGCATTTCTCACAATAATTATTAAGCTGTGTGATAATTTCTGCTTTCAGGACACTCATCCATTATCTTGGCTGTGAGCTCCTTGGGTACGGGTACCTTGTATGTTTACTTTTATATCCCTAGCACAAAGCAAGTGCCTGGCACATAGTCAGTGCCCTAAGTATTCGTAGAGTGAAGAATGCCAGCCTCTCTTGTCCCTGGTTTCCTTATGTGTTGAATGTGGTTGAGTTTGTCCATTGCTAGGGAGAGACTTCCAGTAATAAAATTTACTATTCTAGATGCTTCTACTGTTATGTTTTATCTGCCCATTTATCTTTCTTAGTTACCAGGAGAAATGTGTGACACCTATATTATAATGAAAACAATCTCATTACTTATAGTTTATCTATATTAAACAAATTTAATTGCATTTTAAAGCATTCTTTGATACTGTTGCTTTTGCAATAAATATGGATAATCTTGGTTATAAGGGAGTTAAAACAATGCTGTAATAAATAAAGTGCTTCATGTGATCAAAATCAAATTTGTTATCCTCTCTCAAAAGCCTGCTCTCCCTCTTACCTTCCCTAAACTCCAGTGTCCATTTGCCAAGGCCAGAAGCTTCCAAGTCATTCTTGATCCATTTGTCTCCCTCAGTCCTCACTGGCAGTCAATATCCCGAGTCCTATCAAAATAGCTCTTAAAACTTCTGCCTCTTCTCCACTCCCTCAGCCACCACCCAGCTCTGGGCTCTTAACATCATTGGCCTTTGCAGGATCTTCACACCCTCTGTCCTTGCCCTCGTCTTTTTTCTCTAGAAGCCATCCTGTGTTCATTCATTCATTCATTCATTCACTTGGTCAGCCAAATCACAAGCCAGTACTAAGCACCTGCTCCCTCCAGTGCCCATGCAGGTTCCTGGGGTTGCAGAGGATTGTGAAGTTTGGCCATGCAGGCATCTGAACCTCACAGACAGGGAAGAGTTTCGCAGCTGCATTCTAGGTGGCCCAGCCTGCTAACGCCTTTGTGACCATGTTTGCCACACTTCCTGTCTCCCCAACCACAGAATGATCCTCTCCTCTCCAAGCTGCACATCTCTCCTTAGCCCTGGGACTTTGTCTTTGCCCATTGCAGGCCACAACCTTACTCAGAGAGAGAAGGAAACTCCTTTTATTTTATGGAGGCCCATGCAAAGTGGGTACCCTTTTGTTTTTCAGTTGGCCTGTTTTGGTTATTAAGCCACTTCACAGAAAGGAGTAAAAAGTCCAGAAGGATTTGACATCTGGTCACATCTGATCTGATGGCGCCCTGCCTCTGTGGTTCTTCACTGCTTACAAGTAAAGTGGAGACCCCATAGCATGGTGGACACACCCTTTTTCATCAGGCCTCTGAGTCTTCCCAGCCTCACTCCTTGGCACAGTTTCTTCTTTCCCTAAATGCCCAAAGGGCTTGAGGAGTAATGGCTGGGTCACCTCTTGGTGGCAGGAAGGTTTCCTTACTCTGCAGTCTTATGTAAAAACTTTCTAGTGGCCACCAGAGTCACAACGAAGAGGGCTATTAAATAGGTGTGGACTTGTACCTATTAATAAAGTGCAGTATCCCAGTGCCTCACTCATCTGCAGAGGTGGTATCACTGATAGTGGTCTGAGCCAGGGCTGGGTACCACTT
Organism: Homo sapiens; assembly: GCF_000001405.40. Taxonomy (NCBI): domain Eukaryota; kingdom Metazoa; phylum Chordata; class Mammalia; order Primates; family Hominidae; genus Homo; species Homo sapiens. The sequence continues at coordinate 37,953,066 of NC_000007.14, forward strand.
TGTGGATACCCCACCTCATATGTCTCTGAACTTTATGCTGCACTGGAACAATTTACTTCTACTTCTCCAAATGAAGCCTTGCCACTTCCAAATTGCCAGGATCCAGGCAAGCCCCAGGGTGTGCTTGACATACACCTGCCTTCAACTCTGCCACCCTGAAGGCCCAGCTCTACGACAGAGCCTTCACTCCCCCTATCTCATGGGCCATGTGGAGTCAAGGAGGCCCAGCCTTTCTGTCCCCAATTGCTCTGTCATCAGGGTGAGTTTCTTACCATAAGCTTTGCTAATTGAGATTCCTAAAATTGGGACACATTTTAAAATTCTTTAAATATTTAATGAAGGCCAAGAATTTTAGGTCTTTGGGAAATTTTTCAATTAACTACTAATAATTTCCCGCCAAATTAAATTTGACATAATTTGAAAACAAAACGCTCACCTCTTGCTGGGTTTCCTTTACCAAATCCACTTTCTCTGCAGTCCCAGCTACTCAGGAGGCTGAGCTGGGAGAATCGCTTGACCCCAGGAGGTGGAGATTGCAGTGAGCCAAGATTGCACCACTGCACTCCAACCTGGGCAACAGAGAGAGACCCTGTCTCAAATAAGCAAACAAACAAACAAACAAACAAACAAATAAAAGCCTTCATTTTCTCAATGTTGCCTCTGTTATTTTAAATCACTTTGCCTATATATCTACCTGCAGCATATGGGGTGTTTTTACATTTTTCCACTTACGTAGATCTTGTCTTTCTACATCCACAGAAAGCACCTCAAATGCAGGAATGCCATTCTTGTCATTCTTGTTGAGTGAAAATAATTTATATTGAATGACAGAGTAAGCCTCCTCAGCCAAAGACTTGTGAATAACTGGTGATATTTGAAGGCTTTGTAGGTGAACACCTCTTTAAGAGACAAATTTAACTTTATTTATGGATATTCTGATATCAACAACCATCTCTTTTTGGAATGATGCTAAGATAATAAATGATTAGAACATATTTTTATTTGTTTTAAAGCAGAATTATTAGCTCAACTGCATGTGTAGAAAAAATACTGGGCCTATGATTTGTTGTATAGTTTATTCAGGGAGAGAGATGCTTCCCTTAATGATATCCTAATTTTAAAATTTATACTGTTTTCATTAGAGCAAAAATGAACACTTATTTTCAATATTTATTTCATATTTAAAGTTGGAAAATATAATGTAGTCTCAGCATTCAAGGAGTGGGCTATAACTATCCTATAATTTAGAAATAATATCAAAGACTTGGAACCAACCCAAATACCCATCAATGTTAGACTAGATAAAGAAAATGTGGCACATATACACCATGGAATACTATGCAGCCATAAAAAAGAATGAGTTTATGTCCTTTGTAGGGACATGGATGAAGCTGGAAACCATCATTCTCAGCAAACTAACACAAGAACAGAAAACCAACCACCACATGTTCTCACTCATAAGTGGGAGTTGAACAATGAGAACGCATGGACACAGGGAAGGGAACATCACACACTGGGGCCTGCCAGGGGGTGGGGGGCTAGGGGAGGGATAGCATTAAGAGAAATATCTAATGTAGATGATGGGTTGATGGGTGCAGCAAACCACCACAGCACGTGTATATCTATGTAACAAACCTGCACGTTCTGCACATGTACCCCAGAACTTAAAGTATAATAATAAATAATAATAATAACTTTTTTAAAAAGAAATAATGTGCAATGAATACAACACACTCAGGATTTAAGTAATCTGAGTATATGCATGTGTTGTGTTGTGGTTGCAGTTATATCATTCCCAATGGCATATTGTATATTTATTTTAACATACAACTGTTTAAATCACACAGCTAAGTATTCCTTTCCTTCACCAAGATAACTGATGGCAAAATAGGTACTCTTGTTACTTAAACATTACTAGCATTATTGCCATTTTTACATAACCTCTATGATTTTAATAAAGAAAATTATGTAAAAAAAAGAAGTCAAGGCATTATCTGTTATTGTGAGAAATGGGTTTTCAAGCCTAGAATATGTTACTTAATAACCTCTCAGCCCTAGTTGATTAGTTTCTCAGTCAGCCTGGGAGAATACCTGTTGGGAAATCACTGGTCTTAGTTTCCCAATCAGGAGGCACCAATCTAACTATTGAAAAGTCCCCAGTTAACCAAATACACAAACCTGCTTAATTAAAAGTGTAGTTTTGGGATAGACATGTGGGTATTGATATATGTATTAGAAAAACTTAGGGTCTGTTGGTTTTGTTTCACTCCTGATACCAGAAATGATACCTTTCTTGCGGGATCGTGGTATATCTGTCCTCTCTTATTATATAAGTGCATTTTAGCAAAGCTTAGTTTTATATTAAATTCAATTATAAAATGGGGGATTCTTTTTTAAGAAAAATTAAAATGTGTAAAAACTAAATTGAAAATCTTTGATGAGGAAAAAACTAAGATAAAAGTTGTTTCTAAAGCAGTTCTGTGATCACATTAGTTGATGGGCACATACGGGAAGCAGTTGCAATTTAGTCTCTTTTCAGAAGAGCCCTTTGCTTTTAAAGAACTTTCTGATTCTAAAGTGTTAGGTGACCTTGTCTCAGTAGCTGTGGCATCTCTGAGGGCTTGGGGATAATGAAGTGAAGATGTAGACTGCCCTGTCTTGAATGATCTTAGGACATTTTAATAACCTTAAAGTGGACATTAGAATAATGGGAGTGGGCAAAATGACATCATCTCAAGCCCAGGAAAAGTGTATGTTTTTATGATGTTTCTTATAACTTAAACCTCCCTGTACTTAACACCTTTCATAATTTCCTCCAGGTAAACCTATGTTCCTATCACCATAACTCTTATCACATAAAAAATAACTAATAGCACTGCAAAGATGTTTAGATGTATTTTAAAACTTCAAACATCTTGGGACTGAAGACGTTACTTAGATCCATATATGTCCTATCCTTAATACAAAAAATATCATGATGATAGCAATCCTATAATCCTATCTAGCTCAAACTAACTATATCCCAAGCAGCAAAAAGAGGTGAAGAAGAAGGAGCAGGAAGGGGAGGAGGAGGACACGAAGAAGAAGAGGAAGAAGAAGAAGAAGAAGAAGAGGAAGAGGAAGAAGAATAAGAGGAGGAGGAGGAGGAAGAGGAAGAGGAGGAAGAGGAAGAGGAAGAGGGAGAAGGAGAAGGAGAAGAGAAAAAGAAGAGGAAGAAGAGAAGAAGAAAGAGAAGGAAGAGGAATGGAAGAAGAAAAAAGAAGGATGTAGGGGAGGAGGAGAAAACATTTATCACCATAAATTCTCAGTCCAAAGGGCTGTTGATGTATACAGATGAATAAACATGAGAGTAGCACAAGCCACAATGGAGCAGCACTTTAGAGATTTTCAGTTCAGTTGCCTCCCCTTTAAGTTTCTCTAAATTAGAGCATTTCCAGACTAAACGTTCTTTCCTGAACCATGAACCATTGGCCCCGCCTGTCAGAAATTTAGAATTATTTCCATGTCTATGTACCTCATAGTACATGTTGACATTCAATGAGGAATAAAAATAGCCTTAAAAAGAAAGCCTGCTTGTTCAGGGAATAATTTCTCTGCCTTTTCAGTTCAATACATTTAAAATGAGTTTTATTTTGTCTTCTCAAAACAACTAAAGTTCAGTATTATGGTGTATTCAAGTGTGTAGGTATTGAACCTCAAAGGACTTTTTAAGTTTAACTTTGTATGGAAAGTATATGATTATGTAGGTAGTCTTTGGATAATAATGGGTTATCAAGTGATTTTGAAAACTCTCAGATCCATCTTATTCTTTCTAAACCTCTTACTTTCCCTGTTCAGTCATGAGAACTCTGTATTTCCTGAGTGAAGAAAGAGGAGGAAACAGCTTTATTGAGGTAATTCAAATAGCTCAGATAATAGAGGAATGAGAGTCTATTATGGAATTTGCAGTAGATGTCCCTAGAATGGAGATAAGTAAAAATTTTCCCCAGACTCCTGCCATATGTAATCATTCAGTACAACCATCCTGTTCAAAAATAAGTTTGTTAACAAATTTTCCATGTGTCTCTAGAAGAGTGGTCATCAACAAATCAACTTAACAAAGTCAGGCATAAATAGACTAAATTTAGGTGCCCCAAAGTTGGAAATAAGATTAAGCTCTGTGATTGAAAATATAGGACTGATACCTAATAAATGGATAAAGTAGCTATTTAGAGATATACATCACAGAAAGAGAAGGTCTTCAAGTTTGGGGCTATAAAACTGGAGAAATCATGAAGTCCGATGAAAGCAAGATTGCCATTGAAATGCAGTCTCATCAAAGTTTAATCAGAATTGGGGCTGATGTAAAAGAACACTGGAATGTTGTAATTTCGTCTGAAAATGAAGTGTTTTCGCAGAAGGATGTTGGTTTACATGGAGTTTAGTTAGGGAATCTTAAAACCAAGGATTTGGCAGTGTTTATCTAACTGTGTCCAGGAGAGAAAAATGTGGAATCTGGCAGTCATATACAGAATGTTGGGGACAATTATGAGATTAAAGTCATGTGTCATTATTTTGCCTAAGATTTAGGAATATTTCACTTCACTCTCCCTGTCAGGGATCCACAACAGAGCAAGGTCAGGAGACAGCAAAGCAAGTCATCACCGTTACTTAGCTGGAGCTCTGGCCCCGAGCACTTCTGTGGACGTCTGGTCAATCAGGCTAGACCAACTGGAGGAAGTGGAGGCCAAAGTAGCCGCAGGCCAGAGCAGGCCAAATTACTAGTTCTGTCCATTCTACTGCAAGTCCCAACACAAGTAGATCTTACCGCTCCCAGGTCAGCAAAAGGGCACACAGAGTAGACCCACTGGCGACAGAGGAAAAGGAGCAAGGACAAGGAAAGAAGTTTGTGCCTTGGTGCCCAATGCTGCCTTCCTCAGACCTTGGGCTGGTCAGAGCAGTAGCTAACCTGCATGGGAGGAACATCCAAAACAGAGAGATTTGGCCAGGCCTGTTGGTCAAGCAGAATCCAATAAGCTCAGAATGATCCCTCCAAACTAGGTAACTTTTCTTCTGATTAGAAATTTTACTTCTCAAGTAATTTTTTAAAATCATAACTGAATATCCAAAATGGCAGATTTAAGTATTTCACTCACTGGAAAAGTTTAAAACATCATTGCAAAATAATGCAATGTTTTTCTGATTTATTTCCCAGTCTCTTAAGTTAAATTGCTTAGTGCATGTCAGTCTGTAAGGGAGGCTGTGCAGTGTAGTAGAAAGGATGAGGATTTGAAACCATACTTACCTGAGTTCAGATGCTGATTCTGTCCGCCATTACCACTGTGTTACCGTGGACAAGTCATTTGAACAGTCTATGAACCTAAGTTTCCTCCACTTCTAACAAACAAACGAACAAACAAAAAAGGTGGCATATGGGGGTTGTTAGGGTTAAATGAAATAGCATTAGAACGTGTGTAGCACACAGCTTTGCAGGCAATCAGCACTCAAAATATTAGATGTCTTCTACCTCTGGCTTCTTTCCCCCTGAGATCCTGATCAACCCTCCATGGACCAACAAAATCAAACCTGTATGACTGTATGAATCTGCTATGGATTAGAGCAGGGTCCTGGAGGCCTACAAAGGCAGTGCCCTCAGTGGGCTCTGCTGGACCCGTCAGCTAAACCATTCCCTAAGGTATCTCTGTCTGTTCCTCATTGCTCACATTCGTGTGCAGAAACATGCACCCACCTCTAGCCATGCTCAGGCAACGTCAAGTATAATATACATGTAGTTTAAAAAAAAACCCCAGCAACTTCCCCTTAATAAATACATCTCTCATGAACCCTGGCATTTTGCACATAACATTTTTTTTTTTTTTTTTTTTTTTGAGACGGAGTCTCGCTCTGTCGCCCAGGCCGGACTGCGGACTGCAGTGGCGCAATCTCGGCTCACTGCAAGCTCCGCTTCCCGGGTTCACGCCATTCTCCTGCCTCAGCCTCCCGAGTAGCTGGGACTACAGGCGCCCGCCACCGCGCCCGGCTAATTTTTTGTATTTTTAGTAGAGACGGGGTTTCACCTTGTTAGCCAGGATGGTCTCGATCTCCTGACCTCATGATCCACCCGCCTCGGCCTCCCAAAGTGCTGGGATTACAGGCGTGAGCCACCGCGCCCGGCCAACATTTTTAAGATAGAGAAAATAACAGTAGTATCAACCTCAATCTACATCAGTGAGCACTTGTTTTGTGTCACATTCTCTCCAGAGTTTTATACTGATTATTTTATTCAACCTCAACAACCATCTTTGAATTAGCTACTATTGTTATTATGCCCATCTCATAGATTAGAAGACAGAAGTCCACATCAAATGCACTTGACTTGGGAGGATAATTGATAATAATTTTCAACTATGATTTTATTTACTGGTTGCATGCTATTTGTGCATTACTTATAGAAGTCATGTTGACTAAGTGAAGAAAAGACTGGGGAATACGTTAAAACATTTCTCTAAAGCTGATTTTGAATGATATGAGCTTAAAATAAAACTATTTCAATATCACCTTTGTTAGATTGCCAGCAATGCCTGTAGGCTTTTACGCTGTGGTGAAACCTTAACTTTCCCCAAACTTCATGGTCACACTTCCATTTAAGCACAAAAAGGGTGTAGAGTCACAATATATTAAGTTATTTTTTGGCACCAGAAACAAGAAGTACCCATCAGCAGTATGCCAACCTGTGCAAGAATTTTCACTAACTGGCCCTCAAGGGTCATGGCTCAGCAAGGTCATGGCCATTCCATTTCCAGGCTTTGAAAGGTGCCGGGGCAAGCAGGAGTAAGGTAGAAAAATGTTGGCATGCACTGTTGCCACTTCTGCCAAAAGTCTGGCCCATCAATCAGAAAGCCAGCAGTCATCTTTTTACTGAGAGAGTTGTACTGGGGGCAGCTGAAGCCACCCCTTTATCCTCAATTTTCATCCCACTACTGTTCAACAGCACCTCTTTCCCTGAATCGATGTCAGATAATACAAATTCTAGCAGCAACCAAGAGTGAAATAGGACAGGCAATGGGGCCACTGGTGAACAGTTAATGAAATCCCCAAAAGAGAGAAGAAGATCTGAGGATTGTAGTTTTCAGACTAAAGAAGTATCACTTGCTTGAAATGATCAAGAATCCATTCATTCATTGAGCATTACTGAGGCCCTCCTACATGCAAGACTGTCTTCTAGGCACTGGGGAGACAGTCAAGGACAAGGTCCTGCCCTCAGGAAGCCTGCATTCTGCTGAGAAGGAGACAGATGACACACAGAGAATTTTAAAAGCCAGAGAATGACAATAATCACCCAGTTAATGGAAAGAGGCTAAAGGAATATGGTGAATAAATAGCACCTTACGATGGGGATGGTCGGGTACAGCCTCTTTGACGAGGTGCCCTTTAACTTGAGTTTCCAATGTCAGAAAGAAGCTTGTCAGGAGAAGATCCAATAGGTCACATTCTAGGTAGAGGGAACAGTTAAAGCAAAGGCTGAGGCTGCAAGGAGTTCATCTTGTTTGAGGAACTGTACAGGCCAAGTAGATGGAGTTTGGTGGCTGAGACTTTCAAGGAGAGTGGATCCAGATGAGACAAAACAGACAAGGGAAGGCCAGACCTCACATGCTGGAGTGGCCACAGCAATGAGTCTAAACTTCATTCTAAGGCCAATGGGAAGTTGTTGAAAGGTTTTCAGTGATGATTCACAAAATCTGGTTTATATTTTCTAAGATCCTCCTGTTTGCCGTGTGGAAATGGATGGAAGGGGTGTGAGAGAGAAGGTGAGAGGACCGGTGAGCAGGAGTGCAGCAGCTTGGGAGAGAGAGCATGGTGGCTTTCAAGGGGGTGGCTGCAGGGGAATGGGGAAAAGGCACCAGGGTCAGGGCATGTTTGGAAGCAGTAAGTGGGACTTGTTCAATTAGCTGTGGTAAGGTGAGGGAGGAAGGAGGAGTTGAGGAAATCCAGTTGAGTTTTGTCGTGATTAAATTTACATAATATTCAGAGAACTAGATAACAGCAGCAGGAGGAAACCTCTTAATCTAGTGTCTAGTGGAATACCGTGTGTGTGCATGCTATTAGAACAATGAAGAAACTTCTATTAATTATGAAAAATGTGTATATATGCAAGTTTGTGTCTGTCTGTGATGCTATATAATAGGATATCAAACAAAATTTTTCCTGTTTTCATGGCTCAAAGCCAAGGACAATGTTTAGAGAGCCACCAGCCACCTCCTGCTTTTACTGAGAGGCACTAATGAAGACTTGGCTCTACCACTAACTCCTGCATATATCTCATCCTCCTTCTTTTAAGCCACGGAATGTGAAGTAAGTCTCGCTGGGTGTGCAGTTTTCAAAAGTGCATCTGCCATCCCTACCCCACTCTGCTCATGAAACTGAATATGTTTGTCCATCCTCTGGGGAGACTAGCATCTTGTTACTCACTTGAGCATCTGCTTAGACAGAAAAAAGTTTGAAGATAATTTTTTTTTTTGAGACGGAGTCTTGCTCTGTTGCCAGGCTGGAGTCCAGTGGCGTGACCTTGGCTCAGGGCAACCTCCGCCTCCCAGGTTCAAGTGATTCTCCTGCCTCAGCCTCCTGAGTAGCTGGGACTACAGGCACCCGCCACCATGCCCAGCTAATGTTTGTATTTTTAGTAAAGATAGAGTTTCACCATGTTGACCAGGATGGTCTCAACCTCTTGACTTCGTGATCCATCTGCCTCGACCTCCCAAAGTGATGGGATTACAGGCGTGCACCACCACACCTGGCCTGAAGATAAATATTTTAAAAATCAATAGTTTTCTAAATACCAGAAATAATTGGAAATAAAACCAAAACAAAAAAATTATACTTACATGAGCATTAGGAAAACAGACTGCCAGGAATAATCCTTACAAGAAATTTGTGAAACCTCTATTTTTTAAAAAATGTACTTTATAAATACATAATAATATGTAATGATTTTTTAAACCAATTTTTAAATCTATCTACTAAATATTGTATATAATTTATATATATTGAATATATGAAAATATGATTTTTCAGCTTAATATAGGGTTAAAATATCTATTTCCAATCCCAAAAAGATTTCCTTTGCAATTTGACAAAATAATTTCCAGGTTCACTAGAAAAAGGAACAGTTGAGACTAGAAAAATAAAAGGAAGCAGAGTTGTGGATGCTCCCTGTGAAATGCTAGGTACAAAACAAAGTGTTCATAAAAAGCTGCATGGACTCTAGAGTTCACAGACAAGTCACTGAACACAATGGCCTTAAAAAAGAAACACGAATTGAACATTTCATAGCAAAGCATCCTAAGGCCATATAAGGGATGGATTTTCTTACCAAAATATATTGGGAAAATTATCTATTTCATTCAGAAACAAAGTCTAGCTGGAGACTTACTCAGACCATGCACTGAAATCAGTTGTAATGCATTAAAGAGATAGATGTAAAAACAATATAAAACCACTCAAGAATTTTCTTAAGGCTGCTAAACTAAAAAATAGGCCAACATATCCTGATCTTGGTTTGAAAAAATTTAAAGAAAATAAAAAGCATTGAATAAAACCACACAGAAAAAAAAAAAGAACTGACACTATAAAGCCCTATATATGTATATGTACATATAAAAATAAAAGAGATTAAAATAGAACTTACAGGCCAGGCACGGTGGCTCATGCCTGTAATCCCAGCACTTTGGGAGGCCAAGGCAGGCGGATCACCTGAGGTCAGGAGTTCGAGACCAGCCTGGCCAACGTGGTGAAACCCTGTCTCTACTAAAAATACAAAAATTAGCCAGGCATGGTAGCACATGCTTGTAATCCCAGCTACTCAGGAGGCTGAGGCAGGAGAATCACTTGAACCTGGGAGGCAGAGGTTGCAGTGAGCTGAGATCGTGCCACTGTACTCCAGCCCGGATGACAGAGCCAGACTCAGTCTCAAATAATAATAATAATAATAATAACAACAACAACAACAATAACAATAACAATAATACAACTTACGTCTGGGCACAGTGGCTCACGTCTAAAATCCCAGCACTTTGGGAGGTCGACTCAGGGGGATCACTTGAGGTCAGGAGTTTGAGACCAGTCTGGCCAACATGGTAAAACTCCGTCTCTACTAAAAATACAAAAATTAGCTGGGCATGGTGGAGAGTGCCTGTAATCCCAGCTACTCAGGAGGCTGAGGCGAGAGAATCACCTGAACCCAGGAGGCAAGGTTGCAGTGAGCCGAGATCGCACCACTGCACTCCAGCCTGGGCGACAGAGTGAGGCTCCATCTCGAATATAATAATAATAAATAATAATAATAATAATAAATACAACTTAAAACTGGAGAAAAATCTTAGTATATTTCCTACATAACATGACATTTTACTAAGCAATTAAAATATAGCTTATTAAAAATAGATAAAAGATACAAGGAGACATTTAAGAAGACAAAAAGCTAATAAAGATTTTTAAATATCCAACTTCAGTAATAATCAAAGAAATGCAGGTTAAACACTACATAATGCCATTCTCACTTCTATGATTTATAAATATTAAAAAGTTTATAATCCCCAGAGATATGAAAGGGTTGATGATACGTACTCTCATATGCCATAGCTAGCCTATTCTTCCTTTCTTTATTTTTTTGAGAAACTGCAATCGTTTGGGGGATACAGGTGGTTTTTGGTTACATGGATACGTTCTTTAGTGGTGATTGCAGAAATTTTAACGCACCTGTTACCCAAGCAGTGGACACCCGTACCCAATATGTAGGCTTTTATCCTTCACCCCACTCCCAACCTTCTCCTCCACCAAGTCCCCAAAGTCCATTATATCACTCTTATATGGCTGGCCTATTCTTTGGCACATTTCTAGAAAGCATTTTGGTGATACAAATTAAAAGCCTTATAAAATTTCTTATGCCATCATCTGCCCACTCCCACCCCCTAGTTATTGAGATGGGCATTTAAGTATTGCAAACTTTAAACATAATTCCAGCTAAATTCTTGCAGTCCAGATGTGCGCTCTAGAACACGTAAGTTTTAATGAATCATTTGATCATTTATTGGAGTCATCTTCACATTGCTTTTGAAGAAAACACTGGTCTTTCCTCAGATTATCTTTGAGAGTTGGAGAATCTTTTATCCAACCGTATTTAATCTTCCATCCAAGGATATGAATTCGACCTGATGGGCTATTGAAACTTTGGGGGTTGTACTAGTCTGTTCTCACACTGCTATAAAGATACTACCAGAGACTGGGTAATTTATAAACAAAGAGGTTTAGTTGACTCACAGTTATGCCTGGCTGGGAAGGCCTCAGGAAACATACAATCACGGCAGAAGGAGAAGCAGTCACCTTCTTCACAAGGTGGCAGGAGAGAGAGTGTCAGCGAGCAAAGGGGGAAGTACTTCTTCTAAAAGCATCAGCTCTAATGAAAACTCACTCACTATCATGAGAACAGCATAGGGAAAACCACTCCCATGATCCAATCAAGTCCCACTAAGCGGCCCCCTTGACACATGGGTATGGGGAATACAAATTGAAATGAGATTTGGGTGGGGACACAGAGCCAAACCACATCAGGGGTCTCCTCTTTACCAGCCACAGAATCTTTGGATTCTCACTCCTTCAAAATGCACATGCTTGGGCAAAAATACACTGTGTCCATCACAAGCCTTTAGTTCAATTTTGAATGGTGGATTAGCGTAAAATTCCTAGAGCAGTGGATCTCAAACGGTGCCATGACTTGAAATCACCTGAGAGAGTTGATAGAAGAGTTTGTTGGTCCCCTGCTCCCAGTTTCAGATTCAGTAGACCTGGGGAAAGGCCTGCTAATTCACCTTTCTAACCAGCTTCCAGGTGATGCTGATGCTGGTGGAGAACCCCTGGCCCAGAGGAAAGTATTTCTAAGGTGAGCAGGACAAGTAGTCACTTGGTTTTTGAGGGGGCCAAAATTTTGAATTAAAAACATGAAACTATGATAGAATTATTTCAAGCACATATCAGCTAGTGTGCGACAGAGATTTTGGTGCCATACCAATATCCTAGCCACACTCTGACAATCATTTACTACTTTTTAATGTGAGACCAGCCCTTGGTTTTCCAGTTAGACTTTCTTTTCCTAAAGGGCAAATTTCCATCTTAAACATTTTTTTAATTCCCCATAGTTATTTGCACAGGTAAAGGATCAGTAGAGATATGCTTCTGAACTGAATTTATAAATCAAACATACCCTGAAAAGAGAGAATCCATAGAAAGTTTTGGGGTTGTAGCCACAGCTGCAATTTAGGATTTGGTGCTTAGCCCAGTTAAGAAATGTCACTAAATCCCCATCTTTCCATTATCCCAGTTGTAGCTGAGGATAAACTTTGAGGTTGAAGATTTTAATGATGGTAAAGCTCCTCTAAGAGTCCCTGGATGGACTTTATTTGAAGAAGCCAATAATAATGATGATCATGGGATGAGGATAGTATTATTCAGTTCATGCCGGTTCTTAATGAAGTTGCGGGGAAAGAGAAGGAGAATGTGAGAGATGCAAATAAAGGAATTATCTCTGCCTGGGAAACAATTTTTAAAAGCCAACATTTCTCATGTATCGGCCTCGAGGTTTTCTTTTTTTATTTTTTAGGGAAGGTTTCTTGGAAAAAGCTGTTGAGGTTGGGTATCGAATGTTCTTTGTCTCCTTCTTTTTTATGTACTTATGTGGTTATATATGTATTTACTTTTATCCCAGCCATTGGGCAATATCCTATTTTCCCCTGATGAAGCTGGGGCTTTGGTGCCCTTTCCAGTTATAGTAATAATAATGGTTAACTTGTTTATAGCACTTACTAATCACAAGGCACTGTCCTAAGTATTTGACAAGTATTAATTCATTTAATTTATAACGGTCCTATTTTATTATTTATTTTATAGTTGAGAGCTCTGAAGCACAGAGAGATTAAGTAGCATGTCCAACGTCAGCCAGGAAGTAATACAGCTGGGATTTATGCTGGTCAGTCTCTAACCACTATGCCGAGCTGTGGGCTTAAAGCCATGCTGCTGAACTGCAATGGAATACCAGGAAGCCACAGGCTCCAAATCAAAGGACCCCTGTGAAATTCTGGTCCAATCTATAGATGTCTTTGCACCCAATTTTTCATCCAGGTATAATCAAGGATCCTAATAATTACTTCACAGACTTCATAAAGTAAAATGATAATATGTATGCACAAACAACTACAACAGTCCCCTGAGCACGTGTACTCGGCACATGTGAGTTTCTGTCCTTATGAGAAGAAATCTTCACAACAAAGGAGGTGTGCATTCTCTGGCCCCATACATCTACGTGTTCTACCCATCCTTAGAGGCATTGTGGCTGAAGGTGAGAACATCCCTTGTGTCCTGGGGCATGCTGTGTTTAGAAGAGCTGTCACTCACACGCATACACATTTTGACTGAGTCAAAATTGCACCTAAAAGAGACAAGAAGGAAGCTCTCAACTAAACTGAATTTTCCAGGATTTGTCTATAGCAGAGAGACAGGGTGATATTTTAAATATTACCATCCCCAGGCCTCAGTGAACCAAACTCAAAAACTTTTCAAACTTTTCAAAAGCTGCAAAACAAAACAAAACAAAAAACTATGGGGCATGAAGATGCAGATGCATGCATACTTCCAGAGTAAGTCTCTGCAAGCCCATGACAACTCACAAAGGAGATAAGCCTTGGTGAGTCCAAGCTAAGATGGAGTGTGGGGCTTCAAGGCCAGCCACTGGCCAACAACTCACCTTTGAATGCCCAGTGCCCTGGGCTCTGCCCGCTGCCCTGCCCCAATGCATTGCCTACATCCTAGTAGACTTGGAGGCTTGCAGACTTTGCCTGAAGATGGTGGCAGGAAAACCAATGTGGAATAGGACCAACCTGTTGAAACTTCTATATGATCCAGAGACACCATGCACAGGGCATTGCTGCCACACTTGCCACTGGGGAGTGGTTCTAAGGAGAGCAGGTGAAATGAAAAGCATGACTACTGTGTCTGACAAAGGCAGGGCTCCAGCAGGGCTTGCCTGTGTCATCGTTCTAATATGAAGGCTTATGTTTCCTGGGGCACTGTTCTGAGAGTACTGTGTGAAATGACCCCTTTATTCTTCACAATGGCCCTTATTATCCTGTATTATGAGACAGTTGAGACTTAGAGAGATTCAATGACTTGCCTGATTCCCACAGCCAGTAGCCCTCTCTCCAGGATGGTGCAAATCTTTAAAGGCATCGCCCTGCTCTCTGAAGGAAATACAATCTCCATCATAGCTGCAGGCAAGTCCCTGCAGAAACCAGCCCCTCAGTACCTCTCTACTGAAATTACTATTTTTTTTTTGCCCCATTCTCATTCTGCATTTAGTCTACGGTGAATTGTGTTCATGTCTTCAAGTGTATTATATTCTGTCACCTCAGGACTTTTACATGTGTTTTCTCTGCCTGGAACCATTCTTTCCTATCTCCCTGTCCAGGACAATCACTATTCAGACTTCAGGGTAAACTTAGATCCAGTGTTTTCCCCAACAAGAAATTGGCAGTTACTCATATAATCTGCTTTGTAGTACATTGTTCTTTGCTTATCATACATTTTACTTTATTGTATTGACTGATGGAGCTGTTGGTCTCCCCACTAGACACAAGGCTCTATGTGGCCAGACTTTGTCCACAGAGCATGGAGCCTTTCTCCACATGGGTGATCAATAAATATCATTGCATGAACAAAAACTTGAATTTCTTTTGCTTTGCTGTGTCATTTCCCCCACTATCCCATCTCTGACTCTGAAAATCCTAATTTAAAGTTCTTGCTGATAATTGGCCTCATCAGTTTGACTTATCAGTTTGACTTAAGACTTTGTTGTCTCCATGCTTGCCTAGCAAGAACCAAAATTCTTATATACCAAAATCCTTAGAGAGTTCCAAAGAAGTTATCATAATGCCAAAAAATAATGCGGAGCAGTCAAAAAGAAGGGTCTTTTTTTCCTTCTTAATTTAAAAAAACTCTTCTCCGATTTCCCTTGAAGCCACTGACACACACATAACCCTGGTCTCACTGTAACCTCACAATCCAGGAAGCCACATATCATGTGCTTTGGCTCTTACAGGTCACTCATGCTCAGAAGCAGGGCAAGAATGAAAAAAACACTAGTTTCAGGGGAAAAGAAAACTCAGGCCCTGTTCCCAGCACGGTAACTCTCTAGATGTGCTGATTTCTGCATGATGTTCAGTCTCTCTGGGTCTCTATTTCCCTTTATTTCATAGAGTAGCTTTGAGAATTTAGTGAAGTAATATATGCCAGATGCCTAGGCAAGGGCCAAACATGTAACAAATAGTTGCTGATGCCAGTTTTCTTCTTTCCTTTGCCTTTATCTTGGGAGATTTTGGTTTAGGAATTTTATAGCATATCTGATACTATAAAATGATTAATCTGGTCATCAGTGGATCTGTAAACACCTGGAAATTGCATGCAAAGTTGGGTATGTCTTCAAGTAACTTTATTTCTACAGAAAGTGTCTCTGTTAGCTTCCTGGGTCTGCTTTAACAAAGTACCACAAACTGAGTGGCTTAAAAAACATAAACATATTGCCACACAGTTCTGGGGGCTAGAAGTCTGAAATCAAGATATGGGCAGGGATGGTTCCTTCTGAGAGCTGTGAGGAAGAATCTATTCAAGGCTTCTCTCCTAGCTTCTGGTAGTGCCAAGCATCCTTGGCTTGTCGATGGTTGTCTCCTTGCATCCAAATTTGGTCTCTGTGTCCAAATTTCCTCCTTATATAAGGACGTCAGTTATTCTGGATTAGGTCCCACCCAAACGACCACATTTAACTTAATGATCTGCAGAGATTCTATTTCCAAATAAGGTCACATTAATAGGCACTGGGGTTTGAACTCCAATGTTTCTTTTGAGGGGAAACAATTCAACTCATAAAAGAATACAGTTTTCATCAGATTCTTAACGGGGCTTATGGCCCTTCCAAAGACTAAGAACTAGTAACTGTAAAATCTACTTTATGGCTTATCCAATACCAACCTAACCAGCAAGCTTGTAGGCTTGAGATGGACCATGGTACGTCTTGAGTGCCAAATCATGGAGAAACACCAAGGCAATTGTGATGGGGTTGTTTATGCACGTGCTAATGGGAAAAAAGTACAGGAAGTATCTTTCTACATCAAACTTTATACCAGTTGGTAACCATTGCTGTTTGGTTAAAATCTTGCTGTGTTAAGAATTTCTCAAGTCTCATTCTAATGAAGTTTACAATCCAGTGGCTGAGACATGTTTACCAAAAAACACATATGCATGCATAATTATAAATTGGGAATAGTACTAAGATGGAAAGAAGCAAGATTCTATAAAATTAAAGAATATGACTTGACCTGGATCGGCCAGGGAAGGCTTTACTGAGGAAATGATGCTTCATCTGAGTCTGGAAAAATGAATTAAAGTGCATCTAAAGGGATGAGTATTCCAGGCAGAGGAACAGCACGTACAAAGCCTCTGCGATAGGAGGGAACATGGCATATTGGGGAAACTATAAGAAAGCCAGTGGTATGGGAACAGAGACTTGGAAGTGGGAGAATGAGAACAATGTGAGATGAGGTTGAAGGACACTTGGGCATTTTGAGAAATGCAGGAACTTATCCTAAGAGAAATGGGACACCATTGAAAGGCTTTTCCATCTTCCTCAACCTGCATGTCAATCTATACTCTTAGCCTGCTAGCCCTCTGCCATCTTGACATTTTTAGCCTTGATTCTTCAGAGATACCACTTTATTCTGGATATACTCCCACTACTCTGGCTATGCTTTTTCAATCTCATTTTTCTCTGTCTGCTCCTTAAATATTGCTTTCCACTCCCTCCCTGAGTGATCTCATCCTGTTGCATGGTTTCAGCTACCATCCTCTTGTAGATACCTTTACAAAACCTTTTTCCTGGGTTGTAGTTGCCTTTTTTCATCTGCTTAGAAAATAAATAATGCACAATTTTCGTCAATTTTTGTCACATGAATATTTATGAATATTTATATGGTCTGCTTAAGCCCTGTTTTGTAACTCTATGGATAACTGCTTTTGAGAGGATGTTCCCAAACTGGTATCATTTTAGCTATTAAGATAAATTTGCTACAGGGCGGAAGAGAATAAGTCACCTCTGAGGAGGTGTGAACAGTGACTGGTGGGGTGCTGGCCGCAAGGCCTCCCTGCTCATCACTGGAAACAGTTGACAGATAGTCTGCCCTTGTGTGCTCTCCTGATATATAAAACACATGCTTTGAGTTTGCTGAGGTTTCCACTCATCTTTCCCAGGGCACCCTGACTCAGGGCTCCAATCACCCTCTGCTGACATCTGTGTGGGCACAAAGCATCCCCCCAGCTGAGACGGCATGAAAGGAAACCAACACATTAATGCACTTGAAGGTCACTGTGGCAATGTCTGAAAATCAGACTGCAGTAAAAGTCTTGGTGCATCTGATTCTCAGGCAGAAATACTTCTCAGGTATCTACTGTGGAAGATAAAGAGGAAGGGTAGAGAAAGAAAGAGAGAAAGGGAAGAAAAGAGGCAGGGAGAAAAAGATGCAAATGAATATTTGCTAAACACTACATGATTTACTTTCACAGGCGTAGTTTATTTAATCCTTACAGACAGCCTGGCAAAGTAGGTATTTTTTTAAAATTTTAATTTGTATAGGCTCAGATCCATGAAGCAGGTCTCCTGAACTAAAGACAAACAAACAAACAAAAAACTAGTAATTTTTTCAACAAGTTTGGAATCAATCATTCTTGCTTTCCTTTAAATTTGATCTTCTTTCAACTATACCACAAAGCCTTGGTCACTGATTTGGGGAATTAACCAGAACTTCTGTGTCATTCTGGGTTCTGTCACTCTTGTGAGGACTCAGCTACCATTGAGTTCTCTGTGCTTTTTCTTTGCACAACTTGTACTGAACCTGTACGTTTAAGTTGAACCAACACAGCCAGAAACCCAAACCAAATGGCTGACAGCAAATACATATAAGCCAGGGACCCATCAGTTCAACTGAGACAATCTCCTCTGTCCTATCCCTTAAATTTCTCCCATCTTATTACAATTTTTTTTCCTTCTAGTCTAGGTTTCTCTTCCTGATTTGGCTCAGCTTATACTCTTGGATGTGGGAACTTATTTTTACTGGCTCTAACTCAATACTAATTAAGGATTTTCCTCCTGGGACACCAAAGGGTGGTCTTCCTGGACTTATTTCAGGTCCTTGAATGCTTTATGACTGAAAGCAAACTCCTCATACTTGTCTACCTGGCTGGTACTCAGATGCTCCAACGCTGAAGCCCTGTAGGACAGGGGAGATTTTAGAGAGGACATGGAGAGGAGAATCCAATCAGAGAATGGCCTTTGGGCACTCCAGCAATGGCTCTCATTAGCGGATTGTACTTATCCCCCTAGCAGGAGTGTTATATTGAGGAATTTGAAGGAAATTTTGTCTAGCAAGAACTGTCTGCTTTAGTCATCATTAACGGACTACATTGAGCAAGTGGTCATTCAACCAAATTCTCATACATAGGGCGAATTCCTTTCTGTTCAACTCAGTTAGTCATTCTATCCTTGGGGACTCCAAAAGGTTTTGTGCAAATCTCCATTAGGAATATACAGTAATCACTCCCCAGCAGTGAGTTTCTTTGTTGGGTAATTCCAATAAATGTGTCTCTACTTCTGGATTTCTTTTCCTTACTGCCCAGAATTTTGCCTCCATTACCCATGCACTTTAAATTCTTGGGGAGGTTTATGTCCTCATAATAAGCTCTAGCCGTGACTTCCAGGTACCGGTGAATCATTCCATGCCCCATGCTTGCTGCTATTTTTTGTTATTCACATCTTGGCACTGATTGAACATAGATCCAACCCCTTTCTATTATTTTTACAAAGAAACAAATTACTCAAGGTCTTTACTGCAATTTTAGGCAGATAGAAGGAGCTTACAGGCAGTACAGAATGCACCCTAAGATTGGACATAAAAATTTCTGAAAATTCTCATGGAAATTGTAGGCACGTGACTTGGTCATCTCTTTAAAAAAAAAATCTTCTTTCTTTTCTCCTCTCTCATTCCCATATTCCTGTGTTTTTCTAACTGAGAGCAGTTGAGCTCTTTCTTTAATGTCCTGTTGTTTTCTAACCAATGCTCTCAGTGACTCAGCTCCTAATCTCAAGTGGTTAATTAAGGTATTTTGCTAATTAAGTCAGTTGTTTCCATGAGAGTTGACTACTGGTATGATTTTTTTTAACAGAACATAAACATAAAAGCATTTATTGTTAATAGGGTAGTAATACACCAAAATGGATGTAAACACATATCTTTCCTTTAATCCAACTCTGCGGGTATTTTTTTTTTAAGAAATATACTCCAGTCTGGGCATTCACTGTCTCCTTGGCAGAAGCATATTTATAAGTCATCCCACCCCTCCCTCCAGGCCATGTGAGAAGAAACACCTGGCAAACAGACTCTGAGCTGAGCATCTCACATCTTCTGGAGCTTCAATGATGAACAGGTAATTCCCCACCTGTCATCAACATCATGCTATATCCTAAAAATTAGGCAGAGATATGTATCAATTTATTTGCCTAATAAGCAAACCAAGTTAACCAGTTATTAAAATAATTTTTTTCTCACCCTTCACACCAAAAGTCAAACCACTCTGTGTCTCTGGAAACTCAGTGAACCCAGTCAGAGGTAGTCATGAACTTGAAGTTTGAAAATAGGAAAAACAGAGGACATTCTATTTTGGTTATTGCAGGTAATAAAAATAGGCAGTTTAAAAGGCCTGCATGTTAGTTCAAAACACTCATCTGATTTATGCCTTTAAGAACTTAATTTTTTCCCTTGACTATTTTGAGAAATCTTACCTTTATGATTGATGAGGGGCTGCTGTATCTTTCTGAATTATGATTCTTTCCAAGTCTTCCCTGCTCTGTTCTCCAAGCTTCTTTAAGTGCTAGTAAATGTAGATTAAATGAATGAATGGTAGATAAACAAAAGAATTTCAGAAAGAGAACAGAAGGAAAGAAGAAGAAGAGACAGACAGAGAGGAAAATAGAGGAGATATGGGAGAGAGAGAGAGAGAGAGAGAACTGATTGCTGTAATTCATTTATTTAAAACAACATTATCTAGAATAGTCAGTATCACCTAATAGAAATGTGTTATTTAAGGGGAACACTCAACCCATCAGCAATAAAAAAGCAGCTAGGACACTCCAACTGATATTCCATATCATAAACTAGGTCAATATAATTTATTAAGATTATGTGATTGATAAGGGAAGTAACTTTTCTGGTTAGATTTTGGGGAAATAGTGCAAAAAAAAAATACCAATGTTTACTGTCCATTTAAGCCCTGTGCTCATGTTTTCATTTTTGTGGGAAAAGGGAAAAATGATTCTGGATCATGCCATTCCTCATTTCTCTGACAACACTCTCTCAAAATTCTCACAGTACAATATTGTTTTAAATACTCAGTGATCAAACACTTTCATCTGAAACTAGAAAATATTTAAGAAGAAATAAGACAACTGGTGGTTTTATCCTCATCATTTTCTTTTCCTTCATCCCTTCCTTTCTTCAAAACCCTAGCAAACGTCATACGTACAAAAGAACCGCTGCCTAACCACAGGTTTTAATTCAAGGAAGGCAGAAATTTCCTCTCCCAAATAAATTTCAAAATAATGAAGCCAGTAATTCAATAAAGGAAAGAAAAATAATATTTTCATGGAGGAAAGTTGCCTACTAATGCAGTGCCACAGTTTTCAATCCAAGCTGCCCCCAAGCCTTGATAGTGGCCAAGAAGACTGATTTCCCAGAGAGTCTCCAGAACAGGAGTCATCAGGGACATTCTCTTTCTTTCCTGCTCCATGATTGTATCTGGTGTGGTCACCATGGAAAGACAGGCCTTCAGCTGAGCTGCCTTTGAACTGTGTGAGCTTAGCCCTGTTTGAGTTGAGACAGGCACTGAGAGGCATAACTATGGCTCTGCATTTAGTCCACATCAATCAAGGAATTGTCATGTCTCTTCCTGACTTTGTCTTAAGCACCTTGTAGGACAGATAAGAAGCAGTATTTAGAATGTCAGAGCACGACTAAGGGGTGTAGGTGGTCAAACCTCATAGGGGCATATGACTAAGCTTTCATTTCTGAACAATGGTGATAACAACAGTTTCAGAAAGCACCATTTCTGGAACTTTTACTTTTGACACTGATATTTTGCCAAGAATTTACATGCATCTTTATAGCCAATGATCCTCATTATAGAAGGATGATGATCACTATTACCACCATTATTCAGAAGAAGTAACTGAGCCTCAGGTAGGTTAATCAATGTACCCAGGTTCAGTAGGGCACACCCATGGAGAAGCTATAGTATGGAATTCAGCTGTCTGCTGAAAATACCCATGTTTTTAACTGCTATGCAAAATGATGTATTTATTATGGAGAAGTCATTTTAAAATCAGGTAGAAACATATAAATTTATGATCCATAAAACTTAAAAGTGTTTACCCATTGTTTGTTGAGTTGTGCTCTGGTGTAGAACCAAGGACACTGGCCTCCAAGGGTGGTCCTCCAGCTAAGTTGTCAATCCTATCTGTAGCCACTCCTCTACCCTCTGCTCCAACCACCCTCAACGGCTTATATTCCAACATACTTCGTGCCTTTGTTTAAGCTGCACCATCTGCCTTAAATGTCTTTCTCCTGTCTGAGCAGCTCAAATCCTGCTCATTCCTTACATTTTGGCTCAGTTGTCACGTTCACTTAGAAACTGGGAAATAAGAGAAAGTTGAAGAATGGTTCTTTAATTGAGTTGTGAACCTAGCATGTGTTTTGGTAAATTTGATACTGGTGTGAGTGAAGTGCTACCGCATTACAGAGCCTTTGTGTTTGCCAAGTGAGAGCAGACAGTTCCTACTTTCTGTATCCACTGTGATTCTCCAAGAACAGAAGAAGATTTCTCTCCAGAACAAGGAAAGCAGGGCTGAAAAGCTGCCATTCTGCCTGCAAAATCTGTAATTCCTGTATATTCGAGAGAAAATTTACGCATGAGGGAAGCTCCCATGTTCTTACATATAATATAAATGGGAAAAGTACTAAGAATGTCCAATGTCCAATAAATAAGTCTTTGATCCCTCATGAAATTTTTGATACCCTGCTCCTCTTTTTGCAGTGTGGGTTTATTAGAATTACCTTATCAATGGCATATCAGGTTTCTATTCCTTCCATTAATTTAAGGAAAACGAATGAGCTATATATGCATCTGTGGATAATACATTGTTGGTTATCACATTCGGCAGCTTTAGTGCAGTAGCAATCCCTCCAAATCCCAGTGACTTAACCAAAACCATATACTTGTCACTTGACTTTGTGCATTAGCAGCAGCTTCTTATCTAGGCAGCTCTGCCCAATATGTCTCATTGAAAGCTAAAAAGTGCTCATTCTGGGCACTAGGCTGAAGGAGCAGCGCTTATTTGAGATATATGGTCCTTGTGGCAGACAGAAAAGAGTAAGATAGCTAAAGAAAACAATCAATGGCTCTTAAAACTTCTGCTTGGTAGTGAAGTGTGCACACACACTCACTTTGCGTGGACCAAATCAAGTCACATGGCTGAGCCTGACGGCAATGGGCATGAATATTTATCCCTTCCATTGGAGGCACTGCCAATCAAATTGCAGAAGGTGGGGACATATAATCCTTTTAAAAGAAGGGCAAGTGGCCAGGCATGGTGGCTCATGCTTGTAATCCCAGCCCTTTGGGAGGCCAGAGTCGGTGGATTGTTTGAGGCCAGGAGTTTGAGGCCAGCCTAGGTAACACGAGGAAACCCTGTCTCTACAAAAAATTTAAAAAATAAAAAAATTAGCCAGGTGTGGTGGCACATACCTGTAGTCCCAATTACTCTGGAGGCCGAGGCGGGAGGACCGTTTGAGCCCTGGAGATTATGGCTGCAGTGAGCCAAGATCATGCCACTGCACTCCAGCCTGGTGACAGAGTGAGACCTCATCTCAAAAAAAAAACAAAGAAACAAAAGAAGAGCCAGGAAGTTGTTATTGGTTATACAGTTGGTTATGGCTACTTAGATATTACTTATAATGGGTGTGACCTCTATTGCGGATTGTCATAGCCCGAATTGTGTTCCACCCCAAAAAATTCATGTTTGGTATCCTAAACCTCAGTGCTTAAGAATGTGACTGTATTTCAAGATTGGGTCTTTAAAGAGATAAATAAGGTTAATGGAGTTCATTGGTGTGGGCTGTAATCCAATAAAACTGGGGTCCTTATAAGTAGATGAGAGTAGAACACAGACATGTACAGAGGAAAGACCACATGAAGATGCAAGGAAAAGATGACCATCTGCTAACCAAGAATAAAGGTCTCAAAACATCGGGCCTCAGAATTGTGAGAAAATAGATTTCTGTTGCTGAAGCCACCCAGACTGTGGTACTTTGTAATGGCAGCCCTAGCAAATAGACAGTGATGAATAAATTAGCAGATTTGATGACATTGATATTTCCATTATTTATTTTATTCAACACCTCTAATAATCTCTATTATTATATTAAACATTTACTCTGTATTAAGTATAGTATTAAATGTTCTATATACATTATCTGTTTTATTCACTCAAGACAATTCTATGATGTAAGTACTACTATTTTCCACATTTTGTATATGAGAAAATGTTATATCGATAGCTTGAAGGGTTTGAAGAACTTGTCTAAGTTGACACCCAGGTGGGGAACTGTGATCTGATCCTAGGTCATCTGAATCCAGAATCAGCTTTCTGCCACCATTATCAAGGGACATTGGATATTCTGTAGCATTTACTAAAATCAAGAAAGTTAAAAAAATATAAACATGAGAGATCTATGATGCCCATCTTGAGGAGTTCACAATCCAGTTGATAAAAGAAAAGAAGAAATAAGTATAATCCTAGAGAAGATAAGATAAATGTCATGTAAAACACTCTGTCCAGAATTGTTATTTATAACTTGGATGAGGAAATTGATGGCACAATAATAAATGTTGCTGAAGATGCAGCTGAAAGAGATGTTATTCCTTGGATAACACTCAAAATTTTAAAAAGGTGATACATAAAACTATCTTGTCAGGCTGGAACGATTGGCCAAATCTGGAGAAACGATGCATGATGAACAAATAAAATAAATTTCTAAGTACAAAAAAAACTGGATCAGAACAATAACAACAAAATAATGTAGTTTGTTGTGTGAACAAAGGTCATTTTAGTTTCATATTAGTCAGCTGTATCACTCATTGTGGACTAAGTCATTCAACAAACATTTATAGGGTGGCTCCTAGGAGGAAGTGGAAGGAAGTCACTGCTCTCAAGTTGTCAGTCCAGTGGTGAGAGAGACACATGAGCAAATCATGATACAAGGATCTGACAGATGCCTTTAAGTGAGTCTGAATGAAGCACCTCGGTAAATGGCAGAGAAAGGAAATAATTTTTGTAGGTTCATGAGAAGAGGTTGAGATGGGAAGGAGTTTGCTGGGCAGAGAACCAAGTTCATGATAATCTAGGAGGAAGAACAGTAAGTGAATATTCAATTGTATGAAAAAGCTCTCCCCTGTTTGGAATGGCTGAAATACAAGTTAAAACACCAGCATAGGATGAGGCTAAAATTTTGACTGGGATTCGGTTTTGAAGGGCAGTACAGTTAATGCTGCTGAGTCTGGCCTTCCTCTTGTATGTAACAACAAGGTAATAAAAATTTCTAGAGGAGCAACATGACCACATTTGATTTTTTGGAAGATAATTGTTGCAAGCAATGTACAGAAAAGACTGGAGGGTGGAGAGAACAGATTCAGGGAGATCAGTTAACGAGTGGTTGCAATTTTCCAGTAAGAGAAGTTGAAGCCTAAGGGAGGTAGGTTCTGCTAAAAATACTGACACTAATGGTACAGCTGTGGCTCTTTCCACTGTCCTGGCTCAAAGTGAAGTTTTGAACTGTTTTTTTGTTTTGTTTTTTCTGAAACCACCCAAGTTGAGCTGCTGGTTCCTTCTGCACTACCCGGTCCCTTCCCGTGTCCACAGTTCTACCCTTTCTTATACGGGCCTTAAAAAGTGCTGGGGTATTGATAAATGTTTATAGTACAGTTGAGATGGGCTGACTGAAACATCAGGATGTACACGGGTGACATTTCTACTGGGTGCTCATGGGATGAGTTGTAAGCAGCGATCAGAGGAAGAACCTTCACGGGGGACAATGAAAAGCAACGCTAGCAATTGTCTTTGGCAGGACAGAGTGCAGCACTCTACTGAACATGACAGACAGCCTTCAGCATGGCTTAGCTCTGTCGCCTGTTGACTGCCCTTGGGCTGGCCATAATGGTCTTCTTCAGGGCAGAGATTGAGTTCTTTCCAAGTATGATCTCTGCTCTTCTCTGTGTGATCCCTCCAAGCCATGCAGAAGGTCACCCTGACCTCCGTTCTTGTCAGGTTCTCTATCATCCCATTGACTCCCTGGAAAACTGCACTCTTAATTTTTTATTTGTAGGCTAACTTTATACCTTTATCTTTCAAATCTTTGCCTTTTGATTTCCAAAAATTATTCTCTCAAAAATCTTGGCTCTTATCAACTAACAGCTTTCAAAAACTATCATCTTTTATGTGGACTTCAAAAACTTGACTGTCTTTGTTTTTCTTTGTGTTTGAGCTAAATAAATTTTAAACCTCTCTTCTCAAATTCCCCTTAAAGATATCTCTAACAGTTTGTATTCTCTTTGTGTTCAAGCTAAATAAATTTTAAACATCTGTTCTCCCATTTTCCTTAAACTGAAGATATCGCTAGGAGTTTGTGTCTCTATATAGGGACATACATAATCAGACAGGTATGGAAAAGAAAAGGATATTATATTATTTTCTAAATATAATTTTTACAATGATTGTATTAAAAGCCAACTAAAATTATGATATCCTAGGAGAATAAAAAATTACTAACATTGACTCAAGAAGAAACAGAAGAAAGAATAGGCTAATTCAAATGATAGGGAAAAAAGCTGAAAAAGATGAGAAAGTATGAAACTGCTTCACAATAAAGGTGCCCGCCCAGTTTTATGCAAGATGCCTTTGAGAATCATACATAATGCCTATGATTATTTTTAAAATTGCTCTGAAGCATTGGTGTTCAAAATATTGGCCGGGCACAGTGGCTTACGGCTGTAATCCCAGAACTTTGGGAGGCCAAGGCGGGTGGATCACTTGAGGTCAAGAGTTCAATACCAGCCTGGCCAACATGGCAAAACCCATCTCTACTAAAAATACAAAAATTAGCCAGGTGTGGTAGCACACACCTGTAGTCTCAGCTACCTGGGAGACCAAAGGACGAGAATCATTTGAACCTGGGAAATGGAGGTTGCAGTGAGCTGAGATCATGCTACTGCACTCAAGCCTGGGCAACAAGCAAGACTCTGTCCTCCCCCACATATCTACATGTATGTATATATATATATGTGCACAAGAATCACTTGGGGAGGTTATTAAACACATGGACTCCTTTCTCCTCTCCTCTCCCCATCTTCTCTTTGGGACTTTGATACAGTAGCTGTGGGATGGGATCTGGGAATCTGAATTTTAAATAAACAGATGCTCGGAGAACAATACTGTCCTTTGAGAAGCCTGTTCTAAAGCCATGGTCTTTTTAAATATGAAGTTTGCATTAAAAATCCATTAGGATGGATTAAAAAATAGAACTTTATTTTTCTTAATAAAAGAAAGAAATTTCAATTTCACTGTAATAGCATTTATTTAACTGATTGACCTGGCTCCTTCTCTGAGTTCTTATGGTCAAATGGCCAATGCACATGTATGGCCCCACAGATATTCTTGAAAGAAAGTATGGGTGCCACCTGGTCCCCTCAACAGTGTGTTTGCTCTTATACACTGCACTGCAATTTGCAACTATGTGGGTTCTACCATATAGTTGTCATTAAAGGAATCCTCCCAAAATGGACAAATGGCATGATTATATTCCTGAAGAGAAGCCACAGATTGAAGAGAGAGCACTATTAAATGATGCTTTTACTATTGATTGTTCAAAGAAAAGATTTCATCAGTCACATTATGAGTCAGACACAACTATGACCTCATCAGATATTAAAAACATTGGCTGAATAATTTTAAATGATCAGGAATGTTACTGGAAAATAGAGATCCATACACAGTATCGGCAAGAGCAAACCTTATTTTAATTGTATATTGTACCTGTGAATTAGTTTATAAAAGGATGAGGTCTTCAGGATGCTGAGTACTTAAAATCTAAGCATCCAGAATATTATTAAAATAATTTTAATTAGAGATATGATTTGTAAATAAATCAAAATGCATATAATATGGTAACATTTTAACAGCAAATTTGCTGATAAATGTGAATTATTAAAAAGAATAAGCCTCTTCTTACAGGTAGGGCTATTCAAAATGTGGTCCATGGACTGCTGGTGGTCATCAACTATTTGTTACGTGGTCAAGATAAATATGGCAATAATAGTCAGCATTTAGAAACTTTTACAGCAATTTGGTAGAGTAACCTGATGCCTATTGAATCTATTCATAAAGAAATTAAGCTTTTATTTCGATTGTTTTTGGCTTCTTGTTTTATTTTTCTAGTAATTTCTTTTTGCTTTGTTTTAACCAAAATAGCAGTGCATGATGGATAGGAAATTGAAATAAAGGATTTCACCACAGATAATTTGAAAAACATTGTTTTAAAGCATAGAAAACAATTCTAATTTATGTATAATATCCTAGTTTATTTTATAAATTAGCATAGTCCTGAAATCAATACCTGACAAATATCCCACAATAACAAACCTATAATTATAAGGAAAATATTAGCAAATCAATCCAGCCTCAAATTAAAATACTAATATGCCATGACCTCTTTGAATTTTATTTTTTTCTTTAACTTTTAAACTGTAAAATGGTTTAATTTCTAATAATGTGTTATTTATATAATTATGCTAATAGCTTACAAGAGACAATAACATAATTACATTGATAAATATTCATGAAAAATTATTTCATCAACAAAACAGGCTATTAAGTAGTAATAACTACAATTTTTTATAATCATATATTTACTTAGTAGAAAAAATCTGGAATATTATAAACCAAAACGCTTACATTGGCTGTTTTGTTTTGATTTATATTTTCTTCTTATGTTTATAGCTATGTTCTAAACTTTCAATAACACATTTTTTTTTAAGAGACAAGATCTTGCTCTGTCACCCAGGCTGGAGTGCAAGGGCACCATCATGGCTCACTGTAACCTTGAAGTCCTGGGCTCAAGTGATCTTCCCACCTCAGCCTCCCAAGTAGCTAGGATGACAGGTGTGTGCCACCACTCCTGGCTAATTTATTTATTTATTTTTTTGCAGAGGCGGGGTCTTGCTGTATTGTCCAGGCTGATCTCAAACTCCTAGCCTTAAGCCATTCTCCTGCCTTGACCTCCTAAAGTGCTGGGATTACAAGTGTGAGCCACTGTGCTTGGACTATAATATATGTAATTTTATGTAATAAGTTAAAAAAAGTACAGTCATTGTAGGTATAAAACATTGTGTGTGCCTAGAGTTTAAGTTCCTATGAAACATATAAGGATTTAATATTACTCACTCACAGGTTTACACATTTTCCACTAACTTGTTTTGGAAGTAATTTACTCAATGGCTCATTTTAATTTCATCTTCAGGAATGAGCAATTTGTAATTTACAAAGAAAAGCAATAAAAACATTCCATTAGTGTTCCTCAAACTACTGTGCATTGCATGTATTTGCATAATGAAGACAGACTTTTTTGTTCTCTGAAAAGAATCAAGTCTTTTCCCTTCCCACCCTTTGGTCTTACTTATTTCCAAGGTAACAGGGTGGTAGGCCCAGTCTTCTTCCTTTGAAATTTCCTCCCTGTGATGGGTCTGCCTTTTAGATCAGTTCATTTCTTTATGACATTGCTCTGAATTTCTGACCCTTCTTTATTGCCTTTATTGCAAAATGATTTTTGCAATAGTTCTAGTCATCACTAATCACCCTTATCTTTTTTTTTCGAACATTTAAATCACATGATAGCATGTGACTCAGGACAGAAACTTGTACCAGGGTGCAAGTGGTTGAATATCTTAACTAGTCAGATTTGGGAAATATTTTGAAGGTAGAGATTGCAGGATCTGTTGGATGGAATGCGGGATGTGAGAGAATATTTCAGGATGGCTATAATGATTTTGGCCTGAATAACTGGAAAAATTGAGCTGGTATTTACTGAAATAGGGAGAACTGTGGGAAGGATTTGGGTGGGAAATGAAAGTTCCATTTTGGACATATTAAGTTTGAGTGCATTCTATATATTCAAGTACACATAGAGAATAGACAGTTGAAATTTGAATCTGGAGTTAAATGGAGAGATTAGTGTTGAAGTTAAGATGTGTGGCTTGTTGCTGAGTGTGGCATCTAAAGCCAACTGGTGTGGATGAGATCATTTGTAGATGAGCACTGAGCAAGTGCTCTGCTGCATTCTGAGGATGGGAACAGGGCCTGCTTCATGGCCACATGATCTTGGCAGTCGCACAAAACCTCTTGCTTAGGAGGAACCGGTGCTTGATTGAATGCTCTGCTCTCACTCTCTTGAAACTGTTAATAATTTTTTAACAAGGGCGCTGCATTTTCATTCTGCACTGTACCTTGCAAATTATGTAGCAGGTTCTGGTTGGAAACATAAGGATCCAACCTTACGAAAGGAAAGAGCCAGTGAAGTAACCTGAAAACCAAGCAAGTGTGAGGAGGTGTCATAAAAGTCAAGGGAACAAATTGTGTGATGATGGACAGCATGACCCACAGTCTCAAAAAGATGATGCAAGGTCATATTACCTCAGGACTGAACACTGATCATTGGATTTAGCAACTTGCGTATACTTGTTGCCCATGGTGCAGTAAGTTGAAGAGAAAAGAAAAGAACAAATGTTGAATGTGAATAACTCTTGCAAGCACTTTTCTTGGAAATGAGAAGCTTAAAATTGGGTAGGAGCTGAGAAAGATACAGGGTCAAGAGAGGGTTTTTTTAAGATGGAGATAAGTGTTATAAATGGGGGAGTAAGCACCTTTTGTGGAATCTTTAAGCAACAGTCCAGTACGGCTGTGGAGATTACACTGGGGAGCCATATGAATTAAAGGATTTACTGTATTTACAGGTTCTACAAAGGGAGGCACAACATACCTTGCAGGAGTCACCTGGAGGGAGCACCAAGGGAGCAGGCTCAACCAAGCAGTGGAGGAGCCAAGAGAAAGTAGGGACCTGTGGACAAGCACCCTTATTGGGCATCAGGATGGGGTTTGCCAGCAAACGCAGGAGGGAATATTATGGGTATGCTTGAATGTCACTAGGCCACAGTCAGGGAAGAGCAAGAAGGGGGACTTGTGGCAAGACCAGCCTTGTCACATTGGTGCACCTGGTCATCTGGGAAAAGTGCCCACAAGCCTGTTTCTCTGGAGATGTTGGGGAATCAGAAAAATGGGAAGTCTTTAAAAGTTGCAATTCAAGATGTTATGGTACATCATTTTTCTTGGCAATGACCCATTAAGAAAAAAAAATGATGAGGTGGGAATGGAAATAATTCCAGGAGCAAAGCCTTTGAGTAGGAGCGGGGAACAGGTTCTAGTGCAAAGTAGGGGGTTGGCCCTAGGAGACGGGGAAACCCAAGTGGATGGAGACCTGCTGCGTTTTGTAGAATGATCCATTCTGATTCCTTCTATATAAAAACAGAAGCCTTCAGCTGAGAGTGAGAAGCAGAGAGGAAATGTTGAGATTTGAAGAAGAGAAGAATGTGAAATAGTCATCTAGGAGGAAGGGCAAACAAGGAGACCAGGACTGACGGGAAGGGCAAGCGCTGCTAAACAGCTTAATAGTGAAGTGGCTGAAATATGAACATCGGGTGTCTCTGGTGATGATTTCCTTTTTGTAGTTTTCTAGTTTTCCAGATGTTTCCAAATAAGCATATATTACTTCCACAATTATCTTTTTAAAACTGTTACAGAGATGTAAAAAATAGGACATATTATATATGAGAAACGGACTTAGGATTTTGGAGAGGTGAGTGGGGATCAGAAGGACACAGGAAACCTTATTCTGTTTGCCTGGAAAAGCAAGGCCTGCAATAGATGAAGAGGAGATTTCTGCAGAAATGTACAGAATATTTTTGACCTTTTATTCAGGCCAACAGAT
Source organism: Homo sapiens (assembly GCF_000001405.40). NCBI lineage: Eukaryota > Metazoa > Chordata > Mammalia > Primates > Hominidae > Homo > Homo sapiens. The sequence continues at coordinate 37,984,334 of NC_000007.14, forward strand.
TTACTCCATTTCTAGGTCTGAGCCACCAATTGTGTTTCTTGGTTGAGTTTGAGAGTTTGGTAGGACAGATGGTGGAAACTGTTCCCAAATTCTGAAACGAGGTAAGCTACCATTCTGGGCTGTGAAGTGGTGAGGTGCACTCTCATCCCTGCTGTGTTTTAGTGGGAAGCCTTGTGAGGTTTCATCAGGGAATATGAAAACATCTCTTACACCAGAACCTCACTAATCATGTAAAGTTTGCTTCCTTGTTAAATGATTAAACGTAAACATAAGAAGGTAAGGTCCTTGATATCTGTTTTCAGAGTGTCTTAGCCACTCCCTATTTATTATGTCTTAACAGATTTGCCTGATATATTTTTTTAAATTTCAAACCAAGGTCACTGTTCTGAAAGGGAATTTCAGAGATAATACATTGTTATTAAGGGATTGTTGCTAATTCCAAAACATATTCACCCTGTTAGACCCTGTGATATTAGCTCATATGTGCTTTTATTTTAATCTGTGATTAATGGGGTGATGAGTAGGGAATTTCAGGGCAACATTTTAAACTAAGTTCTTCTCATCTTTCTGTCAAAATCTTTATTGGGATCATAAATCTCAGCTCTCAGAAGAGGATGTGGGAATTAGATCCTATGACCGTTAAAACACCACATGGAGCTCAGCTGTGTGGACGCAAAGTAACTCTGCGTGGGGCGTGAGGTTGGGTGTGTGTTTGGAACCCTAAGGGTGGCCAGTTGAAGATTTCAGAGCCAAGGGCAGCTGAAGAAGCCAACTCCTGAGTTTTACACTAGCACAGAGGAGGATAGATTTTTATCTTGTGGTGGAAATAATATTTAACCTAGCAATATGTATGTATTTGGATGATGTCATACTTTCTTCTTGAAATATACAAACGCTTTGATGAATTTCTTTCATCTTTAAACTCTTTCATAATGAATCTCTTACATAATAAATCTCTTTAATATATTTTGCAGTCTTTGTATTCACACACAATTGTAAATTCTTAAAAGAAGAGCATATTTATTCTAAGTTCATATATTATTACTATTGAAAACAAAGACACAATAGATAAAGAGTATTGCATGAGCCCTGAATTGAAAACTATGCTTGGAAGACACTAACAGAACTATCAAGTCAGTTGAAGGAAAATATTTGCAGCCAGGCATTTCTTTCCCTGAAATAATATCTATGCCTTTTTAGTAGATGGCCTGAGGTGGCAAGGTAAGAGCTTCAGTTATTGTAAGTGAAAACCTCAGGATATGGCTGGGCATGGTAGCACATGCCTGTACGCTGTACTCAGGATGCTGAGGCAGGAGGATCTCTTGAGGCCAGGAGTTTGAAGCTATAATGCTCTACGATCACTCCTGTGAATAACCATGGCACTCCAGCCTGGGCAGCATAGTGGAGACTTCCATCTTAAAAAAAAAAAAAGGAAAATGTAAAAAAGTTCCAGATATGCTTAGAAGCAGATTTTTCAAATCCCATGGGGATGGGCTCAAAGAACAATATGATCAATAACCAGCTGACAATGATTAAAGCATCATCTTTGGAAGATGATAAGCTAAAGGTAAAGAATGTAAATCTTATTGCCTAAAACTCTTTGCAGTCAGCCAACTTAATTGAGTGTCTTTGAGAAAATTATTGTCTCATCTATCATATTGGTGCAATGAAAATAATACCTACATTGTACACATGTGGAATTTAAATAAGAAAATATTTTATATATCTACATAGCTCCTGGATATAGTACAAGTTTAAAACATTGTAGTTTATTATCAGGTTCCTGAGAGATGGCACCAATGGCAAAACGGTCACCAAAGCTATACCTTTAGAATTAGAGGATAATCCCAATTTTGTGGACAACATGTGGGTCTAAGCACCGTAGCATCTGTCAGCCTGTCCTGTCTCCTTTTTTAAAGAGCCAAATAGGAATTCTGTTGTGATTGAAGGACTTTCTATCCATCCCTGCAATCCTAGATGCTTTGGGATGCCTGCATAGAAGTTGTGCACTTTTTTCAAACACTGATGGAATAAAACAGTGTAATTACCTCTCTTTTTTTCACACCTAGCATAGAAGACTGATTTCAGGCTTTTTGAGGGGATTGGGTGGTGGTCCTCATCTGAGGATGAGGCTACATAAGTCATGGAAGACCTCGCCAATCCAGGTAGGGTACAACTCTAGGCCCTGTGTGGCTGGTCAAGGAGTCAGTCACTGGCTCATCTCTGGCCTCCCAGGAAGCTGGAGTTGAAAAGGATCTCAGGGTGATCAGATAGAGAACTGCAGAAGGGGAGGGTCAAGCCAGCTTCTTTCAGATTTATTACAGTCCCCTAAAGCATTAATGACCTTTTTGCCTAAAGCTAATACAGGGAAACTTTTAGTTCATTGACCTTCAAATAATTACAGCTGTTTGGAAAGCTTTTGGTCATAGAAACTGGCAGTACTTCCAAACATTTCAAAGATGTCTATCATCTTAATAGCACCTGTCCTTTAACCCTGCACACACACTCCAAAAAGGTTAACTAAAAAATACAACGATTAATTTTATATTCTGATGTTTTCTTATGAGCACAGCTGTGGCCACTTTAGTGTCCAGCAAAGCATTTCTTTGGCGAGTGATTTAGGGAGGGGTGGAAAGTGGAATGGAAAAAATCTCTGGAAAGTCTTTAACACTGGGGCGTATTTTCTCCCTGTTTCACTCCAAGGAATTCCCACTCATGGAATCTGGCCTATCATAAAGAACTTTTTCCTTTTGTACTTGATTCAACTTAGTAAATGATGTCAACCAGCTATGGTGAATGATGAGTGTTCCTCAAACCACAGAACAATAGACTTCATCGTTGAAGCTCTAAAAGAGCAGGAATCTGTCTGTTCCACTTCCCTCCTGCTGGGCACCATCTTCTAGCTCAGCTGGAGCCTCTTGTTCATAATTCCTCCCCTAGAGCAAGTCCTTTTTTGCTGAACTCTAGGACACCCGGCATGCATTCCTCTTCAACTGCCTTTGTTGGCCTGAATGCTGAAACAACATCACTGAACTAACATCTCCTTAAGAAGACATTTGTCATCAAAGAGGCAAATCCTCAATGAGGACAACCCTACCTTTAAAAAATCATGTCTAAACCAGCAAAATTTAAAAGATTCAGAGCTTTTTTTAAAAATCTTTTTAAAGGTAGGTTTCAAAAAATCAATTTGCCCCACTAAATTCATGGTAACTGGCACAGGAGATGGCATGAGAATGAGAAGTATTCCTTTTAGCTATACCCACAATGGCCTGTGTTCTTGTCCTCCAATCGTATCACAAATTGTCAAATGTTGGTGCACCACTGCATCCCATATTTCACACATCTGATTTTGTCTTAAGTAATTATAGTTCCCAAAGCTCACAACTCTCTTTTTCTCAACTATATTTCTCCTGGAGTTTGTCTTCACACAAAGGTCTCTTCCCAGTTTTCTTCTTCTAATAACAGTGCACTTATTTTTTTCTCTCTGCTAGGCATACTGTCACCACATCTGACTTTGTTCTTTACAGCCACTCAGTCATGGCCCTTACAGTTTTGCTTCACTCCATATATACCATTTCATTTCCCTTCCCACTGCCACTCCCTAGAACAGGCAGTTCTGGCTTTTCACACTAATGAGGAACCACAGATATGACTGTGCAAACAGAAACTGGAATGTGATCTTGTTCATCGAAGGGGAAACTTACAATTGTTCTGGGACCTTTAAAAATATTTTGTTGAAACATTAAAAACTCCTTTGTTGTAGGTTATAAATGCACAGGAAATTTTTTAAAAATAGTACAACTAATAATTATTTAGTATACTGTAATTTAAAACATCAGAAATATGAAGAAATAAAGTATTTTATTTATTTGTAAATATGGAGTATAGTTTGAATGAGGTTGCCCTCCTCTTCTCATTGTAGGACTTAGTGTATGGAGTGAGCATCTTTACTATGCCCTGAAAAACTGTCATACTCCTTTCTAAGTTTGAATCAGCTTCCAACTATCTATTCTTTGTTTTTTCAATGTCATGAAATGCCTCTGAGAGTTCCTTTAATGTGAGTTTTTTTTTGCCAGTGTAACTTTTCCAGGATACCTTTATCCTAAAATGGATGAACACATCCATTTTCTTCATTTATGTTGTTAAGTTTGCCTTCCCTAAGTTCCTCTGGAATGTCTCAAACAGTGGCAATATTCCCTCCGATAGCTATTTCTTCCATAACTCCATTAATACTCAACTTGAATTTCACTTTCAGAGTGTATTAGGGTTCTCCAGAGAAATAATACACACACACACACACACACACACACACATACACACACAGAGACACAAGCACGCACATGCACAGATTTATTTTATCTTATATATGTGAAGATTTATAATATACATGAAGATGTATACGTGTATATATATGAATATTTATTTTATTATGGAAATTGGCTTACACAATTACAGAGGCTGCAAAGTTTCACCGTCTACAACCTGGAGAACCAAGAAAGCCAGTGGAGTAATTCAGCCAAAAGTCCAAGTCCAAAGGCCTGAGAACCACAGTCCCAATGTCCAGGTGCAAGAGAAGACGAATATCCCAGCTCAAACAGAGAGTAAATTTGCCCTTCCTCCACCTTCTTGTTCTATTAGATGATGCCTGACCACATCGGTGTGGGTGATTTGATCTTTACTCAGTTTACTGATTTACATGCTAATGTCTTCTGCAGACACCCTCACAGACACACCGGAAATAATATTTTACCAGCTGCCTGGGCGTTGCTTATCTCATCCAAGTTGACGCATAAAATTAACCATCATATAGAGTTCTCTATTTTTGTTTCTTTGCTGTACTTTGATCTTTGTGACACTTCATCTGTTGGCCAATTTTCTCTTTTGATTAGCCATTTTTGAAAATGTTATGCAGTTTTATCACTAGAAGAAAAGGAAGAAACACAACTACATGCTTTGCTGCCAGTGTAAGGATTGAATAAAAAATGTGCAGAGACCAATCACCAATAGACATTGAAAGAAGTGGCATGATTGGTCACTGATCATATGCACATCTGGTAGGCATGTAGTGATTTGTGGGTTGAAGATCTAGAAGTGAAGTTTCTCCTTTATGCAATTACTCACAGTTAATATACTATAGCAACTGAAATCAGAACTGTGGTTGTTGGGGGACTGATGTCATTGAACTGAACTGTGGCAACTGAAATCTTTGGAATACTGGAGCTGTGCTAAGCAAGGATGGGCTGATTATTACTAGGACAATTTTCTGTCTTCTATTTTTATGTTTAGTGCATCTAATTCAACTCACATTTATCAATCCAGATTTTCTTCCAAGATAACTAATATCTTAGTCATCTAACCAATCAAGGACCTCACAATAGTTTACATGTAGTTTTCACCTAAACCTGGGTATAACGTGTTTATAACCATCTTCCTGGTCCTCCTAAGCACTTATACTTATATCCTAATATTTCATCTCTATTAAGCTCCAGGGGATAATAGGTGTTCTTTAACCCTCTGCAGGATTAGAGAATTGAGGCTGCTTTGTTACTATTGTTCACAATAAACTTCCACAGGAAGTGAGTTAGAAGACTCTAGACCTTTTTAAATCCTGAACTTCCTGGGCATCTTGTCTGAGTGATATCTTCAGTAAAGTGTATCCTAAGAGCTGTCTTTGTGTTTCCTGGGCCTTCTTCACAAGCTTGCTCTCCAAATAGCTCCACATCTGGGAGACTGACTGCTGAGCTCCTAAGTTGAAACACACAGAGTTTTCAAACATGTTGCTTTGTAGGCGACACCGACAGAGGTACTTCCACCTGACGTTCTATCTGCTGTCTTTCAAATCAGAGTCTGGAAAGAGTAATCCTGCCTTGCTTATTTAGACAAGGATACCTCTCTCTTTGGCACTGCTATAGAGAGATGTCAACGTCTCTTATTCACAGTCTCCTTCAGTCACTGGGAAATAGGACAATATCCCTAAATTTTTCTTTTATATAACACAAAACTACCTCAAAAGAATAAGAGATAAACGGTCAGAGGCTTTTTTTTGTCTTTTTATTCTGAGCCCCCAAAGAAAAACCTATAGTGTCAAGCTGGCAGAATTTTGTAACTATCTTGACCAATGGAGTATAATCACGTAATGCCATGTGCCTTCCAAGGCTAGATGATAAGAACACCTTGCACTTTGGCCTTGCCTACTTAGGACATTTGTTCCTAAAACCCAGCTGCTAGACATGCTATGAGGAAGGACAGAAAAACCCATGTGCAGAGGCTGTGCAGAGCCAATTTGGCCAGTAGTCCATCTGAGGTCCCAGCCAATAATCAGCATCAACTACCAGAGGTGCGAGTGAAAATGCAAGCAGATGATTCCTGCTCCCAGCTCTTGTCACCCCTAATCTTTGAGTCTGCCAAGCAAATGCCCCCGATGTGGCATAGCAGACATATAAGCATCTGCCCTGCATCCAGACTAAATTCCTGACCCATAAAATCTGTGAATCTGTGAATACAAATGTTGTTGTTTCCCTTTCTTTCTTTCTTTCTTTCTTTCTTTCTTTCTTTCTTTCTTTCTTTCTTTCTTTCTTTTCTTTCTCCTTCCTTCCTTCATTTCTTTCTTTCTTTTCCTTTTTCTTTCTTTCTTTCCTTTCTTTCTTCCTTTCTTTCCTGCTTTCTTTTTCTTTCGTTCTTCTCTCTCTCTCTCTTTCTTTCTTTCTTTCTTTCTTGTTTTTTTTTTTTTTTTTGAGAAAGAGTTGCTCTGTAACCCAGGCTGGAGTGCAGTGACATGATCTCGACTCACTGCAACCTCCACCTCCCAGGTTCAAGTGATTCTTGTGCCTCAGCTTCCCAAGTAGCTGGGACTACAGGTGTGCATCACCACACCCTGCTAATTTTTTGTATTTTTAGTAGAGATGGGGTTTTGCCATGTTGCCCAGGCTGGTCTCGAATGACCTCAGGCAATCCACCTGCCTTGGCCTCCCAAAGTGCTAGGATTACAGGTGTGAGCCACCACACCTGGCCCAAATGTTGTTATTTTTAATACAATTGTATGCCACTGAGATCGAGGTAGTTGTTATGCAACAATTGCAGCTGGAACAAGAACACTTGAACCTGTAATATACTTGAAATCATATGAGCTATGAGATCAGTAAATTATCTTTCCTTATCTATACTTTCTAACATAACCACAATGGATATGGATAATTTGTGAAGTCAATAAGAACATAGTGAATGATTGATTCCATGTGGATGGGAGAGGGAAGTGTCTGCAATTTTGCATGTGTTTCACATCCTTAGATGCTAGTGAGAAGAGGCTGTAATGCATTAATTGTTCCCCTTATCAAATCCATATAATGATAGCACTGGTATCACATTACCTTTACTTGTGAACGTGTTGCATTAGAAATTTCTTTAGAAGTAGTTCCCAAACTGTAACAGAATGTGATGTGATAATTTCCTACCCTCACCAAGTAATGCCAAGATGTAGAAGTCTCTTTACTCTTTGTAGCCAAATGGTTAATCCTGGGAGAGTGGCATATTTGAATTCTTTTTTTTGTTTTGCTAGTCTTTTTTTTTTTTTTTTGAGACAGGGTCTCATTCTGTCACCCAGGCTGGAGTGCAGTGGCATAATCACGGCTCACTGAAGACTCGACCTTCCAGGCTCAGGTGATCTTCCCACCTCAGCCTAATAGCTGGGACTATGGGTGTGCACCATGAAGCCTGGCTAATTTTTTGCAGTTTTTCATAGAGATGGTGTTTCTCCATTTCGCCCAGGCTGGTCTCAAACTCCTGGGCTCAAGCAGTCTACCCATTTCTGCCTCCCAAAGTGGGCCATCTTTCATTTCTCCATCTCAGTCTGAGTCTGTGCTTGAACTGATGTACTTAGAGATTAAGGACCTTTCTGAGCAAAGTCAAATGAGCCATCCAGATGGTTCTGGTCTTCAGAAGGATCAGAGGTAGTCTGAATAGCAAGTAAGGATCAACTCAACCACCAGTTCACCAAATAAAGCCAAAACATTGACATCAAGGAATAAGCCATTGGCTGACATAAGTACGTGCTCCAGCAATTGCTTGTTTCAACTATTTGAATTCAACACATTATTGCCACTAGGCAATTTTAATTAATTAATTTATCTTTAGCAAGTGAATGTAACTTATTTTTCCATCTTCTTGGGGAGAGGGGAAAGCATTTGCCATTTTCAGAGTAAATTGGTCTGGGTTAGAAGGGAGCCCCCATAGCATCAGCAGAAAGCAAATTCTATAGTCAAGTTTCACAACCATTAAATTTTAAGATTATATTCTGACGGTACTTCTTAGAAAAAAGAAAGAAGTAAAATTTCACCTATGAGATAAATTAGAGGCTAAATTGCTACTTCTTGTCTTCTTGTAATCTAAAAGAAGAGACTCTCAAAAAATCTTTAAAAAAAAGTTGTCTTGATCATTTTTGCATGAAATAGCTGGAGATTAGAGGAAGAAATGGCAAGGCACTTGGAGGAATAGAAAAATGAAAATAACCAAAATTACATCTTTGTTACATGAGGGGCCAAAACCAGAAAACTTCATACAAGGTTTTGTGTCTTGGCAGCAAGTATTGCCCCTACACCATAGAATGTCATTGCAATCATATGGTATCAATAACAAACGAATTATGGCCAGAATGTCTAAGATCTGTTCTTCTAGACTTTAGATGTGAATTCCTCTTCTCAAAAATCTCAAATGCATGTTCATTCTGAACTCTGGCTGTTTTTTGACCTTTTTGCTGACCTGAAAGGGTTATATAGCTAGAGTAAGACTGAAACTAGTTCCTGAAACATCCCTCAGAGTGGCCAAAACATTTTCTTTATGACTGTGAAACAATTCCAGCTCACGTTGCTTTCTGTAATACAGCTTTCTAGACTACTGAATTCTACAGTATTTTCCAGCATAATCCTTTTCAGTTTCTGTCTCAAGACTTGAGTTAGGCTCTTTCAATAGGGCCTAAACACACTACCAATTGATAGCATTATGCTGAGCTGAATTATGCTGAATTAGACTTTGGTACCAGAAACCAGAAATGGGAGCCCATATCTATTATCTGTCTCATTTTTAGTGGTCTTTGTGGTCTGCATGGTCAAGACATAAAAGCCTTAACTAGGACGGTAAGAATGGAGAAAAGAAAATCATGAGAGGACTTGCTGACATTCTAATAGTGGGTTGTAGGGGAAGAAGAAGCAAAGCTAAGACTTCTGGGTAACTGGACTAACGCTATGATGCCTAACTGAGAAGAAGGATAACTTAGTTTTGGATGGTTACACCCTAAACTAAAAAAATGTATTAAAGTAAGACATTTTAAAACTTTATCATAATATCTTGATTTGATTTTCTAAAGAATTCTGCATTAAACATCTTAATGATGAATTACTAAAGGAATTTCTGTTAGTAAGAGAAAAAGCCTGACTACTTTCACTGACAGTATTCAGTACTGTTCTGGTTTTATTTCCAGTGCAATATGACAAGAAAAATAAGATATACATATTAAAATTAAACATAAGTTACACAGCCACTGATATAATTTTCAGAAAATGAAATAAAAAATTAATAAAAATGAGTTAAGAGGACAGATAGAAAACAAAATAAACTCAAAAGAATTCTCATGAATCAGACTTAATCAAATTGAATTTGTAAAAGCAGAGAGTTTCTATTTACACTGAAAACTCTAAAATATCTTAATATACACTTAGAAAAAGTAAGTTTTCCCTATGTGGATAAATTTACAGAATGTTACTTAGACTGTAAGACCTAGCTAATGGAGAGACATCATCTGACTAGATGAGAATATTCAGTATTATTTATATGTTGATTATCTCAGCCTTCTCCAAATTAATTATGTTTAATAAAATTTTAATCAAATTATTAAGTTTTTTTGGAAGTTGAGTGCTTGACTCCAAATTTCTTCTGGAAGAAAAATGTGTATGAATACCTTATATTTGATAAGAATGTGGAAAGGTTTGCTCTATTATATATAAAAAATAAAGCTAATCAAAACAAAATTAAAGGACAAACTATATTATAAATATTCGTTAAAATAATTATAAAGACTGTCTACAATGGGCAGGGCATGGTGGCTCACGCCTGTAATCCCAGCACTTTGGAAGCCAGATCACGAGGTCAGGAGATCAAGACCATCCTGGCTAACATGGTGATACCCTGTCTCCACTAAAACTACAAAAAAATTAGCAGGGCATGGTGGCAGGCGCCTGTAGTCCCAGCTACTCGGGAGGCTGAGACAGGAGAATGCTGTGAACCCAGGAGGCGGAGCTTGCAGTGAGCACAGATCACACCACTGCACTCCAGCCTTGGCAACAGAGTGAGATTCTGTCTCAAAAAAAAAAAAAAAAAAGTCTACAATGGAAAATTAGACAAAGCATTTGAACAGACAAGTCACAAAAAAAGGAAAGAAAAATAGGCCCCTCAAATGAAAATCTTCTAAATTTTCTTCCAACAACAAAGACGTGAAACAGGAAATTAGGGTTTGATCACTGCTTCTTTGTTTTGTTATGGTTGTTTCTCTTTCACATATAAGAGGTTTAGCAATTTGACACCCAGTGTATTTCAGACAGAAATGTCACTTATGTCTGTGGTAATGTAATTTTGGGGGAACATTGTACTGTATCTATAGTTTAAAGTGCTCTTAGTTTTTGACCTAGCAATTCCACCTGTAGAATTTTTTTTCTACAAAATAGACATATAAAAATACAAAGATACGCCAGGTGTGGTGGCGCACGCCTGTAATCCCAGCACTTTGGGAGGCTGAGGCGGGCAGATCACCTGAGGTCGGGAGTTCGAGATCAGCCTGACCAACACGGAGAAACCCTGTCTCTACTAAAAATACAAAAAATTAGCCAGGCGTGGTGGTGGATGCCTGTAATTCCAGCTACTCGGGAGGCTGAGACAGAATTGCTCAAACTCAGGAGGCAGAGGTTGCGGTGAGCTGAGATCATGCCATTGCACTCCAGCCTGGGCAATAAGCGCGAAACTCTGTCTCAAAAAAAAAATATATATATATAAATATATATATATATACACATACATATATATACACACATACATATATATATATATACATACATATATATAAACATACATGGCATAATATTCACTGCTGTAGAGTGTACAATAGCAAAAATTTGAAACTAACTTGTGTAAGTTATAATCTATTTCAGTTATGAGTGGTAGAAAACCCACTGTAACTCAAACAAGATGAATATTCATTTCTCTCTCTTGTCAAAGCCCAGATAGGCAGTCTAAGGTATATATAACAAATGATTATATCAGGGTCCAGGCTCCTTCTGTCTTGTGGTCACTGTATGAAGCTCAACCTCAAGGTAGGGGATGGCAGTATGTGCTTATAGGCAGCACTGTGGAAGGGAGATACAAAAGCAAAGTGTGTAGGCATTCATCTCTTTAGGAAGGATCTTGGAGTCTGCCATGCCATACTTCTACCTACATCCTGTTATTAAGAACTTAGTAACATGGTTGCACCTTTATTCTAGGCAGCCATCTGCCTAGCTAAAAATGTGGAGGGTATATTGCCATATAAGAAAGGGAGAATGAATTTTAGCAACAACTAGTGGTTTTTGCCATGTGACTGAATGACCAACAGGGAAATATATTCCAGGACATCATACAATTAAATACTATGCAGTTGTTACAGACTCAGGCAGCTCTACATTCTTGCAGAACAGGGTGTTTATTAATCATTTAAAAAAATGCATGCAAAAAGCCCACATATGTTCACCGAAAGACACATAAAAATGTTTATTCCTCCATTATTTGTAATAACCCAAATTTTAAAATGCCACAAATGTTCACCAAAAGTACAATGGGTAAGTAAACTGTATCATATTTATCTAGTAAAATATTATACTATAGGTTATGGGAATGAACAAAGTGTTGCCATACATAATAATATGGATGACTCCTAATGTTGAGCCAAAGAAGAGAGGCATAGAACATATAATTTACAATCCCACTTATATAAAGTCCAAAAACAGATAAAATTAACCTACAATGCTAGAAAGCAGAATAAAGTCAAGGAATGGTCGTGGCAGGAAAGGAGAATGAAGGAGACTTCCGGGGGTCTAGTAATGTTCTACTTATCTTTATTATTTTTTTTTAATTGTTATACTTTAAATTCTAGGGTACATGTGCACAAAGTGCAGGTTTGTTACATAGGTATATATGTGCCATGTTGGTTTGCTGCACCCATCAACTCATCATTTACATTAGGTATTTCTCCTAATGCTATCCCTCCCCAAGCCCCCCACCCCCCAGTAGGCCCCAGTGTGTGATGTTCCCTGTCCTGTGTCCATGTGTTCTCGTTGTTCAACTCCTACCTATGAGTGAGAACACGGCGGTGTTTGGTTTTCTGTCCTTGTGATAGTTTGCTTAGAATGAGATTTCCAGCTTCATCCATGTCCCTGCAAAGGACATGAACTCATTCTTTTTTATGGCTGCATAGTATTCCATGGAAAATATGTGCCATATTTTCTTAATCCAGTCTATCATTGATGGACATTTGGGTTGGTTCCAAGTCTTTGCTATTGTGAATAGTGCCACAGTAAGCATACATGTGCATGTGCCTTTATGGTAGCATGATTTATAATCCTTTGGGTGTATACCCAGTAATGGGATTGCTGGGTCAAATGGTATTTCTAGTTCTAGATACTTGAGGAATCGCCGTACTGTCTTCCACAATGGTTGAACTAATTTACACTTCCACCAGCAGTGTAAAAGCATTCCCATTTCTCCACATTCTCTCCAGCATCTGTTGTTTCCTGGCTTTTTAATGATTGCCATTCTAACTGGCGTGAGATGGTATCCCATTGTGGTTTTGATTTGCGTTTCTCTGATGACCAGTGATGATGAGCATTTTTTTCATAAGTCTGTTGGATGCATAAATGTCTTCTTTTGAAAAGTGTCTGTTCATATTCTTTGCTCACTTTTTGATGGGATTGTTTGTTTTTTTCTTGTAAATTTGTTTAAGTTCTTTGTAGATTCTAGATATTAACCCATTGTCAGATGGGTAGATTGCAAAGATTTTCTCCCATTCTGTAGGTTGCCTGTTCACTCTGATGATAGTTTCTTTTGCTGTGCAGAAGAAGCTCTATTTATCCCATTTGTCTATTTTGGCTTTTGTTGCCATTGCTTTTGGTGTTTTAGTCATGAAGTTTTTGCCCATGCCTACGTCCTGAATGGTATTGCCTAGGTTTTCTTCTAGGGTTTTTATGGTGTTAGGTCTTACATTTACGTCTTTAATCCATCTTGAGATATTTTTTGTATACAGTGTAAGGAAGGGATCCAGTTTCAGCTTTCTACATATGGCTAGCCGATTTTCCCAGCACCATTTATTAAATAGGGAATCCTTTCCCCATTTCTTGTTTTTCTCAGGTTTGTCAAAGATCAGATGATTGTAGATGTGTGGTGTTATTTCTGAGGCCTCTGTTCTGTTCCATTGGCCTATATATCTGTTTTGGTACCAATACCATGCTGCTTTGGTTACTGTAGCCTTGTAGTATAGTTTGAAGTCAGGTAGCATGATGCCTCCAGCTTTGTTCTTTTTGCTTAGGATTGTCTTGGCTATGTGGGCTCTTTATTGGTTCCATATGAACTTTAAAGTAGTTTTTTCCAATTCTGTGAAGAAAGTCAGTGGTAGCTTGATGGGGATAGCATTGAATCTATAAATTATTTTGGGCAGTATGGCCATTTTCACGATATTGATTCTTCCTATCCATGAGCATGGAATGTTCCATTTGTTTGTGTCCTCTTTTATTTTGTTGAGCAGTGGTTTGTAGTTCTCTTTGAAGAGGTCCTTCATGTCTCTTGTAAGTTGTATTCCTAGGTATTTTATTACTTTGTAGTAATTATGAATGGGAGTTCACTTATGATTTGGCTCTCTGTTTGTCTATTATTGGTGTATAGGAATGCTTGTGATTTTTGCGCATTGATTTTGTATCCTGAGAGTTTGCTGAAGTTGCTTATCAGCTTAAGGTGATTTTGGGCTGAGATGATGGGGTTTTCTAAATATACAATCATGTCATCTGCAAACAGAGACAATTTGACTTCCTCTTTTCCCGATTAGGAAAAGAGGTAATGTTCTATTTCTTGAACTGAGTGCTGTTTTTTGGGGCATATTCACTTTGTAAAAATTCATCATTATACACTTGTGATTTGTGCAATTTGGAGTATGGATGTTACACTTCAGTAAGATTTTTTTAAAGCATAGTTATATATTGAGCATACATGAAAAATCTGGAAGTGTATATGCCATAGCAAATTAGGAATCTGCACATTTTTTTCTGCAAAGGGCCAGTTACTGTATATTTCACGCTTTGTAACAGCAGAGCCGTACAGTCTCTGTCACAACTACTTAATTTCACTGTTGTTATGTGAAAGCCAACATAGACAATGCATAAATAAATGGGTTCTACTAAAATTTATTTACAAAAACAGTTGAAAGACTGTAGTTTTCTAGCTCCTATACTGAATTGTTCATAGTGCTTACTGCTGGGACTAGGGTTGAGGGGAAGAATGCCGTTTAGTCTTTAGAAGTTTCTAAAATGTCTCATATTTTAAAGTTAGCAGTTAATTTAAAGCACCTACCTTTACTAAAAGCTTATTGTTACAAATGTTTTCCTGAAACAACAACAACAAAAACACTGGATCTAAGTGCAATCAGTGAGCCTCAAGGTAATGTAATAAAATACAAATCCGGCACAAGTTAGGCAGCAAAGTATTCAGCATATTATCTGTCACCTAAAATGTCCCAAAGAGTATAGAATATTTTCTTGCAAATTAATAATAAATATATAACATCTGTTAACAATAAAAAGCCCTATTCACCAATGTGCTTTGTCTATAATAGTAATTTTCCATTTTAAAAACAGGTATTGGCCATGACACCCATAGTGTCAACTTTCCATGTTGTAACAAGAAAGTCATTGTTTTACTCTTCATATGGGGTATATGTTTTGATCAAGATGTAAACATACCAGTAGCATAAATGTGCATATGCAAAAGAAAACTATGATTCATGGACTAAAATAGCATTCACAAATAAGCTGGCATTGCTTTTGAACTTTGCTAAGATAAGAGTTCAATTGTTTTGCCTTAGCAATAGGAAAACAAATGTAAGCCAGAGACCATGGCTTCTAAGGATTTAAGATCCTCTTGTAGACCCAAGATATATACAGGCAATAGGTCACTGAGCTTAGACAGGCTGTGCCTTTTTTTGTGATACGTATATGCAAATGCTATAAAAATGAAAAAAATGTTGCTTTTCAAATAAATATGATAGATAAGACTTGGAGAAGGACAGAGGAAAACCAGACTCTCAAGACTGGGGCAACACCAGGAAAAACAGAGAACAAACTTCCAAAGGAGCATGAGTTGCTCAAAGGACAGCAAAATCCGTTTGCTTTGAGGGAAAGCCAGTTTAAAGAGCATGCAATTTCTCCTGAGTTCAATGGGAAGACAGTGGGAGATTGAGCAAGGAATTAATGAGCTCTTAGGAAGACTAATTTTAAGACTATGTGTACAGCTCATGACCTTTTCCCCCACTCCCTTTCAAATACCAAGTTCTACTATTACAAAAATTCAGGCCGGGATCTGAGGCTGGCCCAGGAGCCTAGAGTCTCCAATCAGGGTAATGACAGTATATATACCTAGAAAGGGCAAGTAGTTTACTTTCCCCATCTGAACGAGCAATGCTTTTAGCAAAACTGTGGTTGGAAAAGGCAATAGTTCATGCTAATGCTGTTTTTTGATTGTTTGTTTTAATGATAATCTTCTATCTATATGATTTCTACCAACATATCTGACAAAATTCCATTTAAGCTCAAATCTTAACAATGCCCGACAGAAGGTCAAATCTTTATCAAACACATTTCTTAAGTACCACAGTTTTTTGGCAGTGGCCCATTCTTTTAACCCCGTTAAACTTTGACTCTGTTTCCAGGCTTCTGGACCTTGTGAACAGTGTCAGAACTAGACAAAGTCTTTCTGAAGCTTCCCTATCCTACAGGAGCCTTGCTTTGCGTTTTTTTTCTTTATTTTTTTGTTTTTTGGATTGCCCTGTGAGAGTACAAGAAGGCTAAGCCAGCTGTTATGACACTGATGTTTGACCCTAAACTACTTAAAATGCCTATCATTCCTAATATCATGAATCAGGCAAAATCTAGGTCAAGACGTTTTTGGGAGAAGGAGAATATGAGAGGATCTTGTTCTCTCACATTAATAGAGTATTATTTTTCCTTGGAAGATAGCAGGGTAAATATGAGAGTGGAAAATAAGACCCTCAATCTATGCTGATGGGGGATGGAGAAAAGCATGGCAACAATAAACTTCAGTAAAGAGGCAACTTCTGCAGAGATGGACTGTACTAAAATGAACTACCTTTGGCAAAGAGACATGATAGGCTCCATTGTAGCTGGGGTTAAGGGAGCTGAGCACCTGAGTGTTTTTTTCCATGGCATACTAGTTTTTTAAATGTTGAAAAAAGAAAGTTGTTTAATCTTCAGAAAGGTCTTTGGAAAGATGAGATGATGGGAATACATACAAATTAGTTTACTCTCTTGAGAGACCATAACTAAGCCATTTATTTTGGTCAGCTTCTGGCCTTACATGACCACGGTTTGGGAGCATAAGGGAATGGTTCATAATTTTATGGGATCCTAGCTTTCACCATAGCTCCTACTCAGTCTCTGGAGCTCCTGCTATCTCCATCCCCTTATCCTCAGGCTCTTTGAGGGCTATTATTTATTAGATAAAACATCTTACCATTGAAGTTAGAATTATTTACATGTTATATATTTTTATCTTTTTACTTTTAACCTACCTATAAAATTATATTTGAAGTGATTTTTATGTAGACAGCATATACTTGAGTCACATATTTTATCTACTTTGACAATCTTTTCTTTTAATTAGCATGTTTAGACTATTTACATTTAATGTAATACTGAGTTTTTAAAAATTAGGCCTGAAATTTTATTTTATTTTTGTTAGCTACCTCTGTTTTTTCCCATGTTTTATCTTTTCTGCCTTGTTTTAGGTTACATAAATTATTTTTTTTTGGTGTTCGATTTTATTTATGTGCTTTCTATTATATCTCCATATAGACTTCTTAGTGGCTAATCTAGGCATTACAGTATACATACTTAACTTTTCACCCTCTACTTAAAATCAATATTTTATTGCATCAAGTGGAATATAGACGAGTACCTAAAATACAGGTCTTACCCTTCCTCTTTTATGTTGTAGTTGTCCTGTGTATTTTCATATTCATTGAAAATACCATCAGATAATATAAAAAGTTTTGCTTTTAATCATCAAACATATTTGGACTCAAGAGGAGAAAAATAGTCTATTGGAGTTACCCATTTATTTGCCATGTCTATTGCTCTTTCTTCATTCTCAAAGTTTCAAGTTTTCTTCTGGTATAATTTTCCATCTGAGAACATTTCTATAGGAATTCTTTTGGTGTAGGTCTACTAGCAAAAAAAACTCTTTTAGTTTTATTTCAGCAGAGAATGTCTTTGCTTAATTTTTATTCCAGAAAGATATATTTGCTGCACGTAGAATTCTAAATTGATTGTCCTTTTCTTTCAGCACTTGAAAACTGTTGTCTCGCTTTCTTTCCTAGTTTCTCCATGTAGTTTTTGATGACAAATCCAGTTATTCAAACTGTTGTTTCTCTATATGTAATGCCTTGTCTCCGGCTACTTTCAAGGTATTTTCTTTACATTTGGTTCACAGAATTTGATTGTTTTATGGTTTTAAGATATATCCTGTTTGGTGTTTACTTAGCTTTTTGAGTAGATAGATTTAAATCTTTCACCAAATATGAAAACTTTTCTTCAAATATATTTTCTTCAAATACTCTTCCTATACTGCATCTTTCTCCTTTATTTCTAGTTCCTTAGTGACATGAACACTAGATATTTTGGTATTGTCACTCAGGTCCCTAAGGCTCTACTAATTTTTTGTTTTTAATATTGTTCTCCCTGCTAAATTATCAATGAATAATTCCATTGGTCTGTCTTCAAGTTAACTGACTCTTTCCTCTGTTCTCTCTATTTAACTACTGAGTGTATCTAGTGAATCTTTTCAGGTTATTTTTAGTTCTAAAATTTTCCTTCGGTTCTTTTCTATATCCTTTACTTATTTCCTCAGACTTTCTATTTATGCAGTCATTCCAAGAATGTTTGACTTTATATTCCGGAGTATTTTTATAACAATGCATTAAAGGCTGCATTAAAGTCTTTGTCAGTAAATTCTAACATCTGTGTCATTTTAGCACTAGCAGCTATTGATTTTTTTCCATGTATGTTGAGATTTTTCTGTTTCTTCATATGCTGAATAATTTTGGATTGTATCCTGTATAATTTTGAAAATTATAACATAAAAGTCAGGGCATTTCTTTTATTAGGCAATCAGTCCAGTTAGATTCGTGTTGCAAGGTCCAACTAGCCTTCTGTGGGTGGTGATTTCAATGTCTGTTCTATTTTTAAAGACTTTGACTTTGTAGTGCTATTTGGATTGGTATTGGATGTGTGTCACCAAGCAGTCAGTCTGAGACCTGGGTAGTGGTAATCCCTTAGTTCAATTCGAAAAGTTATTGGTATGCTGTTTGGGCCTGGTTCCATGCATGCACAGCTTAGGAGTGAGCCCAGGAGTTCGTAAGCAAATTTATAGAGTTCATTTACCCAAATTCCTCTCTCTCCATAATCTGTCTCTACTTTTTGATTCCCTAAAGTTCCTTTTTTTAGTCCTCCAGCAGTAAAGCCCGAGTTTTATTTGCCCTGCTCTGCTGCACTCTTCCCACAGATACACCCATATTTGGGTGAAAAGTCAGCAGGACGGAGAGGGAAAAAAGCAACAGGAGTCCATCCCATTCTCTTGAGACAACAGGTTCACTGATCACAGAGAAAATTTCTTTTCCCTCAGAGTTTAGGCACCTTCAGGTCTGTGCTGTCACCAATATCCTTACTGCTACTGCCATGGAGCAGGGATTCAAGATAACCAAAGGAAGACAAAGGTAAAGAAAAATAAGAAGTTTTCTCCACTCTCTCTGAGCACTCAAAGATTGTTTTTTTCACATCTTGAGCCAGAACTAGAAGACTTCCATTGCTCTCTCTCTTTCTATATCAATACCCACTTCTGGGATTCAGGCTTCCTTGGACCCAGGCTGGCAGATGGAGAGCAAAAAATGGTAAGAGAGCAAAAATTTTTTTGGGGGGCAAAAAATGATCAGCTCATTATAGGTTCTGCAATACTTCTAATTATAGTCATCTTCTCCAGTCTACCTGCTCTTACTTACTTTCAGAATTTTCATATAGCTGCTCCAGGCATTCTTTATGGGTTTTATGGGTGCATTCGGTTAGAGAAATAGGATGTACTTAAACTGTTTAATCCAATATTTTTAAAATATCACATTACACAGCAGAAAAACAATGAAGTTAACAAGGTTGCATATCAGGTTTAGTTGCAAGTAAACATTTGACATATTCATTTTAAGTGCTAAAAACTATTCTAATATCTTGCCTTCTATATGGTAAGAAGTGTCAAGAGCCAGATCTTGATTCCCTAGCTCCATATGGCAGTAGAATTCCCAATAAAAGCCAGAATTTATTATTTATTAGCTAGGTTAGAATTAGGTGCTTGCAAAACCATTAAGAGCCTGAACTGGCAAAATATATTAGTTGTAGGTTTCGTGCTACAGAGACAGAGGTACTGCCATCCAGAGTCAGTGACCTGCAGAAATCTGCTGCAGATTCTATAACTCCATCATCCAGAAAGGTGAATGGCAGGAGAATGCAGAAACTACTGCAAACATTCATGCCTGGGAGACCCACACTTACACCCACTGTCATAGAGATGGCTTCTGCTTTGTCTGCCTTCTAAATCTTGTGGCAGGGTGTCTCCTTGGTGGAACCCCACATAAATTCAAAACCCTACTGGCAAGGGAGTCTAGGGAGTGTAGCTCCCAGGCTTCTAGTCCCAGAAATACAAGAGAACTGAAGGGGGCATGAAGAATACTGAGTGTCTGCAGTTAGTATTTAGCAAAGTAATAATGTTTAGTTCTGTTGGAAAACATGTTTTTCATCTGGCAAGTCAAGGCTAAGTTGGTGTTCATCCTTGTGAATTTCATTAGTCATAACACATATGATAATCATATAGATGCAGTTTTAAGTTCTGATTTTACACAAGGTCTGAGGTTAGTAAAAACAAACAATAACTAGCTAAATCAAAATTAATGTTCACTGTAAAAAATTTAATAATCACATATGCTAGGATATTTTTGATTACCAGAAGGAGATGTGGCATTCCGTTGGTGTTAAATGACCTGTCTGCCACAAGTTCTGGTGCAGAAAATCATTAAAGCTCAGAGACTCTATAGTTGGAATAAAGTTTCTGGAAAACATTGGGACACATCTGAACTCACGATAAATTGAGCTAATGTGGATATTTGTAATAAATATGCTTATTTAAAAGAGATTAAAAAATAGAATATACCCAGAAATCATAGTGAAATATGCTTATCATAGAATTACCATAAGGAGAGCACGATGCACCAGGCATGGTGGCTCACGCCTGTAATCTCAGCACTTTGGGAGGCTGAGGTGGGCGGATCATGAAGTCAGGAAATCGAGACCATCCTGGCCAACATGGTGAAACCCTATCTCTACTAAAAATACAAAAATCAGCTAGGTGTGGTGGTGCGTGCCTGTAATCCCAGCTACTTGGGAGGCTGTGGCACGAGAATCACTTGAACCCAGGAGGCAGAGGTTGCAGTGAGCCAAGATTGCACCACTGCACTCCAGCCTGGCAAATGAGCAAGATTCCATCTAAAAAAGGAAAAAAAAAAAAAAAAAGAAAAGCACAATGCACGGGTTTTTGTATGAATAAACAAAGTATATTTTTTGAGTTTTAAAAATCTGAGCAAAAAATGAAAAAATACTTTAACTTATAAAAATTTTATTCCTACAGTTTCACACAAATGTTATGGTCTTGCTTTGAATAATACTGATTTCACACTTGAATTTACCCATTTTAAAGCTATTTTAAATTAAAAATAAATCTTTAAATACTTTCTCAGTCATCCAAAGTAGAAGAGTACCTCATTTTTTATCATATGAGAGAGTTATTGCAACATTTAGTATAGAGTGAAAGAGCTAGGTTAAGAAAAAAGAAAAAGAGCATATGCTGAGGATGCATTTTGAAGTAAAAATAAAATATCTGTTCGAGAAAGGTTAATGCTGAAGATAAAAGAGTGATTTCACTTACTTTATCAGAACAGTAGAAAATAACATTTACAAGCAGTGAAGACTATATTACTAAATTTATTGGCTTTTTAAAACTTAAGCAAGATGAAATAAGATTTATGTAGCTATAGAACAAAATAAATGAAGTAATGGCCAATATGTGTACAAATTTTAGATTTGGTGCAAATATGTTCCCAGTTTATAATTCCAACAAAACTACACAAAGTTCCACATTATCTATTACATTCCAACTTAACTGATGTTGGCAGTTTGCTTATCTGACATGATCTTCACAGTTAAATTGCTTTATGTCTTGGAGTAATTTCATACAGTTTGCCCTAGCCAGTCTCTACAGTTAAGTGTTGAATGATCATTTTCTGCTCTGTATTACTAAAAGACTAAATGCACTGTACTTTGATCAAAGATTCTAATGGTGATTACATAGAAATTGTTACTGAAGCAGAAAAAGCCTCAAAAATTCAATGTATCAACCAAGACAGTACTAACTAAACCTGATCTATAAAAAAGTTTCTCAGGTTGACATGTCATATTTCACATTTTGAACATCAGCTTATGTACTTAAACACATGTTACCGTGGTTACAGTTTGGAAATGGAGTTGACACAGTTGCTGGGATAGCAAAATGAAAATTAATATGCTAATGTATGGAGATAATCTCATTTAAAACAACATCTTTTCGATGTGCTTAACTGGAGCTATTTCCAAGATTTGTGCTCCTTTAGTTTTCCCTATGAAGAGATCTACCAATGTCATACCTACATGTTGCGTGGTCTGCCTCTACTCTTCCAATTTCACTGGAGGGTATGAATCTAACAAGTGTTCAGGCCATGAAATTCAGAGTTGAAGGGACTGAATCCCAAAACTAATAGTTCTTATGTAGCACACCAATAAATGTAGGTAGTTATTTCATCATCATCATTATTCTCCTAAGAATTATTGGAACTTATGGACAAAATCTAGCACGGGCCCCATCTGTGGTGTCACTGGCTTCACCTGTTCAGAATCTTTAGCATTATGCCCTTTGATTTGCTGCTGAAACCAAAGACTGTCTTCCTCAATTTGTAGAACCTGGTCTACAGGTGGGCAGAACCTGTAATCTTACACCATAGGATTTTGCAGCCTCAGCAGTCCCAGCTCTGACTCAGGCCTACCAGTTTCTTGAAATCTCTGTTACATTTGCGGTGACAAAGGAAAAAACAATCAAATAAATGTTTCTCAAAAATATTAGAATTAATATTTCAGCTGGAGAAACTTTTTTTTCCATTTAATACTGGGGCTTTTGTGAGCCAGATGTTCACCTGTCTGACAACTCGTCCAAGAAGGCATGTAATTCACTTATCCAACATTAGACAGCAAATAGATAATCTTGAGTCCAGAGCTCTTAATTCAAAGATCTCGTGATCTGCCCATCTCTCATAGTGGTTTTCAAGTCTTGTTTCCATTTGACTGACATCTTATATTTAAATCCATCAAAAGAGGCACTAGGGTTTCCCTTTCTACCTTCAAAAATTCTAAGACTTTCTTTTTATGCACCCATGACAACTCTCCACAACTAGTCACAATTCCAATGAGGAATGCTATTCTATCACATAAGGATGCTTCTAATTGTGCTTGTAATAGGGCCTGGGGAGTGTCTGGAATGTGTGTGTAAAGCCTACAATTATCCAGTCATCATGGAATTGCTGTGGTTGGCTCTCAGTCTCAGCACATAAAGACCTTCACTCTGTAAACTATTTTTTGCTAAATTCCTAAATGACCTGTGCATTCCCTCACCCTTTTCCTCTGTACTTTTAGAAAGCTCTGGAGAGGTCATAGAATTGTCTTCAATGAAAATAGAGCCTCTCAGAAAGAAAGTAATTATATGATCAGAGGAGTTGGCACTTGCAGATGTTTACCTTTTAATATCACCTTCACAGTGATAAAGAACCCACGGGTTCTTCTAAATTTCCAGACCAAAATTAAGCTGTAGTCATGGCCTGCATTCATATCTTTTTTCTAACTTTAATGGGAATGCCTTCAATGTTTTATTGTTAAGGTTTATATTGAATGTTGGCTTAAGAATGTTTATTATTAAGGAAAGAGCTCTTCATTCTTAGACTATGAAGTTTATAAAAGGAATGGATGTTTTATCAAAACCCTGTGGAGATCTTGATTGACTGACACATTCTATTAATTTTCCAATCTTAAACTATTCTTGTATTCTAGGAAAATCTTTACATGGTCATTGTTTCATTCTTTTAATATGCAGTCTCTTTTCTGTCCTTTGTAGTAGCTTTATGAAGTAAGAAGAAAACTTCCATATTTTTATATTCTGCAACATTTTAAACACTGGAATTTTTATATAAACGTTAAAGACTTCAACACTAACTCCAATGTTGGTGTATTGGCAGTGCTTTTTGTTATTAATCATCAAATTTATATTTTTGTCCTTCCTTATTATTCTCCCATCTTCTCTGCCTAATTCCCCTAACATTTACTTTTTCTCCCTCTATTGTTTATTTATGCCTCAGTCTCAGGCTTTTATTTTAAGAGAACCCAGGCTAAAACAGCATCTTTTAACCTAGAAGAAGGTTGGATATTTATTCATTGAAAAGAATAAACCAGATAGTTTGGACCTGTAGACCCCAGCCAGCGCTGAAAGAAAAGTGAGTTTCTACATGGAAAAAAAGGAGCTTTAAATTAAAGTCAACATGACAAATGGTAAAACTTGCAGGTCCTCTTCTTTGTAGGTGCCAGAATCTATTATCTAGGTTTCTATACTGTATACAGAAGATTGAAGAATGTATTTTTTTATTGAAGATTCCTTTCTGACTGGCTAGAAGAAAAATGCCCATAGATATCCACATTGTAGGTTCCCAAAATACTTGTCAGATCCTGCTCAGTTACCCTACAGTGACAACCACTAATTAACAAGTCGTATCCTTGCACATTAAACTTTCAAACAGTTTTTTAGTGCAGCTCTTAAGTAGAAATTGGCAGTTACAGGCTGGGTGTGGTGGTTCATGTCTGTATTCCCAGCACTTTGAGAAGCCAAGGCAGGTGGATTGCCTGAGCTCAGGAGTTTGAGACCAGCCTGGGCAACATAGCAAAACCCTATCTCTACAAAAAATACAAAAATTATCCAGGCATAGTGGTCTGCACCTGCGGTCACAGCTGCTTGGGAGGCTGGGGTGGGAGGATGGCTTGAACCCGTGAAGCAGAGGTTGCAGTAAGCCAAGATTCTCCACTGCACTCCAGCCTGAATGACAGAGTGAGACCCAGCCTCAAAAGAAAGAAAAAAATATAAAAAAAATCTAAATGACGAGTTAATGGGTGCAGCACACCAACATGGCACATGTATACACATGTAACAAACCTGCATGTTGTGCACATGTACCCTAAAACTTAAAGTATAATAACAATAAAATTTAAAAAAAGTTAACTCAAAAAAAATCAGCAGGTACAGACTGCCAAGTAGGATCAGAAAACATTAATATGAAAAACAGAGCTGAAAACCAATGAGGAAATAGGAAAAATTAATATAGAGGGCATAGGCAAAACAAGATGCCCATGAAGAGATAATGGCAGATAAAATAATATCCTTAAAGGTAAGAATATCCTGAATCTTGCCAGGAGCAATGGTTCACGCCTGTAATCCCAGCACTTTGGGAGGCCAAGGCAGGCAGATCATGAGGTCAGGAGATCAAGACCATCCTGGCTAACGCAGTGAAACCCTGTCTCTACTAAAAATACAAAAAAATTAGCTGGGCATGGTGGTGGGTGCCTGTAGTCCCAGCTACTCGGGAGGCTGAGGCAGGAGAATGGCGTGAACCCAGGAGGTGGAGCTTGCAGTGAGCCAAGATTGTGCCACTGCACTCCAGCCTGGGCAACAGAGCAAGACTCTGTCTCAAAAAAAAAAAAAAAAAAAAAATCCTGAATCCATGAAACAAGACATTGATGCTTTATGTATTTAAGAGAAAATCAGAAGATGCATAAGAGGTTTTGGAAATAAAAATGTAATACCAAGAGCAATATAGAAAATGTGAATAAGGATAGTGGATTGAAAATAGAGATGGGAGAGGGAGAATTATGGAAATGAGAATCAGGGAGATGTGGTGAAACAAGGAAGAGAGAAAGGGAGAAAACAGAGGGGTGTAGAGAGAGTGAAGGGGCAGATGGAGAGAGAGAAGGGACAGCATGGAGAGTGGTAATGAGAGTAAAGCTAAGAGGAGAGAGGGAGGATATCAAGTAAAGTGGAGAAATAAAGACAGAAACAGATGTGGGGGAGATGTTTCATGGATTCAGGAAATTAGAGACAAGAAGAGGAAGGGAACCAGTGGTGAGAGAAAAAGAGAGAGGGAAACAAAAGGAGAAAATAGTGGAAAAAAACAAAAAGAGAAAAATGAATAAGGGCAAAAACATAGGTCAAACCAGGTAGAAAGCAAAGAGAGAGATTGAAATAAAGTATTAAAAGAGAGAGGCATGGAGTGCAGATATACCTTAGACATATTGATTTCAATTCCTGTGGATATACACCCAGAAGTGAAACTGCTGGCTCCTATGGAAGTTCTATGTTCAGTTTTTCTGAGGAAACTCGGTACCATTTTCCATGGTGGTTGTACCAGTTTACATTCCTACCAACTGTGTACAAGGATTTCCTTTACTCACATCCTCACCAACGGTTATCTTTCATCTTTATTATAAAAGCCATTCTAACAGGTGTGAGGGGATATCTCATGTGGGTTTAATTTGCATTTCTCTAAAGATTAGTGATGCTGAACATTTTTTTATGAACTCACCGGTCATTTTTATGTCTTTCTTTTAGAAACGTCTGTTCAGGTCCTTTGCCCATTTTTAAATTGGATTATTTGTTTTCTTGCTATTGTGTTGTTTGTGTTCTTTATATATTTTGGATATTAGTCCCTCATCAAATGTATGGTTTGAAAATATTTTCTCTGTTAATCGTTTTTTTTTTTTTTTCTGTAAGAGCCTTCTAAGTTTGATGCAATCTCATTTGTCTATTTTTGCTTTTGCTGCCTGTGCTTTCAGGGTCATCTCCAAAAAATCCTTGCCTAGACCAATGTCATGGAGTTTTCCTCCTATGTTTTCTTCTAGCAGTTCTTTAATTTCAGGTATTATGTTTAAATATCTAATCCATTTCGAGTTAATTTTTTTCTACGATGTGAGATCAGGATCTAATTTTATTCCTCTACATGTGGATATCCAATTTCCCCAGCACAACTTAGTTTTTAAAATTGTCCTTTCCCTATTGTGTGTTCTTGTCATTTTTGTAGAAAATACAGAATTATCTACAATAGCCAAGAAGTGGAAGCAACCCAAGTGTCCACCAAACGACAGATGGATAAAGAAAATGAGGTATATACACACAATGAAATATTATTTGGCCTGCAAAAAGAAAGAACTCCTGCCATTTGCAACAATATGGATCAACCTGGAAGACATATTCACTTATGTTAAGTGAAATAAGCAGGCACAAGAAGACAAATATTGCACAATTACACTATATGGGGAAATCTAAATAACTCATAGAAGTAGAGAGTAGAATAATGACTACCAGAGGCTTGGGGAGAAAAAAAGGGAGAAAAATGAGTTGTTGGTCAAAGCTTACAAAGTTTTAGTCAGACAGGAGAAATAAATTTTTAAATCTATTGCACAGCTGGGTGACTGTAGTCAATAACAATGTATTATTCATCTCCAAATAAGTAAGATGGCATATTTCAAAATAAACAAGATGCTGAATTTCAAACATCTCAACACAAAGAGTTAAGTGAGATGATGAATATGTTAACTTCATTTTATCATTCCACCTTGTACACATATTACATGAATGTATACAGCTGTGATTTGTCAATTTTTTAAAAATTTAAAAGAGAAAGAGTCATGGAATTAGAGTAAGAAAAACCAAAAGAAGAAGGATAAATCAAAGAGAGTGAAGAAAGAGGAAGAGAAAGAAGAGAAAACAGAGAAAGGGAGAAACAGATTAAGGGAGAGAAAGTGAATACAGCGAGGAAGAAAATTTTACATATATACATACACTCATATACATTAATTTATGCATACTAGTTGGCTATATATATATTTGTGCATTCTTTTCTATACGTAGAAGATTGGAAGATGAAGCTGAGAAAACATCTCAGCATGCACAATTAAAAAAAAAATGAATGAAAATAGAAGAAACTTAAGATTATGAGAGCAACCCATGAAGTCCAACATCTGAAAAATGAGAGTTACAGAAGAAAAAATGGACAAAAGAGACATGGAGATCAAATTATCAAAGCAATTATACATTTTCCCATAATTGAATGACATGACTTTGCAGGTTAAAAGGCTCACCAACTGTCTGTTATGATAATTAAAATATGACTCCACAACCAGTAATGGATTAAATATATCCCTAAATCTTCTAGTGAGATAAAAGAGGTCAAATACAAAGGAAATAGGCTTTGAACTCCTTTACAGCAAGTTTGGAAATAAGAAAACAAGGAATGAATGTTTGCAAAATTTTAACAACTAATCGTCTCCAACTTTGAATTCTATACACAGCCATTGGACCAAACAAGGGTGAGTGTAGAGTAATAATATTTAGAGACATGCATATTTTGGAACATTTGCCTTTTATGCAGTTTTTATTAGAAAGTGACTGGACAATAAAATGCACTAAGACTGGTGAATGAACAAAGACCAAGAAAGATACAGGGAATGAAAAACAGTAACTAGGCAACAGGAATTTCCAAAATGTGAACAATGGGAAAGCCCAGGATATTAGCTGTCTAACATTGGGTTGTGGTCAACTCTGTCCCCTCAACCTTGAAAACATTTTTAAAAAATTATATATGAATTTAATCTATCAAATAGAATGCAAAAAAACGATGTGTGAACATTTCAAAAGATTTCTATTTCTCTAGTGAGCACAAAAATACCTATCCTGCATTCTTCTCAGTTGCCATAAAATATTGAATACTGTGACTTTTCCTACAAGTGAAGTGATTAACTGTCTTGTAGAGCCTTTTTACTTCTTCATTTAAAAAAAAAAATCTTTTAGGTTCAGGAGTATATAAGCAGGTTTGTTATACAGGCAAACTGTGTGTCATTGGGGCTGGGCATACAGATTGTTTCATCACTCAGGTAATAAGCGTAGTAACTGATACGTAATTTTTCTGATTCTCTCCCTCTTCCCACTCTTCACCCTTAAGCAGGCCCCGGTGTCTGTTGTTCCCCTCTATGTGTCCATGTGTTCTTATTGTTTAGCTACCACTTATATAACTTTTATGTGCAGTTTCTTTTGCCTTTAGCCTTAGATTCCACTTATTTCTACTCGTTTAGGTCAGCACGTCTTCCCTCCGTCCCCTGCAGGGAAGTTGTTTCATCATTTGCATTACAGTTAGATGCTCTCGTCACAGTCTGTATTCCTTTCTGAGATCCCCAAGGTCCTAAATTGTTTTTAAAATATTGCAGATATTAGTGTTCACTCTTTGGGTTATAAAGTTCTATGGATTTTGAAAAATATATAAGGTTTTATGTCCACCATTGTAATATCATACATAAAATTCCCCCAAATCATCTGTGCTTCATCCTATCCTGGAACCTCTGGCAACTACTGGTCATTTTACTGCCTCTATAGTTTTGCCTTTTCCAGAATGCCCTGTAATTGGATCATACAATATACACAGCCTTTTCATTTTTCCTTCTTTTCTTTTTTTTAGGGACAAAATGGCAGCAGCCAGCCTGACCATTCCCTTCCCATCATGAGGGAGAGGGCTGTGGTATGGACAGCAGCAGCTGACTGGCCACAGGTGCAGCCACTGCCATCCAGCCCCGACTCATTCCTAGAATAAGAACCACCAGACTGCCCTCTGACACCTGCCTCAGCGGTCCCCACCACTCCTCAAACCCTGTCACCGTCCACAGACAAGCCCTGGAGGGGTGGGGAAAAGGTGGGGCTCTGGGGCTTCTTTTTCAGAGATGGGAGGTGCACAGGCTGGGGAGGAACCCCCAGAGTATGCAATCTTTTAGGACTGGCTTCTTTCACTTAGCAGTATGCATTTAAGATTTTTTATTGTTGTTGTTTGGGGTTTTGTTGTTGCTGTTGTTGTTCTTGTTGTTTCTTTTGGTTGTTGTTGTTGTTGTTTTGAGACAGGGTCTCACTCTATCGCCCAGGCTGAAGTGCAGTGGTGCAATTAGGCTCACTGCAACTTCTACCTCCCAAGTTTAAGCCATTCTCGTGCCTCAACCTCCACAGGAGCTGGGATTATAGGTGCGCACCACCATGCCTGGCTACATTTAAGGTTTATACATATATATATTTTGTGTGTGTGTGTGTGTGTGTGTGGCTTGATAGCTTACTTTTTAACTTCTGAATAGTATTTCATTGTATGGATATGCCATAGTTTGTTTATTCATTCACCTGTTGAAGTTTTTGGTGATTATGAATAAGGCTGCTATAAACATAAGCATGCAGGGTTTTGTACAGACAAAAGTTTTTAACTCAATTGTTTAATTACCTAGGAGCGTAATTGTGGGACTGGATTGTAACATTGTCTTTAGCATTGTCAGAAACTGCTAAACTGTCTTCTGAGGTTTCAATGTTATTTTACATTTCTAATAGCAATGAATGAGAGTTCCTTTTGCTCTCCATCTTTGCCAGTAGCTGGTAGTGCCAGTTTTTTGTTTTTATTTTAGCCATTCTAATGGGTGTGTAGTGGTATTTCATTATTGTTTAATTTGCAATTTTCTAATGACGTATAATGTTGAGCATCTTTTCACACGTTTGTCTGCCTCTAAATGTCTTCTTTGGTAAGGTTTCTGTTCAGATTTTTTGCCTATTTCTTAATTAGGTTGCTTATTTTCTTTGTTGAGTTTCAAGAGTTGTTTATATGTTTTACAAACAAATTATTTATCAGATAAGGGTTTTGTATATATTTCCTTCTACTTCATGCCTTGTCTTTTGATGGTCTTAACATTGCCTCTCACAGAGCAAAACACTTAAATTTTAATAAAGACAACTATTTTTTTCCCATGGATGGTGGTTTTGTGTTACATTTAAAAACTCACCAAACCCAAGGTCTCCTCGATTTTCTCCTATGTTTTCTTCTAGAAGTTATATAGTATTATGATTTATATTTAGATCAAGGATTCATTTTTAGTTATTTTTTTTGTGAAAGGTGTAATTCCTGTCTAGATTTATTTATTTTTGCATATGGATGTTGAATTATTTCAGTATCTTTTGTTGAAAAGACTATCCTTTCTCTATTGAATTGCCTTTGCTCTTGTCAAAAATCAGTTGACTATATCAGTATGGGTCTATTTCTGCGCTCTTTATGCTGTACCATTAATCTAATGTCTGTTCTTTCATCATTACAATGCTGTCTTAATTTAGCTTTACATTAAGTCTT
This sequence comes from Homo sapiens, assembly GCF_000001405.40. Taxonomy (NCBI): domain Eukaryota; kingdom Metazoa; phylum Chordata; class Mammalia; order Primates; family Hominidae; genus Homo; species Homo sapiens. The sequence goes on from NC_000007.14 coordinate 38,015,040, forward strand.
GAAATTGGGCACTGTCAGTCCTCTGACTTTGTTCTTTTTCAGTATTGCATTGACTACTCCATGTATTTTGCTGTTCGATATAAACTTTAGAATTAGATTTTCAATATCCACAAAATAGCTTGCTGGAATATTGATTATAATTGCATTGAATATCTAGACTAAGTTGAGAAGAATGGACACCTTAAAAATATTGAGTCTTCCAGCCGGGCGTGGTGGCTTACGCCTGTAATCCCAGCACTTTGGGAGGCCGAGGTGGGCAGATCACGAGGTCAGGAGATCAAGACCATCCTGGCCTACATGGTGAAACCCCTTCTCTACTAAAAATAAAAAGATTAGCTGGGCATGGTGGCACATGGCTGTGATCTCAGCTACTTGGGAGGCTGAGGTGGGAGAATCGCTTGAACCAGGGAGTTGGAGGTTGCAGTGAGCCGAAATCACACCACAGTACTCAATCCTGGCAACAGAGTGAGACTCCATCTCAGAGGAAAAAAAAAGTTGAGTCTTCCAATCCATGAACATGGAATATCTTTTTATATATTTAGATCTTCTTTGATTTCTTTAATTACAGTGTTACAGTTTTCTGCATAGATATTCTGTACATATTTTCTTAAATGTCTATGTAAGTGTTTTATTTTCATGCTATTATAAATGGTATTGTGTTTTTCTTTGAAAATTCCAACATTTCCATTGGTGGTATATAGGAAAACAATGGACTGTTATCTATTAATTTGTATCCTGCAACCTTGCCATAATCTGCTATTAGTTCCAAGATTTTTTTTTCTATTTTTTGTTTCATTTTCTACTTTTTTTGTTACTTTTTAATTTTCTATTTTATTTTTACAGTTTCATTTATTTTTACTTTATTTATTTTTTAACTTTATTATCTGTGGAAAGACAGTTTTGCTTCTTCCTTCTTAATATTTATATCTTTTGTTTTCTTTTTACAAATCTTGTCACACTACCTAGGACTTGCAGTACAATATTGACTAGAAGTGGTAAGGGAGAATATCTTTGCTTTCTTTCCAACTGGGAGGAAAACATCTGTTTTTCTCTCCATTAGGTATGATGTTAGCTGTAGGTTTTTCATAGATGTTCTTTAACAGGTTAAGAAAGTTTCCCTCTGTTCTTAGTTTGATGAGAGGTTTTTATTTTTTTAAACCATGAACGGGTATTGGATTTTTGTCAAATGCTTTTTGTGAAACAATTAGTATGATCACCTGATGTTTCTTCTTCTCCAGGTTTCATTGTGAGAAACCACTGGGGATCCTGAAGTTAAAACTCATCAAAGTGTGGGGAAAACTAAGACTGGCCTAGCAGGATTTTTACTCTCAAGCTAATCTACACTCAACCTCAAAGAATTTATTAAAATTCACATTTAACCATCTTATCAGTATACATCTTCAAGAGCTTTCGTTTCTGGTACAAAAGTTTCAGCTGCAGTTACTTGTATTCATCTGTCTCTTCAGATTTCGAGGTGGTGGTCTGTCTTGTGAGCTCAAGTCTCTGGTGATTCTAATAAATGTCATTGATTTTTTAAGTCTTCTCAGATTTATTTCTTGTTTTTAGGATGGGAGTGGTGACTTCCAAGCTTTTTACATGTGAAAGGTAAACCAAAGTCAACGTGAATCTCCTCTTCATGTCTACAACTGAGCAACAGGTTTTTCAAACCTTGTAGCTCAACCCCTACTATCTGACAGTCTTTCAGACACAGCTAAGAGTCTATATATCTTTCTGTTTCACAACCTCGCTCTGATACTCTCTGTGTGTTTCATCATTCTATCTTTTAGCATGGTTAGGATGATCCTCACCTAGAATGGAGAAACCTCCAGAGATTTGAATCTGAGAAAACTAAGTTTCCTTGATTCTTCAGTGTTTTTTCTGACTACTCAATAGCAGCAATGTAATTTTTCGCTTCTCTACAGTCTGAGAAACATCACAATATAATCCAAGACCATCATGATGAGATCTGGTGGCTGACATGAGGAAAGTTGTGCTCTGTTTTCTAATGCTTCAGCTACTCAGCTCTTCCTGTCTCTCATCCCTACTTAAAACCTACTTATAGGGACTATCTGAGATCAGTGAACTTGCACCAGCCACACCACAGTCATCATCAATACATCAACAATTTTCAGGGAGGTACCTTCTCACTAAACAAGTTCTAACTGGATTGGGATGAGAGAGAGTGGTAGGGCAGTTCTAGTGAGGAAAGTGCTTGTGTCTAAGTCAGTGGACAACTTGGTAACTCCCTAACTACTTGATAGAAATTATATTTTTTCTCTCATGGCATATGTTGGTAGAATAAATTATTCTATCTTTGTCTCCTTTTCCCCCATCCAATTTCATTTCATCAGGCTTGAAATTGCTGAAAACATTTCTCATTTTTGGGAAATGGGCAAGATGGACTTTGATCTGTGTTTGCTGATTGATTAACTTTACTCTTGTATCTGAATGATTCCATTGAAACACATGTGGTCATATCCAAGTGGGTTGGAAACACATGTGCAAATGCAATTCTGCTAGTACAACACACTTTTAAACAAAATCAACAATAATCCAGGGATAATAAAATTAAACTTGAAACTGAATAAAATCTACCCTCACCGATTTATGAAGTTTGTCCAGCTCAGTTTACAAAAGTAGACATTCCCCCAACCCACTCTCCCTGTCTAATAAGAAGCTCATGATATGTGATTAATTATTAAGGACTTGTGGTTCTCCATAAGAAATTTAATTCTGTCAGTCTGCAGGGAAGGCTTGTATGATCAAGTTCAAATTTCCAGCTTTGCTCATTTTCCAGTTGCTTAGGAGTTCATAATTTTGAGTCTAGAAATTGCCATCTATACAACTATGAGACACACCTAACAAAAAGTATAGAACAGGACAGATTTCAGCCATTCACACAAAAATTGTGTGATTCTTGTCATATCCATAGTACCATTGGTATTGTTATTCACCTACTATCTCCCTATCTGAATTCTCTATCTAAACTCATCATTATCTTATTTTTAATGTGATCATGTACCACATAAAACCATCTTGCCTACTACCAGTAGTATGTATGTCATGCTTTCAGAGAAAAACAGATAATCTGAAGTAATGCTTTTTGGAAATATTAAGGAGGAGGTTCAAAAGCCAGTATAAAGGACTCATTAGACATTCACAATCCTAAAGGACTTCTATCTGTAGTCACAATAGAGTACTTTGCCAGTCCTCTGTCTTCATTTCCAGCAGCCAACTATGACTTCACAGTCTCTCATGGTGACCATGAGTTTCCACATCGGTCCCCAGAGCTGATCATTGTGATCTGGGGATATAATTGTGATGTTTATTGGATGGAAGAGCAGTGAAAATTACACTGTTGCTAATGAGAAGTCAGGAAAACACCAAAAAACCAAAAAACATATGTTTTCTCAAGCCTAAATCTCTGGAGAATCCTTCTAGGTCTCTAATGTGGTGATTGCTTTAAACACCCAAATGTGCTGAAAATGCTGCCTGAAGTGGATAGAGGCTCATCATTTGCATGTTATAATAAGGTTCCTAGAGTTCTCAGGTTGTGATCATATTATTTATCTCATTCCAACATTGAGAACTTTTCTTGTCACACCTCTTTTATCTAACATAGCAACGCTATTTTTTCAACTCATTTCCTTCTCTAACTTTGTTACCCAATGTCTACTACATTTTCTTCTTAGTGCTAATCATGTGGGAGAGGTGAGAGAAGTTAAAGACAGCCCTTATACATTGCCATCTCCCCAAAAGAACATCCCATACAGACTTAAGCACCTCGATTAAAACTTAAACTATCTGGTATAACTTATCTTGTATAACTTATCTGGTGTTCAATTTATTCTCTCCAAGACCGTTCCTTACCTCATTCATTAATCCCTGAGGATTGGAGTAAAGGCTTTCCAGTCCAAGGTAACACTTAAATTTTGTTGGCTCACTTTGCAGCCTCTACATCTTATTCCAAATAATTAACCCTGGAAGTTTGGCTAAATAAATTTCAAAGAATCCAAAGTACTATCTTTCCACATTCTCATATGATACCCAGATAATAAAGATAATGAAGAAGGTAGACTATTTTTTTCAGAAAGGATGGCTTGACATTATTTCTAACCCCTTATCTTCTCTGTTCTCCTCCAGAAACCCCTGAAGCAGGAAACAGGGTCTGGAGGCAGGGAACCTAATGACTTCCTGGAACTAATTTAAATGGAATTAAATTAAACTTTCTAAGCCCAGGTAAATAACTTTGTAACTCTACTTCAGCTATGGCAGGAAACATCCTCTTCATTGCATAGGGTGTACACCAAGTACATAACATTGTAACCTCACTTCATTCTCTTCATTTGCATAGGGTGTACACCAAGTAAATAAATTTGTAACCTTACTTTATCCTCTTCATTTACCTATGGTGTACATCAAGTAACCAATAGGAATCCTCTAGAGGGTATTTAAACACCAGAAAATTCTTTAACTGGGTCCTTGAGCTGGTTGTTCTGGCCTGCTACCACCCTGTGGAGTGTGGTTTCATTTTCAACAAATCTCTGCTTTTGTTGCTTTATTATTTCCTTGCTTTGTTTGTGTGTTTTGTCCAATTCTTTCTTCAAAAAGCCAAGAACCTGGACACCCTCCACCAATAACTCCCCTAAGCCATCTGTGCACATACATCTCTTCTTTCGGAAAACTTAATCCCCTTATTTTGTTCTTTCCTAAGGTCCACCATGCACATTGCACTTTCATACACATCAGCTACAACACTCTGGTGATTAAAAATTTTTAGCTGTCAAAAATGGTTGAGTTGCTGTACCGGACAAGACTCTGTACTAATGGCTAAGACTTTCAGACTAGTTTTGCATTTATTTCCCCAGATTTTGATGTCCCATTGGCTGTCTGGTTCAGAATTCATAATGCTTTGTCGGCGTCTCAAGTTAAGTTTGAAGAACATGTCCAAATTCTCCATTTCACCTCCATTCAATGCAACTGTTGGCAGCATAGAAATTATCTTCAAGGTAAACATGAAGAAACCCTAAGGAAATAATACTTGCCCTTCCATTGGGGTAATGACCTGGCAACTGTAGACATCTGGGGGTGATAGGAATTATTCGACAGGTTCTTTTTAAAAATAGGTAATGATCCTTTAAAGGATGAAACCCCATTTCATAACATGCAATTTTGTTAACCACTCTGTTTAGAAAACCGGGCTCTCTCTGGTTTCCCAGCGCTGGTAGCTCGGCTTGACGCATGAGGTTGGGGCTGCCTGGGTCATGCCAATTTAGATTACTGGATCTCACAGGATGCTACAAGGCAGACACACCCCAGAGTGACTCACTGAGTGGGAAGTTTAAAAAGATGGTTTTCCTCAGCCATCAATTAGATAAACCACATTTTCCAGGAGAAAAACAGCGTCTTGAAAAGTTCTTTACAAACAAAGCTTTCTTTGCTCATTCAGCTTTGGGTCATGTTTTCTTGTGAAGGGAAGTATGACTTTAACCTTAATTGCACTTACAAATTAGCAAGTAAAATAATGCCAGCCTTTCCCCCTTCCTTCCTTCCTTCCTTTCTCTCTCTCTCTCTCTCTCTCTCTTCCCTATCCTCTCTCTTTTCCCTCAGAGGAAGACACTTTTATGATTTTAGCTCTGGTAAAATTAGAGTGTTCTTCCTCTTTGCCTCTTCCCTCAAAGCTGTGGTTTTGACCAACCATGTGATGAATGAGTTATAGGTAGAGGCCTGAGATCTGTTTCTTCTGCCCTGAATAGTCTACTCTTCTTTATACATTTTTTTTAACCTTTTATTGCAATCTCATTGAAAACGTACTCAGGAAAGGACATTTGTAAGTTGTGTCTTTTTAAAAATGACAGTTTTGATTTAGGATGTGTGTCCAGAAGAACTGAACACTGAAAAAAAAATCTAAATCTCCTTGCCTTATGGTTATTTTGCATGTTTGGAAAGTACCAAATAAGTTTCTCCCACTGCATTGTAAGATTCTCAAAGACAAAACAGGGTATTTGTCATTTCTACCTTCTGATATACTATGTACCTATTACACATAGAATAACATATTCAAAAGCAGATCTTCATAAAATAAAATATTTTGTACAAAATCTCTCATTTCCCAACTCACTCAAAACTTGAGACCAAGGTGATAGAGTTATTGGCTGGAGTTCCAAATAGATATCCAGGGCCATAGAATATTTTGTGCACACTCTTAAAATAGCACAGAATGGATAAGAAATCAGTAGTCCATTAGCACCTTCTCCTTAGTGCACTCCTCCTGCGAGGGAAAGCACACCTCAGGCATGTGAATACTGGGGATCCAGGAACACTAAGGCATCCCTGTGCTTGCTGGTATCTTAGAATTTTATCTCCATTACAGGCAATTCACAGCAGCTGAAGATAATATGTGCTCAACAAATTCAGATGAGCGTGTTGACAACAGATGAGCATGATGTGACCAGGTCTACTGTGTGGCTCTATGTATGGGTGTGTGGGTGTAACATCCCATTTAGGTCTTATAAGGCTGAGGACAGCATTATTTTCCTTTCACAAATGAGAAAACACAGGCTCATATGAGTAGTTCACTCAAAGCCGGAAACCTAAGAATACGACGATCCTGGCTTCAAGATGTGTACTTTTAAATATTAAATAATGTGCTTCTACCAAGTTATATGTCCTCTCTGATATTAAATATTCTGCCACTCATGTCCACTCCAATTCCAGTAGCTATTTTTTTTAGAGTAAATTCACAGCAGAATGGTTGGAAAACAGACACTAGCAGGATAAAAGAAAGTCTGTGCTCTTTCATGGTTGTATTATGATTCCTTCATCAGGGCCAAAGGCTTCCCTCTTCTGGGGGCTGGTGGTGGGGCAGGTGAAGGGTTTTTGAGATGGATCTAAACAATACCACCCAAAACTTTCCATATTTCCACTGCTTCCTTGAGTATCTTAAAACCATTCTCTATTTGGGGGGCTTGGAAGTATCCTGGGCATACGGGTTGGTTGCTTACTGAGGTAATTTAGACAAGTTGACCGTCAGCGCAGCAGGGAACTCTCCTCTTGCACAATCAATGGGCAATGCAGACACCTGCAGTGGGAGCTCACCTGGAGGGCATTGATGGCCCATGGGCATCATTGGCTTGGCTCACAAAAGGTTCCTTAGTGCTGCATAGAGCTGACAGAGCAAAGGCTGTGCAGACTCTGAATACTAATTCTGTTCTTCTCTTCTAAGTCCAGAAGATTCCTCACAGGCCTCCAGGCAAACACTCACATCCTTTATCTCCCAACTGAGGCATTCCACCCATCACTTATTAAACTGTATGCTCTTTTAGGCAGTTTTGGGGAGTTTGCTTTTGAAGTCAAAGCTGAGCACTGTTTTCTTGTACTTAATATTCTCATAGATAATAGGTGGATTGGGAAAAGTTCATGAATAATAAAAAGCAAGGAAAAATGGGAAATTGCATATTTTTCAAAATATCATATAACTCTTAGTACTACAGAGGATCTTACATAAGCTTTTTTTGAAAGATTTTAAAAAAACATCACATTAGCATCATGCTTCCAAAAATTTCGGGGTCCCCATAAGCTCCCTCTTAGCCTTTGTGTCAGCATCCATGTTTAGCTAAGACATCCACTAAAGGGTGATATGCAGGTTATAACAAAATAACTAAGGCAATTTAGCTGCAAGTGGCAGCATTATTGGGTTCTTGATCCTAAAACAAATTAGATAGGCCCATGGGCCTATCACCTCATGTTTACTTGTTTACTCCAAGGGCCCTGGCTGAGTGATGACCTAGAGTCTTGGATAGCTAAGGCCACTGACTGGACAACTTTTCTTATTAGGTGGTTTATAGTTAACTTTTCTTCCTAGAGAGATGCCATTCTTTTTTTTTGGTTTGTGTGTGTGTGTGTGTGTGTGTGTGTGCATGTGTGTGTGTGTTTCCACTTGTTTTTTTGGTTTGTTGTTTTGTTTTGTTTTGTTTTTGTTTTATAATTTTGAGATAGGTCTTGCTCTGTTGCCCAGGCTGGAGTGCAGTGGCATGATCTTAGCTCACTGCAACCTCCCCCCACCTAGGTTCAAGCAATTCTCCTGCCTCAGCCCCCTTGGACTGGGACTGCAGGCGCGCACCACCACACCCACCTAATTTTTTTGTATTTTTAGTGGAGATGGGTTTTTAATCTACTTTGGGTTGTCTCTAGAGAAAGTTGTCATTTCTTTTCACAATAGAATTTTGAGGTGTCCTGAAATGCAATGCTGTGTAATAAAATGGGAAGAATGAAACAACTTTTCATTTCCTCCTGGGAAGTTTCCTTGGAATTTCCTGTTATGGACCCTCACCACTGCCCACCCTACCATGCCAAGTCTCATCTCCATTCAGTTGCGTGCTCTTGGAAAGATATATAATCAAGACAATTTAGCCCAAGTTGTTGAAGTTTGTTGTCCAGCTGCAATTAGATCCTGATACCTTTTGGTATTAGTATGAGTATTCTTATGCTAATGCTAGTATTCTTACTATTCTTCTTTAACCATGCTACTTGCCTGTCATCCGCACCAATTTTTACTTATCTTCCAGAAATATGGTCCATACCATGACATCCCTGTTTCTGTGAAAACTGGTAGAAGTAACATCTACTGTTCACTTGCTATATTCCAGTAGTCATCATCACAGCAATCCTTGAGGTAGGAACTATTACTATCCACATTTCACAGATATGGAAAATTAACAGGGGCTAAGTCCATTTCTGAAAGTCTAAATGGCAGCTGGATGCAGCAAAGCTGTTATACTAACAATCATGGTAGCCCCTCTCAGAACCCAGACCCTGGAGCATCTGTAAGCTACATATATGTTGATTCTCTCCTGATAAAAATAGACATAATTCTTCCAAAGCCTATATGTGTTATTTTACCGATATTTTTAGACATATATTTTTCTTAGAATCCTGTCTTCTAAAATTCTTTATAATTTTCTCATCTATCACAAAGACCCAGTATGGCTTTATTCTTACTTATCGTTGAAAATGAAAACAACAACCCGATTAGGGAGAACTTGAAGTTGCCAAATGTTGAAATCAGTTTGTATTTGTCACACTAAACTCATATCGCTTTCTGTATTGGAATTTGCTAATTGTATATTCTACTTACACTGTCCCAATATATCTGAACTTCAGCAAGCTTTTTAACAAGGAAGCTTGAGAAAGTCTCTCTTATGGAAATTCTTACCATCATGACCAAAGATAACTGGAGATGAGTAAGCAGGAGGGCTGTTAATCGGCTTGATTCAGCTTAGAGAGGAGCTCCTAGAACTTAACAGATCTAAAAGCCTAATAAAGTTAATATGTTCATCTAATTCAGACAATGTAAAACTGGAATGGACAATGACAGATGTCCATGGAATAGACAATGTCAAGGTAGAGCCAAGAAACCTTAAAATGTGACTGATCATTAACAAGCATAAATATCCAATAAGCAGAGCCAAAAGTAAGATGAAATGTATAAAATGTAGGATGTGACTTACTAGCACCACTGATAAAAAAGAAACAACAACAAAAACAAACTCCAACAACAGTGTCAAAAACTGCCTCTTTAAGTCAAAATGGGAGTGACCACACACGTTCAATGCAATATTAGAATTACAGTTTTATCTGTCTAAGAGCTAGGTCATGTTTAATGTTTGCTGTAGCTGTAGGTGTCTGAGGCTGGAATTATTTTTCAGTGTCTTGGTTTTTGTTTCACTTGTCTTTGTGTTTCCCTAGAGACTCCATAAATATCTTCTGAGCCCTGCAGTTCTTCTCATAATCCATCATTATTATACAGGAGACCTACTGATGTGGTGGTAAAGCATGGAAGAAGAGAACCATTCTGTAATTTTATAATGAAGTCTTAGTTTTATAGTGAGGCTGTGCCCTGCACTGTGACTTTCACAAGTGCTTCTCAGCTTTTCCTCATCCCTTAGGTGAGAAGGGAAGGCTAAAGGGGGCTGGAGTTGGGTATTTCCCTTTCCGTAGATTAGGCTCTGGCAAAACAATCTCCTTTGAGGGCAGGCTTTTATTAAGGAGAACAGAGAGCTTTGGGTGTATTTAAAAATGGTTACTCTCCCTGCCAGAAAGACTGGGATTTTTTTCTCCAATCTTCACCAAAAGAACATGGTGGTGCTCTTGGAGGTAAAACAAAAAACATGTGGGCCCTCCCAGAGCTGGGCCCCCAGAGTTTGTAACTCTCAAGTTTATCCACATTGAGCCTATAGCAATTTGTCAATTATAGTTTAAATGTTCTTACCAGCACCGGCTCCAGCCTCTGGCTTCTGCTCCTCAGCTTCAGCTCCTGTAAACTATGATTCTTAGTATCTGACTCTCTCTCCAGTGTTTGCAGCAGCGGTCTGCTCTCAATTATCTGATGCCTCTAAGAAGAGTTGTTGATTTTCAGTTTGTTCAGTTTTTGTCTTTTTGTGAGAAGATGAGTGATGACTTCCAAGCTCTTTACATGTCAGACTGGAAAATCATAATGACAGATATGTACCTAAATATAGTGAGGAGACAGTAGACCTTACATAGTCTACCCACATCCAGGGAGTAGAGTCCAGTTTTAGCTATCATATCCAGAGAATGGTGAAAAGAAAGTAAAGCCGTGCACAAATAAAAATGATTTAAAAATCTGAAAATCAGTCTGAATCAGTAATAATGCCAATACAATTTTGCTACTCAGGAAATTTATCTTCTGTCCTAACGTCACTACTTTGCAAATGCAAATATACAAAATATACAGATAACATTAACAATTTATTTTTTGTTACTTGACTGTAAGTTGCAAAGTAGTATCTAATGAGATGCCAGGAATTCTGCCATAGAAACAAAAATATTCAGTACTTTCCAGCTACTGTTCATAGAACTTCAGTAAGTATATTCTTTCTCATAGATAATGATGCTGGTATAATTTGGTAAAGTAATAGTACTATGATTCACCTGCCGGTCCCTTAATGTCTCAGAAAATAGCAAGAAATACATATTATCCTTGAGCAAAGATGACTCAAAGTCAATAAAAATTTCCCACAAAGAAAACATCAAACCCAGACAACTTTATAGAGTAGTTCTACCACAATTTCAAGGAAAAAATAATAATTTTAGTTTTTTTATAAAGCTCTTACAGAAAATAGAGAAAGAAGGAACACATCTATCTCATTTTATGAGTTCAGCATTTTTAGGCCCAAACCTGACTACAACTGTCACATAAAGAAAAAGGATACAACAACCACACTTTCAAACAAAAATGTAAAATATTAGTAATTAAATAAAATATTAACAATCTGTATGTAACAATACATAAAAAGTTAGTACATCATGAGTAAGGTGAATTTATCCCAGGTATGCAATGTTAGTTTGATAATAGAAAATCAATTAATGGCATGTGTTACATTATTAAAGAGAGAAAGGTAGATGATTATCTTAATAGATGCTGAAAAGGCATTTTTAAAAGTTCAATATATATATATATAGATAATTTTTAAAAAATGTTTTAGCATATTAGGAATAGAAGGAAACCACTAATTTTATAAAAGGCAAGTAAAAACAAATAAATAAAAAAATTAGAACAAACACCAATCCTAACTGTAATGTTGAAGGCATTTCCTTTAAGATTAGGAGAAAGATAAGGATACCTGTTACCATCACTTCTCTTCAACCGTTGACTATAGAATCTATAGTTCAATCAAATAAGAAAAAAATAAAAGCAATAAGAAAAAAAAGAAGAATCAAAACTCTCATTTTTTGCAGGTGATATAATTTTATATATAAGTAGAAAATTTAAAAGAAGCTACAGAAAAACTAAGAAATTTAATAAAAAAGTTTGAAAAGTTTCTTGATAATGAAAATATAGAAAAGTTGGTTGTATTTCTGCATTAGGAACAAGCAGTTATAAACAGTTTAAAAAGAGATATTTTCCAGGGTGCCATGGTTCACATCTTTAATCCCAGCACTTTGGGAGGCCAAAGTGGGTGGATCACCTGAGGTCAGGAGTTCGAGACCAGCCTGACTAATATGCTGAAACTCCATCTCTACTACAAATGCAAAACTTAGCTGGGCATGGTGACTTGCACCTGTAGTCCCAGCTACTTGGGAGGCTGAGACAGGAGAATTGCTTGAACCCGGGAGGCAGAGGTTTCAGTGAGCCAAGATCATGCCACTGCACTCCAGCCTGAGTGACAGAGCAAGACTCCGTTTCAAAAAAATAAATAAATAAAAATAAAAAAGAAAGATATTTTCAGTGGCAAATAAAGATACAAAAATAACTAGGAATAATTCTATTAAAAGGCATACAAACCCCTAACATAGCAAATTATGAAATTTTGATTAAAAATCATCAAGGAGACCTAAACAAATGGAAAGAAATAAACTATTCCTGAATAAAACCTCAATTTTCCCTACATTAAACTACAGATTCAATGAACAGTCCCCCAAAAAGATTAGGCTGGCACAAAAGTAGTTGTTGTTTTGCCATTAAAAGTAATGGCAAAGGCAAAACTCGCAATTACTTTTGCACCAACCTCATACCAAAAAATGTTCTAGAGAGCACTGTGGAGCTGCAGGGCTTGGTCAACATGTGTAGGCAAAGGTGGTGGAAGACATACGCAGTGCATCTGAAGGTGCTGAGTCAAGCCAGTCAGTCATAATTTGAATGAGGGAGACTTTTTCAAATTTGGAAACACATTTGTACATTACATGATTTAATCACTGAGCAAGGACCCCAGGAAATAATGTTAATACACTGCTATGCTAGTTCTTGGATGCCTGGAAAATTCAGTAGCACCCACCAAGTAAAGTAGAGATGCTGGAATGCTAACAGCAAAAGAAAGGATCAAAAAGTTTAGAGATGTGGGCATGTGAAAGTGGATACACTATATAAAGCCAAAACAAAAACAAAAACACACCCTCAAAAACCTATAAGGCCACGTGATTTCACAGGCGGGCCTTGAGGACATTCCAACTGTTAGACAATAAATAGTTTGTTCATGAGCCAGACAGCAGCATCACTGAGAAACTCTTCTCTCTAAGCTTGGAATTGTTACTGGAGAACTGAACTCACCGACAGCAATGAGTGCCAACCAGGAAGCAGGCTCTCACCAGACACCAGACCTGCTGACAATTTGACCCTGAACTTCCCAGGCTCCAGAACTGTGAGAAATAAATGTCTGTTGCTTAAGCTACTTGGTCTATGGTATTTTTGTTACAGCAGCCTGTACTGACTAAGACATCTTTCTCCAAGCTGCCTTCAGCGTTGACTGCTGAGAGTTTATTGTTGACTCTTTCTGTAAGAACTGCCTTTGCCTGAAGGAAGTTGCCTTGCCAAATACATATTTTTTTTATTATACTTTAAGTTTTAGGGTACATGTGCACATTGTGCAGGTTAGTTACATATGTATACATGTGCCATGCTGGTGCGCTGCACCCGCTAACTCGTCATCTAGCCTTAGGTATATCTCCCAATGCTATCCCTCCCCCCTCCCCCCACCCCACCACAGTCCCCAGAGTGTGATATTCCCCTTCATGTGTCCATGTGATCTCATTGTTCAATTCCCACCTATGAGTGAGAATATGCGGTGTTTGGTTTTTTGTTCTTGCGATAGTTTACTGAGAATGATGATTTCCAATTTCATCCATGTCCCTACAAAGGACATGAACTCATCATTTTTTATGGCTGCATAGTATTCCATGGTGTATATGTGCCACATTTTCTTAATCCAGTCTATCATTGTTGGACATTTGGGTTGGTTCCAAGTCTTTGCTATTGTGAATAATGCCGCAATAAACATACGTGTGCATGTGTCTTTATAGCAGCATGATTTATAGTCATTTGGGTATATACCCAGTAATGGGATGGCTGGGTCAAATGGTATTTCTAGTTCTAGATCCCTGAGGAATCGCCACACTGACTTCCACAATGGTTGAACTAGTTTACAGTCCCACCAACAGCGTAAAAGTGTTCCTATTTCTCCACATCCTCTCCAGCACCTGTTGTTTCCTGACTTTTTAATGATTGCCATTCTAACTGGTGTGAGATGATATCTCATAGTGGTTTTGATTTGCATTTCTCTGATGGCCAGTGATGATGAGCATTTTTTCATGTGTTTTTTGGCTGCATAAATGTCTTCTTTTGAGAAGTGTCTGTTCATGTCCTTTGCCCACTTTTTGATGGGGTTGTTTGTTTTTTTCTTGTAAATTTGTTTGAGTTCATTGTAGATTCTGGATATTAGCCCTTTGTCAGATGAGTAGGTTGCGAAAATTTTCTCCCATGTTGTAGGTTGCCTGTTCACTCTGATGGTAGTTTCTTTTGCTGTGCAGAAGCTCTTTAGTTTAATTAGATCCCATTTGTCAATTTTGGCTTTTGTTGCCATTGCTTTTGGTGTTTTGGACATGAAGTCCTTGCCCATGCCTATGTCCTGAATGGTAATGCCTAGGTTTTCTTCTAGGGTTTTGATGGTTTTAGGTCTAACGTTTAAGTCTTTAATCCATCTTGAATTGATTTTTAATAAATGGTGCTGGGAAAACTGGCTAGCCATATGTAGAAAGCTGAAACTGGATCCCTTCCTTACACCTTATGCCTTGCCAAATATTATTTCCTCCGCAGAAGCAGTCCACATGCAATGACTCATAGATATGGGGATTAAGACACTTGGCCCCTTTAACCTGATTTGGGTATTCTCTGAAGAATCTTCCCAGCTCCAGAGCTCCCCATGATATTCACTGAGGCCTCTGATGCATCTGTGCCACAATTCAATTTTTCTCTCTTCTCCCATTTGTCTCACTCCTCTGGTATTGATTGCATGAATATAAACCCCTGCACAGAGGGGTTTCCCATCTCAGAGTCCATTTTGTAGGGAACCTAAGCAAAGACAAGCATTTACCATGGAAGTTGACAAGCTGATCCTAAAATTTATATGAAAGTACAAAATCAGCAATAGCCAAGAAACTTCTGAAGACAAACCATGTTGGGAAATGGGTGGTGGTATTAAGTGGGCCTGCAATATCAGATATGAAGACTTATAAAGCTGTAGGAAATGGGACTGTATAATTCTGCTGCCAAAATTGATAAATAAGTAATGGAAAAGAATAGAGAACTGGACAAATACCTAAACATATGTGGAAACTCAATTCACAACAGTGTGCCTCAGATATCACTGAAGGAAGGATAGATTGTTTAGTAACTGTGTCTTGAGAATTCATTTATCATATATAAGAGAATATCTTTATGACATCAGAGTAGGGAAGAATTTCCTAAACAAGGTTCAACAAAGCATAAACCACAAAGAAGAAGATGAAGAAATTTGACTATATTAAAATTAAGAACTTCTTGTCATCAAAAGTCACCATAAACAGAATGAACAAGTAATCCACAAACTGGAAAAATATATTTGAAATTCTCAGTTACAAAGGATTGGTAACCAGCATATATAAGGAAATCTTATAAATGACTAAGAAAACACTAACACTTTCACTTCTATAATAAAAAAAGACATGAGCAGACATATTTTGTAACATGAACATAAATCTTTTAGAAACAACTTGTAATACAACTGGAAGTGTCTAAAAATTTATATTACCTAGATATATACCCATTGAGGCAGAAAAGGTGCTTGTTGGTTTTTAGACTCTGAATATAGACCACCACTCATACATATTGCTCATCTAGGAACCCTTCTGTATAATTTCCAGCGATTTCAACTCTCACTAAAATCTCATCTAAAAAAATACTCTTAACATACCGTTTAATTTAACTGTTAAGCAAAAGTTGGTTTCATCTCAACTAGATTTTTCAAGTACAATTCTTAAAAAATTAAAAGTATTTTACTGTTTTTAAAAAGCAAGCAATATATGCATCATACATATATGTAACTTATGCACACATTCACACATATACAGGTAATAGCTGTGAATGTATATTTTACATCTTTATACATTATAAATATGAGAATTTATTTTGAAAAATCAGCCCACAGGGAATTTATAATTCAATAGATTTGAAGTATGGCATCAACTCTCCAGAAAAGATCAGCTAGAAATGGAGTATTTGAGTTTACCTCTCTGGCTTCCCATTAGTACAGAAATATCAAAATATGTTACACATAGCCTGACTGTCTTCTAATGCTCAACCATTGGTAGCTATCTTTTCTAGTAAATCTCTATCTCAGTCCTTTTCCATAGAATACTTCAGGAAGCCACTATCAATTTTTCAGAGTTGGTTAAACAAATGAAACTCACTTGCCATCTCTACACTAGACCAAAAACCCTGATCAAATAGACTTTTTTTTTTCATTTTGCCTCTCAGGAACATTGCATTCCTATAACAACAGAGACAAAGCATTGTCTCTTCTCCCTGGGCACCCCTATTTGCAATCTCAAGCACTGAATCCTGGAATCTGAAGGACTTTGAAAAGCACACTGGCTTGAACTGCCATCTTCTAATGCTATAAGAGTTTGTTTTTGTAAAAGCCAGTCTTATTTTAATCCTAGTCACTTTAGTCACTGTAACCAAAATTATGTAAACTTTCTAAATAGACTAAATATTCTAAAAATACAGTGAAACACCAGCCTCCACACCAACCAAGTCACAATAGGGTGTCTGACCTAAAGCCACAAAATGAAAATATGATGGGAAAGTCATTTATCAAACTGCAGAGACCATAACATGCTCCTATCACTGTGTCAAAAGCAAAGGCAGCAACCAAATGGCTATTACTCAAAGTGATAACATTATCTTTGGGAAAGCATTTTATTTATGCATTCCTATAAGTGCTTATCATATTAGTTACAATTTATATTCAACACTATATGAATGTATTTTTGAACATTTTTCCATATTTTGGAAAATGATGAAACTATTTTCTACTTTGTAATTTTGTGTTCAGAATCTCCCTTGAAGAAATATGAGTGTGGGCAGTGGAAAAATAATTTGTTTCCATGTATTTGTTACCACTTATAGCACAGCCTTGAGTATTTTGAGTCCTAAATAAACTTCTCTGACCATAGGGAAGAATTGTGAAAACAAGTACATCAAACGTTATAATACAGACACAATTGCCTATATCTGCTGCCCACCTGCAAATGTAGTGTCCATAAGGCCTCTTTCTCAAGTATTGCATGTGGTACCCATGAGCTCATGAACAACCCCACTCAGCTGCCAGGTTCTGGTCACTGTCTCTCCCTCTCTCTCTCTCTTCTCCTGTAGCCTTGGCTAACAGAGGATCCCACTACTGATGCCTTTAAATTACAGAAGCACATCTGGTAAAATAGAGAAATGTGTTTTCTGTTTTGCTGCCACTTAATTTTGGAAAAGTAGCAAAGCCAACCTACTGCCTTATATCTGCTACACTGTCTGTACTTTCAAGTATTTTAGTATGAACAGATGATGTGTGTATAACTTTTCTTGAATCCAGTGTACTTAGTTATAAATTTTTTGTTTAGCTATAATTTACATACAGTAGACTTCACCCTATTAAGGGTACTGTGGTTTTACAGGTCCTCCCAAAGCAGATAACAATGTGGGAATCAACATGCATTATACTGGCAAGTGTTCTGTTTGAAATTTAGCCGTTGTAATAGGATTTTGTTTCCCACTGATAGTTTTTACATAAAACTGTATAATCCACCCTATGTGGCAGGTGGAGTCTCTAGAACAGATTTATTTTACATAGCTTGCCCAAAGCAAATGAAAGCTCATCTAATCTATCAAATGGTGTCTGTAACCACACATGATATCTTGTCTGCAGGATTCAGAGCCTTCCTTCAGCCAGTGATGGTCAGTTGTGCACATGGTTACTCAGAGGCAATAGAACGTGGCATATACTTCCTGCCTATCTCCTGTGTTCAAAAAGCTGATCAATATCACACAGCCTTGGAAACTTTTGTGCAGTGCTTAGTTTTGGATAGTGGGACTACAGAAAGTATGGAGAAGTAGAAAATAGAGATGAAAAGTTATCCACACTCTATTTAGTAAGCATATAATTTTTAATTGGGTTTGATGATGGTTGAAAGAAAAAAAAGAGAACATAAGCATATTTATTACCACGGAACTGGACACCTAAAACTGGTAAAGAGGGAAAATTGTTTAAAAGGTTGGGGTCGAGGAAGATTAATATCGAGGGCAGGTGATTGGTTCTGGTAATTAAAAAATGTAATTTTCTGTGGAGTCCTAAAACCAGATACAAGATGCTGATACAATAAAGAGTGAAAAGTAAAGGAGTATGGGCAGCCAACTTAGACTTATTTTCCTCCCAGCAATGAAGAGAAGGGAAAGAGTAGCAGCCTCCTTCAAACACCAGCCCAAGATCCAACTCTTCTTTGAAGCTTTCCTGAACTTCAAATGCCTGCTCTTCTTCCCCTTCCTTAGTAAACACATATCAAAATGTTACATTGTACCCCGTAAATAAATACAATTATTACTTGTCAATTGAAAATAAAATAAAATCAAAAAAAAAGAAAAATAACATCAATTAAGCCAGATGAGGCTACTGAAAAATAAGTTACATTTAATAAATTTTCTCTGCTGTGCTTCAGATGTAGGGATGACACAGTAAAAATCTGGGATCCTTTTTTTTTAGGACGATAGCATAAAATGCAGAAGAATAAGAAAATGTGAACGGCGTTCAATTTTCCTTCTTTTTTTTTTTTTTTTCTGAGACGGAGTCTCGCTCTGTCGCCCAGGCCGGACTGCGGACTGCAGTGGCGCAATCTCGGCTCACTGCAAGCTCCGCTTCCCGGGTTCACGCCATTCTCCTGCCTCAGCCTCCCGAGTAGCTGGGACTACAGGCGCCCGCCACCAGGCCCGGCTAATTTTTTGTATTTTTAGTAGAGACGGGGTTTCACCTTGTTAGCCAGGATGGTCTCGATCTCCTGACCTCATGATCCACCTGCCTCGTCCTCCCAAAGTGCTGGGATTACAGGCGTGAGCCACCGCGCTCGGCCAATTTTCCATCTTTATTATTCTGATTTCTGTTAAATTAGTAGAATGATTCTACTGAAAGCCAGCATTATTTATCATGATCTGACTCCTAAGGAATTCATTTGATGAGAGGAGGAGTCGGAGGGAAGTTAAACCAAACTTTTATGGAGTTTTCTTTTATTTGATTTGATGTTTTTGTCTTTTGTTTTTGGCTGGAGTTAGAGTACAGATAGGGAAAATGTGAAGCAGTAGAGAAATTGGATCATGTGACTTAAGGATAAATAACTGAGTAATATGGCCCCAATGAGACTTAGGAGTGGGAGTTGGAGGATGGGTGTGAGAGAGGTAAACTGAAAGCTAGTCCATGTTTGGTCTTTGTATTTTCACTTTTTTAATACAGTGTTACATTTGAAGTTGTATGATCCCTCTAGAAGATTATCGGTAGAATAGAGAAAGAAATACAGAAACCAGCCTTTATTTCAGAGTACTTATGTTTGTGTATGTGTAAACTGGCAAGCCATAAGCTCTAATGAGCTCCTATCTAACCATAGCATCAATGTTTATTGACCTCTCCTATAATTAAAATCACATGTCTCACCACAAGCAATGGGTGAGCCTTTGCTTACTTTAATAAGCTTGTAACCTAACTATCTGGCCACTTAAGTGCCACTGGCTCCGTGAATCGAATCAGCAGGAAGAAAGAAAAGAGCGTCAGTGTCAGAGTCCACTTTTGGCATTTAAGCTGACTCAACAATTTATTTTAAAAATTTACATAAACAAATTCCAACCTCAAATATTTTTCTCCCCACCTCAGGTCCATCAAATTACAAGTTAACTATTCATTCTAGTCAATTGAATAACTCAACAAACTAAAACTGTGTAACCATTTGTTTAAAGTGCAACTGATTTGGGAAATTCTACCTAGATGTTTTTATTAATGTCATGGAAAATTATATATATTAATACTATTCAACATTTAATCATCAGCCACTTTCTAAATACTTCGAAATGTCAGGGCAAATCTAAATTATCTAAATTTTAAAGAGATTAATCTAATTGCACCAAGTAGCAAGGAAGGAAGAAATTATTCAGAGTTAACTTCTTAGGCTATTCCAAGGAAAATGTGAATTACAACTGTATTTCCAATGGGTTCAAAATCAGAAGTTAATATTATTTCTCAAGTGAACAAACCTCTTTTTTAATGCTAATCTGTTGTTCACAGAATTACAAACTTATTGTATACTAATAGCCAAGATAAGAAAACAATCTAAGTGTCCATCAATGAATGAGTAGACAAAGAAATTATGAAACATACGTACGTATATATGTACAATGCAAAATTTTTCAGCCTTAAAAAAGAAGAAAATCCTGCCATTTGCAATAACATGGATGAACTTGGAGGACATTACACCAAGTGAAATAAGGCATACACAGAAAGACAAATACTGCATTATATCACCTACATGTGGAATCCAAAATAGTCAGACTTAGAGAAACAGAGAGTAGCATGGTGCTTGACCAGAGCTGGGGAGCTGGGGGACTGGGGCAGTGTTGTTCAAAGAGTACAAACTTCCAGTTTTAAGATGAATAAGTTCTAGAGATCTAATACATAACATGGTATATAGTTAATAGTGATGTATCATATACTTGAAATTTGCTAAGAGAGTAGATCTTAAGTATTCTTACCACAAAATATGATAATTAGGTCAGGTGATAGATACGTCAGCTTGATTGTAAGAATCATTACACAAGATATATCAAAACACCATGTTATATACCTCAAATAAATAGAATTTTTTATTTGTCAATCACAAGTCAATTTTTTAGAAAAAGACTGAAAAGGTTGCTACAAATAGTTAAAGATAAATAATTGGTGAAACACAAATGAATGCATTCCAGCTAAGTGAATTCATTCCATTACACATTTAGTTGAGATACTTAATTAATACCTTCCAAGTTAGGTCAGCATTGATTTAACAAGTACTGCATGCCTTTCTCCACCCATTCTGAGATATCAGATAGATAGATAGGTAGGTAGAGAGATGGATAGATAATAGAATTGTAGTGTTTGTTATAATTCATCATACGTATTTGAGGTTACTGCCTACACATTCTAACTGACATCTATAAATTAATGTTTGATCACTGGATTTCCAAGTTGCCAATGTCTAACTCTCTTCTTCGATGAGGTTGAAGCTTGATACATTATCAATCCATGTTCCAGATAATATTTTGTTACTACATCTCAGTTTGTCTCAGAGTATTATGGTCTGTAAACAAGCAACCATATTAAAATATAGCTGGGGATAAAATTAACAAATTTTAGATATAGTCATTGTAAGAGCCAGATATATATTTGATGTAACACCCTTCTATTAAGGACGCTATCTTGCAATGTTTTTTGTCTTCATCATGAAACAAGGGAAATATTTGTAGACCTAAATTTTTGGTTAAGTAGATGGAAGCATTTCTCCAGAGGTTTCTGATATATGGTAATAAGTCCGTGACCAATGCAATAAATGTTCACCAAAAGACTGCAAGACATGTATCCATGCTCAAGGAAACACAATGCAATGATAGGAGGAAGAGAAATTTAGAATAAAAAGACTATAGAATTAACTTATGTAGAAATAAGTGACTTTATTGAAGTGCTTCATGTCTCAACCTATTTTAAGGAGGATACTATTTAGAATAAGCACATGTAATACTAACCTTCTTTCCAAAGAAAACTGAATCCAGTTGATAAATTTTTATCACGTTCTTAATAATATTTGTAGTGAAAGAGCTTAGTGTTTTTTCTCCCTGTGTTACATGGTCTAGACTTATAAAAGCATGACTTTATTTTCAGTGATTGAAACTGTAAACTCATCAGTTCATTATTAATTATATTTGGTTGAAACAAAATTCAGAAAGTAAACCACTCTTCTTGATATAAATCATTGAGGGTTTAAAATTAAACTAGAAGAGAAGCTTCTGTTTCATAAGTAAAATAATGAATATAAAAACATTCTTTCTGCATCACAGACCCCTTCTAGGAGCCAGAATCTAGTGAAATATCCAGACTTTCCCTCCAAAAAATACATATTCAAACTAAATATTGTATAACAACTTTTCTGCAAGCTTGAAAAATCTTTGAAGTAGAAGCTAGGACCAAGTTAAAGAATACATGCATGCAACAAGAATCTCTGCATAATTATGTTTATTATTGCAAGACTGAGCCACAATTTGGCTAAGATTTCTAGCAGCCAGGGGGGATAACGGAAAGCCTAGTTATGATGACTGTCATCAAGAGAAGGAAACATGGCACTTAAGAAAAACAAAGTTTTGCTTAGAAATGAATTATAAATAATTTCCCCTGGGACTGTTTAGTAAACTTTACTTTGGAAACTCTGTATAATCTCAAATGCAATTTTCATGTACTTTTTTATTTTGACCACTTAACAAAATAAGAAGACATAAGATTACTAGGAAACAGCCTGCTGGTTGTCTGAGTCATAGAGAATATGCACTCAACTTACCCTATTGTCAATCGTGTCTATACTTGGACTATGTTCACAAAAATTTGCTTTCTCACTCAAAGTTGGGTTACTGATGGGCACAATTCAGATATCAGCCCTCTGGAAACTTCTGACACATTTGGTCTTATAGAAGATACGAAAAGAAGAAACAACATATGTATAATAAAAAGAAAATCCAAGTAATGAAGTTAGAGAAATATGAAAAAAATCTATAATTAAAAACAAACTTTCCTAAAGTTAAGTGTGTATACATATGTATATGTGTGTGTGTGTGTGTATATATATATATGTTAACAAGTCACATCATGTATTTGGGAAAGTAGACTGAGAACACTGAGAAACTTCTACTAAAATGATTAGTATTTTAAAAAAGTTAATGAATTATTTTTGTATTTGTACAAACTATCTAAGTCACTTGTAACAAATAGATTAGACTGTTTAAAATTTTCAATAGCAATACTTTATGCCTTCTAGAGAAAACTAGAAAATAAAATCTGGGCCGGGTGCAGTGGCTCACACCTGTAATCCCAGCACTTTGGGAGGCTGAGGTGGGCAGATCACGAGGTCAGGAGATCAAGACCATCCTGGCTAACACAGTGAAACCCTGGCTCTACTAAAAAAATTACAAAAAATTAGCCAGACATGGTGGCAGACGCCTGTAGTCCCAAATACTCGGGAGACTGAGGCAGGAGAATGGCGTGAACCCAGGAGGCGGAGCATGCAGTGAGCCGAGATGGTGCCACTGAACTCCAGCCTTGGCGACACAGCAAGATTCCGTCAAAAAAAAATAAAAAATAAATAAAAAGCAAAAAGAAAAAAGAAAAAAAAAAGAAAAGAAAATCTGAGCCAAGTATTTTATAACTGGTTTTCAAGTGTAAAGCCAAACTTTTATGGACATCCAATGAGTTATTCCTGAAGTATCTCCTAGAGAGTAACTTTCAGACAATTAAAATGACTAGAAATGTATCAACTTAAGGTCTGGTGGTGAGCATTGGTATATAGTTAATTGTAGCACTATGAATATGTGATTGTAATAAAATAAAAAATATAGTATGTAGTAGTTATACATACCAATCCTAATGTTGCTATCTCACTCTAAGGGCACAGAGTGAGTAGGGTGAAGGAACAAGGATAGGAGATGGATTCACTGAATATATCTTGTTTTACAGAATTGACTTTGAAACCATGTAAGCATTTTACATGATAAAAAGTGCACTTTAAAAATTCCTAAAAATATTTAAATAAAATAAATAAATATAAATGTGTAACTAGTTGTTGGCATAATCACACAGAAAATAACTAATCCAAGTAACTTTAAAAAATAGTGTGTAACTGTACATCTCTAATGATATATTCCCTAAGGACAAAAAAAATACTCCATTGTATTCGTCCATTTTCACTTTGCTTATAAAGACATACCCAAGACTGGGCAATTCACACACACACATACAAAAAGAGGTTTAATGGACTTACAGTTCCATGTGGCTGGGAAGGCCTCACAATCATGGTGTAAGGTGAAAGGCAAGTTTCACATGGCAGCAGACAAGAGAAAAGAGCTTGTGCAGGGAAACTCCCCTTCATAAAACCATCAGATCCTGTCAGACTTCCTCACTATCACGAGAATAACATGAAAAATACCCACCCCCAAGATTCAATTATCTCCCACCAAGTCCCTCTCAAAACGTGGGAATTATGGGAGCCACAATTCAGGATGAGATTTGGGTGGGGACACAGCCAAACCATGTCATCCACAGAAAGTACAGACAGTTTTCAGTAATAATATATAGGTGGTAGTCAGGCAGGCTAGGTAGTTAAGGAAGTGACCATGTCCTTGGGATGCAGCAACCATGGTGACTGTACGATCAACACTATAAGCCTCAGCATTTGCTTTGTAGTTAAGCTCATTTGAGAAAAGCTGTCTTCAGTAGGACCTTTTACTCCTTAATTTGAAATATCAATTAAATTGATGACATTTTCTGCTTAAAAAATTCTAATTTTTCAACTGAAAAGGCCTAGAAATACTAACACACTCGGTAGCATTAAGTGCCCTCAATACTCAAAGTTTGGTGTTGAAATCCAATTTCCTTCAAAAAGGAACCAGAGCTCCCCAGAGAAATGGCTACGGCCAGGTTGGGGACAGGAAATATACAAGATCATCTTGGAAACTCTTGTCACACCAGATGACAAGGAAGCTATCAAAGATTACTAGCTTTAGGTCAAAGACTTGAGAGTCAACTAACAGAGACTGTCAAAGATGAGGTAATATGAGGATCAATTAGGGAAAAACTGCAAAAGACTGAAATACATCAAATAAATTTAAACCTGTGAGTTCAAAGTAATACTGAAAAAGCATTGGTTAGTAACCGGGAGACATTAATGAACCAACTCATTATTTTGAAAACTCATAGACAACAGAACCCCTGGGTAATCAAATAGTAGACAAGAGCAAGATTTTCTTTATTGTGGCATTTCAGCAAATTAATGAAAAATAAATTATAGAGTTGGCATAGTGCCTTTTTGTAACTCAAAATGAATTATGGATGTAGGCATGAAGCATCAATTATTGCCGATATCAAAAAGGGAAAAATAACCAGATATCTGATGCCTCCTGATGGAGAAACAAAGCACCTCTTATAAAGGAGTCTTTTCAGAAAAAGCAGACCTGAATCTGATCAGTCCTCTATATGCAATTACTAACTACAGAAAATACAAAGGACAGAGAACATGTTAAACTACATTATGGGGTTGCAAGCAGAAAAATCCTGCAGGACAAATAATTGTGTTTCTTCAGCAAATAAATTGCCAAGGGTGAAAGAAAGATGGAAAGAGGAAACCAATAGGTGATAAAAGATTTAAAAAGTGTATAAAGTACATATTAAGGATTACATGTAGGCATTATTTGGATCCTGATTCAAAGAAACTAGAAAAAATTGTAACACTAAAAAGTTAATTGGAGTCACTTGTCTTTCAAGCTGCTCACTTGGCCCTCTTCCAAGTGTACTTTTCTTCCTTTTATTCAAAAAGAAAAAAAAAGATAATTGGAAATTTGAACAATGACTTAATATTTGATGATATTCAGGAATTAAATTTTTAAGGTATAATAATGGTATTGTTGTTATGTCAAAAGAAAATAATTTTTCCTTTTAGAGTTACGTACTGAAATGTTTATTTATAAAGTAAAATGTCTGGATTTAGTGCAAAATAATTTGGGATGGGGAATACGAGTAAGGGTATACATAAAACAAGTTTGCTGAAGCTAGATAATGGCATATAGGGGGTTTATTATCTGATCCTTTTTTTACATTTTTGAAATGATCAAAATTAAAATCTTTAAAATAAAAACCCATGCATTTGGTAGGTTTTCCTACATGCCATTGCCTTGCCCCCAGGGCACTGAAAAGATGTGCTATTTTCTCCATTTTCTGTGAAAAGCAGTCAGTGAGGCATGAGAGACCAGCAAGGGTTAAAGAGGGCCAGTGGCTGATACATCTGGGGAGCATTAGCTATATTAAGGACAAGCCAGCATAAAAAGGTAACCGGAAGAAGCAGCTGAGTACTCTCTGGTCAGGCCTTGAGGTCATCTGAATGGAGGGACTGCGGTTTACAGTCTAGCAAGGGACATGTATCATTTCAGCGCTTTGTTTCAAACCGCAACACAAGAGTTTCACTGGTTTGGAATTGATTCAAAGCTGAACAGAAAACTTCTTTATTCTCAATCAGCAAGTTTAAATATTTTGTATTACACCTTTCAGGAAAGAATATGCAGGATTTATGTTTATAGTAACAAAAATTTCATGTCTTTTAGATTTTTGTGTGTTGCAGAAATTCCCATTGGCCATACATGTGAATATAATGATAAACACTTGTTTTAATTGCTATCTCAGCAACAAATATGTAAAATATTTATTATGTGACAACATTGGGAAAAGCATAGGAATTACTGTAGGGGCCGGGTGGAATTATAGGGGTTCTTCAGTTTCATGGAAAGTGGGACTTTGAAATCAATCAAAAATTGTCTAAGATCTTGACTCTGCCATTTCTCAGCTTGTTGAGTTGGGTATTCTTTATCTTGTACTTTGCTTCCCTCACCTGTCAAACACTATTGCAGTGAGGTTTAAAGATAATGCCTAAAGCACATAGCCTACAGTATACATTCAATATGTGGAAGAATGGTCATTTTCACATTTGCTTTCTTATGATCAGCAACTTCCGCCACTTGACTTTGAGTAAAGGCATTTTTGGATATTAGACCTCTTTCTCCTTATGTAAATATCACTACTTGGTGCTCCTATAGACGATCAACTCAACCTCTTGAAGAAAAACCTGAAACAAATCAATAGTGACAGATAACTTTTCTCTTATAGTAAAAAAATTTAAATTTAGTGGTTTTTTATATAATTATATGTTATTAAAACTGAAGTATTTATGAGTTTTCATATTTCAGTATTTAGATAACTAATACTAAGAGGGAGGCAAAGGTAAGTACACTAGATTATGCTATTAGAGAAAATATAGCCCTGCCTTAGTTCTAAAGGACACAGAATACAGAATATGCCACACTGCATAGTTTAAGCTAAATATGTAGGAAATGGCCTCTCTTCCTGGTCTTTTGTTTTAAAATCAGCAGTGAATAATTAAAATGCAATTAAACACATTGAAGCAACCTTAAGGCACATAACCTCAGGCTATGCTTGTAACCAGCTGTTTTGGACTGCTTTCTATGAAGTATACACTTGATTGATCATTGCTATATAGTATAAAGAATTTACTTTAGAATCAGAAGATATGAGCTCAATCAAGTCTTTTTTGATCTGCCCTTTTCTAGCTTGATGGGCAAAAATCTCCTTATGCTTTATTTATTTTACTTGTTAAATGTACCCATCTCTTAGGATTAGTTCTGAGTGTACTGTAAAGCATTAAATAAGTAAACGTTCTCTCTTGAAAACAAGTACACATGCACAGAAAATTTTCTATTTCTGAAACAGATCATGTTCCCATTCTGACTGTATTGAATGATATAAATATGCAGGGAAAAAAAAAAGCCTTTTTACTCTCCATCATGGAATTCAGTGAGTGGTGATGAGTATTCCTGTCCGTGTTGAGGAGAAAATGTTTTAATAAAAAGAGGGAACTAGGAAGAGGTTAAATCCCACAGACAGATGTGAGTGAGATTGTATTAAAAAAAAACAAGAGGAGGTAATCATTCTATATCTAGACTGTAAATTTTATTCAAACTACATGTTAAAATGAGGTCGTTTCACTTACAGTAAAAGCTAAGGCCATCAAGGGTTTTCTGTTGACCCATCTGGCATTTAATGTAGGACAGGAGTTTCCAAAGCAAAGGAGCTGGTACTTTACACAAAAGTTAGAAAGGCCACAAGGTTACTCTACAAATTTATGGACCTACTTTCATTTCATAGTGACTAAGGACTGGGCGCTGGGAAATATCCTTTTTTATTGCACTCAGCATATTTATTATATAAACAATCCAAATTCATTGCAGAATAATTAAAAGTAGTAGAGAATAAATAAATAGTGTTGCCTAAAGCCCCACCATTCAGAGGTCATCACCACTTTTACGTACTGATGTATCTCTATTCAGATATTATAAAAACATATGAATATATTTTATAAAACTTTAACCAGCCCGGTATGTTTCATGACTTATTTTTTTCACTTGATACTCTTTTAAATATTTTCAAAAACATTTAATATCGATCTACATTAAGAAATATCATAACATAGTATTCTGTTGTATGGAGTATGAATGTTCTTAACCAATTTTCTGTCATATATTATTTTTTGTTGATTTTTTGAATATATATCTTTATACTAAGGAAATATGTGTCAAAATTCTTAGAAGTAGAATTTTTGTATGTTTTAAATTGTTTTTCCTAATGTCCCACAGTTTATGCTCCTTAAAAAACGAGTACTTTATTGACTTTTCATTGCAGACTTTCTTATATCCATGGCAGACTTTTCTGTTAGTGACATGGTTTGTTTTTGTTTTTTTTTTTTAGTCTGCAATTCTCCTTAAAAAGGATTTCTGTCACATGGCAAAATGTTTTGTCAGATATCAGTTCTGGCCGTTGGTGACAGAGTCATGGAATATAAAAAGACATCGAGAAGAAATATGTGTGATCTGGAATCGTGACCTTACAAGTGCATCTGCAACGTTGGCTGTGTTTGAGCAAGTGAATCTATATGACTAGAATTTTTTAATTGATACATGACATTTGTACATATTTATGGGGTACCTGTGATATTTTGTTACATGCATAGAATGTTGAATAACCAAGTCATGGTATTCTGGGTATGCATCGCCTAGAGTATTTACCGTTTCTATGTGTTGGGGACATTTCAAGTCCTCTCTCCTAGCTAT
This sequence comes from Homo sapiens, assembly GCF_000001405.40. Lineage (NCBI taxonomy): Eukaryota > Metazoa > Chordata > Mammalia > Primates > Hominidae > Homo > Homo sapiens. Next base: position 38,043,862 of record NC_000007.14, read on the forward strand.
TTTGAAATATACAATGCATTGTTGTTAACTATAGTCACACTATTCTGCTGTCAAACATCAGAACATTTCTTCTATCTAACTGTATGTTTGTACCTATTAACCAACCTTTCTCTTCATCTTCCCTCAACCCACATACCCTTGTTAGCCTCAGCTATCTACTATTCTAATACCTACTTCCGTGAGATCAACTGTTTTAGTTCCCACAAACAAGTGAGAACATGCAGTATTTCTCTTTCTATGCCTGGCTTATTTCACTTAATATAATGACCTCTAGTTCCATCTGTGTTGCTACACATGACAGGATTTCATTTTGTATGACCAAACAGCATTACATATATATATATATATATATATATATATATATATATATATATATCCCTTTTATATATATATACACACACACACATATATCCCTTTTATATATATATACATGTATATACATACATATATACATGTATATACATATATACATATATATGTATATATATAATCTGTATATACATATATGTGTATATATAATCTGTATATACATTTATATGTGTATATATAATCTGTATATATATATATATATATATATATATATATATATATCCCTTTTCTTTATCCAGTCATCCTTTGATGGATGGAAGTTAATTCCACATCTTTGCTATTGTGAATAGTACTGCAATAAATATGGGAGTGAAGGTATCCCTTTGATATACTGATGTCTTTTCCTTTGGATAAATACCCAGTAGTTGCATGGCTGGATTGTATGGTAGTTCTATTTTTAGTTTTTTGAAAAATTTTTATACTGTTTTCCACAGCGGCTGTACTAATTTGCATTCTCACCAACAGTGTGTAAGTCCCCTTTTCTCTGCATCTTCACCAGCATCTGCTATTTTTTTAAAATAATAGCCACCGTAGTTGGGATAAGAGAATATCTCATGTGGTTTTGATTTGCATTACCCTAACAATTAGTGATGTTGAGCATTTTTCATATACTTATTGGTCATTTTTATGTCTTCTTTTAAGAAAGGTCTATTCATGTATTTTGCCCATTTTTAATGAATTATTTATGTTTTGCTATTGAGTTGCTTTAGTTCCTTATGTATTCTGAATATCAGTTCCTTGTCAAATGAATAGTTTGTAAATAGTTTCTTTCAGTCAACCATGTCTCTTTTGATTGTTTGCTTTGATGTGAAAAAGCTGTTTGGTTTAATATACTCCAATTTCTCTATTTTTGTTTTTGTTGTCTATGCTTTTGAGGACTTAGCCGTAAAATCTTTGACGAGTTAACGGGTGCAGCCCACCAACATGGCACATGTATACATATGTAACAAACCTGCACGTTGTGCACATGTACCCTAAAACTTAAAGTATAATAATAATAAAATTTAAAAAAAGTCTTTGCCTAGACCTGGCATTTCCCCTGTGCTTTCTTTCTTCTAGTAGTTTTATAGTTTTGGGTCTATGTATTTAAGTATTTTATCCATCTGGAGTTGATTTTTGCATATGGTGAGAGAGAGGGGTCCAGTTTAATTCTTTTTCATATGGATATCCAGTTTTCCCAGAACCATTTATTGAAAAGGGTGTCCTTTCTTCAATGTATGTTCTTGGTGCCTATGTCAAAAATCAGTTGGCTGTAAATATGTGGATTTATTTCTGGGTTCTCTATTCTGTTTAATTGGTCTATGTATTTTCTATTATACTGATACCATGCTGTTTTGCTTGCTAAAGCTTTGTAATATATTTTGAAGTACAATAGTGTGATGCCTCCAGCTTTGTTTCTTTTTCTTGAGATTGCTTTGGCTATTAAGGTTTTTCTTAGTTCTGTATGAATTTGAGGATTTTTTTTCTATTTCTGTGAAAAATGACATTGGTATTTTGATAAAGGTTGCTTTGAATCTGCATTGCTTGAGGCAACATGGTTAGTTTGATTATATTAATTCTAATAGTCCATGAACAGGCATGTCCTTCCATTTGTTTGTATCCCCTTCAATTTCTTTCATCCATGTTTTGTGGTTTTCCTTGTAGAGGCCTTTCACCTCCTTGGGTAAACTCATTCTTAGAATTTTTTTTAGCTATTATAGATGGAATTGCCTTATTGATTTCTTTCTCAGCTAGTTTATTATTCATATGTAGAAACTCTAATAATTTTTGTATGTTGATTTTGTATCCTGCAATTTTACTGAATTTATCAGATCTAATAGTTTTTTGTGAAATCTTTAGGTTTTTCTAGATATAAAACAATATCATCTGCAAAGAGGGACAATTTGACCTCGTTTTTCCAAGTTGGATGTCTTTATTTCTTCCTCTTGACTGACTGCTCTGGCTAGGACCTCCAATATTATGCTAAATAGGCATAGTAAAAGTGGGCTTCCTTTTCTTGTTACAGTTCTTAGAGGAAAAGTTTCAGCTTTTACATTTGATAAGATGTTAGCTGTGGATTTGTCCTATTTGGACTTTATTATGTTGAGGTGTGTTCCTTCTGTGCCTAGTTTGTTGAGAGTTTTTTTTTTTTTTATCGTAAGGGTAGGCTAAATGTTATCAAATGCTTTTTCTGCATCTATTGAGATGATCATATGGTTTTTGTCTTTTGTTCTGTTGATGTGATATATCTTGTTTATTGATTTTCATATATTGAATCATTTTTGCATCCCTGAAATAAATTCCACTTGGTCATGGTGTATTATCTTTTTCATGTGCTGTTGGATTTAATTTGCTAGTATTTTGTTAGTGATTTTTGTATCTATGTTCATCAGAAACAGTGGCCTGTGGTTTTGTATTTTTGTTGTGTCCTTGTTTGATTTTGGTATTAGGGTAATGTTGGCCTCATATAATGAGTTAGAGAGAATTCTCATCTCTTCAATTTCTTGGGATAGTTTGAGGTGAATTTGTGTTAGGTCTTTATAAGTTTCATAGAGTTTGGCAGTGAAGCCATCTAGTCCCAGACTTTTCTTTGTTGGGAGACTTTTTATTACTGATTCAACCTCATTACTCACTATTAGTCTGTTCAAGTTTTTTAAATTTTTGCTGATTCAATTTTTGCAGTTGTGTGTGTTCAGGAATTTATCCATATTCTCTAGGTTTTCCAGTTTGTTAGTGTGTGGTTGTTCATAATAGTCTCTGAAGATGTTTAGTATTTTTGTGGTATCAGTTGTAATGTCTCCTTTTTCATTTCTGATTTCATTTATATGGGCCTTCTCTCTTTTTTGTGGATAATCTAGAGAGTCATTTATTGATTTTGTTTACCTTTTTTAAAAAAACTTTTTTGTCTTGTTGATCCTTTGTATTTTTTAGTTTCTATGTTATTTAGTTCTGCACTGATATTTATTATTCCTTTTCTCTATTAATTTTGGGTTTCGTTTGTTCTTGTTTTTCTAGTTCCTAAAGGTGAATTATAACATTGTTTAGTTGACATTTTTCTGCTTTTTTGATGTTGGCCTTTATTACTATAAACATTCCTTTTAACATTGCTTTTTTTGTATCTCATAGGTTTTGGTACGTCATGTTTTGATTTTCATTTGTTTCAAAAAAATTTTTATTTTCTCCTTAATTGCTTCTTTGACCCAATGGTCATTCAGAAACATGTTGTGAAATTTCCATGTATTTGTAAAGTTTCCAATATTCCTCTTGTTACTGATTTCTAGTTGCATTTCATTGTTATCTGAAGAGATACTTAATGTGATTTTGATTTTTAAAAATTTATTGACATTGTCCTAACATATGGTCTATCCTGGAGAATGTTCCATGGGCTGATGAGAAGAATGCGTATTCTGTAACTGTTGGATGAAATGTTCTGTAAAAGTCTTTTAGGTACATTTGGTCCAAAGTACCTTTTAAGGAAAATGATTTTTTGATTGTTGTTGTTAATTTTCTGTCTAGATAGTCTAATACTGACAGTGGTATATTGAAGTCTATAAGTATTATTATATTGGATATATACTCTTCCTTTAGATCTAATACTAGATCTAACACTGGGTACTCTGGTGTTGGGTGCATGCATGTTTAAGAATTGTTATATCGTTGCTGAATTGATCTTTTTATCATTATCTAATGACCTTCTTTGTCTATTTTTACTGTTTTTGACTTAAAGTTCAGTTTATCTAAATATAGCTATTTCTGCTCACTTTTGGTTTCCATTTGCATGGAATATCTTTTTTCATCTCTTTACTTTTAGTCTATATGTGTCTTTACAATTGAGATGAGTTTCTCTTACATAGCATATAGTCATATGGGTTTTTTTTTTTAAAGTCCATTCTGTCAGTCTGTACCTTTTAATTGGCAAGTTTAATCTGTTTACATTCAACAATATTATTGATACATGAAGACTTATTTCTGATATTTTATTGATTTAGGATTGTTTTGTATGTCATTTGTTCCCTTCTTTCTCTTATATTGTTTATCATTGTAGTTTGGTGATTTTCTGTAGTGGTAAATTTGAGTCCCTTCTTTGCATTTCTTTGCCTTAAACACAAATTTGCTCTACCTGTGGTTTTATACTTTTGTGTATTTTCATGATGGTAGATATCATTCTTTTTCCTCCAGGTGTAGAACTCCCTCAGGCATTTTTTATAGGACCAGTCTAGTGATGATGAATTCCTTCAGCTTTTACTTGTCTAGGAAAGACTTTATTTCTCCTTCATTTGTGAAGGATAACTTTGCTGGGTATAGTATCCTTAGATATTTCTCTTCCAGCATTTTGAATATATCATTCCATTCTCTACTGGCCCGTAAGATTCCTGCTGAGAAATCCTCTGTTAGTCTGATGAGGGTTTCCTTACACATAAGTAGATGGTTTCCTGTTACTTTTAGAATTTTCTCTTTGTCTGTCACTTTTACCAATTTGACTATAATGTGCTATGGAGACAGCCTTTTGAAATTGTATCTCTTTTGAGATCTCTGAGCTTCCTTTATCTGGATGTCTAAATTTCTTGCCAGACTTGGGAATTTTTCAGCTATTATTTCATTACATAGATTTGTTTTATTCTTTTTATTTTAAATTCGTCTTTTGGGACACCTAAATTTTGAGTATTTGGTTGCTTTATGGTGACCTATATGTCACATAAGTTTTGCTCATTCTTTTTCATTCTGTTTCAAATATTTGTCTGACTGGATTATTTCAAAAGACATGTCTTCATGGTCTCAAATGTTTTCTTCTGCTTGATCTAGCCTATGGTTGAAGCTTTGAATGTAATTTTACTTCATTCAATGAATTTTTTTTTCCAGAATTTTTGTTTGGTTTCTTTTTATGGTATCTATCTTTTTGGTAAATTTTTAATTCATATCCTGCATTGTTTTTCTGATTTCTTTGTACTGTTTTTATGTGTTCTTTTGTATCTCACCAAGCTTCTTTAATATTATTTTGAATTCTCTTTTGAGGATTTCATAAATTTATTTTTTGCTGGAGAATTATTGTGTTCCTTTAAAGGTGTCATATTGCCTAGATTTTTTCATGTTCCTTTTGTCCTAATATTTATTTCTGTGCATCTAGTGTAATAATGACTTCTTCCATTTTTTAAAAATTTGCTTTTGTAGGGCAGGACATTTTCCTGAAGGTGTATTTATGGTGTTAATTGTGCAGGGCACTTTGACTTTGATTCTGGGGGCCAAATCATTCTGAATGATTTATTTATCTGTGAATAGCATCAGTGGTATTTGTGATTTCTGCAGTGGCATTGGGTGTGGTTGCAGTAGAGGCTGTGGTAAAGTTGTTCTGGAAACCAGGATTCCAGGTGGGCCAGTTTTCAGGCTCCAGTAGTGGTGAGAGGTGACAATGTGCTAGCAGCCCTCACTCTCTCTCAGGCCTCCTTGGCCTCAGCGTCCACTCTGGCCACGCTTGAGGAGCCCTTCAGCCCACTGCTGCACTGTGGGAGCCCCTCTCTGGGCTGACCGAGGCCGGAGCCGGCTCTCTCTGCTTGCGGGGAGGTGTGGAGGGAGAGGCATGGCAGGAACCGGGGCCAGCGTGAGTTCCGGGTGGGCGCAGGCTCGGCAGGCCCTGCACTCCCAGTCACCGGCCAGTGCCGCTGGCCCCAGGCAGTGATGGCCCCAGGCCAGCAGCTGCAGAGGGTGCGCCAGGTCCCCCAGCACTGCCGGCCCACTGGCGCCATGCTCAAAATTCTCGCCAGGCCTCAGCTGCCTCCCTGCCGGGCAGGGCTCAGGACCTGCAGCCCGCCTGCAGGATCCCCGCCCCCCACCAAGGGCTGAAGGGTGCGGGTGCCTGCATGGGACTGGCAGGCAGCCCCACCTTCCGTCGGGTGTGGGATCCACTAAGCACCTGATCCACTAGGTGAAGCCAGCTGGCCTCCTGAGTCAGGTGGGGACTTGGAGAACTTTTATATCTAGCTAAAGGTTTATAAATGCACCAATCAGCACCCTGTGTCTAGCTCAGCATTTGCAAAGGTACCATCAGCGCTCTGTGTCTAGCTAATCTAGTGCGGACTTGGAGAACTTTTGTGTCTAGCTAAAGGATTGCAAATGCACCAATCAGCACTCTGTGTCTAGCTCAAGGTTTGTAAATGCACCAATCAGCACCCTGTCAAAATGGACCAATCAGCTCTCTGTAAAATGGGCCAATCAGCTCTCTGTAAAATGGACCAATCAGCAGGATGTCAGTGGGGTCAGATAAGGGAATAAGAGCAGGCTGCCGGAGCCAGCAGCTGCAACCCGCTCCCTCGCCTTCCAGCTGGGGTTAGCTTTGATCTTTCGCTCTTCATAGTAAGTTATGCTGCTGCTCACTCTTGGGGTCTGTGCCGCCTTTATGAGCTATAACACTCACCACGAAGGTCTGCAGCTTCACTCCTGAAGTCAGGGAGACCACGAACCAACCAGAAGGAAGAAACTCTGGACCCATCTGAACATCTGAAGGAACAAACCCTGGACACACCATCTTTAAGAACTGTAACACTTGTTGCAAGGGTCTGCGGCTTCATTCTTGAAGTCAGTGAGACCAAGAACCCACCAATTCTGGACACAGTGGCAATGGTGGACTGAGCATATTTGTCCTTGGGCCCCAGTGTGGTTTACACTGGTACAAGTGTTACTGGGTTTAAGCAGGCTGATTCTTGGGCTCCAGGTGGGTTTCTCAGATGCTGGTAGTGGCAGCAGTAGGCCAAGTGTGTGGTCAGGTTCTCAAGCCCCTCAGCAGCTGATGTGATGTGAATTATGTCAGTAGCAATGGTGGAGCAATCCACTGGAACCAAAACTGTCCACTTTGGTGTTGGAGGTGGCTGCAACAAGTTGGGAAGAACAGTTCTTGAGTTCAAGGAGTGGCAGCAGTGCACTGAGCATACCTTTTCTTGGGTTCCAAGGTGGCATACGCTGGCACCAGTGTTGGCAGGTCTAGGCAGGCTGATTCTTGGGCCTCCAGGCAGCTTGTTAAGGTGTAGGTAGTGGCAATGGTGGGCTAGGTGGGTAGGTGGACCCTCAGGTCCCTTGAAATGCTGCATGGGCGATGGCAGTAACAATGTGGGAGAATCCTGTCTCCCAAGTGATCTATGCAGGGTGTGATGGTGGCTGTGATCAGCTGGGTGGACCAATACCCAGGCCTGCAGGTGGCAGGGGCAGGTGGGTGCCAGCTATGGTGGTAGTGGCAGTTCAGGCAGGGCCAAACGCAGGCTCCTGGGAGGAGTGTTCAGGTCCCAACAGTGGTGGTTAAGGCTGGGCTGGCTGACCTGTCCTCAGGCCTCCCAGTGGTACGTGAGGCTTTGGCTGTGGTAGGCAGGTGGGGTGATCACCAGACACATGGTTGAATGTGAGACTGGGGGCAGCAGTGGCTGTGCTGTGGTCCTGCTACTGGGGAGTGTGGGATTTCTTTCAGTGGCAGCAGCTATATGCAGGTGGGGAGTGTGTTCTTTGGCCTCAAGTGTTCGCTGTACGTGAGGTAGCCTATCCTCGGGGTGCTTATGAATGTGTGGTGGCTTTGCTGCTAGGGGAAGCAGCGTGGCTGCCAGTGGCTTGCCCTTTGGTGCCAGCAGCTGTGGGCAAGAGAGTCTGTCCCTGGGCCATGTGAAAATGCATGGTGATTCCATTGCTTGGGGCATAAGTGTCACTGTCAATGGCTCATGCTTCAGCCCTGGCAACAGCAGTCAGCCACAGCAGTAGCTGCAAGCAGAGAATTTCAATGAGTCTCCAGGGATATGGAGATTCAGGGGCTGCCTTGCTGTAGCTACTTAGGACTCAGAGTTGTGTAGGACACAGTGTGAGCTCCCTGTCTCGATCAATGCAATTGTGTGGTCTCCAGGCAGCCCCCTACATTAATCTCACGGCTCATGGTGGTTAAGGGATTCTTTCAGGGCAAGGATTTTAGGAGTTCGTGGTGGGAATGTAAATCATTAGAGGTCTCTCACTTACCCCTTCCTCACTTTGGAGAGCCTCTTCAGACTCCTAGCCCATCCCCGGCAAGCAGGCTGCCTTGCTTCCCCTCTCCTTCCATGCTTTTGATGTTTTGTGTCACTTCTTTGTTGAATTCGAATGTTCTCTTTTAGATGATGTATTTGAAGTGTAATTCTCTACGTGCTATTTTGGTTCCCCTTTATGAAGAAGGCAAGTACCAGATGCTTCAGGTTAGACATCTCAAAGCCCCTCCTAGATATTTTAGAAAGCTTTTGAGCAGCCAAAAGTTTGACTCAGGTATAGCTTGGTTCTTTTAAAAGCCAGTGTTATAATATTCTTTAGCCTTTCGAATTTTAAATATAAAATTTGATATATTGAACATTACAATGGGTACTTCGTGCATTATGCATCTTTCGTTCTTCTTCATAAACTCCTAACTTTCTATTTCTACTCTACCAAATTCAGCCACTTCCCATGAAGAAAACCAGAATAAAATGCCCTGTTTCAAATTCAGAATCAGGTTACATTTCTGGTCAATGATTATGCATAAGAAATACATTTTTGGTGACCAAAGCTCTGTAATTTTTAGTGACTAACTATAGGGAAAACATTTACAAAGAAAAGATGTAGTCAGTGTCTATGTAGCTTACACATACTGATATTCCCCAGAGTCCATTCGACATGTTCTCATTTCATAATGCATTGTTGGTACTGCCTATCTCAAACAACTAATTTAGGAGCAGTTTACACACAAGAGGAGTGGCCAAAATTGGAATAAAGCCAATCTTCTCAACAGGCCACTCACATGTGGCATCTGTACACATGGCCTGGATGTCTGCACTTGATAGAAGATGAATAGTGCCAACCCTGGCAAGGGGGGAGGTAGATTAAGACCTGAATTCCAGAACTTAGTATTTTTCTTAGGATACAGAAGATTAGGACAGTTAATAAAAATGCAGAGACACACATGAAAAAAGGTGATACGAATGTAAGTGCAATCAAGGATCTGGTATCGGAAAACCTGCCTAGATAACTGGCATCCCTTACAGAAAAATGCTTTACCCAGGTCTGCCTCATCTTATGAGCCAGGCTTACATTTGGGGAAAGACCAACAATTTATCGGCCATTTGTTGTGTTGAAATTGGTTTATGTAGATCACTCTGATAATTGCTGCTGGGTCATAGCAAAAAGAAAGTGGGATGAGAAAAGCAGAACTAAAAGAAAAAGCAAAAACAAAAATTGATACTCCTGCAAAGATCAGACTTTCTTTTAATTCTGATTTTGGCAATGTATTGGTGAGCAACTGGTGACATGGTTTGCTTGGCTATAAGAATCTCTGGGTCAATGGGGAATAGCTGTTTATTCCCCCAGGGAAGAATTTCATGAGGTCAGGTGAGTACCTGGATAGCCCATGCAGCAGAAAGCCACTGGTCAAATTGCTAATAATGATGGCCTCGTGTTTAGCTTGGTAGAAAAGCAGCAACTCATGTCAAGGAAAAGGTCGGAAGAGAGTTGGTGTATGATCTGGGTAGGTCGTCATGCAAGAGGGAACCTGTCCCAATACAAGTGGTGCCACAAGTCCTTGAGCTGAGGGTGTCAGGGAATCAACTAGTATCAAGCACATGTTGAATTCATTAGTGGCAGGGACCCACAGTGGGGGAAATCCCAGCTAGCTATGGTACTGGAAACTGTAGTCCCTGTAATTTGGTGGGTTATCATCATCCTAGAATTTGCTACTAGCCTAGAGAATGCCAGCTTTGTAATTGGTACACAGTACCACATTGGCCTGAGAAAGGAGGTAGTTAAGGGCCAAAAGAGGCACAAGTAGTAACCAGGTTAAAGCATGGGTGAAGGAAGTTGAAATTGACAGACAGTCCATGGTAATGTTCTTAAAATATGAGTACTTAAAATATGAGTACCAAATTAAGCATGAAACCCAGTCAGGACCCTGTTGATTCTCCACTCAGCCCTGATGCAAATATTGGATCTGTAAATCACCCAGGGTCTCTAGGGAGGGGACCATCTGCTGCAATGAAAGGGCCCGAGGTATACTGGAAGTCAATCTAGGAAGGCCCAAAAAGAAGTGTAGTGGAAGCATACACTGAAGGTCCTTGAGGGACCGAAATGCAGGTTGGGAAGAGACTATACTAGCTTCCCTGCAGCAGCAGCGAGCAAGCCCTGTTACCTAGTTAGGATGGAATATATCCTAGAGGAAGCTGCTGCTATGGCAGTCCTTGGGAAATCACAGCATGTTCTAGCACAAAAGCCAAAGTGGAGCCAAGTAGTGGATGCCAAAGGATAGTGGATATAGAGGAGTTAAAGGAAGAGCAGCTTTTGACAATGAAAAAATGAGGGTAATCTGCCACATAAATTCTCCTTATCACAGATGTTATACCTCAATGGAGATGGTAGAGCCAGCCAGGGACATTTCAAAATTTTAGGAAGCTTTTTTCCTTTGGTCACAATGACTCAGAAATGCTGAGATTCAGTGAGAAAAGTCAGGGATATAATGCATCTTGCAATCAAATAATTATGCTACAGACTGCACAACTTCCAAGTTATCTCACTAGATGTTTACCTAGATTAGTAAATTCTACCTATATTTTCTGAGCCTAGAGCCCAACTTCTTTTATAAATAAACACAAAATATTGTTGTATAGTTTGAGCATACATTGAGTCTTCCAACAATAACTGTAAATTGAGAGAAGATTGTGTTTGGATTGATTGGAATGATTCCATAAACTTGACAGCCTAAATAACAAAGAGAAGTTTCTAAAAGAAAAGATGTTTATTTGGGAATAGGACATTGCAATAGGAATATGCAAACTATGTGCGTATTCAGGGAGGTAAAGAAAGACAAAGGTTTTTAAAGGAAAAAATGAGGAGGATTACCTAATTGTTTTAAAGTAATTATTTTAATTGCCTAGAAAGAGCAATAAGGAGGGTGATGCCAGGCCAAGTTTGGACAGGCAGTTGCTGTGCGGATGTACTTGCATAAGTATTTTTTTGTATAAGATTGCAAATGGCCTTTGTTCAATTTTGTGGTTTTTCTAGCGTCTTTTTTGTTATCAGGCACACAAGTGTGAGAAGCCTCTGTTCATGCCTTTCCCTGGCTCTATTTGTCAGGGTTTTCTTTTTTTTTTGAGACAGAGTCTCACTCTGTCACCCAGGCTGAAGTGCAGTGGCACGATCTCCACTCACTGCAACCTCCGCCCACTGCAACCTCTGCCTCCTGGGTTCAAGTGACTCTCCTGCCTCAGCCTCCCCAGTAGCTGGGACTATAGGCGCGTGCCACCATGCCTGACTAATTTTTGTATTTTTAGTAGAGACAGGGTTTTTCCATGTTGGCCAGGATGGTCTCGAACTCCTGACCTTAGGTGACCCACCTGCTTCAGCCTCCCAAAGTGCTGGATTACAGGCATGAGCCATCATGCCCAGTTGGGTTTTCTTAGTATTAGTGACTTCATTTTTACTCTGACAACTTTCTCAAGCTGTTCACCATAACAGAAAATTATGTTACTGATAGCAATGCTGCTCAGGATATTTGGGCTACCTACACAACATGCCTGTGTTGGCAGAATTTGTACTATCACATTCATAATGACTCTACATGTAACTGCAAACATCTGGATGCTTAATTATGTCTTATGGCACAGTTGTATCTGAGTAATTAGGAATTAAAATTAATTAAATTAAAAAAATATAGTAGAGAAGATAAAGCCAAAAGTTGGTTCTGAGAAAAGATAAATAAAATCAATAAACTGCTAGCAAGAGTGATGAAAAATAAGGAGAAAAACTCTAAATTACCAATATTAGAAAGGAAAAACATTACTAATCATGCATTCATCAAGAAGATAATGAGAGGATATTATTTAGAACACTATACCAATTTTAAAATTTATTTTTCAAAACGGTCAAATTTCTAGAAAAACAATTGCTATTGTCATATGAAGTAAAGGAAGTTATAAATACCTCTATATCTATTAAAGAAATTCAATTTGAAATTTAAACCCTTCACACACTGAGAAATAACATCAATTTTACTCAAGGTCTTCCAGAAAATAAAAAAGAGGAAACGCCTTCTAACTTACTTAAGAGCTAAACATTTTCTTGATTCCTACAACCCAACAAAGACATTCTCTTTTCTAAAAAGGAAAATTAAAGACAAGGCTCTTTCTTCAACTTAGGTAAAAATTCTAAACAAAACACTTGCAAACACAATCCAGCTATATATAAAAAGGATAATATATCATGTGCAAGAAGGACTTATTCTGAGCATATGATGTTGGTTTAACATTTGACAATCAAGCAGTGTAATTTTGCAATTAACAAGAAAAAAATTATATAGTCTTCTCAATGTATGCAGGAAAAGCATGGTAAAATTCAACACACATTCATAGTGACTCATACATAGTACATTAGAAATAGAAAGATTTTTAAATCTCATAATGAGCATCTCAAAAACATACAAATGTAAACAAAAAATAATCTTATTAAAGTGAGAGGTGACAGCTTTACTCATGTGATTGGGAATGAAATATGGATACATGCTACCACTCCTTACTGTATAGAACAGGCATCACAAACCCAAATACCTGTAAGTTTCATGAAGGTTACATAAATATTTGAACCAGGATGGGGTATAAGGCAATAGAGAGTGGTGGGCCTATGAAATTTGAGAAAGTATCTTCTGCCAGAAGTCATTCAAATTCAATTACAAAACCAAGACAAAACAAAACAAAACAAAAATAACTGGGCCAGCCAAACAAAATATTTTCAGTACAGATTTAGTTGGCAGTCTGCAAATTGGTGAACTTGGTTGGGGTTATTTTGGGCCCTGCCTTTGATTATTCTTTTCTATACCCAGCTGATAGGATACTAAAGTTCACATCTTAGCAGAAAAGAGTAATCATATTGATTAATACCTGAATGAGAACTTGTGTTTAAATAGATGCCAAAGCCATAAGCTAAAGTTTGTTTTATTTGGAGGAAAAGGCTGAAAAGGCAAGTCACATAATAGAAAGAATAAATAATAATGGGGTACAATATACAAAGAAAGGCTTAGACTGGGGGTCATCAGGAATAGTGATATAATAGCAAAACCACTTGTTTATGAATTATTCTAAGAAATCTCAGGGTGCCTCTGCTTGAATTTATCAAGTGTATTCACTGTACAAATGAATATGAATGAAAGAGGGATTTAAAAATGCATTAGTGAGTTGGTTGGTTTCATTCATCAAATCCTCCCCAGCATTTTGTCATTAAAAGTGCTTTGCGTATAACAGACATTTGGGTGAAATCTCTGAATTTAATAGTTTTCCATTCTGATATCTACTGTCTTAGATGCCAACAATGAATAGGAACAGCCCTCTATGCCTCTAGACTGGTGTCATCAGCTTGCTCTTGAACTCAGAGCTGCAAACACAAGAAGGTGAAAGGAAGGCAGGCCATTTTGCTTAGGAAATGTGACCGTGGTTGGCCCAGAACTGCTTCCCTCGATTCTGCAGGGAGAGAGGTTCATGGACTCTTTGGTGCAGTGACTTTCTGAATCTAAGCTGAACTTGGATTTTGTATTCCCTTGGAAAACCTTCTGTCAGTTTTGCAGAGGGTGAGTTCTTTGACTTTTTTCTGGAATGAAGTGGAGAGATCCTATCTAGAAGACGAAAAATCTGAACCCTATCTCATCACCTACCAGTTCCTTTGATGCATGGTATAGATTTCCAGGTCAGCCAGGCAGGCAAGACTTACCCAGAGTCCTCAAAGCTTACCCAGAGTCCTCAAAGCTTACCCAGAGTCCGCAAAGGAAATTTGATCCCTGAAACAAGACCAAAGAGAGCTGGTTTCTCACTTAGTGGCCAGCCTGGATTGTTGCCCATATGCCCCCTGCCGAGCATGGCACGTGGATGTGTCTATTTTCAAAAATGCCAATTTGCAGTAGTCTTTGACTGTGTTTGTATTTACTGTAACAACTGTATGTTTTAGATGCTGTGACTTGCATTCTTCTAGTTGTCTGCAGGTTTTCTTGACCTGAAGAGAACTGAGAACATTGGCAGCCACCAAGAGCCTAGGCAGGAACAAAGGGAGATAATTCCATGCTATTTTCTACAAACTCCAACTTACCTTTGGACTAAATTATTATAAACTACCACCAATTGTCTCCAATTCATTAGGTTGCCTTTTGTGTCTTCCTGAAAACCAAGGATAGCAGAAGAAAAAAAACATCTATCTGTCTATCTGTCTATCTATGTATATCTTTTGTTATAGCTTGTTTGAAGAATATAGAATTACCACAGAGCCTGGTAAGACCACTTCAGTTAGAGTTTCTCATATGTAAGCTAGCTTTAAGGAGTTTCTAACACTTACTATGTTAATTAAGTTGCATAAATATTACATGGGGATGAGAGTTTGGGTGCATGTACAATTTACCAAAACACGATTCAAAGCTGGCAAGTGTCTTGTTTCTGTTTGCTATGAATGGTGTCATTTATATCAGACCCCACTTATTGATACTTGCCTTAAAATATAACTTTTTAACATGAAATATCAAACTCTTGGGGACAAAGTTTGAATTTCTTAGAGGTAAGTCTAAGGTTTCATTAGGGAAGGAAGGAATAGATCTGAAGTCGGGGAAATAGATTCATTACTCTGGGATCTTGTGGACAGAGATCCTAATTTGTTAATGAATAGACTCTGTGCCTAAATAGTTATAGTAATTAGCAAGCACTCAGTAAATGGCTGTTGAATGACTTAGTGGTGGGGAAGTTTACTTTTGGAATTAAAGTAACTCACCAAACATACTTTTGAGGACAGACTTGGCCAAAACTATGGGCCAAATAATTATGGGCCACATCTTTAAAATTCCATAAATTAAATATTTTATTAAATAGGAAAAGAGCAACTGGAAACATAGCACTGGTTTTAAAACCACAAAAAAATCCCTGGAAAAAACATGATACACCATGGGTTTCAGTGACCTCTACCCACCTGAAATTGTGAAGATCTAAAAAGGAGGCAAATGTCAGGAGTGAAGACAACCCAAGTATCTTCCAAGAGTAAAGAAGGTATACTGGCAAGACTGATGAAGTTTACAAACACGGCAAATACTTTCTAAGAGAGATGTTTATAGCAGCTCCATTTAGTGAATAACTATTTTGCAGTAGAAAAAATATGTTTATCAGCATAGCATCACTTTGGGAAAATCCTCCTTCACATTTTTTTTATCTACATGACTCAGGAATGCACTCTTTTCACTGGAGTTGCGAAGCTGGGAGAATGAAGACTTAAGTTGTTCAGGTTCATTTTTATCACCAGGCAGTAAGGGTCTTTCAGAGAATGAAAATAGTGAAAAGAAATTCAGAGATGAGAGATGAATACAGATCATTTTCTGGTCATGTTATGAGAGTATGTGGATTCAGCTATACCGGAAACCATTCTCATACTTTTCATTTAATGAAAAACTTTT
Source organism: Homo sapiens (assembly GCF_000001405.40). Lineage (NCBI taxonomy): Eukaryota > Metazoa > Chordata > Mammalia > Primates > Hominidae > Homo > Homo sapiens. The sequence continues at coordinate 38,059,637 of NC_000007.14, forward strand.
TAAAATCTATTTTTGGCATATTTCTCTCTATTGCTTTTCCTCTGTCCTTATCCAGCAATAAAATGTTTCCCTTTTAAAAATTATTATCAAAAATATTTGTACTTTACTAATAAATGATCCATGTCTTCATTAAATTCCTTAATGTTCCACTTTGTGAGTATCTTTTCCAAATAGGAAACTATTTGAGACTTTATCATCTGAACACAAATTTTTTAAATGTCATACAGCTCAAAATGCTTTTATAGAAACTAGTTGAGAGCTTCATCCAGCTCTTTTTCAAAAGGCAGAAGAGTTGTTGGGAAGAATAAAAAGATTAACTTCCATGTATAAACAAGGTTATTGAACTAAAAGAAGTAACACAGGCATTAAAACCTCCATTTTGTCTTGTAGTCAGCCTCTGAATGTCTAGCCCCTTCTAGATGGAGAGTTGGGTTAGGGGGAATGAAAGCTCCACTCACATCTTCCTGCATCCACAATTCTAGCATTTATTACTCTCTAATTGAAAAGTCACAAATGCCAGTTCACCAAGTACTTGAGAGAGACTCAGATCTTCCTTCCTCCCTAATGTTATCATCTCAGGCTCCCGGAGATGGGACTTCTGCTTGTGAAACTTGAACTCCAGTCTTTCCTCCCTTTGCTGTTTCAACTTCCTTTGGAGATTGTAATCATCCTTCAAGCTTGGGTGATTTATGCTCATAGCATTTCGCTACCAATATTGGGAGCTAGGGGTATCTATCTATTCCTTGTAGCAATTGTCCTTCTTTATTTATCCCCAAAGCCCTACCAGTCGAATTTAGGGGTTTAGTAGACAAATTCAACTGATATGACTTGCTCACAAAAATTGACCCCAAACAACCAGCAGCCTCCTGTCGTGCACTATTGTATCTAAACCTGACATCCTCTGGTTCCCCTTCTCTCCTAGAGAATCTTGGAATTCATCCCCAGTTGTAGACAAAGTGATGAGGTCATTACACCAATAACATTTATGAAGTAATTTCAGATGGGCTTATAGATCAATTTTCTAGACAAAGACACTGAAATGTAATGGGAGCAAGGCAGCCAAACTGAGCAGAAGTAGGTGTAGCATATCCCAACACAGCTGCTCCTGGTCCCCAGAACCCCTAATCAATCAGAATACTCCAGTGCAAGGTGGAGTCCAGCCAGATCTGAGAAGCTGTATTTTGCAGTGTCAGCTGTTCTCATAGGCAGCAGATGATTTCTGGTTTCTCTGGCCTGTTTCTAATATACATTGATATATTTGCCTATTCATGTGACAATACCACACTATTTTAATTGCTGTAGCTTTATGATAAGTTTTGGTGTCTGATAAATAAGTCTTTTCATCTTGCATTTCTTCTTTAAGATGGTCTTGGCTATCTTAATTCGTCTGAATTTCCTTACACACTTTAGAATCAGCTTGCCAAAATACAAAAGATTTAAGCCTATAAGAGTTTTAATCACATCATTTTGAGGATAATTGATATAAGATGGAGTGTTATAATCCATTCATATTTTATAACACACAGTGTAGGTTTAAGTTTTCTTTAATTTCTCTTAATGTTTGTGGCTTTCTGTATAGAGGCCTAACACAACTTCAGTTAAGATTTATTCCTAGGTATATGACGTTGTGATGTTATTATAAAAGCATTTGTTAAATTTTATTTTCTGACAGTTTTCAATATAGAGAAATGAACTGATCTTTAAATATTTTTGTATACAGCAATCTTGCTGTATACTCTTTCTAATTCTTATGATTTGTCTGTGAATTACTTTAATTTTTACATAGAATCATATTGACTGCATATATCAGAAGTTTACCTTTGCTTCTTTATCTCTGAACTTTATACCATTCATGTCTTTTTTGTTGCCTTATTATATTGACTATTTAACTATGAACTTGAGCAAAATGCTGCATAGAAAAGATAACACCTGTGCCTTGTTCCCAGTTTCAAAGGGAATAATTCTATTTTTATCACTAAGTATGACATTTGCTGAAGTTCTGTTGTTTTTGGTTTTTTGTAGATATTCTTTTTCAGATTATCAAGGGTCTGTTTTAACCTAGTTTGCTAAGAGTATGTGTTTTTCTTAAATCATGAATGTTGAATTTCATCATACACGTTTTCTTCTTCTGCCAAGATTATCATGATTTTGTTCTTCAGTCTATTATTGTGTCACATACTAAGAGTGAGATGCCATACAAGTGCTGGGAGTAAAAAAAAAAGTTCTGAGGCGGGCAGGAGCCCGACTATTTCAAGCAGACATCACACTGTTTATATGAATAGCAATTACAAATAAGTACATGTAAACAAAAGCCATAGGTTGCAAACATAGAAAAGTTGGATACAGATGTTGAGAAGAAGAGGTACCAAAAGGAAAAGCAATGACATTTTAAAATATCTATGAGAGCTTAGCATTATTGCAACTTGTTAAGCACTTACTACATGTATTAACTGACTTATCCTCAAAACAAACCTATTATTTCCACTTAAGAGAGAGGAAGCTGAAGCTCATAGTGGTTAAATAACATGTCCAATGTTGCCCAGTGAAGTGCTGATGATGGAATTCCAACTGGCTCCAAACCTCAACTCTCAAGTTTCTTTTGGAGAAGGCAACAAAACATACTGGGTAAGGATTTGTACAGGGTTTAGTTTTGATAAGCAATGTTTTTTGAAGTGATATTCTTATAGGTGGAAATATTAACAGATAAGAAGAAACTGTACTCTGAACTATTTCACAGAGACTATTCATGTGTAGTTTATTTATAAAGTCTGCAATTCTTTTATTCTGGGCACTGTCACATAAATTTCTCTAAACGAAAGAACTTAATTGTGTGCTTTAGGGGCTGTGGGCAGAGAAAAAGATTGAATGCTTTTCTTCCTTGTGGTAGAATAAATTCTTCGATTCCCCTCTTCCTTCCTACATGAAAACTGAGCATTCTCATAATACTTCCTAAAACAGCGCCTGTTCCTGTTGACAGTGTTAACCACTTCAACTCTTCAGTGATGCGCTGTGACAACATCACGTTCCTTAATCTTTCTTCTGTTCTCCTGTTTCTTCTGGCTTCTTCATGGGCTCCTCCATTTATATTTAAAATGTCGAGGTCAAGAGATCGAGCCCATCTTAGCCAAGATGGTGAAACCCCATCTCTACTAAAAATACAAAAATTAGCTGGGCATGGTGGCAGGCGCCTGGAGTCCTAGGTACTTAGGAGGCTGAGGCAGGAGAATCACTTGAACCTGGGAGGCGGAGGTTGCAGTGAGCCGAGATCCTGCCCTGCACTCCACCCTGGTGACACAGCGAGATTCCGTCTCAAAACAGAAAAAACAAACAAACAAAAACATGTCAGGAAATGATGAGCAGTAAACTGAGAAGGATGTTAACTCTGAGGAGGAAGAAAGAAAAATAGAGACAGTGAGGGGTATACAGGGCTCTAAAATTCAGGTTGAAAGATTTTGTGCTAAAATAGGGCAACACTTTATGTGAAGAATGTTCAATATGTTCTTCTCTACTCTTTTCTATGTGTTTGAAATATTTCATCACTTAAAGAGGAAAAAATAAAAATCAGAATGGGTTCTCGAGTTTTGACAGCTATGAAGTTGGTGAATCTATGACTTTAGTCTCACGTTCTCATTTTAGGACTCTGTTTCTTTCTTTATAAGATTATTTTTCATTCTCAAGTTCTCGGAATGCTTTTATGATGTTATGTTCCACTGCTTTCCTAATTTACACCATATGAAACTTCAAAAGGTTTGCTTAGGCAATGCATTCAAATTAGTTGTTTTAGAAGGGGACTGCAAGGACTGTCTTATTGCACTGAAGGCAGTGCCCTCACTTGAATTTAGGCTCTTCTGTTAACTGAATAAATGAACGTAAAATCAGTGTCTTAAATTAGCATCACAGGTCTAAAAATAGGATGTGTTATGCCATGCTCAGATTGGGTCAACAGTGAAATGAGGTATGTATGTAACTAAAAAAGAGTCACAATGCCAGCAAATGCAAAGGAGAACTTTATTTCTAAGGGGGGTATGTCCTGCAGGTGGAAAGCGAGCCTCCAACCTTGAATGTAAAGCCATGATTCAAATGAGAGAAAGAAGAAGTAGTTATTTATGCTAAGTGGGGAGGCAGAACATACACATTCAATAGGATATAGGAACATGTTATGAATATTCATGAAAAGCACCAAACATATGCATATTATGTGTATGAGACATATGGCGACGAATGACCCATGTTCGCTTTGGGATGGAGATTTAACATTTTAATGCATTATAAATAGGTCCTACATGGTAAAAGGTGAAATGTAGGGAACAAGTCCAGGAACTGTGCATCCTCTGGAGACCAGTTGAAACCAGTCTGCAGCCGGCAGTCATTTATCAAGAAGGGAGGTGGAGGCAAATGGGAGATGGCCAGCCTTTGTCCTGCCATGGCCAGGAATTTAGCATTTTGGGGTCTTTTAGCCAGAGGAGAATCCGTTAGTCTGTGGAAGATATTTAGGACATATATTTCAGTCTTCAGTTATGTGCTGAAGAAGTTTTCCCACTTGTTTTGGAAAAGTGTATTTCCATTCAACTCACCAGAGATCGGGGTCTCCTCCTACCATTTAATCCCAAGCTAAAATTTCAGAAAATGTTTCCCAAATGATTTAGCAGAACGTGACCACTCTACTTCAAAATGGCCCTTGGAGTGGACAAAATAAAATTTGGGCTTCAGTACTCTTCCTGACTCGAGGCCTTCCTGAGACCTCCAGCCACACCCAGGGCAGTTAGAGCAAGGAGCTGGGGAGAAGTCTCCCCACACACCAGCCTCCACCAGAATCACCTAAGGGGATCAACTCCTTCAAAAATATTCTCCAAATGTGAAAGATGACATAATGAAGCTGGGATTTGAAGAGCTCCCATACGCCCCAAAATCTGAGGAACTGAAGAAGTCCTGGTTTGGTCTCTTGAGGCCTGAGCAGGGGCCAGGCCTCCTCCTTATGTTAATTAGAACTTGCTTTCCACACAGTCATAAAGAAGGAACTGGTAAAACTCCTAATCATCCAAATGAAGAGAATTATTGAGGAAAATCAGGCTGATAAATAGGAGAATGAGGGGAAAGAGAGAGGCTATGGCTTGGGAGCAAGGATAAAGTCTTTGTTTTCTCTTTGTTCTCTCTTGCATCTCACCCTCCACTTCTTAAATTCTCTAAACCCTAAAATATTGAATCCATTGAAATCTTGGAGGGCCATGGCAGTGGTTCTTGGGAATCTGAAGGCAAGAGAAACTGTCTTAATTCCTTTAATTTGGGTCAGAAATAATGAAAAGCAAAAGATGTGACTTTAGTATCATCGAGGTAGAGGCCAGAATGCTTGGGTATGTTAGGATGAAGCCCTAGGCCCAGGGCTAAAGTAGATGATGCTAACCTAATGGAAGGAAATTCAATATTTGAAAGTGTTTTCTTCCAATTCTGAAGAAGTTGTATTTCAAACATAGAATATTTGATTGAATGTAACATAGTTGTCTGTCCCCAGGAGTTATCTACTGTGGAGGCTGTGCCTGAACTTGGAATGGAAGGTTATTTTTCTCAGGTTCTTGCTTGAGGGTCTCTAGGTCTCAACATGCAGGGTAAGCTGTGTAAAAACGGCCAAAGACAGTCCATATTCTGATATATGTGGGATTCTATGGAGGGATTGTGAGCAAGAAGCTGGAGACAGAAATGAAGATCCAGCACAGGTGTCAGCCAGCCAGCCAGCCCGACAAACGGCACAGAAATTAACAAGTTCTTAAAAGAACATTGCCAACACAGACTTTAAGAGTAAAAAATACTAGGTCCTGATGGAATCGAGGATAGAGTTTATGACATTAATATTATCCTACAAGGAGATTCAGTGAAAAACCTGAACACCATCTCCCCATAAGGGAAGCTAGGCCTGCGATGTGGAGGGCACATGACCCGGGAGGAAGTCAGTGGACCCCCATGCAAGGGGACCACACCTGAAGGGACCAGATGCAAAGGAGTTGGAAGATGGCCCAACCTCTGCCAGAGACATGGCAATCCATTCCAAGCTGAGCCAATAATTGCAGGGTCCACTACCTTTAAGACAGCTCTGTACACATCTCTTGAGGAGGACTTCGATCACTCTCCTGGCTATCATACAAAGATAAACACCCACCTATCACTTGTTGATCATTCAGCAGGAAGAACTGTCTGTGAACCAAGACAGTCCTATCCCAGGTGTCCTCAATCAGAACTTCCCTCTCTTCAATGGCCCAAGACATCCATAAAGGTTTCTTAAAAAGACGTTGGGGCGTTGACATCGAGAAATGCAATGGAGTTTGGAAAGGAAAGCTTCTGCACCTGCAAGTGAGGACTAGCGAGAATGGGCTTTCGGTATCCACCTGGGTCAAGAGAGGGACGGCACTCAATCCTGATGCCACATGAGGTCTGTCATCCTGCCTCCAGACCCCCCACCACTTTACCCTGCTGCTTGACTCAACCTCATGGTGCTTCTATGGGCTTCTCTCTATGGACTGTCTGTTCATAATGGTTAACTGCATTTAGGGAGAAAAAACTGAGAATTTCTTCTCCCTTGAAAGACTAGTACTGTACATTTTTAATGATTTTTTTGGACTCTATAACTTTCTTCATAAAATTCAATAGTAAAATGTATTTATTTATGTAAATATATATTTATAGATATATAAAATGTATATTTTTTATTACTGAGCTACACACACACACACACACACACACACTGTGTCAAACCTAGCAAATTGTATCTTTAAGAAATCCCATAGGATAACTATGAATGCAGGCTGATTACATTTTTTTAAAAATATGACTATTTTTTTAAAAAAATTACCCTAGAAATAATTATCTCTGCTTGTTCCCTTTTTTGGCTTAACTTTCATGTGTCCATACCCTTGCAAGCTGTTAGTGCAGTGCTGACAGCTGGTCTCTGACTCTGGCTTGCCTTCTTGATTTTGCCCTGCCTTCTCCAACTGGTCCTCGTGTTTATCTTCTATCCCAACACACTCCTGGCCGACTCCTCTTCTTGAGTTACCGGTATTTTGTGGCCAGCGCATCAGGATAATTTTAGCAAAGGCAGAAAAGGAAAGAGTTGTGCGATTTTTTTATTCTTCCTAATCTCTCTTTCTGGAGAAATGAATCTGGGAAAAGAAAGGGGAAGTCCAATAGGAAAGGCCAGCATAGATTGCTGTGCTTCTGAAAAGAGAGAGGATTATACAGACGGCTGGCCTGGACTGAGTAGTTGACCCCCAAGGGGACCACCACAAGGGGCCCACAGCTCTCTCCCTGGGATTGCTCCCCACTTCACCCATGCTACTTATGGTGGTAGATGGAGTTGAAGGGATCCACTTAGGAGCTCTGGGGCCCTGGTGGATCCTATTCCATAACAGGACACTGCATCAGCCCAGACCTGAAATGCCTGGACACATTAATAGCTTCTTTACAATTTTTTTTTTTTTTTGGTGGGGAAGGGGGTGGTGATCCATAGCAATTCTTGGTTGATTGATTACTTCTGATTTCAAGTAAGTTATTATTAACTTTCTGGCTCATACACAAGTTGACTGCTGTATCCTTTGTACCAATAACTTTATCAGAACAACAGCTGAATATATTGTTATTCTCATCTCTATAATCATTCCCCTCTTCAAAGTAGGTATCATGGCTAATAACATTAATAGTAGCAAAATAGATGGCACTTTCACTGGTCAGGAGCTGTTGTAAGTCGTTTACAAATATTAACTCATGTAATACTCATGATAACCCTGAGAAAGTTACTCTAGTCATTCTTATTTAACAGATGAGAAAACTAAGCAGAGACAGGTTGAATAACTTTCCAATCTCTCTCCACTTACCACAAGTGGAGCTGGAAGTCAGACTGAGATAGTCGGACTCTAAAGTCTAAGTTTTCAATCATTAAATTATTTGTCTTTATACAATCATCAATGCCTAACACAAAGTGTTAAGTAAATGAGTGCTTAAGAAAAATCTGAGTAAATTGTTCTAACTGAGGATATTAAAACTGGGATCTGTAGCAAGTGCTTTAACATAGTAAAGTATTTTCTTTGGTATACTGTCAACCTATATTGGAAAACTGAGCCTTCAAGAGGTAAGCCCTAACCCCTTGGGTAGAGCTAGGGTTGAAAGCCATCTGCTGATTCCATATCCAGGGCTCTGCTTACTATTCTGCCAAGTGATCCTTCTCTCAGGCCTTCTTGGAAGAGTAACCCAGACAACTGCAGGATCCCTTGGTCTTCCTGTGGCTCAGGCCTGCTCTCTGAGGCCCTCACACAGCAGATTGACCAAAGGCCTCATTCTAGCTCATTTTGTGTAAAAAGGGATAAGTGCAGAAGGAGGCCTGGGGCACCATGGAACCACAGTGTCCAAGGGTCCTCACTGTGGTCCTAACTAAGCTTCATCCAATGGCTTGACTTTCAAATCAAAAGTGAGAAAGTCTAGGTTCTGTTCCTTCCCCATCAGTAATCCTGTGCTCTTGAATCATTCCCATTCTGAGTAAGAGCAGTCAGGGTGAAAAATCAGGACTGGCTCTCAGCCTCCAATCCCATTTTCCAACAACTGGAAACTCTCCTATTTGGGTCCCTCAGGAAGGCTTGAGCTTCTGGGAATCCACCTGAAGACCACCAAGGTAGTTGTTCATTGCAAATGACCCCTGTTTTGCCTTTTGGATTCAATGACCAACAAAAGTCACAATGCCTCAAATTAAGATACAACTTTTTAAAAATGTAAATTTAATTACACAGTTGAGGGTCTTCAGATAAATCAGGGAGAGTTTTGGTTTACAAATAAAGGCACAAGAATTTTGCTTTATGAATAAAGTCACAAGACTTATGGTTCACAAGTAATAAGCTACCACTTTTCATGATTTTTGCCAAGTCATATCACTTGACTACTCCCACTTTGTCAGTGAAACTAAAACCCTCTGCTTCTCACATGGCTTTAATGAGATGAGGTAATGCATTTAGTGGGCATTAATTTTTTTGCCCTTTCATACAAGCTTAGATTTCCCGCTTCCCCTCTTCATTATTTATTCTCAATCACCTTTAGTAAAATACTTTATTTCTTTTTTCATCCTGTTCTCCCTAGGAAACAAGAAAAGGTCAATTCACCATCTTTGTAAGAAAGAGAAAAAATAGCTTTGGGAGATTTTACGAGGTGGCTTTCTAATCCAGGCACAGGGCTCCAGTCTGAGTCTTTGTTTAGAAAAGAGTTTTTCACAAGATGTTTTTCCACAGATAGCACTTTGGTGGCTTTACAGGCTTCTGTGGGGAGACGGTCATCTGTGGTGGCTCTTCCAGCCAAGCATTACATTTTTGTTCTTCCCAGTGATTTCAGGGAAGGAGACTCGGCTTATAGCTCAATGTTGACTGTTATCAGCTCCTTACAGTATACCACATGCAGTCTAGTAATTCAAAACGGTAAATTATTTGTTAATTATTGAAGGTTAATTGTAGAAGACCTAGAAAGCATGTAAGTAGAAAAGTTGGTCTCCAAAATCTACCACCCAGGAGATTCCCTGTTGTGATGTTGATGATTTAAGAAAACATTACACGTGCACATTACACCTTTCCCAGCCCAGGTGTCCCTCAGCAGGAGACTGGATAAACTGTGGTGCATTTAAACACTGGAGTAGGATTCAGCAGTACAAAGGAATGAGCCACCTATACACAAACAATATGGACGAAGCTCAAAAAATAATGCTGAGTGAAAAAAGCTTTACATGCCGAGTACACATTTTATGAGTCCACTCATATGCAGTTCTAGCGCAGGTAAATCTTGTCGATGATAGAAAAACTGGAAGAATGTCTGCTGTGGCAGGACAAGGCAGAAAGTGAGAAATAGGCAATGAAACTTTCTAGGTGATTGTAACATTCTATATCTTGACAGGGATTTGCGTTACACAGGTGTATGCATTTGTCAAAATTCATTTAATGATACACTTAGGTTTTGTGTATTTCATTTATGTGAATTTTACCTAGAAAAGTATAAAAAAATTGATATCAGTTAATCATATGCAAACTATTTAGATGGAAGTAAACTGATATCTGCAGGTTATTTTGAAATGCATTACGCAAAAGATGGATTGATGGATGGACAAAGATAGATGGACAGATCTGTGATAAAGCAAGTATAGTGAGAGTTTAATTAAAGAATCTAGGTGTAATTACATGGGTGTTTTCTGTGCAATTCATTCAATTTTTCTGAGGGCTTAAATGTTTTTCATATTCAACTGTCAGTAAGAAAAAGAACACAACATGTTTCTATGTCAAATATGCTCCCACAACATTTTAAAGGACATAAAATCAACAACACCTAAAGAATGGAATACAATACCATCACTGTTAAACATGTAGGTTTTTTTAAAGTTTATAGTACATCTTACACTTAGCTGTTTAGACACTTGACTTATTAGATCCTTAGGATAAATTCCTACCAACATCAATGTTGACTCAATAAAGAATTACAGATTTGGTTCCTATTGCACTGTTTTCCTCCTGAAGATATGGGACAGTTTTCTCACTTACTAAAGAAAAGACATCTACTTCCTCATATTTCCATAAAGATTGAGTTTTGTTCTTTTTGTCATCTTTGCTAATCAGTTTGATATTTTTAATGGAATACCCTTATCATTTATTATTTAGATTAATCCCTGAGGTTTTCAGCAACAAGAGAAAAAGACTTAAAAAAAAGAGGAGAGAATTTTCAATGCCCAGTGTTTGAACCTCAGAACCCATCTGAATTTCAAAGATCGAAACCATGACAGATCTCCATCCTATTTTCATGATTTGAAATGCAATCAGTACAGTCATCCATTGGTATCTGCAGGGTATTGGTTCCAGGACCCCCACATGTATCAAAATCTGTGGATGCTGACAATCTGCAGAGAGATCGTCTAACTGAAAGCAAAAATCAGTTCTATCTAGTATTTTCTCTGAGACTATTCCATGAATGTATATGTGATATAAGTTTGTGGGAGGCACTTACCCTTCATGCTATGATATCACTATGCTTTGAAAATTGTAATTTGGGAGTTGCAGATGCTAGCACTTTGGGGTTATTAGCAAGCTGTATAAAAACCCAATGAATGCCAAGCTTGGATCACTCATATCTGAATGATGATTAAAAACTCATACAATTCCTGCACCAATTCAATGTGCCAGAGGAGGCAGCACACAAACAAAACACTCACTTGGCTCCTGTTCTCCTCCAGCTCATTGTGGTGTAGATTACAGTCCTGTTTTATCCCTTTCTCTGGCTCTTTCAGCAACAGATAAAACCACTGAAGCCACTCAGCAGACAAACACACCAGCTCACGAGCCCAGAGGACAATTTTCCTTTCCCAGCAGCAGCACATGGTCCTTCCCTGGGCTTTCCAGATGACCTTTATAGCAGCAGCTGACTTCTTGAATGGTTTGTATTTTGATGGGCTATCTAAGCAAAATAACAAAGCAGTATTGCCTTGTCTAAGAGCCTGAGATTCAGATTTTAGATCCATCTTGCATTTGGTTTGATTTGAAAATGAGATTTTTAGAAGACAAAAGCAAATGTGTGTATGTATTCCTCATCAAGGTTTAAACCATTGGTGAGCACCAGGTGCATTTTACAATTTCCAAAAATGATATTAAGTGTTAAACAAGTTTTAGACAGTATTCCAATATTAGGTTCTAAAAGGGTCAGCCAATTTCATCCGCTTGAAAATCACGTTATCTGATTCTCTATAAAAGTTGATACTAACGGTTGATTTCCTGTTGAAATTTCACTTTTCTCTCTGATTTCCTCGACATTGCACTTTCTAGTTTCCATCTACCTGCCTGAACATCTCTTTTCTGTCTTGACTGGCTTATTTCATTTATCCTCAACTCTAGAAATACTTGTTATTCAAACTTCAGGCTTCAGCTTTGTATTCTATCTTGACTTTCTCCTATAAAATTAGGAGCCAAAATCAGTTCCAAACTTTTTGGATGGGTTCCTAAAAGTGGAATTAAATTTAAAATTCTTATAATATGTATATAAATTGGTACAACTTGTTTGGAAGACAATTTTCATTTCTGCCAGCTGCAGAGAAAAACAATTTCCCTCTGTACTTGCCAAGCAAGACCCTTCCATGCTCAGAGCTGGATAGATCAACTGATGAAAAAGGGTCTCATCCAACCCTTAGCCAGTCATATGGATCATCGTGTTCTTTTTCTATTTTTAAAATTAAAATCGTTATTTTTTTTTCTTATTTATCTCTAATCATTTCCTTTTTTTTTTTTGAGATGGAGTTTTGCTGTGTTGCCCAGGCTAGAGTACAATGGCATGATCTTGGCTCACTGCAACCTCTGCCTCCCAGGTTCAAGCAATTCTCCTGCCTCAGCCTCCCGAGTAGCTGGGACTACAAGCATGCGCCACCACACCCAGCTAATTTTTGTATTTTTGGTAGAGACGGGGTTTCACCATGTTGGCCAGGCTGGTCTCGAACCAGTGACCTCAGGTGATCCACCCACCTCGGCCTCTCAAATTGCTGGGATTACAGGCATGAACCAGCGTGCCCAGCCAACCATTTTCTTTACATTAAAAATAGCCCATTGCTCAATATAAATATTACAAATCTTTTTCCAGCTTTATTTACATTTTAATTTTCAATGTGTTTTTCTTCATTGTGAAGAGCATTTAATGTAGTCATCTCATTTTCTATGAACTAAAGAATGAGCACAGAGCTGTGATGGTTAAGAAACTTGGTGAGAGCGGTGAAGGCATAAATTAATTATCGTATCAGAAGAAAGAGCTAAATGGAGAAATGTGAAAAAATTGCAGACACAATATCTATTGACCATCATTTCAGTGTATCAATTTTCTTTATCTGTTCTCATCTACTATTTAATTTATCCATCAATGTTTTATTTCAATTCCTGTATTTTTTGAGTTTTGAATTATTAATTCTTTCATCTGTTGTATAGACCGAATCCTCCTCATAGTGCTTTGTTTGCAAATATGAACATTTAATGTGCTCAACTGAGTGTCTATTTTTATTTAACTTTTATTTTAGGTTCAGAGGTACATGTGAAGGTTTGTTACCTAGGTAAACTTATGTCACGAGAGTTTGCTGTACAGATTACTAAATCATCCAGGTATGAAGCCCAGTACCCAATAGTTATCTTTTCTGCTCTTCTCCCTCCTCCCAATCTCCACCCTTAAGTAGACCCCAGTTTCTATTATTCCCTTCTTTGTGTTCATAAGTTCTCGTCACTTAGCTCCCACTTATACTTGAAAATATGTGGTATTTGGTTTTCACTTCCTGGGTTAGTCTGCTGAGGATAAGAATCTCCAGCTCCATCCATAATTCTGCAAAAGATATAATCTTGTTTTTTATGACTGTGTGGTATTCCATGGTGGATGTGAACTACATTTTCCTTATCCAATCTGTTACTGATGATGAGCATTTAGGTTGATTTTATGTCTTTGCTATTGTGAATAGTGCTGCAATGAACATTCACATACATGTGTCTTTATGGTAGAATGTTTTATATTCCTCTGGGTATATACCCAGTTATGGGATTGCTGGGTAGAATGGCAGTTCTGCTTTTAGCTCTTTGGGGAATTGCCATGCTGCTTTCCACAATGATTGTAATAATTTATACTCCCACCAACAGTGTATAAATGTTCCCTTTTCTCAACAACCTCACCAGCATCTGTTATTTATTTACTTTTAACAATAACCATTCTGACTGGAGTGAGATGGTATCTCACTGTGGTTTTGATATGCATTTCTCTAATGATCAGTTATATTGAGCTTTTTTCATATGCTTATTGGCATCATGTATTTCTTTCAAAAAACGTCTGTTGGCCGGGGCAGTGGCTCATGCCTGTAATCCCAGCTACTCGGGAGGCTGAGGCAGGAGAATCGCTTGAGCTCGGGAGGCAGAGGTTGCAGTGAGCCAAGATTGCACCACTGCACTCCAGCTTGGGCAACAAGAGCAAAACTCCATCTCAAAAAAAAAAAAAAAAGTGTCTATTCACGTCCTTTGCCCACATTTTAATGTGGTTGTTTGGTTTTCTCTTGTAAATTTAGGTTCCTTAAAAATGCTGGGTATTAGACCTTTGTCAAATGCAGAATTTGCAAATATTTTCTCCCATTCTGTATCTTGTCTGTTTGCTCTGTTGACAGTGTCTTTCTGTTGCTGTGCAGAAGCTCTTAAGTTTAATTAGATCCCGTTTGTCGACTTTTGCTTTAGTTGCAGTTGCTTTTGTTATCTTTGTCTTCAAATCTTTGTTCATTCCTATGTCTAGGATAGTATTATTTAGATTGCCTTCCAGAGTTTTTATAGTTTTCAGTTTTATATTTAAGTCTTTAATCCATCTTAAGTTGATTTTTGTATATAGTATAAGGCAGGGGTCCAGATTCAGTCTTCTGCATATGGCTAGCCGGTTATCTCAGCACCATTTATTGAACAGGGAGTCTTTTCCCCATTGCTCGTTTTTGTCAGCTTTTTCAAAGATCAGGTGGTCATAGGTGTACAGCCTTATTTCTGGCTCTGTATTCTGTTTCATTGGTCTATGTGCCTATTTTTGTACCAGTACCATGTTATTTTGGTTGCTATAGCCCTGTAATGTAGCTTGAAGTGGGTAATATGATGCCTTCAGCTTTGCTCTTTTTGTTTAGGATTGCCTTGGCTATTTGGGCTCTTTCTTGGTTTCATATGAATTTTTTAATTTTTTTTCTGGTTCTGTGAAGAATGTCATTGGTAGTACGATAGGAATATAATTGAATCTGTAAATTGCTTGGAGCCTTATGGCCATTTTAATGATGTTGATTCTTTCTATCCATGAACATGGGGTGTTTTTCTATTTGTTTGTGTTATCTCTGATTTCTTTGAGCAGTGTTTTGTGATTCTCAATGTAGAAACCTTTCACCTTCCTGATTAGCTGTATTTCTAGGTATTTTATTCTTTTGTGGCAATTGTGAATGGGATCTAATTTCTGATTTGGCTCTCAGCTTGGCTGTTGTTGGTGTATAGGAACGTTAGTGATTTTTGTACATTGATTTTGTATCCCGAAACTTTGCTGAAGTTTATCAGATGAAGGAGCTTTTAGACTGAGACTATGGGGTTTTCTAGATATAGAATCATGTTGACTGCAAACAGAGATAGCTTGACTTCCTCTCTTCCTATTTGGATGCCCTTTATTTCTTTCTCTTACCTGACTGCTCTGGCTGGGACTTCCAATACTATTTTGAATAGGAGTGGTGAGAGAGGGCCTCCTTGACTTGTGCCAGATTTCAAGGGGAATGCTTCCAGATTTTGCCCATTCAGTATAAAGTTGGCTGCGGGTTTGTCACAGATGGCTCTTATTATTTTGAGATATACTCGTTCAATACCTAGTTTATTGAGAGTTTTTCAATGAATTGATGTTGAATTTTATTGAAAGCCTTTTCTGCATTATTGAGATAATCATGTGGGTTTTGTCTTTAGTTCTGTTTATGTGATTAATCACACTTATATATTTGTGTATGTTGAACCAACTTTGGATCCCAGGGATGAAGCCTCCTTGATTGTGGTGAATTAGCTTTTTGATGTGCTAATTTGATGGTTTGGGTTTGCAAGTATTTTATTGAGGGTTTTCCCATGTATGTTCATTAAGGATATTGACCTATAGTTTTCCTTTTTTTGTTGTGTCTCTGCCAGGTTTTGGTATCAGAATGATGATGGCCTCACAGAATGAGTTGGGGAGGAGTCCCTTCTCTTCAATTTTTTGGAATAGTTTCTGTAGGAATGGTAGTAGCTCTCTTTTGTACATCTGGTAGAATTTAGCTGTTAATCCATCAGGTACTGGACATTTTTTGGTTGGTAGGCTATTTACTACTGATTCAATTTCAGAGCTCATTATTGGTCTGTTCAGGAAATCAGTTTTTTTCTGGTTCAGTCTTGGGACAGAGTATGTGTTCAGGAATGTATCCATCTCTTCTAGGTTTTCCAGTTTGTATGGATAGAAGTGTTCATAGTAGTTTCTGATGGTTATTTTTATTTCTGTAAGATCAGTAGTAATATTGCCTTCATCTTACTAATTGTGTTTATTTGGATTCTTTCTCTTCTTCATTAGTCTAGCTAGAGGCCTATCTATCCTATTAATTTTTTTCAAAAAACCAACTCCTGGATTCATTAGTCTTTTGAATGGTTTTTGTGTCTCAATCTCCTTCAGTTCAGCTCTGATTTTGGTTACTTCTTGTCGTCTGATAGTTTTGGGGTTGATTTGTTGTGGCTTCTCCAATTCTTTCAGCTGTGATGGTAGGTTGTCAATTTGAGATCTTTCTAACTTTTTGATGTGGGCATTTAGTGCTATGAATTTCCTTGTTAACACTGCCTTAGTTGTGTCCCAGAGCTTCTGGTATGCTGTATCTTTCCTCTCATTAGTTTCAAAGAACATCTTGATGTTTGCCTTAATTTCATTATTTACCCAAAAGCCATTCAGGAGCATGTTGCTTCCATGTAATTGCATAGTTTTTAGTGGTTTTCTTAGTCTTAACTTCTATTTTTATTGCACTATGCTCCAAGAGTGTGTTTGGTATGATTTCAGTTATTTTGCATTTGAGGAAGATTGTTTTATGTCCAATTATGTGGTCAATTTTAGAGAATGTGCCATGTGGCAATGATAACAATGTATATTCTGTTGTTTTGGTGTGAAGATTTCTGTAGAGTTCCATCAGATCTATTTGGTTCAATATTGAGTTCTGGTCCTGAATATCTTTGCTACTTTTCTGCCTCAATGATCTGATACTGTTAATGGAGTGTTGATATCTCCCAGTGTTATTGAGCGGGAGTCATGTCTCTTTGTAGGTCTCTAAAAACTTGTTTTATGAATTTGGGTGCTCCTGTGTTTGGTGCATATATATTTAGGATTGTTAGGTCTTCTTGTTGAATTTAACCCTTTACCATTATGTAATGCTCTTCTTTGTCTTATTTTTAATCTTTGTTGGTTTATAGTCTGTTTTGTGTGAAATTAGGATTGGATTGAAACCCCTGCTTTTTTCTGTTTTCCATTTGCTTGGTATATTTTCCTACATCCCTTCATTTCGAGCCCGTATATGTCATTACATGTGAGATGAATCTCTTGAAAACAGCATACCATTGGATCTTGCTTTTTATCTAGCTTGCCACTCTGTGCCTTTTACATGGGGGCATTTAGCCCATTTACATTCAAGGTTAGTAGTTAGTGTTGATATGTGTTGTTATTGTGTTGTTAGCTGGTTATTATGTTGGCTTGTTTGTGTGGTTGCTTTATAGTGACACTGGTCTGTGTGTTTTAATGTGGGGGTTTTTATTAGCTGGTAGTGGTCTTTCATTTCTATATTTAGTGCTCCTTTCAAAATCTCTTGTAACGTAGGTCTGGTGGTAAACTTCAGCATTTGCTTGGCTGAAAAGGATCTTATTTTTCCTTTACTTAGAAAGCTTAGTTTGCTGAATATGAAATTTTTGGTTGACTTTTTTTTTTTTTAAGAATGTTGAACATAGACTCCCAATCTCTTTTAGCTTGTAGGATTTTAGCTGAGAGGTCCACTGGTAGCCCGGTGGTGTTTCCTTTGTAACTGACCTGCCTTTCCTCTCTAGCTGCCTTTAACATTCTTTCTTTCATTTCGGCCTTGGAAAATCTGATGATTATGTGTCTTGGGGATGAACTTCTTGTGTAGAATCTTGTAAGAATCATCTGTATTTCCTGAGAACAATCCTTCTTAAAGTTTTATAAGAATCTGAAAAGGAGGGACTACTTATATACTCATTCTATGAGACCAGCATTATCCTAATACCAACATCAGAAAAAGATGATACTAGGAAAGAAAACTACATACCAATATCTTTTACAAAAATTGACACATAAATCTTCAACAAAATACTAGTCAACTAAATTCCACAACATCTTAAAAATAATATAAATGATGCCCAAGTAAAATTTATTCTGGGAATGTAAGGATGGTTCATATATTAAAAAATCAATTAATATAATACACCACATTAACAGAATAAAAGACAAAAACTACATAATTATTTCAATTGAAAAAAATATTTGACAATATTCAACATACTTTATAATAAAAACTAGGAATAAATAAAAACAAACTAGAAATAAAAGGAAATTACCTCAATATAATAAAAGCCACACATGACAAACCCACAGAAAACACCATATTGAGTAGTAAAAGACTAAAAGCTTTTCCTTTAAGATCAGGAACAAACCAAGGATGCTTCCTTTCACCACTTCTATTCAACATCATACTAGAAGTCCTAGTCAGAGCAATTAAGCAAGCAATGAAGTAAATGTTATCAAAATTGAAAAAGAAGTAAAGTACCTTTGTTCACAGATGATATGAACTCATATGTAGAAACATTAAAGATTCCACACAAAAATCTCTTAGAACTAATAAATGAATTAAGCAAAGTGGTAGGATACAAATTTAACACAGAGATCAGTTGCAGTACTATGTAATAACAAAGAACAATCTGAAAAGGAAATTTGAGACAACTCCATTTATTATAGCCTTAAAAAAGCTTATGAATTTACTTAATGACAGAGGCAAAAACTTGTACAATGAAAACTAGAAAACACTTCCAAAAGGATTTAAAGATGAAAAATCAATGGAAATATGCACCGTGTTCATGGACTGGAAGTTTTTTTTGTTTGTTTTTTGTTTTTTTTTTTTACAGGGTCCCACTCTGTCTCCCAGGCTGGAGTACAGTGGCACGATCTCGGCTCACTGCAATGTCCACCTTCCCAGATTCAAGCAATTCTTCTGCCACAGCCTCCGAAGTAGCTGGGGCTACAGTTGTGCACCACCATGCCCCACTAATTTTTGTATTTTTAGTAGAGATGGGGTTTCAACATATTGGCCAGGCTGGTCTCGAACTCCTGACCTTGTGATCCACCTGCCTCCCAAAGTGCTGGGATTACAGGCAAGGGCTGGAAGTTTTAATAATATTAAGATGTCAATAATACTCAATGCAATCTGTAGATTAAATATAATCATCCCAACAATAAATTTTTGCAAAAATAGAAACATTTATTCTAAAAGTTATAAGAAATCTCAAAGACCCTTAATAGCCCAAACAATATTTTCATTTGTTTATTTTTGAGACAGGTCTCACTTTGTCACCTAGGCTGGAGTGCAGTGGTGCAATCTCAGCTCAATGCAGCCTTGACCTCCTGGGGTCACGCAAACCCCCATCTCAGACTTCCAGGTAGCTGGGACTTCAGGCACGCACCACTATGCCCAGCTAATTTTTTGTAGAGAAGAGGTCTCACTATGTTGCCCAGACTGGTCTTGAGCTCCTGGGCTCAAGCATTCTGCCTGCCTCAGCCTCCCAAAGTGCTGGGATTACAGGTGTGAGGCACCCCACCTAGCCAGCCCAAACAATCTTAAAAATGAAGAAGATATCTGAAGGACTCACACTTACTGATTTCAAAACTTAATTTCAAAAGCTGCAGTAATAAAAACTGTGATACTGGCATAAAGACAGCAGACACATTAACGAATAAACTAGAACAGAGAGCTCAGAAGTAATCCCTTGCATATATGAAAATAGGATTTCATTTTGACAAGGGTGCCAAGATCACCAATGAAGAAAGAAAAGTCTTTTCAAAAAATTGTAGTGAGAAAACTGGATATCCACCTACAAAAGAATGAACTCAAACCCTTATCTAACATAAAATTAAAAATTAACTCAAAATGGATAAGACTAATCATTAAAGCTAAAACTATAAAACTCTCAAAAGGAAACAGGAAAAAAGCTTCACAACATTGTATTTGGCAATAATTGCTCAGATATGATACCAAAGGTACAAGCAACAAACAAAAAAATACACAAATTGAACTTCATGAAAACTAAAAGTTTTCAAGCATCAAAATGCATTATAAACAGAGTGAAAAAGCATCCTATGCAATGGGAGAAAATACTTGCAAATCATATGTCTGATAAAAGATTAGTATCCAGAATATACAGATGACTCCTGTAACTCAACAACAAAAACACAACCTGATTAAAAATGGGCAAAGAACCTACAAAAACATTTCTTCAAAGAAGATGTACAAATAGCAAATAAGCACATGAAAAAAAGTTCAACGTCACTGATCATCAGAGAGATGTAAACCCAAACTACAATGAGATACCACCTCACACACCCTAAGATAGCTACTATATATGTATATTATACATATTGTATTATTATAATGCAATAATATTACATGTATATTACATATATAATTACATGAATAACATATATTACATATGATAATATAGATGTATAATTATTACATGTAATCATGTATATAAGGATGTTACTTGTGATTATATATTATATTATAATATAATATATAATTATAATATATATTGTTTATATATGCAGAAACAGAAAATAACCGGTGTCCAGGTGTTGTCTTTGATGTGGAGAAAATACAATACTTGTGCATTGTTAGTGGGAATGTAAAATGGTACAGATTTTAGGGAAAACAGCATAGCAGTTCTTAAAAAAAATTTTTTTTAATGCCAAATGATTTCAGTTCTGGGTATAAACTCAAAAGAATTGAAAGCACATTCTTGAAGAGATATTTGTGTACTCTGTTCATAGCAGCATTATTAAAAATAGCTAAAGTATGAAAGCAACCCAAGTGTTCATCAATAGATAAGTGGATAAGCAAAATGTTATATGTACGTACAATGGAATATTATATGCCTTTAAAAAGAAGGAAATACTGACATATGCTAAAGCATAAATGAAACTTGAGGACATTATACTAAGTGAAATAAGCCAGTCACAAAAGACTAATACCATGTGATTCTACTTCTGTGAGATACCTAGCATATTAGTTTGTTCTCACACTGCTATAAAGATACTACCTGAGATTGGGTAATTTATAAACAAAAGAGGTTTAATTGACTAACAGTTCTGCATGGGTGGGGAGGCCTCAGGAATCTTACAATCTTGGCAGAAGGTGAAGGGGAAGCAAGCACCTTCTTCACAATGTGGCAGGAGAGACAGAGGGAGACCGAGGAAACACCACACTTTAAAATCATTAACTCTCATGAGAACTCCCTCACTACAAGAACAGCATGGGTGAAACTGCCCCCATGATCCAATTACCTCCACCTAATCCTAACCTCAACACATAGAGATTACAATTCGAGATGAGGTTTGAGTGGGGAACAACAACAAACCATGTCATTCCACCCCTGGCCCCTCCCAGATCTCATATCCTTTTCATATCTCAAAATGCAATCATGCCTTCCCAACAGTCCCTCAAAGTCTTAACTCATTTCAGCATTAACTTAAAAGTCTAAGTCCAAAGTCTCATCTGAGACAGGGCAAGTCCCTTCCACCTATGAGTCTGTAACGTCAAAAGCAAATTAATTACTTCCAAGATACAATAAGGGTACAGGGATTGGGTAAATGTTCCCTTTCCAAATGGGAGAAACTGGCCAAAACAAAAAGGCCACAGGCCACATGCAAGTACAAAATGCAACAGGACATTCATTAAATCTTAAAGCTCCAAAATGATCTCCTTTGACTCCATGTCTCACAACCATGGCACACTGTTGCAAGGGGTGGGTTCCCAAGGCCTTGGAGTGCCCCACCCCTGTGGCACTGCAGGTTACAGTCCCTTTGGCTGCTTTCATGGGCTGGCATTGAGTGCCTGTGGCTTTTCCAGGTGCACAATGCAAGCTGTCAATGGAGCTGCCATTCTGGGGTCTGGAAGATGGTGGCCCTCTTCTCACAGTTCCACTAGGCAGTGTCCCAGTGGGGACTCTGTGTGGAGGCTCCAACCCCACATTCCCCTTTCGCAGTGTCCTAGCAGAAGTTCTCCATGAAGGCTCCGGCCCTGCAGCAGACTTCTGCCTGGACATTTAGGCATTTCCATACATCCTCTGAAATCTAGGCAGAGGTTCCCAATGCTCAACTCTTGTCTTCTGCATATCTGCAGGCCCAACATTACATGGAAGCCACCAAGGCTTGGAGCTAGCACCTTCTGAAGCAACACCTTGAGTCTTACATTGGTCCCTTTTAGCCATGCCTGGAGCTGGAACAGCTGGGACACAAGGTACCAAGTCCTGAGGCGGCTGTGCAGAGCAGCAGGATCCTGGGCCCAACCCATGGAACCATTTTTCCCTCGTAGGTCTCTGGGCCTGTGATGGGAGGGGCTGCCGCAAAGATTTCTCACGTGCCCTGGAGACATTTTCCCCATTGTCTTGGCTATTAACATTTGGCTTCTCATTACTTATGCAAATTTCTGAACCTGCTTACATTCCTCCCCAGAAAATGCATTTTTCTTTTCTGCCACGTGGTCAGGATGCAAATTTTTCAAACCTTTATGCTCTACTTCCCTTTTAAACATAAGTTCCAATTTCAAACCATCTTTGCAAATGCATATAACTGACTGCCTTTAGAATAAGCCAGGATACCTCTTGGATGCTTCGTTGCTTAGAAATTTCTTCCACCAGATACCCTAATTACTCTTCCTTAAGTTCAAAGTTCAACAGATCTCTAGGCCAGGGGCAAAATGCCACCAGTCTCCTTGCCAAAGCATAGCATGAGTGACATTTACGCCAGTTCCCAATAAGTTCCTCATCTCCATCTGAGACCATCTCAGCCTGGACTTCATTGTCCATATTACTATCAGCATTTTGGTAAAAACCATTTAACAAATCTCTAGGAAGTTCCAAACTTTCCCACATCCTCTCATCTTCTTCTGAGCCTTCCTAACTGTTCCAACCTCTGCCCATTACCCAGTTCCAAAGTTGCCCCCATATTTTCAGGTTATCTTTATAGCTGTACACCACTATCCCAGTACCAATTTTCTATATTAGTTTGTTTTCACACTGTTATAAAGATACTACCTAAGACTGGGTAATTTATAAACAATAGAGATTTAATTGACTTACAGTTCTGCATGGCTGGGGAGGTCTCAGGAAACTTACAATCGTGGCAGAAGATGAAGGGGAAGAAAGCATCCTCTTCACAAGGCAGCAGGAGAGAGAGAGCACGAGGAAGTGCCACACTTTAAACCCATCGGCTCTCACGAAACTCCCTCACTATCATGAGAACAGACTGGGGAAAACCACCCCCATGATCCAATCACTCTCACCAAGTTCCTCCCTCAACACATGGGGATTACCATTTGAGATGAGATTTGGGTGGGGATGCAGAGCCAAACCATATCACCTAGAGTAGTCAAATACATAGAGACAGAAACTAGAATGGTGGTGGTAATGGGCTGAAGGGAGGGGAGAATGAGGAATTATTGCTTAATAGGTATAGAGTTACAGTTTTATAAGATGAAACGGTTCTGGAGATAGATGGTGGTGATGATTGTACAACATTGTGAACATATTTAATGTTATTGGACTGTTTTAAGTCCAATAAGTTTTGGACTTGCTTAAGATGGTAAATTTTACGTTATGTGAATTTTACCACAATAAAAAAAAATTGAAAAAGAAGTTCACTGGGAAATGCATATTTCGATTTCAAAGAAAATTTGATTATATTTTCCCTGGGAATATTATGAGTATTGCTGGAAAAGGAGACATTAATTGCAGAAACCAAGCCCCTATACTGAATGGAATCATTACTTAGCCCCTCTGAGGCTTGATTTCTCCAACTTTCTATGTTGCATAGCAGAGTTACTTGTAGGATTAAATTAAGACATGGATTAAAATTTCAAGTGCAATGTTTACCTAGAGAGGAAAACCTAGCATTTTAGTACCTAATAAAATTTTTATTTCATGTGTTTACGTAAAATGCCTCTTTTAAAAAACATTGATTGAGGAATATTTGAATGCAGAAATGAATTTCTTATAAATTGTTGTGATTGGCTTAAAATGCAAGGCAAATTTTTAACTGTCATCTTCTGATATGAGAAAGTTAACATTCAGCTTCATTTCTCATCATGGAAGTAGCTTTGAGCTACAATACACACAATGAAATGGTAAATGCCCTCCCTGAATTGTTGAACATAAAACATAAGAGTCTCAGGTCCTCCTGAAAGCAGACAACGTAACTTCTGAAAGAAATATGTCCCTTGAAACAACTTCTTCTTCTAGGCTACCTCAGATCTTCAAATTCCTTCAGCAAATAAATATGCCAACGCATCTTTAAATGGTACTGTTGTGAGATTCAAGGGTTAAGACTTTATAGGATATGGTTGATCTGAGTTTGTTATTAATGGCTGGTCACATGGCCTTTGGAAGGCCAAGTGGTAACATTGGCTTCCAGGAGAGAGGATGTTTTGGAAAATGATAATATATGTGACTATCTGTTCCAGTCCATCAAGTGTTGGCAGAACCTCCCATCCTACTGTCTGTTTCCTTTGGTTTGGTTTAACCTATTTTTTAGTAACATCAGTTTACGTTCTTTCCTAGACTTTGGGAAGGGAGTTTCATATTTTGCGTAAGATCATATGAGATTTTATTGCAAAACCTCAAACCATATTTAATTTGATTGTTCTGAACTATGCCATTGACTTTGAGTTCCAGGGATCTCATTAAATGTTGCATCTTGGTCCAAAATTTTTCTCAAAGGAAATAGACCATTTTTTAGGCTCCAAATTGCCATGCCCAAGTAGATAGGTCTTTATGAGAGGGCTACTATTTAGAGTTCTTTTTGTTAATTCTAAAACTTCTGTTAGTCAGATAATGACTGTTAGTCTTTGGCTACAAAATTTCTAACAGTCAACAGAATCACAGCTGTGGCTAAAGGATAGAAACTGATACTTACAAAGTCTTATAAAAATTTCCTTTTCCTTGCTGTCAAGGATCATAGAAGAGTCTCCTTGAAACCAACGTCGTATTGATCATCTGTCCAATTTTTGCTCACCAACTTAATGGCAACCTATACTACAACCATCAGCCTGATAGGATGGTACAAGGCCCCTCACCTGGAGCTAACCATCAGGTTCCAGAAACAATTTCTTTCTCCACTACTGCCATCTTGCTTTATTGTTAGGAGGTTACATGTTAGCAACAACATCTGCCATCCTCAGTCACTTCGAGATGGTATAAGCACATGTGCAGTCACCTTCAGTATTATAAGAATTAAGAAGAAGCATGACAGGCCTAGCAGGGACTATAATACTTGGGGGAGTTTCTTTACCCCTGTGGAAACTTAGGTTCTCAACTGTGATGTTACGTATCATCCAAGGTCATTAAAAAGATTTGGAATAATTATTTTGTGATATATGTGTGGATGTGGGATGTCTCGGCAAGAGCCAGCCATTTACACAATTAAAGAGTTATTCCTAATGAATCAGTGGAGTAAAACCGCAAGATGCTCATTAGAACAGAGTAATGGTGTCTTTAAAAGTGATTCTTAAGGAAGCTTCAAGATTGGGTTTGATCTGGTAAGGCTACCCCAGACACTGTACTATTCTTAGAATGACTCAGAATCATTGAGATCTGCTTTTACCTAGCTTCCACACTGGACTCATATCTAAGAACCACAGAGAGATGGATGAAGAGAATTTAAAATAAATGCTAAATGACAATAGAATATAAGTATCTGTGTTGGTGGCTCATACACCTTCTAAAGAGTAAGTGTGTTGCATACCTGAAACACATGAGTACATTTTATCCACCAGAGAAGCACAATACTCAGATGAAGCAGACTATTTATGAGTTTACCTGAGGAACTCTGAGGGCCACCCAAATTACCTGTCAGAAAATTTGGATAGGACGAGGTCCTGTATTAGCATGATGAGAGCATTAGCTAGTAAAATGCAGCTTATCACTATTTAATGTGATCTCATTTGTATTCATCAGATAAAATCCTGAAGTAAGTTCTATTACAAGTATAATACATGTAATGCTTTAGACATAGTTAATCATATTTAAGTGACATTTTCCATTAATTATTATAATGTGCATTTAATGCATTAACTTGAAATATTTCATTTTGTTATGGAATACAAGAAAAAATAGGATGAATAAAACTTAAAATCCATGTTAAACATAGATAATGAATAAATTAGTTGTTTGTAAGATATAGGTGAAACTTACCAAATGTATAGGTATAAATAATGAATAAGCAAGTGGCTTTTAAGACATGGTCAGAAGTCCTTACGTGAGTTAACACAGATAAGCCAGACATTAATATATGGGACATGGACCATAGATAAAGAAGCAAGGATTGAAGGACCAAAAGGCACCTAGTATTTATGATATAATGATACATTAGACATATTAAGCACTCAGCATTTCTGACACCTTATAATAACCATCCAGGTTGACACACATTCTGGCCAAAAGTACAAATAAAATTGATAGCATCTCATGAAGCCAGATGGTGAACAACAGCTGTGGACACTACTTATCCCTATGTCTGTTTGCTAGAGCAATTGTGTATATTGTTAACTCTGAACACTTTCCATTTGCTAAGCCCTCTTGCTTACCTTTAACTCTGGTCTTTATAAACCCACTCTGGTCCTCATTACTCCAAGATCAATAAGGAATCCTAATGCAGCAGAGGAGGCAGATCATATAAACATGGATTAAAAGAAAATTTAGTTTCTGTGGTCTTTCTGCCCTGCTTGCCTTTTAGACTTGATGTGTTAACCTCCCACTTCTCTTTCTTCTTTCTGTGTTTCTAATTGATTTAATAAACTGAATGATTCAAGCATCTTAGTTTAGTCTGTGAGCATCTCTGGGGTAGCTTGAAGACTACCATTGTATTAAGATAATTTCTCACATGACAGTTAAGTTTCCTAATCTGCTTATGTATCTCTGAAAAAGGATTTAACTAGTGAATTAGAGAATAAACTACAAGCAGCAAAAATCACAGATGATCCTTTGGAGTTGAAAAAGGACAATGTGTATGGATTGCCAAAGTAGAATCAGATATGCTTATTTGAATAAACATTGTTGGTTTGTGCCAGTAGAAAACAACTGGGAAAAGCCTGACGACAATTGTCTAGGGTTCTTGTCTGGTTTTAGAAAAGGTTAGTACAAATCTTCTGATTCTTTCTCCTATTGACTCAGTCCCTTCAGTCCAAGGCAAGCATTATTTATTTTTTAAAAGCAGTACCTTAGATGTATTGAATGTTACATTACAGCAATCTAACTGAATATTAGAATAGATAATAAATATGAAAATTATTACTATGCATATTTAAATCAAATTGTTCCATCTTCTTTAATTTATCATATTTATAATATGTGATCTTTTGTGCCTGGCTTCTTTCATTTAGTGTAATATTTTCAAGGTTCATCTATATTGTAGCATATTTATGTAATAATAATATGTTCATATTCAGCTCATTGCAGTACTAGTCACAGTAGCCAAATGTGGAAACAACCAAAATGTCTATCAACAGAAGACTGAATAAATAAATTGTGGTATACATTCTGTATAATATTCTGTCATTATTATTATATTATTATATTCTGTTATGATATAATAATAACATATTATATTCTGAATTTTATTATATTTTTATATATAATGAACACATTTTCATGTTCTTGCTCACCATTTGTATATTTTCTTTTTTTAAAATAAAGACAGGGTCTCACTCTGATGCCCAGGGTAGAATGCAGTGGTACAAGCACAGCTCACTGCAATGTTGAACTCCTGGGCTTAAGTGATCCTCCTGCCTCAGCCTCTTGAGAAGCTGGGACTACAGGTGCAGGCCACCACTCCCAGCTAAACCATTTGTAAATCTTCTTTAAAGAAGTGTCTATTCAAGTCCTTTGCATATTTTTATTTGGGTTGTATTATGGTCTGAATGTTAACATCCCCCTAAAATTCATATGCTGGAACCTAATACCCAATGTGATAATATTAAGAAGCAAAGCATTTTGGGAAACAAAGCATGAGAGTGGTTGGAGGGAGTTGCCTTGCCAATTCTACCATGTGAGGCCATATAAAAGTTGCCATCCATGAGAAATAGTCCCTCACCAGACACTAAATCTACTGGCACCTTGATCTTTAATCAAGAGCTGTGAGGAACAAATTCCCATTGTTTATAAATTACCCAGTTTAAGGTATTTGGTTATAGTAGCCCCAGCAGACTAAAACAGGTTGCTTATGTTTTTGTTGTTGTAATAGAAGAGCTCTTTATAGATATTCTACATACCAGACCTTATCAGATATACAATTTATATCCATTTTAGGGTTTTTTTTACTTTCTTGACAATATTTTTTAAGGTACAAAATTTCTAATTTAAAATAAGATTCATCTTATCTATTTTTTTCTTCTGTTGCTCTGTATCATTTATAAGAATCAACTGCCAAATCCAACATCATGATGGTGTTTTCCTCCTAAGTTTTCTCTTAGGAGTTTTACAGTTTCAGCTCTTATATTTAGGTTCTTGATCCACTTTGAGTTAATTTTTTGCAAATGGTGTGAGGAAGGGATCTAACTTTACTTTGCATGTAGTTATCCAGTTCCCCAAGCACCATTTGTTGAAGAACTATTTTTTCCCCACTGAATGGTCTTCATGCCATTATCAATTGACCACAGATGTATTTGTTTATTTCTTGACTCTCAAGTGTATCCCATTTGTCTTTATGCCTATCTTTATGCCAGTACTACAATGTCATGATTACTGTACCTTTGTTGTAAGTTTTTAAAATTTTAAGTGTAATTATTGCAGCTTTGTTCTTAGTTTTCAATGTTGTCTTTGATTGCACCCAAAAGAAAAAAATGCCCATGTATAAATTTAACCAATGAGGTGGGAGACTTGCACACTGAACACTACAAAACACTGCTGAAGGAAATGAAAAAATACAAAGAATACCTGAGTAAATAGAAATACACTCATTGTTCTATACTGAGGAAGACTTACTATTTTTAATGGTAATAATAATAATCCTATTTAGTATTTCTTGAAATTACATGTGAATTTGAAAATCAGCTTTTCCATTTCTGTAAAAAAGATCATTGGAAATTGTACAGAGATTGATTAAATTTGTATACAGCTATGATTATTATTGCCATCAACAACAGTAAGTCTTCCAATATAGAACAAGGAGTGCCTATGTATTTATTTAGGTATTCTTTCATTTCTTTCAGCAATGTTTTGTAGTTTTCAGTGTACAAGTATCCTACCACATTGGTTAAATTTATGCCATAAATTTTCTTCCTTTAGATGCTATTGTAAATAAAAATTTTTAAAATTCTTTTCTCATTGTTCATTGTGTATAGAAATAGACAAAATTTTGTGTGTCAATTATGTACCCTGAAATCTTGCTGAATTATTTACATAGCTTTAGCAGTTCTTGTAGATTCTTTGGGCTTTTCTATATAGAATCATGTCATCTGCAAATAGAGAAGTTTAGTTTTACTTGTACAATTTGAATGCCTTTTATTTCTTTCTTTTGCATTATTTCTCTGGCTGGAACTTCCAGTACAATTTTGAAGAGCAGTGGTGAAAGCAGATATCCTTATCTTGTTCCTGATTTTAGGGGAAAAGCTTTCAGTCATTCACCACTGAGTATGTTAGCTGTGTGCTCTTTCTTCATAAATGCCTTTTATTATGTTGAAGAAGTTACCTTCTATTTCTAGTGTTCTAAGTAGTTTTATCATGAAAGTGTGCTGAATTTTGTCAAGTGCTTTTTCTGAAATATTGTTCTTCAACAAATGGTGCTGGGGCAACTGGATAACTACATGCAAAAGAATAACGTTGGATCCCTTCCTCACACCATATGCAAAAATTAACTCAAAGTGGATCAAGAACCTAAATGTAAGAACTGAAACTGTATAACTCTTAAGAGAAAATTTAGGAGGAATACATTGTCATGATGTTGGATTTGGAAGTCGATTCTTATATATGATACAAAGCAACAGAAGAAAAAATAGATAAATTGAGCCTTATTTTAAATTAGAAACTGTGTACATCAGAGAACATTACTGATATGGTTTGGCTGTGTCTTCATTCAAATCTCAACTTGAATTGTATCTCCCAGAATTCCCATGTGTTGTGGGAAGGGCCTAGCGGGAGGTAATTGAATCATGGGGCCCAGTCTTTCCCATGCTAGTCTCATAATAGTGAATATATCTCATGAGATCTGATGGGTTTATCAAGAGTTTCTGCTTTTGCTTCTTCCTCCTTTTCTCTTGCCGCCACCATGTAAGAAGTGCCTTTTGCCTCCCACCATGATTCTGAGGCCTCCCCAGTCATGTGGAACTGTAAGTCCAATCCAATTAAACCTTTTTTTCTTCCCAGTCTTGGGTATGTCTTTATCAGCAGCATGAAAACAGACTGATACAATTATCAAGAAAGTAGAAAAAAATTTATAACGGAAAAAGTATACTGAATCAATTAAGATAATCATGTGGTGATTTTTATTTGTTCTATTAATGTGATATATATTATGCTAAATGATTTTCTTACATTGAAATACCCTTGCATTCCTGGAAAGATTCACCTTGGTCATGGTATATAATCCTTTCAGATTCAGTTAAATTCAGTTTGCTAGTGTAGTTTGGTATATGTGTCTAATTTTCGAATCTATATTTGTAAGGATCTGTGGTCTATAATTTTATGTGTGTGATGTCTTTGATTTTGGCATTAGGAAAATATTGGTTTCATAGAAATTAGTTAGGAAGTGGTTTTTTTTCTCTCTTATTTTTCTATTAGAGTTGTGTCACTTGACATGGGGATATTTTCTGAGAAATGCATAATTAGGTGATCTTGGTGTCATGCAAACATCATAAAGTGTACTTACACAAACCTAGATGATATAATCTACTAAAACATAGGCTCTATGGTACAGTCTATTGCCCCTAAGCTATAAGCCCATGCAGTATGTTACTGTACTGAATACTATAGGTAACTGTAACACTATAGTAATTAATTATGTATCTAAAAATATCCAACATAAAAAAACAAAGAAACATGACACTACCAAGAGAACACAATAATATTTTAATAGCTGACCCCAAAGAAATGGAAATCTATGAGGTGCATGACAAATAATTCAAAATTACTATAAGGAAACTCAACAAGCTGCAAGGAAACACTGACAGACAACTTAATTCAATTAAGAAAACAATACACAAGCAAAACTAGAAAATCAACAGAGAGATAGAAATGAAAAGCACCAAACAAATTTCTAGAGTTAAGGAATACAAAAAAATGAAATTAAAAAACAATGCAATGGAGAGCATCAGCAGCAGATTAGATCAAGAAGAAGAAAGAATCTGTGAAGTAAAGGACAGGGAATGTGAAAATATCCACTTAGAGGAGAAAAAAGAAAAGAACAATGAAAAAGAATAAAGAAGGCCTATGGGATGTATGCAACACCATACAGAGAACTAACATTTATTTTACAGGAATTTCAGAAGGAGAAGAAACAAAAAGCTAATACTTTACCTGGCAGAGTTGTCCTGTAGAAATAAAGAAGCAATAAAGACTTTGCCAGACAAACAAAAACTGGAGAGTTCATCACCAATAGACCTGCTTTACAAGAAACGCTACAGGGAATTATTCAAGTTGAAATTAAAGGATAATAATTAGTAACATGAAAATATACAACTCACTGGCAAAAGGATTACTCAAATGCAGAATATCCTAATACTATAATAGTCATATATAAGTTACTTATATCTCTAGAATAAAGGTTAACAGACAAAACTATTAAAATAACTATACCAAAAATAATTTGTTAATAGATACACAATATAAAAATATGTAAAAGTAACATCAAAAACAAAATATAGGGGTGGGGTAAAAAATTTAATGTAGAGTTTTGAATGAAATTGAAATTATCAACTTAAAATAAACTATTAGAACTATAAAGTGTTATAGATAAGCATCATGGTGATCAGAAAACAAAAACTTACAGTAGATATGCAAAAGATAAAGAGAAAAGAATCAAAGCAAATCACTACATAAACGCGTGAAATCACAAGAAACATTGAAAGACAGGCCAGGTACAGTGGCTCATGCCTTTAATCCCAACACTTTGGGAGGCTGAGGCGAGTGGATCACCTGAGGTCAAGAGTTCAAGACCAGCCTGGGCAACATGACGAAACCCCATCTCTACTAAAAGTATAAAAATTAGCCAGGTGTGGTAGCATGTGTCTGTAATCCCAGCTACTCAGGAGGCTGAGGCAGGAGAATTGCTTGAACCCAGGAGGCAGAGGTTGCAGTGAGATGATATCGTGTCATCGCACTCCAGCCTGGGCAACAAGAGCAAGACTCTGTCTTAAAAAAAAAAAAAAGAAGAAGAAGAAGAAAAAAAGAGAAGAAAATAGAAACAAAAGATCTAGAAAACAATGAACAAAATGCCAGTGGTATGTCCTTACCTATCAATTCTCACCTTGAATGTAAACGGATTAAATTCTCTGATAAAAAGACAGAGTATCTGAAAGGGTTTCAAAAAACAAAAAACAAGACCCAGCTATATGATGCCTACAAGAGACTTTCTTCAGGTTTAAGGACACATATAAACTAAAAGAAAAGGTATAGGAAAAGATATTCCATGCAAATGGAATTGCAAAGAGAGCAGAGGTAGCTATACTTATATTGGACAAAATAGATTTTAAGTAATAAACTACAAACAGAGACAAAGAAGGTCATTATATAATGATGACATATGTATAAGATACATATATAATATACATGTAATATATGTGTATATATATTAATATAAGAAAAATTTTAAAATATTTTGGGACAAATGGAATGAAAACACAACATATCAAAACATATGGAATGCAGCAAAAGTTGTTATAAGAGGAAAGTTTATAGCAATAAAGACTGACGTTAAAGAAGAGGAAAGATTTCAAACAGCCTGATGATTCACCTCAGGGAACTAGAAATAGGGAGCAAATAAGCCCAAAGTAAATAGAAAAAAGGACACAACAAAGATCAAATCAGAAATAAAATGGAGACCAGAAAAGCAATAGAAAAGATCAATAAAACTTAGAGTTGGCATTTGTAAAGGAAAACAAAATTGGCAAACTTTTCACCAGACTAAGAAGAAAAGAGAAGACTCAAATAAAATTAGAAATGAGAGTGGAGAAATTACAACTGATAATACAAAAATACAAAAAATTATGAGACTGCCATAATCAAGTATGTCAAAATTTAGATAACCTAGAAGAAATTCCTAGAAACATACAACCTACCAAGGCTGAGTCATGAAGAAACAGAAAATCTGAACAGATCAATAATGAGTAAGAAGATTGAATCATTAATTTAAAAAAATCATCTCCTGCCAAAGGAAAACGCAGTGATGGCTTCACAACTGAATTTTATTAAACATTTAAGGAGGAATTAATACCAAACCCCATAAAAATTCAAAAATTTGAAGAGAAAAAAAGTTTCCAAATTCATTTTATGAGTCTAGCATTATGTTGGTATGAAAACCAAAAACACTGTAAGAAAATAAAACTACAGGCAAATATTCCTGATGAGTACGATGTAAAATCCTCAAGAAAGTACTATTAGACTGGATTCAACAACGAATAAAAGTGATCATATACCATAACCAAGTGGGATTTATTCTTGAATGTAAAGATTGTTCAACATATGCAAATCAATAAATGTGATACACCACATTCACAGGATGAAGAGCAAGAATCCTATGATAATCTCAATAGATTCAGAGAAAGCATTTGACAAAATTTAACATCTTCTCATAATAAAAAGAAAACTCTCAACAAATTAGGTATGGGGGAATGTAAATGAATACAAAAAAAAGTCACATATCATAGACCCACAGCTAACATTTTTCTCAATGGCGAATAGTTGAAAGCTTTTCCACTAAGACCAGGAAAAAGACAAAGATGCTCACTCTTGCCACTTCTATTAGACATAGCACTGAAAGTCCTAGCTAGAGCTTTCAGGCAAGAAAAAGAAATAAAATACATACAATTTAGAAATGAAGAAATAAAATAGTCTCTGATGGCTAATGGCATCATCTTATATGTAGAAAACCCTAAATATTCCACCACAAAATCCCAGCACTTTGGGAGGCCAAGGTGGGTGGATCACCCGAAGTCAGGAGTTCGAGACCAGCCTGGCCAATGTGGTGAAATTCCGTCTCTACTAAAAATACAAAAATTAGCCAGGCATGGTGGCAGGTGCCTGTAGTCTCAGCTACTCAGGAGGCTGAGGCAGGAGAATCGGTTGAACCCAGGAGGCAGATGTTGCAGCGAGCCGAGATTGCACCATTGCACTCCTGCCTGAGCAACATGAGCAAAACTCAGTTTCAAAAAAAAAAAAAAATCTGTTAGGACTGATAAACAAATTCTATAAAGTTGTAGTTTACAAAATCAACATATCAATATCAGTAGCATTTCTATATATTAAGAACTATTGGCAAAAACAAAATAAGAAAACAATCCCATTTACAACAGCACAAAAAGGAATACAGTACTTAGGAGTAAATGTAACCAAGGAAAACAAAGAACTCTACATGGAAAACTGTAAAGCATTGATGAAAGAAATTGAAGAAGACACAAATAAATAAAATATATTCCCTCTTCATGGATCAGAAGAATCAATATTGTCAAAATGTTCATACTACTTAAAGTGATCTACAGATCCAGTGCAATCTCTCTCAAAATTAAGATGGCATTTTTCACAGAAATAGAAAAACAATTCTAAAATGTGTATGAAACTACAATAGACTTGGAAGAGCTAATGCAGTTTTTGGCAAGAAGAACAAAGCTGGAGATATCACAAATCTTGATTTCAAAGATATAGTAATCAAACCAGCATAGTATCTGCATAAAAACAGTGGGAAAGACAAATAGAATAGAATAGACTTCCAGAAAAAAAGTCACACATACACGGTCAACTTAAAGTTGCCAAGAATATGCAATGGGGAAAAGATAGTCTCTTTAGGTAGTGTTGGGAAAAATGTATATCCACATGCAAAAAAAATAGATATTGAATCTTGTCTTGCAATGCACAAACAATTCAAAATGAATTAAACATTTAAAACCTAAGACCTAAAATTGTAAAACATCTAGAGGAAAACATAAGGGTCTTGACATCGGTCTTGGTAATGAGTTTTTGGATATGACATCAAAATCACAGAGAAGAAAAGCAAAAATAAATAAGTGGGACTGGATAAAACTAAATCACAGCAAGGGAAATAATCAACAAAATGAAAAGACAACCTACAAATGTGAGAAAACATTTGCAAACTATATATATGATAAGGGAGTGGTATCCAAAATATATAAGGAACTCATACAAATCAATAGCAGTAAAACAAATCACCAATTATAAAATGAGCTGAAGACTTGAACAGACATTTTTACAAAAGAGGTATAAATGGCAAACAGGTATTTGAAAAGTTACTCAGCATCACTAATCATCAAGGAAATGCAAAACAAAACCACAGTGAGATATCACCTCATATCCATTGGGATGACTAGTATCAGAAAGTCAAAAGATAATAAGTGTTGGCAAGAATAAAGAGGAAAGTAAATCTTCATTCATACATTATTGGTGGAAATGTAAATTGCTACAGCTATTAGAATAATGGAAGTTCCTCAAAAAATTAAAAAGGAATGACCATACAATCTGGCAATTCCCTTTCTGGGTATATACCCAAAGGAAATAAAATCACTTTTCTTAAGAGACATGTGCACTGCCATGTTCATTACAGCCAAGATGTGGAAATAACATGTGTCCATCAAATGATGAATGTACAAAGAAATTGTGATATATATATGATATATAAAATAGTTATATATGTTATATAGACGTCTCTCAATAGATGGATGGATAGATAGATAGATAGATAGATAGATAGATAGATAGATAGATAGATAGATAGATAGAGTTTAGACTGTGCAAAGGAGTTTAGACTCCTTGTTAAGGCAGCAGGCCACCACCACAGGGGTATAAGCAGGCTAAGAGAGTGAGCATCCTTAGAAAGGACGTTCTGGGTCAGGTGCAGTGGCTCATACCTATAATCCCAACACTTTGGGAGGCTGAGGTGGTAGAGTCATTTGAGGCCAGGGCTTTGAGACCAGCCTGGGTAAAAAAGCAGGACCCTGTCTCTATGAAAATAAAAATAATTGGCCAGGCATGGTGGCTGGCTAAGCCAGGAGGCTGAGACGGGAGGATCACTGGAGCCCAGGAGTTTGAGGCTACAGTGAGCTGTGATCGCACCACTGCACTCCAGCCTGGGTGGTAGGGTGAGACCCTATCTCAAAAAAGAGGGCAAGGAGAGGAGATGGGAGGGAAGGGGAGGGGAGGGGAGTTGAGGGGAGGGGAGAGAGGGAGGGAGGGAGAGAGGGGAGAGAGGGAGGGAGAGAAGGGAGAGAGAGAATAGAATATTATTCAACCTTTAAAAAGAAGTAAATCCTGCCATTTGTGACAACATGGATAAACCTGGAAGACATTTTGCTAACTGAAATAAGCCAGACACGTTTCCAATCAGTACTTAGTGGCAAACAAAAAAAGAAAAAGAAAAAAGCCAGACACAGAAAGACAATTATTGCATGATCTCACTCAGATGTGGAATCTTTAAAAAGTTAAAACAAAGAAACATAGAATAGCAGGATAGTTACCAGGGATCTAGGGTGGGGAAAATGAGGTGATGTGGGTCAAAGGGTACAAAACTGTAGTTATGAGTAAGTTGTAGAGGCCTAACATATAGCATGGTGATGATAGTTAATAATAACCCATCATATACTTGAAATTCACTGAGAGTAGATCTTAAGTATATGAATATGTTGAATAGCTTGATTACAGAAATCATTTTACAATGAATATGTATATTAAAACATCACTCTGTATGCAAATATGTACAAGTTTTATTTATCAATTATACCTCATTAAAGCCAAAAAATAAAGAACTTTCTTCAAAGTCACATTGAACAATTTTCATGTATAGGTTTTTTGCCAACCATATAGATAAGAAAGATTTGGAAATATAATATTTTTAGCTGAGAATATTGCAGTATTTAAATACACAAGGCTTCTGTTTTAAACAAGAGCAAGGAATTGATAATGGTGAGGCAACCAGCACATAATTAGTTGTTAACATTTATTTAGCACATATTAAATACCAGACATTGCTCTAAATGCCTTATGTACATTAGCCCATTTAATCATCACAATAATCCTAGAAGGTAAATGCTTTTATTTTCTTCTCTGTACAGATGATGAAGCTGATTCAAAGCATAGTAACTTCATGTCTCAGACTTACTAAGTATCAGGGCCAGAATTAGCACCTGATTACTCTCCAGATCATTTCCTAAACCACCTGCTACACTGCTTTGCATTGCCAGAAAACAGACCTAAAATCTATACATACATCTTTTTTCTCCTTTCCTTTCACAGTCATTTGTTAACATATTTATGCCACCTTTAATTCAATATGATTAAAACTAGACTGTGAAGTTGTTTCTTTAACTGGCTTTCTATATCTGCAACTTCCATTGCCATTCTCCAAATTCTCGAGGACTCTTGCTCCCAAAGCCTGTAAGGAATAGGAAACTAATTTTAAGGAGGACTGTGCAGAAGTTGTGGCTCACTGGTTCTTCATTGGCTAATTTACAGTGTATCCCTAGAATTTATCCTAGAATTTGGTCACTGCAATAGCCTCCTTCTGGGTACCCTAATGTCCATTCCATGATTCTGATGTTTAGAGTAATCTAATAGATACAGATTAATTGGTGAGCAGTAGGAAGACACTGAATGGCAGTCTGAGTGAAAAACTTCAATCTTTCTAATATATCTTAAGATCATTCATATATGATAGTTCTTTACTATTCAGTCAAAATTCCTTGGGTTGAAATTGTACATTCTAAAGTAGGTTCAACCTCTTTACAACTTTATTTTCATGTACTTCTCTATCTCCAGTACATTTACAGTCTTCTAGCCATTCTTAGCAAAAGCACCAAGCTGGAAAGGAATAATAACATCCTCCCCTGATAAACAACTGCCTTTTTACACAAAGTTATCTCCTGATCCTTTTAAGTCTTACCATCTCAGTTCATGCCAAAATAACTTTGATAACTTTGATAGAAATAACATAGAAAGTCCTTTGATACTTATGGGAAAATAATAACAATTAAAAAGTCAGAATGGATTTTCTTACAATAAGGGTATTGTACTTTGTATCTTCACTAAGAACTAGATGTATGTGATTGCTTAAACCTAGATGACACTATTTCAATTATCTACTTCTGCATAACAAAGCACCTCCGAAACTATGGCTTGGGCAAAGCTCAGCTCTTCTCAGCTCCACATATGTTTGGGCAGGGGCAGGGCAACTAGAATTTAACTCCCATGATTCTAGCTGGGGTGACTGGCAGGTCTTGGGGCTGGCCATACCCCTCTTTCCCTGTTTTTGATGTGGCTTCCCTCTCTTTGATGTGGTTTTGCTGTGTCCCCACCGAGAATCTCATCTTGAATTTTAATCCCCATAATCCTCATAACTCCCACATGTCAAGGGTGGGACCAGGTGGAGGTAATTGGATCATGGTGGCAGTTTCCCCCATGCTGTTCTCATGATAGTGACTGAGTTCTCACAAGATCATATAGTTTTATAAGGGGATCTTCCCCCTTTGCTCAACACTTCTCCTTGCTGCTACCTTGTGAAGAAGGTGCTTTGCTTCCCCTTCACTTTCTGCCATAATTGTAAGTTTCCTGCAACCTCCTCAGCCGTGCTGAACTGTGAGTCAATTAAACCTCTCCTTTATAAATTACCCAGCCTCTGGCAGTTTTTCATAGCAGTATGAGAATGGACTAATACAGTAAATTGGTACCAAGGTAGTGGGACACTGCTATAAAGATACCCAAAATGTGGAAGCAACTTTGGAACTGGGTAATAGGCAGAAGATGGAACAGTTTAGATGGCTCAGAAGAAGACAGAAAAATGTGGGAAAATTTGGAACTTCCTGGGGATTTTTTGAATGGCTTTGACCAAAATGCTGATAGTGATATGGACAATGATGTCCAAGCTGAAGTGGTCTCAGATGGAGACGAGGAACTTGTTGGGAACTGGAGTAAAGGTCACTCTTACTATGCTTTAGCAAAGACACTGGCTGCATTTTGCCCCTGCCCTAGAGATCCATGGAATTTTGAACTTGAGAGGGATGATTTAGGGTATCTGGTGGAAGAAATTTCTAAGCAGTAAAGCACTCAAGTGGAAGCAGAGCATAAAAGTTTGGAAAATTTGCAGTCTGATAATGCAATAGAAAAGAAAAACCCATTTTCTGGGGAGAAATGCAAGTCTGCTATAGAAATTTGCGTAAGTAATGAGGAGCCAAATATTAATCACCAAGACAATGGGGAAAATGTCTCCAGGGCATGTCAGACATCTTCAAAGCAGTCCCTGCCATCACAGATCTGGAGGAGGCCTAGAAGGGAAAAATGGTTTTCTGAACCCAGCCCAGGGTCCCCCTGCTCTGTGCAGCCTCAGGGCATGGTGCTCTGTGTCCCAGCTGCTTCAGCTCCAGCCATGACTAAAAGGGGCCAAGGTACAGCTATGGCCTTTGCTTCAGAGGGTGCAAACCCCAAGACTTGGCAGCTTCCATATGGTGTTGACGACACTGTAGGTGTCCAGAAGTCAAGAATTAAGGTTTGGGAACCTCTGCCTAGATTTCAGAGGATGGATGGAAATGCCTGGATGTCCAGGTAGAAGTTTGCTGCAGGGGTGGAGCCCTCATGGAGCATCTCTGCTGAGCAGTGAGAAAGGGAAATGTAGGGTTGGAGGTCCAACACAGAGTCCCTACTGGGGCACTGCCTAGTGGAGCTGTGAGAAGAGGCCCACTGTCCTCCAGACCCCAGAATGATAAATTGCACTGTGCACCTGGAAAAGCCACAGACACTCAATGTCAGCCCATGAAAGCAGTGGGAAGGGGGTTGTACCCTGCAGTGTCTTGGGGTTGGGGCTTCCCAAGGCCATGGGAGCCCACCTCTTGCATCAGCATGACCTGGATGTGAGACATGGAGTCAAAGGAGATCACTTTGGAACTTTAAGGTTTAATGACTGCCCTATTGGATTTTGGACTTGCATGGGGCCTGTAGCCCCTTTGTTTTGGCCAATTTATCACATTTGAAATGGGTGTATTTACCCATTACCTCTACCCCCATTATATCTAGGAAGCAACTAACTTGCTTTTGATTTCATAGGCTTATAGGTGAAAGGGATTTTCCTTGTCTCAGATGAGACTTTAGACTTGGGCTTTTGGGTTAATGCTGGAATGAATTAAGACTTTGGGAGACTGTTGGAAAGCCATGATTGGTTTTGAAATTTAAGGACATGAGATTTTGGAGGAGCCAGGGACAGAATGACATGGTATGGCTATGTCCCCATCCAACATATCACCTTGAATGCAATCCACATGATCCCCATAAACCCCAAATGTCAAGGGCGGGACCAGGTGGAGGTATTTGGATCATGGGGGCAGTTTCCCCCATGTGGTTCTCATGTGGTTCTCATGATAGTGAGTGAGTTCTCATGAGATCTGATGGTTTTATAAAGGGCTCTTCCCTCCTCGCTCAGCACTTCTCCTTCCCTCTGCCTTGTGAGAAAGGTGCCTTGCTTCCCGTTCAACTTCCACCATAATTGTAAGTATCCTGAGGTCTCCCCAGCCATGCAGAACTGGGAGTCAATTAAACCTCTTTCCTTTATAAATTACCCGGTCTCGGCCAGGTGCAGTGGCTCACGCCTGTAATCCCATCACTTTGGGAGGCTGAGGCAGGAGAAACATCTGAGGTCAGGAGTCCAAGACCAGCCTGGCCAACATGGTGAAACCCTGTCTCTACTAAAACACAAAAATTAGCCAGGTGTGGTGGCGGGCACCTGTATTTACAGTTGCTTGAGGGGCTGAGGCAGGAGAATTGCTTGAACCCAGGAAGTGGAGGTTGCAGTGAGCTGAGATTGTGCTATTGCACTCTAGCCTGGGTGACAGAGCCAGTCTCTGTCTCAAAAATAAATAAATAAATAACTGAGTCTCAGGAAGTTCTTTATAGCAGTGTGAGAAAGGACTAATACATTCTTCCTCCAGCACCTTTCTCTGTTCATGTGGCCTCTCGCTCTAGTAGGGTACTTGACTCTTTGAAATGGTAGCTGTGTTCCAAGCAGGTAAAAATTGATGCTCCAAAACTTCGTAATGCCTACATCCACAATTAATACAAAATTACTTCAGCTGCATTCAATCTGTCAAGGCAAGTCAAAGGACCAGGCAAAATTCAGGAAGAGGAAAGGGGAAAGAAGTTCCCCTTTCAGCAGACAAGAGGCACACATGCATTGGGATGAGAGTAATCACTGACAGTCAACTTTGCAGAAAACCTACCACACAAAGGTTTACTTTTGCTTTGCTTCAGTAAGACATATCAAAAGTATTTTCCAGCAAAAGTACTGTATGAAAACCATTATCATTTTCCTTTCTTTCTATATACTGCCACATGGTAGTTTGATTGCAAAAGTGTATCTCACTCTGTGTTTCTCAAAATTATAAATACATGAATCTTTAGAGAATACTCAATCTGGTGGAAAAGATATTTTTCTCATTTTCACAGGCTAAATAAATTTTGATTTGTAGTGGGTTGAAAAACTACCTCTAAAATCTCATGTCCAAGCCCTAACCCCTGGTACTCTATAAATGTGACCTTATTTGGAAAAAGAGCCTTTGCAAATATAAGAAAGTAAAAGATGAAATCATTGTGGAATAACTGGGTGGGCCCTAAGGCCAATGACAATAGACTTTATAAGAAGAGGAGAAGACTCAAATACACAGAGGGAAGAAGGTCAAATGAAGACAGAGGCAGAGATTGGAGTTATGCTGTCACAAGCCAAGGAACGTCTGGACCTACCAAGAGCTAGCAGAGGCAAGGATCTCCCCCAGGGCCTTGAGAAGTAGTATGGCCCTATTGACACATAGACTTCAATCTTCTGGCATTCATAATAGTGACAGAATAAATTTATGTTGTTTTAAGCCACCCAGTTTGTGATAACTGGTTATGGTATCCCAGGAAACTAATACATAGTTTTTTAATCAAAATCTTATTGAAAATATTTTTTAATTTACTATTTTTAAAAAATTTTTATTCCTAGTTCATCTGACTTCAGAGGCACTTCATATTGCAGAAGAAAATAAGAGGGGTGAAAGACCTTGCATTTATTTTAAATTTACTGATACTCTCTTAACAAGAATATGTGAATCTTAGTTCCTGAATTTTTTAAATTGCCCTCATCACTCTTGCATCTACAGATATAGGACTCAAATAATCTCATCACTTATATTCCGAATAGCATCTCTGTAGTCTCATATACTTATGGCAAGAAATTAACACAAAAGTAAAATATTTAATTGGTCCCATGGCTTAAATAAGTCTTCCTTAAAGAGTGACACCTATACCAGCAACATCAGTATCATTTCAGAACTTGTTAGAAATGCAATTCCTGGATACCACTCCTGACCTATAGAATCAGAAACATAGCAATCTGTGTTTGAACAAACCCTCCTAGCAATTCTGATGCCACTAACATATAAGAATTGCTGGGAATTCTGCCACTTACTCAATGTGACTATTCAAATTAAGCATTCTAGAATTGTGGAAATTACCACAGGATGGAGGGAGAGTTCCACTCAGCCCACTGTGGAGTCGATCTGAGCTAAACCCCACTGATCACCTGACCTCTACAAGCCCCTACTCTGACTGGTGGACTACAGTGACTTTTGGTTCTCTTAGAATTAATGTCAATTCAAAGCCAGTATTCAGTAATGTTCAAAAGGTCTGATTATTTCCTTTTCTCTGATGCACAGTGCACCTGGAGAATGATGCCATTTCAAGGACTCAGTGCTGGTTGCTACTGCTGGCAGATTGGGCATCCATCAGCGGCTGTGGCCAGGCTGACCTTGGTAAGTGGAACTCCGTGTTGCTTCCAGTGATTATATGCTTCAAATCTTTGAAATATTAATATATGGTATCTAATTGAATTTCTTATATATGAATATGCTAAACAACTTTTTTTTCAATTGATTTCTTTTTCAAATTTCCTTCCCTTTTTAACCTGCCTCATCTAGCAAGTGTTTTTTCTAAGATGGCTGCTGTCCAACATCTGGTTCTAAAAGGAAACTACAGAAATCCGTCAAAACACATTTGCTTGATTCCTGTGGGTTTTTGGGTGGAGAATAAATTTAAACTCTGTGTGAACCTAATGAGGATAAAATAAGCAAGGACAGAGGAATGAAACATTAGATTGAGACTGTAGAAAACCAAAACTATTAGGTTTATGCCCCAAGCCTTTCCTCTGTGATAGCAATATGTTTGGGTCCAAAGGAACTGGCTTGCTACACAACCTATCTTGCACTGCAGATATAGCATATTCATTATGTCATTGAGATCCTGTAGGTATCATTCATGGTTTTCCTTTTGCCACTTTGTGCAGGCAGATCTATATAATTATGAACAGATGTAATCCCAGCCACTGGATATAGTTTACAAACTAGACTCTCCCTCACAATCGATGCTTACCGCTCAATGGGACAGAATTGAACAGAAACTGGACTTTAAAATAGAAGTGTGACAAATTTCTCAACAAAGTTACAGGATATTCTATCAAGGATATGAATTACAGAATATTATTATCCTATGCACACTAGTATTTCATTCCAGCTGCTCTGCTGCTGTGTGTAGGTAAGATTCATACATCTGAAAAAAATGGGAGAATGGAAATAGAGGAATCCATTACTTGATGCTTGATGTAATGGTTACTTATCCTTTCCAAAGGTTGCAATATAACTGGTGTTTAGCAATAGATAGCAAGCTCCAAGTCCAGAATAAAGAAGGAGCACT
The DNA here is from genome assembly GCF_000001405.40 of Homo sapiens. Lineage (NCBI taxonomy): Eukaryota > Metazoa > Chordata > Mammalia > Primates > Hominidae > Homo > Homo sapiens. Next base: position 38,103,397 of record NC_000007.14, read on the forward strand.
TTATATTTTTTTATGTCATCACTTTATGTAGCAAACTTTCTGAATCATAATTTATTGATGCAATCAGTTGTAAAACGTACCATTGTTTCCTATACTTCTGGGCAGAAGAAAAATGTTGCCAATTAAGTTATATCTTATATTTTTATATCTATCGAAAGAGCTGTTTTAGATATATTTAGACCTGCATACTTATCACTTTATAGGCAATGAGAAAGTGTTATACTTTTTAATTCTATTAACCCCCATTAGCTTTTTATGTTATTGTTGTCATGCATTTTAATTCAACATATATTGTAAATATCACAAAATATTATTTTATAATTAATATTTTAAATGTGTCCATGTATTTACCAACATCACTGACTTGCTTTTCCCTCCTCCATTTCTGTATTTCTTTCTTGATCATTTTCCTTCTGCCTGAAGAATTCTGTAGTACCTACTGTAATATTTGTCAATGATGAAACCTCTCAGGCTTATTTTGTCTAGAAATATCTTTATTTCACCTTCAATTCCAGAGTAAATTTTTAGTTGGCAGAGAATTGTAAACTGGCAGTAATTTTATCATTAAAGATGTCATTAAATTGTTTTCTGGCTTCCATAATTTGTTTTAGGAAATTAGCTATTTATCTTATTGTAGTTGCTTGAAGGTAATGTGTATTTTCAATGTTTTATTATTGTTTTGATTTCCCTCAGTTTGACTCTGGTGTGCCAAAGTGTGGTTTTCATTGTATTTACCCAGCTTGGGCTTATACACTTCTTAAATCAACTGCTTGATGTTTTGGGTCAGACTTGGCAAATTCTTGAGAGATTTCTTCTTGAAATATTGTTTCTTCCCCATCCTCATCTTCTCCCTTTCTAGAACTCCAATTTCATATCTGGTAGACCTTCATGTAAATATCTTTTAAAAGATGTGCTTCCAGAAAAAAGAAATGCAACCTAAAGGAAGAGCAAAGAAGTAAGAAACAGTGGTAAAAACGGGACTGAGAAACACTAGGGTCAACATCAACAACAATTGACCATATAAAATATTAAAATTATTATTTACAAATTGTTTCATGAATATAAAAATAAGTCAGAACTAAAATAGGGAAATAATAATATGTTAGATCTGAGGCAATATGTTACTTAAGTCTTCTAAGAATCTGTAGTTTCTAGGTGAAGGATAAAGGTAACACTGAACTTTGCAAAGTCATGTGTACACATTAAATGTTGGAGACTATTTATTCAAATAATAGAAATGAAATATAAACCCTTCAAAATATTATTGGGTGATATGAATTTTTGCCCAAAAAAACTACTAAAACTTTGAAAAGAAAAAAAATGAAGTATGAAGGAAAGCAATATTACTTAAAACCACAAAATAGGATGGCAAAAAAAAAAACCTGAATATACTAGTTTAACTGAATTGGCCAGTTGAATACAAATTAAGATTGGATTAAATAAAATTCAGCAATATTTTGTTTAAAGAAGACACACTTAAAACATGGGTATACCAAAAGACTACAAGCAAAAGGATAGGAAAAGATTACTATGCAAACTGTTTTTAAAAAAATCATATTGCAGGGGCTGGCAATTTCTTTTTGTAAAGGGCCAGACAGTAAACATTTTAGGCTTTATAAGTCGTAACTTAAAACTACCTAACTCTGTGATTCTAGTAAGAAAGCATATACAGACAGTATGTAAACAAATGAGCATGGTTGTGCGCTAATAAAAATTTATTCAAAAAACAGGCACCAGGCCATATTTGCTGACCTCTGGTTTATTAGAAGACCATAATCTTGTGCCTTATGGATAAGCAAAAAATATATATACAAAGAAATAAACTAAGATAGATGATGTTACAAGAAAACTCAGCCTCAAGAGCTAGCATAGGTAAAGGAAAAGGAATTGAACAAAGGTAGTACGTAAGTTGTTTTTGATTCTCTCACCCATCATTAACTCCACGATTTCTTTCCGTTTCCCTCATCCCCACTTTACATCAGTTCTAGACAAGGTAAAAATTAGAACATAGCTTTGGGAGAGTAGTTCCCAATAGCAGACGATCCAGAGTTTTAAAAAACAGAATCCCAGCCGGGTGCGGTGGCTCCCGCCTGTAATCCCAAGACTTTGGGAGGCCAAGATGGGAGTATCACAAGGTCAGAAGTTCAAGACCAGCCTGACCAACATGGTTAAATCTCGTCTCTACCAAAAATACAAAAATTAGCCGGGCATGGTGGCGTGAGCCTGTAATCCCAGCTACTCGGGAGGCTGAGGCAGAGAATCAACTTGAACCTGGGAGGCAGAGGTTGCAGTGAGCCGAGATCGCACCACTGCACTCCAGCCTGGGTGACAGAGACAGACTCAGTCTCAAAACAAAAAAAAACAAAACAAAAACAAAAACAAACAAACAAACAAAAAACCAGAAGCCCCAGAAACCGTAGACTGGAATATAAGAGATCTTATGGATGCACTACCGGACAGCCCTTCTGTAGCCACTTGGGTCATGAGAGTGAAATACAGTATGGCACCACTGTTTGTGATTAAAGATGTTAACGCTAATGGACTCCACTGGCATTCATGGCTAATTACTTAAGAAAAGATTAAAAGACAACCGTCACCATTTCATACTTCGCATTGGAATCATACATTGTAAAGCATTTGTTTCTTATTTGTCTCTTAATTACAATTCTTACCACTAGGTGGCATTCACCCAAAGTTGTATCTCCCTGGGAAAGTGATGCAGAGGCTGCAAATTGGCAGGGCCTGGACGTGGCTCACAAATATGCTTTGATTGGCCCATTGTGTTTTCAAACATTTGGATGACTGGTCAATATTTAAGATTAGAGAATTTTACCCTATAAAATTGTCTTTCTTGCTTTTCTTGACAAATAGAAGACTTGGCAATACTAGGTCTTTCTCCACCTGCCAACAATCACTTGATGGGACAAGGCTGCTCCCACAGAGGGAAAATGCACTCTTCATATCAGGCCCTGCTGCTTCTTCGCTTCTTATGTGCTTTAATTGATTATATCCCTGCTTGGCCCCTGCAGGTATTCAACTTGGTGACCCTTGCATTATAGTTTCACCAGAACTTTTGAGCAATGACCATTTATTCTAAAACACTAACAAAAATATAATTTCACATTGGAGTGCCTTTCAGAAATGCAGATGTAAAGTTAAAACAGAATAAATCATACAAGAATCAAGACCTGGTTACAGAATGATACAAAAATCTTGAATTAAGGAAAATAAGGGAGGACCCAAGAGCAAAGTAAACAGCCAGACACTATTAAAAGATAAAAGTACAAATGCATCCAGCAAATGTCAGTTTACTGGATCCAGCACTGGTTTAAAAACTCTATACGGGTCAGGGCCAGGTGCAGTGGCTCATGCCTGTAATCCCAGCACTTTGGGAGGCCAAGGCAGGTGAATCACTTGAGGTCAGGAGTTTGAGACCAGCCTTGCCAACACGGCCAAACCCCATCTTGACTAAAAATACAAAACTTAACCAGGCATTGTGGCGCACGTCTGTAATCCCAGCTACTCTGGAGGCTGAGGCAGGAGAATCACTTGAACCTGGGAGGCAGAGGTTGCAGTGAGCTGAGATCACACCACTGCACTCCAGCCTAGGAGACAAGAGTTTAAAAATATATATATATATGTGGATCAATGCATTAGGTTCTCAAAATCTCTCTATGAGGTGTAGTGTTTCCTTCTCATCCCACAGATAGAAAAAGTGAGGCCCAAAGTTGAATAACTTTTCCAAAGTCATAGATAGAAAGTGGCATACCTGGGCTTAATCCCAGGTAGATCTGAGGCAAAGCTTAAGCTTTTAGCTTTGACTCCAAGGCCCTTATTGCAAAGAGATTATTTGAGGAATAGGGTTGGCGTTGGAGTTTGGAGTTGTAGAATTGCTTTGCCATTCATACTGGTTCTTTCTGTGCCCTCAGATTGATGAATCCTGGTTTTCTCTGTTGAGTGAAGAGATAATTCCTGATGGAAGAAAATAGATATTTCTTTATCTTCTTTTTGAAGAGGAGGGAAGAAAAGGGTCCCTTTCAGATAGTGGCATGGCCTATTTGGATTACAGTCATTTGTTCCCTTCTCTCCCTAGGATTATCTTTCCTAGGATAACTTCAAATATCCCAGGGATGCTTAAATTTCATCCTGAAAGAGAAGCAGAACACCTGCTCTGTCAGTGATGAAAGCCACTCTTCTTTATAATTGCTGCCACACGGTGTCGCTGTTGAAACACAGGGAACATAGCCACCCAGGTATGGTCCCTGCTGTACAGTATTGTTGCTGAGTACCAGGCCATGCTGTGGTTGGTGAATACAACAGAGGAATGCTTTAATGACCCACAAGCACCACTGTCATCCATCTCTTGTCTGTGGTAGTTTCTCCACAGGGATAAGAAATGTCTCCTTGGTAGCACTTTCGACTATGATACTTTTGTGCCATTGTAGGCTTGGTCCACCCACAACTTCAGTCTTATAATTAAGACATGATTCAAGTTTACATATAAAGCCATTTTTATAAGATCCCCCGGGGCAGCTGAATTTGGAGGGATTTTCAGTCTTAGCCATGCAATTGCCCAGGATTACCTCTCGTCCCTCCCACCTTCTTTAATCATCCCCCACAGTGAAAGAACTTCCTCTCCATCCCTCTGCCTCAACAGCCATCCATTTTTTTCATCCAAGAAAGAGTAATTAACGTTCCTTTATGGCAACACCTGACCTTGTTGCAAACACAGGCTATAATATTAATGCCTGAAAGTTCTCTACTACCTAGAGAATTACTCTGCATGGAGTCAATCACCTTGGATGGATTAAAGCTGTGTATTTTGGTTTCATAGACTTGGCTGTGAACTGGGTGAAGCATCCTCAGCAGCTGAATCCCAAGAGAATAATCTACAAATTCCTTCTTAAAAAATAATTGGTGTCCTTATCGTTTGTTATAGAGCTAGGGGTGTGTGCAAGTGAACAAGAAATGATAGTTAAATAAAGTTTCCAATTCAGTAAAAGATGTTTCTCATATAATTTCACTCTATAGCAATGTTCTTTCTCAGGGAAATATTTCTGTATCTGTAAGTGGAGATTTGAGATGAAGAATATACATGAAAAAAATGCTAACTGAACATGGATTTCAGGATCATGAAATGACCAAGCTCTTGACGAATTGTCCAATTTGTTCTGGACATACATTAATATGGACATATAGTAAATTCTCAACTAATCAGAGAGAGCTGTTCACAACTAATCCAAAGTCAGAGTGGAAATAAACTATGCATCATCTTCTGGTGCTTCCCAGCTGACTTCCCACCAGCCTGTAAGCAGCCCATTCTCAAGGCTTGGTTCTTATTTTTCTGAAACCACCACAGCAGCTCTGGCCCTCTGCAGGAGAGGGAAAGGTGTCTTAGTGAATATCAATGGCAACAAGTGATAAGTACATACTGCCTAACTCCTGAGCCTTGCTTCATGGTTACCATTAGGAATCTGACTACTCTCTCGCATGGTCATGAGATGTGCCTGTATCCTAGTCTCCAAGATCTTCCGGGAAGTAGACTTGCACATCCTTTCTTCCCAATCAGTTCTAGAGGTAATTAGTCAAGCAAATAATTTTTTGTTAGTACCTATTATTAATTTATTAATTTTCCTATTAATTAAAAAAAGATTTCCTGAGAAGTCATTTATTTCTAAAATGGAGGGTATTCAGCAATCATTTTTTTATATCAGTCATGGAACCCCTCCCAAAGCAAAAAGAAAAAGTTTAGAATTATAGAAAGGTCTAATAGATCATCACATTCAAGCTTTTGAGTTTTCTTCATTTACAGGTAAGGAAGCTCATTGCCTTCAATATCAACCTTCCCATCTGTTAAATGGAGGGCTCCAGATGATTTGGCCTCAATTGTGCGGTTAGTTACTCGGTGTAAAAATAGCTAAAATCTCTGTCTAAGGCACCTTATGCTGCATTAGAACTAATCAGTCATTTTCTTCTAAAACCATTTGTACCCCAGAAATCAATGCCACTCTACATTACAATTCCAGGATACAGCTTTTAAAATGCTTGGCTGAAGTAAAGGAAGGAAAGTTGCTGGCATCGTGGCTATTCTATTGTGGTTTATAGGCAATCCAAACATCAGTTGTGTGTTGTTATAGTTCAATTCTCAAAGATTGTTATGGGATCCCACATTATGGTATGCTTAAAATAAAAACAAATAAAAACACAGAGACCTTGTTTTCTAAGGCTATGGGATGACATGCAGTTTTGTGCCACTTCATCAGAACTTGGTCTTTCAACCAGAGTGTTTATTACGAAGTGCAGTAAAGCAAAACAGAACCACAAGACAAACATTAAAGCTCTCTCTCCCTTTCTGAAAGATCTGAGGAGAGGATTTTCCTTCAGAAATAACATGTCTGCCTCAGTGCTCACTGTGCCCAACAGCTCTGTCTCAGTGAAAGAATTTCCCACGGGGTTCTACAAAAAAAAAAAAAAAAAAATACCTGACTATACTGAGAACCAGAGAAATGTACAATTTAAAGCCTCTTTAATTAAATGTCCTTCCTTCTTTGGAATGGAAACAATTTTATCAAGTTATCTTTGGAGTAGGATTGAGGTGAGCAGAGATGTATTCAGATTTAGTTCCAATGAGCTCCAGGTATGGAACAGATTATGTAAATTCTGTATGGAACAGAATTCTGTATGGAACAGAATTTACATAATCTCGAGCTCATGGAACTTCTGTTCCATACCTGGAGCTCATTAACATAATCTGTTCCATACCTGGAGCTCACTGGGACTAAATCCATTTCTGTAACTGAAAATGTCCAAGGGCAACTGGAAATAATAAATTGAGCAAGGCTAAAATTTTGGAGTTAGAAAAACTAAAAGAAATTTAGTGTGTGTAGTATAAATTAGCACGAGAGGACAAGGGTTCTAGAAGTCTGTCACCAGCTTTTCGATCAGTTCCTGTCACCATCCCACCGCTTTGGGTTCATCAAAGCCAACTATTCATTTCTGTCCTTCTGTGATCCTGAGATGGTTTAAGAAGCACTTTTTTAACTCTTATTTTCCCTTATTAAAAAAAATTAAGTTGGCTGGAACTTGTATTACATTGTTGCTTGAGGCAGTTTTGCAGCTGGAAGGTTGCGAACTAAATCAAAGCAGACTGTGCTCTTGTATTTCTGAATTATTAAACATTTACATGCGACTGGTTACACAGTGTCTTTTTAAGAAAATGTATACACCCTTGATTTAGCAGCAGAGTTTAGGGTCAGTACTTTGGAGGATACCTCGTTCTATCAGAAGGCATATTTTAGGCCAATTCAGCTAAATTTTGCTGATGGAACAGGAAACTTAAGTGCAAGGGTGAATTTTTTAAAAACTTAAACCCATAGAGTACATAAACACTCTAAACCAGCAAGGCAAAGAAAACGATGTTTTTATCATTCTGATTACTGAACTTCACCAGCCCAGTTCAAGATACATTAAAAAGTCGCTTAGATTGTCAATGGATCTTGTTTCAGTTGTTAAGCTTTTCCCTTTGTTTTCCTAAGGTCAGAGCACCAATTCTGTAGAAAGAGGCTAGAAAATCTGAAAAATAACTATTGGGTATTAAGCTTCAAACCTAAAACAAACGTTAAAAAAAAAAAAGAAAATCTGAATAAGGTTGTAAAGTGCTCCAAGAATGCCAGCGTAGTTTTTACTCCTTCAGGATTCTAAAGTCATATCCTTTTGCAATGAAAAAAGTTAATGACGCTTTCAACAATGACAGATATGTAACAAAAACAGAAATTGAGTATGTATCCTCTAGTTTCTATGTGAGTTGTAGGTGATACAATTAAGAGGACAACAGAAAACCAAGGTAAACTCTAAAAATCTGCCCTGGAGGGAAAATCATTTATCTACTTTCTTGTTGCCACTTTCCGAAAAAATTTTTGTGAATCTTCCACAATTTGCATACTTTGCACATTGGGAAATATAGTGGTTATCCACAATAGTTAATGAGAACAGCCCAAGATTTCCATTTTTTCCATAGTGTTTCATAACCTCTAGGCTAAGTCATCCTCTCTTTGACGTATCTTTAAACATTACACCTAGTATCAAATTATTCCATTGCATGGCATTTTGTTAAAATATATTGAAATAAATATGTAATATGATATTTCCTGTGGTACAAGCACCTTGAAAATATTCCCACCAGTGATGGCTCATAGTCACATTATATTTGAGTGGTGATTGAGGGCATGTCTAATAATTATCTTTTCCATCCTTTCAAATAGTCAGCACTTCCCAGGCTCTGATTAATGGCCACTTTTAACTAGATTTCCCTTAAATGATAAGATAAAAGAGACAGGAATCACCACTGAGTTTTGTGAGTTGTCAGTTCATAAGAACTGCATAGCTTTATCCCCCTGTATTGATCTGGGACATTGATACAGTTAACTGTGATAGAAATAATTATTTTGTTCTTCCTCTTCTCTCTATGCTCAAAGACTAGTCTGGTTCAATATTGGCCTCAAGAATGTGCTTAGGCTCCAGAAATCCTAGATTACAATGTTTCAGACTCTCACCACAACCTCCTGACCTTCCTCTTCTCAGAGGATTTTCTTTCCTCTGACCTTGACTTTACCCCCAGAGCCATCCCCTCCTGGACTCCTCATCTCCCCCCACCCCACTGTATGTGCCCTCTCACCAGTAGCTTTACAACCTACCTGAACCTGATGATTGATCTGTCTCCCTTCTCACCAGTACCTCAGTTTACCTACATCTTATCCTGCTGCCACACACTCACTGCGAATATTATCTGATCTTTGGACAAAAGACTAGAAACAATCCAACTTTTCCTACTGAAAAGGAACTGAGAGCTGCTGGAGAAAGTTAAGTGACCCTGCAAATTGATGAAACTAAACTTCTGAGTTTCTGTTCCTCACAGAGCCGTGGGTACCTCCTATTGGCACATTTTTTTGGCTGTTTAAAAAATAGATTTAGGGGGTGCAAGTGAAGTTTTTTTACCAGGATATATTGTGTAGCTCCCACTTATAAATGAGAACATATAGTATTTGACTGTTTCTGAGTTATTTCACTTAGGATATGGCCTTCAGTTCCATCTGTGTTGCTGCAAAACACATGATTTCATCCCTTTTTTATAACTGCGTAGTATTCCATGGTATAGAATGCATAGATAATACATTTTCTTTATCCTATCAAACATTGATGGACATGTGATTGATTTCATGAGTTTACTGTGTGAATAGTGCTGCAATAAACAAACGAGTGCAGATATCTTTTTTATACAATGATATATTTTTATTTGGGTTGATACTCAGTAGTGGGATTACTGAATTAAATGGCTGTTCTATTTTCAGTTCTTTGAGAAATCTCTATAGCGTTTTCCATAGAGGTTGTACATCCAACCAATAGTGCATAAGCATTCCCTTTCTTCTTCATCCTTGCCCTCTGTTATTTTTGACTTTTTCATAGTAGCCATTCTGACTGCTGTAAAAATGGCATCTCATTGTGGTTTTAATTGCATTTCTTTGATTATTAGTGATGTTGAGCATTTTTGTATTTTTTTTTGGCCACTTGTATGTCTTCTTTTGAAAACTGGGTGGGGACACAGCAAAACCATATCAAAGAATGTGTGAAAGAGACCCTACCTATAGAAATAAGAATAGAAATAACAAAATAGTGTGTTTTGGAAACCAAGAGCATATCAATTTTTAAAAAGAAAGGGGGCCAGTCATGGCCTTTGCTCATGTCCTTTGCTCACTTTTATTTGCCCATGGTAAAATTTCCCTTTTATTCCATGCAATGACTCTTCTAAATCTAGACCAGCCCTTCCCTTCCATTAAATTCACAATCCAGCTGGGTGTGGTGGCTCACACCTGTAATCCCAACACTTTGGGAGGCCAAGGCAGGCAGATCACTTGAGGCCAGGAGTTCGAGACCAGCCTGGCCAACATGGTGAAACCCATCTCTACTAAAAATACAAAAATTACCGAGGCATGGTGGCACACATCTGTAGTCCCAGATACTTAGGCAGAGTTTGCACCACTGCACTCCAGCCTAGGTGACAGAGAGAGATTCTGTCTCGAAAAAAAAAAATTCAAAATCCAACCCAGTCTCCTACTTTCCTGTTCTCACACATTTTTTCAATCTTAACCTCTCTCTAGATTTTGCTTAAAGTGTTCAGTGGTTCATTTGTGTGTGTGTGTGTGTGTGTGTGTGTGTGTTTAATTCTGAACTGTCCATCCAAAAATGTATTTACCACCACCCATGTTTACCTTTTTTCCTCTGGTCTAACAGTGACAGCCAACCACCCAGCCCTGAGCCCCATGCACAACCTTCAGTCATCCACTATCTCCCTTACATATTCAATCTCTTCTTGCCTACCTCCTCCCTTACTTATACTCCCACACCAAAACAGAAATAAGGACGAATACCTTCCCTTGAATTTCATACTCTGAGAGCTACTTTTTAATCTCACAAGTTCAGATTAATCAGGAAGAAGAGATAAACCCAGACTACCTTATCTGGTGTTTGCCCTTCATCTGCTGAATTCTGGCTCCCATTCTCAGCATGCTGTTGAAATTGCTCTATTGGGGTCCATCATAACATTACAGCCAAATTTAATAGTCATTTTTAGTTTATATCTTAGTGGATCTCTCTACTTTATATGACATTGTCTATCACCCCCCCCCACCCGCCGCTTTTTAAGAGACAGGATCTTGCTCTGTAAACCAGGCTGGAGTGCAGTGGCACCATCACAGTTCACTGCAGCCTCAAACTCTTTGGCTCTAAGTGATCCTCTTGCCTCAGCCTGCTGCATAGTTGGGACTACAGACATACACCACCATGCACAGCTAGTTTCTTAAATTTTTTGTAGAGATGGGGTCTTTCTATGTTGCCCATACTGGTCTCAAACTGCTGTCTTTAAGCAATCCTCCCACATTAGCCTCCCAAAATGCTGGGATTACAGGTGTGAGCCACTACAACTGGCCTCCCTTTCTTTTTAAAATTTGATATGCTCTTGGTTTCCAAAACACACTATTTTAATATTTCTATTCTGATTTCTGTAAGTGGGGTCTCTTTCACATATTCCTTGATATGGTTTTGCTGTGTCCCCACCCAAATCTCATCTTGAATTATAGCTTTCACAATTCTCATGTGTCATGGGAGGAACCCGGTGGAAGGTAATTGAAACATGGGGTAGGTCTTTCCCATGCTTTTCTCGTGATAGTGAACAAGTCTCACAAAATCTGATGGTTTTATAAGGGGGAGTTTCCCTGCGCAAATTCTCTCTTGCCTGCCACCATGTAAGACATGTCTTTTGCCTTCTGCCATGATTGTGAGGCCTCCCCAGCCACATGGAAATGTGAGTCCATTAAACCTCTTTTTCCTTATAAATTCCTCAGTCTCAGGTATGTCTTTATCAGCAACATGAAAATGGACTAATATATTCTTTAATTTTGGATTATTTTCTCAACTCTCTGCCTTGATACACATGAAGAACAAGTAAAATTAATTTATGTCAGTTTCAGCTAACATCAGTGTGCTTTTGACTTCAGAACTTTTTTTTTCATCTCAATTCCTTCCCCTTCTTGAGATGTGGACAAAATCTTTACCAGCTGGCTGAACCCGATTATTACTTCTTGAGAAGTTCCCAAATCCAGTATTTCTTAAATGAAAGTCTTCCCACTACTGTGCATCCTTTTCCTAATCCCTTCTGTATACCCAGTATCAACTGGCTATATCGATATCCACCTTTGTTAACCCACGCTTGAAATCCGAAGTCACCTTGTAGCTCCCTTCTCCTTCACTGTTTACATCATACCGTTAACATAGTCATTGATTATATCTCAAACATTCTAGTACCTGAAAGCCTCTTCTACATCTGCACTATAAATGCTAGGGTTCATGCTGCCTTTGTAACTTGCATGAAGATACAAAAGACTCCTAAATACTTCTTCATGTTCTTTCTCCACAAAGCTTACAATCCACCATTCTTTGTTTTTTGATGAAGTCTGATTTTATCATGTTCATGCTTAATACCCTTCAGTGACTGCCTACAGAATAATATTTGGGCAGGTTATTGTGACACTACTTCTTCATAATATAATCCTCACCTCCCCTTTAGCTATAAATGTCACAAACTCCAGCCTCTGGCTGCTGAAGCATCATGAAATCCATGGTATTTCCCAAATTTTAAAAATCATTTCTCAGCAGGGCATGGCGGCTCATGCCTGTAATCACAGCACTTTGGGAGGCTGAGGTGGACAGATGGCTTGAGCCCAGGAGTATGAGACCAGCCTGGGCAACATGGCAAAACCTCATCTCTACAAAAAAATATGAAAACTCATCTGGACATCATGGCACATACCTCTAGTCCCAACTACCCAGGAGGGTGAGGTGGGAGGATCTCCTGAGCCCATGGAGATCGAGGCTACAGTGAGCGATGATCGTGCCATTACACTCCAGCCTGGGCAACCGTGAGACTCTGTCAAAAAAAAAAAGAAGGAAATAATTATTTCTCTCCTGGCTGTCTTTGCTCTTAACAATGACATTTTTAAATGGATGCTTTAAAAGGAAAATAGGCAGTAGAAATTGTGGAAGCTTTCCAGAACAATTGGGAGTTAGAGGTAAATCTCTGATAACATTTCCATTTTTTGTCCTGGTTTCAATTACATGATAGCTTTCTGTTATTTTTTACCTATAAAATGAAGTTATTTCAGTAAAAACTTACACACCACTGTTGTCAGAGAATAATTTCCCCTAGTAAATATAAATGTTATGCATAACATTAATATCAGATCTAATAAGGATTGAAAATTTATCATCTTGTTCTGAGATGTCCAGTAAAGTCCAGGTCTGTCAGTACTTATGGGAAGGTGCTAAAAATCACAAGAAGTAGACTTTTTTGTCCTCTAGAGACTTCCAAGGAAAAACATCCCTGCACTGGAGGTGAAAATAGTGGAGTGTGTGCCACTAGTTACTTCCACATATCCTAATGGTGGCCCACATCCTCACGATCATGTTGTGAATGGCTAGTGTTGGATAGACTCTGAAATTAGGAGCCAATTCCAAAAGTGTCAATGAGAAGAGGTGAAGTGATATTTGAATAACCTGGTCTAATCAGGTCTAAAGTACTGTGCAGAGCTGGTGCACCTGAGGCTCATTTGGATATGTTATTGTCCTTATGAGGTCAGGTAATTGCAGGCAGAAACTTCCTTTGCTTTAAGATTCCCCTGTGTCTCACAGGGACCATGACTGAAAGGATAACATTTTTTGCCTGAAATTTCCTATCTCATATTCTGATTCAGGTGCCACTAGTACCTTCCTTAGACCTTCTGGGTCTCACCTTTGATTTCAGCTACAGCTGTGGCAAATAGTTCCATGAAGCCTTTGTCTCATGTGATACTAATATAACCTCAAGTGCTCATGCTGTCTGCTCAGGGCTTCATACTGCTGCAGCATAAGACATAGAAGATCACTCCACGTGCATGCATTTGCAGCCCAGAATTTCAGGGGCATTAGAAACCCACAGGTGAACCCTTGATCAGTGGGGGGGGTCAGGAATTGATGGATAATTGCTTCTCTCTGTTGATCCTTAGAAGAATGATCCTGAGAGACACACTACACTTTCCTTAGAGATCCAGCCCTAGTAACTCACAGATATGACTAATGCAGGTGATTTTTTCAGGTGATTACAATAAAAACAACTGATTACAGTAAAAACAAAATATGTCCACAAGGTTGGCAGGGAAACGCAAATAAAGATGAGCACACAACCAGTAATCACAATACATTTGCAGAAAAAACTATAAAGTAATAGAGGCTTCAAAATAACGGAAGAACTACCTCTGGAACAAATCATGCTAACAGAGAAAACTGAATGAAACTTTAGAAAATGTCTAAAAGAATTCCTCTCCTTCCCATCCCCAGAGAAGTTCAGAAAGATTTTGTATTCAGTAAAGACTCCAATAGAAATCTACAAAATTCAAAAACTAATTATGAAATTTAAAAGGTAGAGGTGGGATAAACAGTAAAATGAACAAAGCCGAAAAACAAATTAGTGAGCTGAAAGATTAAGCTAAGGAATTCTACCTAAATGAATCCCCAAAGAACCAAGAAATAGAAAACATGATAAGAGAAATAGAAAACAGGATGAGAGAACTAGCATGGATATCCAGAAGTTTCAGAGGCAGTTTTGGAGGAAGAGAGCATAGAGAGCAAAGGGAGGAGGCAGTAAAATCAAAGAAGAAAATGTCCTAGAACTGAAAAAGGCTTGGTGTAAGATTGTAAGAGCCTATTTAAGTGCTAAGCAGAGTAGATTAAAAAGAAATCACATATAAAGATCCAACTTTGACCCCCTTTTTTTGTCTCTGTTGAGTTTTAGTATCAGGATGTTCCTGGCCTCATAGAATGAGTTAGGGAGGAGTCCCTCCTCCTCTATTTCTTGGAACAGTTTTTCTATGAATGGTACCAGCTCTTCCATGTACATCTGGTAGAATTCAGGTGTGAATCCGTCTGGTCCTAGGCTTTTTTTTTTTTTTTTTGGTTGAGGGAATTGGTAAGCTACTTATTACTGATTCAATTTCAGACCTTGTTATTGATCTGTTCACAGATTCAATTTCTTCCTGGCCCAGTCTTGGGAGGGTGTGTGTGTCCAGGAATTTATTCACAAAAGTGTTCATAATAGTCTCTGATGGTTATTTGTATTTCTGTGCAGTCAGTGGTCATATCCTCTCTGTCATTTGTAATTCTGTTTATTTGAATCTTCTCTCTTTTCTTCACTATTAGTCTAGCTTGCAGTCTATGCAAAAATCCTCAACAAAATACTGGCAAACTGAATCCTGCATTACATCAAAATCTTATCCACCACAATCAAGTAGGTCTTATCCCTAGATTGCAGGATTGGTTCAACATACGCAAATAAATAGATGTGATTCATCACATAAACAGAACTAAAGACAAAACCCACATGATTATCTCAACAGTTGCAGAAAAGGCTTTCAATAAAATTCAATACATCTTCAAGTTAAAAAAACTCTCAATAAACCAGGTATTGAAGGAACATACCTCAAAATAATAAAAGCCATCTGTGACAAACCCACAGCCAACATCACACTGAATGGGCAAAAGCCAGACGCATTCCCCTTGAAATCTGGCACAAGACAAGGATGCCCTCTGTCACCACTCTTATTCAACATAGTATTGGAAGTCCTGGCCAGAGCAATCAGGCAAGAGAAAGAAATGAAGGACATCTAAATAGGAAGAGAAGAAGTCAAACTATCCCTATTTGCAGACTACATGATTTTATATCTAGATATCCTAGTCCAAAAGCTCCTTCAGCTGATAAACAACTTCAGCAAAGTCTCAGGATTCAAAAATCAATGTGCAGAAATCACTAGCATTCCTCTACACCAACAAGAGCCAAGCTGGAGGCCAAATCAGGAATGCAATTCTATTCACAATTGCCACAAAAATAATAAAATATCTAGGAATACAGCTAACCAGGGAGGTGAGAGATCTCTACAAGGAGAATTACAAAAGACTGCTCAAAGAAATCAGAGATGACACAAAAAATGGAAAACATTCCATGTCACAAGGATAGGAAAAACCAATATTTTTAAAATGGCCATACTGCCCAAAGCCATCAATGCTATTCCTAACAAACTACCAATGACATTCTTCCCAGAACTAGAAAAAACTATTTTAAAGTTAATATGTAACCAAAAGCAGCCCAAATAGCCAAGGCAATCCTCAGCAAAACAAACAAACCTGGAGGCATCATCTTACCCAACTTCAAACCATACTACATGGCTATAGTAACCAAAACAGCATAGTACTGGCACAAAACTAGACACATAGACCAAAGGAACAGAACAAGGAACCCAAAAACAAGACCATACACCTAGGACCATTTGATCCTCAACAAAGTCGACAAAAACAAGCAATGGGGAAATGACTCCCTATTCAATAAATTGTGCTGGGATGACTGCAAAGATATATGCAGAAGATTGAAACTGGACCCCTTCCTTACACCATATACAAAAATTAACTCAAGATGAATTAAAGACTTAAATGCAAAACCCAGAACTATAAAAACCCAGGGAGACAACCTAGGCAATAACATTCTAGACACAGAAACAGGAAAAGATTTCATGACAAAGACACCAAAAGCAATTGCAACAAAAGCAAAAATTGACAAATGTGATCTAAGTAAACTAAAGAGCTTCTGTACAGCAAAAGAAACTATCAACAGAGTAAACAGACAACCTCAGAATGAGAGAAAATATTTGCAAACTATCTATCTGACAAAGGTCTAATATCCAGCATCTATAAGGAACTTAAACAAATTTATGAGAAAAACAAACAACCCCATAAAAAAGGTAGGCAAAGGACAAGAAGAGACACTTTTCAAAATAAGACATACATGTGGGAAACAAGCATATAACTAATGATATTGAGGCAAACCTCAACATCACTGATCATTAGAGAAATGCAAATCAAAACCACTATAAGATACCATCTCACACCAGTCAGAATGGCTACTATAAAAAATCAAAAAAATGACAGATGCTGGCAAGGTTGCAGAGAAAAAGAATGCTTGTACACTGCTGGTGGGAGTGTAAATTAGTCCAATCGTTGTGGAAAACAGTGTGACAATTCCTCAAAGACCAAAAGACAGAATTACCTTTTGACCCAGCAATCCCATTCTGGGTATATACCCAAGGGAATATAAATCATTCCATCATAAAGGCACTAGCATGTGTATGTTCACTGCAGCACTATTTACAATAGCAATGACATGGAATCAACCTAAATGCCCATCAACGATAGACTAGATAAAGAAAATGTGGTACATATAGAACATGGAATACTATGCAACCATGAAAAAGAATGAGATCATGTCCTTTGCAGGAACATGGATGGAGCTGAAGGCCATTATCCTCAGCAAACTAAAGCAGAAACAGAAAACCAAATACTTCATGATCTCACTTATATGTGGAAGTTAAATAATGAGGACCCATGGACACAAAGAGGGAAACAACATACACTGGGGTCTGCTGGAGAGTGGAGGTTGGGAGGAGGGAGAGAATCAGAAGAAATAAGTAATGAGTACTAGGCTTAATACCCGGGTAATAAAATAATCTGTACAACATACTACCATGACAGTTTACCTATACAATACACCTGCACATGTACCCCTGAACTTAAAAGTTTTTTTAAAAATAAAAAATGAAGTTCTTAACATGTTTTTTAAAAAAGAAAGCTCCAACTTTAGTATGCACAAAGTAAAATATCAAAACATCAAGGAAAAATTATAAAACGTAGAACGTATTTCTAAATGAGAACAAAATTCTAAAAGGAAGAACATATTTCTCATAAAATAATAAGTATTAATTTTCCTAGCTATAGTAAGAGAATTGTAGCTAATGGAAGATTTTCCTTATTCTTTGGAGATGTATGCTGAATAATTAGGGGTGAATTCTCATGAGGGCTGCAACTTATTTTCAAATGGTTACACAAAAGAAAATACACACACATAAAAAGAGAAATACCAAGCAAATACAGCTAAAGGCTTACCTAGGTGGGAGGTACATGGGTGTTCCCTGTACCATTTTTTCAACTTTCCTACTTATTTGAACACTTTCCTACTATAAAGTTCGGCAAAATTTCTCAAGTTCCTGTTTACTGGCAACTAACAACCATAAATTATTTATATAATTTGTGCCAGAGGGAAATGAGATATCTCATTAGAAGGTAATGGAGTGGAATCTTCTAAGTTCTGAGAAAAATATCTTTTATCTTTCTCAGCAAAACAATCTATTATTTAAATGTAAAGGCAACCTAAGTGATTAAACATCATACAATTTACCAGTCACTGACTGCATTTAAGAGAATGACTATGGAATATATTCCAATAAAATTAAAATTAGCGAAAGCAAGAGGGAGCCAAATTACATGATAAATATATGGAGTCAGTCAACTATGCATCTAATCTCCCTCCAAAAATACTCTAAAAAGAACATTAAAGAGAAAATAAGATCTAAACTGACAAATACAGGGGAACATGGGAATGGGGACAGCAACAGCAAAGCAAGTTCAATCGATTTGTAGAAAACAGAACATATATGGATTTAATAAGGTAAGGAAGTCATGCTCACAAAGGCAGGCATGAAGAATGACAGTTCACACACCAGGACTGGGAGGGACTTGGGACTAGGGGACACTAAGTGCAGAGGAAAGTGATGATGAGGCACAGGGCAAAACTGAATTTCTGTAGGCAGCACAAAAATTGTATACAATTAACTCCTCCTGCCTCCTTGCATGCCACATGCATGGAAGGCTGGTAGCTAAGCTCCTCCCCGTCTCCCATCCAAGGCAAGAGATTGGCAGTTTCTTCTCTGAGTAACTTCATGACTGTTGGGATATACCTCTGCCACCTTATTTTGTTGGAACAAGAACAGCCAGTGAATGAGGAGCCCTCAAGCTAAACCAGACACAGCTTCCAATCTGCTTTTCAGAGCGTCCTTATGAAATGTTAATGATATGAGACATTTGAGGAAAACCTCCCACAGGAAAAAAAAATACCAGAATAACCAGGAAAAAAAAAAAACAAAAAACACTGAGAGTTTTTTGAGGTTTTCTTCAAAACTGTTATCTTGAATTAATATCCTCAGAACAATCAGAGAAGATGTTATATCTATAAAACAAGAACAGGGTGGTATGAAAAATGAATACTTGTGAAACAAAAAAGAGCTTTTAGAAAGGTAACTTTAAAGATCATTACAGGAATTAAAAGAGAAAAAAATTAAATAAATCTCACAAAAAGCATGACCAAAAGACAAAGATAGGTGGGAAAATGTGATAGGAAAGATAATCAATTCAAGGGGTTCACTATCTTATTAATGAAAAGTTCATAAAAAGTAAGAAAAAAGAAAGGCAAGAAATTATGTCAAAGATAATGCAGTCAAATTTCCCACAGTAAATTCCAAGATCAAAGTGGCCTAGAAAGTGGCCACCATGACTATCATGGTGGACTATCATTTATGTTTGATACTCAACCAGTATTTTAGTTAATATAAAGGAATAATATTAACCACATTCATTAGGCAAATTTGAATCACTCTTTGCAGTATGTCTGCGTCTCAAATTTGAGGATTATGGCATTTCAGCTCTTGAAAATCAAAACATGGCCAAAAAAGTATCTAACAGAGTTGGTAAACAACCCATAGGTCAAATCCAGCTTGCAGCCTGTTTTGTTTTACAGCCTGGGGGCTAGGGAGGGTTTTTAACTTTTAAAGAGTTATAAACAAAACGAAGAACATGTGACAGAAACCATATGTGGCCCACAAAGACCAAAGTATTTACTATCTAGGTTTGCTGACCTATACTAAGCATAAAAATGAAAGTTACGTGCTGTTACTCAATATCCAATTCCAGAGCATTAAAGCGGCCCTAAAAAGACTTCTTCATAAAGAAACTAGGAAATGGGGGTTATTTCAAATACACAGAATATCTGGACTACTCTTGCCAGTTGGTATTTTATGCCACAGAGTCCCAACTCAAATGATTTGGGGCTGAGTTGGTTACTTACATTAACCCAAGAAGTTACCCAGAGTTGTAAGATGCCAAGGAGCAGTGGGAGGGGCTGGTAGGGAACTAGAGGGCACATGCCTGAAGACATTCACATTCTGAACACAAAAGATGTTCACATTCACATTCAAAACACAAAAAAGTGCTATGCTAATCAATCAACACATCTAGTTTGCACAAATTTGTGTGATTTATACTGAAACCATTGCCATATGGACGAATGTCATTTTCTATGTCTACTTCTGCGACTTGATTTTATCATTTCCACCTAAGAACCTCAATTTTTCTTATAATAAGACAATTTCCTTTATCTTCTTACATTTGTGAATTTCTTAGTTTAGTAGATTTCAGGCCAAAGGAGTTCATGGGTTATGGCAGAAAACAAAGACATCTTAAGGCTGAAAGAAAAGGGGCATGAGGATTGAAGTCTATAAAGGCCCACTTCCAAGATGGCACGTTATAGTCTGCATCTCCTAGTATCCACACCCTTGAGTAATACCCTCACCTTTACTGTGGGCTGGAGCTGGTGACTTCTAATGCATAGAAAACTTCCTTTAGTTAAGTTACAAAAAATTATAAGACTTTGGTTTTGCTAGCAAACTGTCTTGCTAGCTTTAAAGACTTACCTGAGCAGCCCACATGGCAAGAAACTGGGGGCAACCTCTGGCCAAGAGAGGAACTAAGGCCATCGCTACAACAGCAAGAGAGGAACTGAATCCTGCCAGCAACCACTGAATAAGCAGACCCTGCCCGAGATGAACCTCAAAGTGGCTGCAGCCAATACCTTCATTGCAGCGTTGTAAAAAACCCTGAAACAGAGGACCTAACTGGGTCCAGATTCCTGATCCACAGAGACTATGAAATAATAAATGTGTGCTGTTTTAAGCCTTCAAATGTTGGTACAATTTGTTACACAGCAATTGATAACTAATACAAATTATTATAGGAGAGAAATATTTTGCATGTTGTTCTGGGGCCTGTTTGTGATCCTGCTAGCATTTGAAATGGTGAATATTCTACAGTGCTTTTGAGAGACTATTCCTGCACCAAGTGCTTACCTCAGTTTAATGCCATGCAGGGCCAATGCACCTGGACATTTCCTCTTCTTTGACATCCATATTTCTCATTACCACAACAAAATACATTTTTTAAAAAATAGTCATGGCCTGGCGCAGTGGCTCACACCTGTAATCCAAGCACTTTGGGAGGCCGAGGCAGGCAGATCACCTGAGGTTGGGAGTTCAAGACCAGCCTGACCAACATGGAGAAACCTCGTCTCTACTAAAAATACAACATTAGCTGGGCGTGGTGGCACACGCCTTTAGTCCCAGCTACTCGGAAAGGCTGAGGCAGGAGAATCGCTTGAACCCAGGAGGCGGAGGTTGCAGTGAGCCAAGATAGCACCATTGCACTCCAGCCTGGGCAACAGAGCAAAACTCCATCTCAAAAAAAAAAAAATAATAATATATATATATATACACATATATATATACATACATATATACACATATATATACATATATACATATATATACATATATACATATATATACATATATATACATATATACATATATATATACACATATATATACATATATACATATATACATATATATACACATATATATACATATATACATATATATACATATATATACATATATACACATATATATACATATATACATATATATACGTATATACATATATATACATATATATACACATATATATAGTAATCTCTACTTGGTGATTCATTTGTCTTTTTGAGAAATGTGAATTAGTACCTTGCCAGATACTTCTTACCAAATAACAGAAAGAATGATAACTGGAAACATTTATTTTAGAATATTTTGTTACTTTTTAAATAAATAAGTAGATTGTGTTTTCAAGTAATGTTCATTGAAAACATATTAATATTGAAAAAATTCAATTTTTATTATTTCTCCAATCATATATTTGAAAGCTGAATAATAAACATTTACATAATTTTAAGTTTTACTTCAAATATGAGATCATTATTGTTTTTTCTTTTATTTTAGAAGATAAATGTTTACCATATGAGATTTTTCAAGTTTTTCTTCTTTAGATCACATTTATGTAAGACTCATATCCTTTCAAACAGATTTATATTGTGATACTTTACCTTATTTAATAGGATCAAAGTTTATTTGAAATGTTATTTTATTATAAGATGTCTGCAGTTTGCTTGAAAAGTATGTGTGTGGGCAGAGGAAAGGAAGAATGGGTTAAGAAAACACATTTTAAAAGACCAGCCATGAGTCGATGCTTGTTAAAATTGACGATGAGTTCATTGTAGTATTCTTTCTAGTTTTGTATACAAATGTAATTTTCCATCCTATGTATATAAACACCTCGTCTCTTCTAAGGATCCTATTGCAGTATTTCACATATAATTTTTTAAATAAAATCACTTGCTACTTTCAAGTTTCTTGCCACATCAATCAGCAAAACAAATATGTGTAACATTTTCTATTTTCAGTAGGATTATTCACTTCAAAAGAGACATGCTGCAGAGGCAGTTTCAATTATAACAACTTTGAATACTGAATAAATTTTACTGGAGATTTGCAATGGAGCAGACCACCTTATGCTGTGTTCCTTATATGCGTCATCTCAATCTAATCCTCACACAGTTAGTTTTATTCCAACAGTAAAAGGTGACTTGGTACTTTCCTCCATAATTTACCTGAATAAGTTATTTATATAACTTATACATGATAAACTTATGTAATAAGTATGAATCATAATCTCTATGAAAGCCAAATATAAATTCTAAAGGACTATATAATATGCCGTGGCATTATTTTCTACTATTGTAATGCTTCTCTAGGAAGTTATTTGACGTCATACCAGTTTGACATCTTCCCTTCAAATACTTCATATACTGTCTGCAACAAAATACATCCTGACACAGATTATGACAGATGTTTATATTTAATCTTTGAAGGGCAAATAACATAAACAAGCAAGTAACTTTTTAATTAGAAGATCTTGCTTGGAGTGATATTAGAAAAGTATACAGCTGAATGGTTTGATTTCATATTTGTTAAGTTAGAGTCAAAATAAGAGGCCACTAAATTCAAAAGAGTTTTAAAATTTTAAAGAGTAAGAAGATAGTTGATATGAGTATCTGGAGAATTCAAAACAGTGAGCCAGCTATTGAGAGAAGCTGGAGAATATTTAAAGTCCCATTATACTTACTTTACATGCTGTCATCAAAAAATTTACTTTGTTTTTAAAAAAATTGTTCTATGGCTTGCTTTTGCATAATTAAAAACCATGAGACAATATTTATTTTATTTGTTTTTGTGCGAAATTGTGTTTATTCATTATGTGTTTGCTATAGTTAATTAAACTCACTCATCACCCTTGTAGAGTCAACCAGTCTGTGACTTCACTGATCTTGCTATAATCAACAATCACCAATACGAAAGCAGTGTAGATTTTCTAGAAATCAGCATAAGCATTTGTGAGACGTTTCTTTCTTGCATCAGCTGTGGAAAATTTTATTTGTAAAATACAAATGAATTCTCAACCTTTCATCTCCATTTTGTTATGAAGTTCATTGTCTAGTAAATTATCTGGGTTTAGAGCCTGGCCCACAGTTTACCCTATGACCATGGGAAAGCCTCCTTTTTCTGTTTCCTCATCAGTAAATGGACACCCCTGTCCCGCTTTCAAGACAGTTATATTGTATAGTAGCATAACATTCATGGTAAGTGTTCAAAAAGAGCATTTCTTCCCTTCATGTGAGATGACTTATTTTTCCTTTTCTTTTTTTTTTTTTTTTTTTTTGAGACACAGTCTCCCTTTGTTGTCCAGGCTGGAGTGCAGTGGCATGATCATAGCTCACCGCCACCTTGAACTCCTGGTCTCATGGATCCCCCCATCTCAGCCTTCTGAGTAGCTGGGACTACAGGCATGTGCCACCATGCCCAGGTAAGTTTTTAATATTTTTTGTAGAGACAGGGAGTTGGCCATCTTGCCCAGGCTGGTCCCGAATGATAACATACTGTTTTATAAGTGGTTACTTGTAATCTCACTTAATTAAAGATGCTAATTGCACAAGTGTGCAATTCATCATGATGATGATATAGAACCTGAGGCACGGAAAAATTCAGAATTGAGAAGCTGAAAACTCGTCTTCAAACTCAGAAAAAAAATTAAGATATCAGCAGGACACTTTTTACTTTAAAAATGTGTTTAGTTAAGGGAGTAGTTATTGTTAAATACATGTTGTAGTATTTGTAAATTGTCAGCTCTCTTATTTTCTTTCTCAGAAATATTTCCCCATGGTGTCTCAAAGTTTCCAAACTTGCCTGATCATGAAGTTCTTCTGAGAAACTCTTTAAAATGGACGTTCAGAGCCCCTCCCCTGGAGAGGCTGATGCATCTGGGTGGGGGAAGAAATTCATATATCTAACTGTTTCCCCAGGTGGTTCTTATGATCAGGCAGGAATAGGAAAAAGCGCATCAGCTGATCTGCCCATTTTGCTGATTGGGGGAATGTGTATTCATGCAAGTCAACCACCAAAATTACATTTTGTCTAAGTCACAGCGTGCTCAAATTCAGTAATTGTTCCCTCAGACTTAGCAGTGGGTTGAAGCCTGCAGGGCTGAAAAGTTAATTACAGTGAAGGTTGAGAAGGTAACTTGGCCACACAGCCCTTTGTGGCAGGATTATATTTCACAGAGTTAATCTCTGTGTTTTCAGAGTAATTCCTTCCCTCACTGTTTCTCACTCATGCACTGAGGGGCTCTTTTCTTCCCTCCCACACTCTTCCCTCCTTCCTTCCCTCCATCCAGCCAACACCAAAGCAGAAACAAAGACTGAAAGAAGCTTCGGCTTCAGTGTCAGACAATAGGGCTGGAAGATATACTTGCCAAGATAGGGTCGGCCTAGAAGGAAGTAAGTAAGGAGAAAACAGAAACTAAAGGGAGATAAGAGGACAGAGTGGCAGGCGAGGGGCCACAGAATAGGAAGGGAGGGGAGAACTTCTATCTCAGGACTAGGAAGTGGGGATTCAGCACTGATCTGGAGTATAGGTACTCTGCTGACCTGCTGTCTAATAGTCCTTCCACTTAGGAGGAGAGATGACTCAACACTTTGTGCAGAGATGACACTGTGATGGAAGGACATCACCCTTGATTTGCATGGCCTGTTGAGAACCGATCTTTGAGAACTGAAGTGTACAGTTGAAACATAAGCTCAGAAAACTAAATCCTTACCTTTTGGCAAAAATTTTTTAGCCCCTTTGATAATATCTTCATCATTATTGAGTCAAGCTCATTTCTCTCTTCTTTCTACACTAAGGCCAGACCATAAAAGCACATATAAGTATGTCCAAAGCTTTTGAATTTGTCAATTCTTATTTCTAATGAAAAATAATAAATGTCATTCTCATGCCCCAGTTACATTAGTGAAGACAGGCAAACTCCTAACAATCCCAAAGTTTCTGTGGCTTGACCCAATAAAGGTTTACTTCTTGATTGCTAGGTTCTAGCCACTAGACCTGGAGATTTTTCTATTACATTGATCAAGTAACCCTTTTATAAGGTATGCATATATTTTATTCCTAGGGTCCTTGAAATTAATAAGCCACTGCCAAATATCTTGTGTAAAAATATCTCATTGCCACTTCATCCTGGCAGCCCATTATGGTCAATGCTCTCCCTTTCTCTTTGCCAACTAAGCATTTCCACTTCACTTCTGCTTCGATAATGCAGTGGAGACTGCATTATCTCCAGACATCAGGAAGTGCATCTCAATGATAGTATCTCCTACTGTCGCATCCACCCATAATGAAGCAGTAAGGTTAAGACTGGTGCTCCTGGCTGGGTGTGGTGGCTCACGCCTGTAATCTCAACACTTTGGGAGGCAGAGGTGGGTGGATCACCTGAGGTCAGGAGTTCGAGCCCAGCCTGGCCAACACGGTGAAATCCCATCTCCCTTAAAAATACAAAAAAATTAAGCAGAACATGGTGGTGCACATCTGTGGTCCCAGCTGCTCAGGAGGCTGAGTCAGGAGAATCACTTGAATTCAGGAAGCAGAGTTCTCAGTGAGCCAAGATCGCACCACTGCACTCCAGTTTGGGCAACAGAGCAAGACTCCGTCTCAAAAAAAAAAAAAAAAATTGTTGCTCCTCTCATCAATAAAATTTTCAATGGCTTAGTGAAGAGAGTATCCTCTAGGCCCTCTTGGAAGATAGGGTAGAGGAATGGGTACATATCCTGCACACAATGAATTCACCCCCACATTTCTATATTCCTAAACTTTTGGATTCCTTCCTTCTGCCAGGGCAGTTCTGGCATCTCAACCTCATTGAAAGTCAGCCAATGCTGAGCCCAAGGTTCATGTTGACTGTTGGAGCTACTCTGCCTGCACAGGTTCACACATTCAATTCAGAATGTCTGGTAAATGTACCCATAGCAATAAGTATAGACATCGTCAGTGTTATATTCTTTTCCTCCATGGTCCCACACGTATATCCAAGATTGCTGCTAACGTAAATTACCAAAGTCTTATCATTCTTTTAGAGGCTATTTCTTCCTATGTTCGACTTGTAATTGGCCCCAGAACATGATTAGATAGGACTCAAATTAAGGGTTTACAGATAACAAGGCGTGATTGGGGTAGGGTTTGAGGAAAATAAACTTCTACTTGTAAGGCAGCTGCCCCAGGTTAGGCTATTAAATGGTCTAACAGGGAGTCTGCTAGAACCAGGAAAACATAGTATGCAGAGCTTCATCTCTGCATGAGAAAGGAGAGTAAAAAAAGGTGACTTTGAAGCTGGAGACAATAGTTTATGAACTGGCCAATGATTGAGGCCGTGAATCTTTCTTCCCTAGCTTGTGGGAGCCTTTTGAAAGCAGTACTGCACCTTGCTCTAGCATTTTGAAAAGTGACCTCAGTGTAAAGAAATTGTGATGTGCTCTCTCTGTAACAGATGTATGTTTTTAAAACTGAATCTGTTTGACCGGGCATGGTGGCTCACGCTTGTAATCCCAGCACTTTGGGAAGCCGAGGCTGGTGGAGCACGAGGTCTCCTGGCTAGCACGGTGAAAACCTGTCTCTACTAAAAATACAAAAAATTAACCTGGCATGGTGGCGGGCGCCTGTAGTCCCAGCTACTCAGGAGGCTGAGGCAGGAGAATGGTGTGAACCCGGGAGGCGGAGCAGTGAGCCAAGATCACGCCACTGCACTCCAGCCTGGACGTCAGAGTCAAAAAAAAAAAATTGAATTTGTTTTTCTTTTTTAATGTAGAAATCATTTTGGAAGAGAAAAGGTCATGTTAGTTCTGGACCAACACCCTAATGTCTGTGTGTTTGTGGGACAAATAGTTTGCAATTGAATAGGAAACAATGGGAAGTTGTCCTGAGTCTGACAGATATGAATGAGGTAAAGAATCTGACTACTGTACTCCAGAATCTTCAGCCAGGCCCCATCCTACCTTCACCGCCTGTTTCACATTTTCATGAATCTTTCTCATACTCTCCTGGTCAAAATCAATATATTCCTCCCCTCTATTCAATAACATGGTGTATGCTCTCCTTGTCCTGTATCAGTAACATGTATACATAAATGTCATGTGTGTGTCTCACCAAAATAATAGAAAGTTATAGGTAATTTTATTGACCCAGCTACTCCACAGGAATGACAGACTGGGCCCTTTGTAGCTTAACGCCGTGTCCTCTGATGCTACCTTTGCCATACTCAGTCATCTGAGCCTTCCAATATCCTATTTCTTCTTCTCAGGACTTGCTACTTTTACTGGTGGCACCATGACTCCTTATCTTTCAAAAGACTGAGTTTAAATGTCATTTCCTCTAGGGTGCTTTTCCTTACTGCCCCCTAGACACACCCTACCCATGTCCTCACCCCAGGTGGGTTACGTGTTCTCACTATGTGGGCTCATTAAACCATTTACTCATCTTCTACTCTTATTACAGCATTCATTATCTTTTATTTATTTGCTTTTTTGGCTGTTGTTCCTGCTAGTCCATATGACATGACATCACTCACAGAGGAGGAATGCAATTGGTATTTAAAAGACAATTGTCAAATAAATGTTAAAAAATGAATGAAGGCCGGGCACGGTGGCTCACGCCTGTAATCCCAGCACTTTGGGAGGCCGAGGTGGACAGATCACCTGAGGTCGGGAGTTTGAGATCAGCCTGATCCACACGGAGAAACCCCATCTCTACTAAAAATACAAAATTAGCCGGGCTTGGTGGTGCATGCCTATAATCCCAGCCACTTGGGAAGGCTGAGGCAGGAGAATCCGCTTGAACCTGGGTGGTGGAGGTTGTGGTGAGCCGAGACATGCCATTGCATCCCAGCCTGGGCAAGAAGAGCAGAACTCTGTCTCAAAAAAATAAATAAATAAAAATAAAAATAAAAAATAAATGAAAATCTAGATTTGATGTTTGATTTGTCATTTCAGTCTGGCGTGTAAAGAAAGCTGCCTTATAGGCAGATCCTTATAAAAGAGCTAGATGAGATAAGGGAATAATATTTTGAAATCAAACAGATGATTAACTTAAAATGAGATAGAATCAGTAACAAAATAACCACCACTCCATGAAGTCAAATCAGTGTTATGGAGGACAATCTTGAAAAGTTCTCCAGAATGTACTGAGACAAAAGTAAAAATATGAGAAAATTATAGGACGGAAAATGCAATTTGAAAAATAGTATGATATCAATATATTGCATATGACCAAAGAAACAGAAAAAAATTAATTCCTTTGGGGAGAACAGAATATTAGGTGAGTTTATAAATGAATAAATGATTTTTTAAAAATTTTACATGCCTCTGTTATACAGAATCCAGAAAGAACAAAAACAAGCATGAGTAAATTAATGATATATGTAAGAATATCACCCAGAACGTAATATGGAGATACAACAGGATGGAAAACAGAGAGAAATTCAGAAATATGGAAGATATAATGATGATATAAAACATATGTCTGAAAGAAGAGATGAAATAGAATAAGGGAAAGACAATGTTTCAAAAGGCAATAATTCAAAAGAACTTTCCAAAATTTAGGAAAAACTGTAAATCATCAGATTGAAAAATTTATCAAGTCTTAGACAGATTAAATTTCTACAATATACATGTGGCATATAATTTTATAACTATAAAGTCTTAAATCCAGAAAGTAAATGGTATAGTGTCTACAAATATATCACAATTAGACTGAAAGCAGATGTTTTGTCAGCAACAATAAATAAAAGCAGGCTCTCAAAATAAATGAATGAACAAATGAAAATAGAAGCTGTGAATATACCTCAATAAAGACAAAAGAAAACTCAAACCTATGGAGAAAAAAGTAGTGTGTGTAAAATTGATAAAATATTTTAGAAAATTTAATTATGTATTGCATATAAAAATTAAAACATCATTATTAACTTTACTTATGAGACCTCAGTGGTATTATGGTATGGCTTATTCCTGAAGAGGAACAGTAACTGAAAAACTGCAGCCTTTATTAGAAAATAATGAAAGCTAAATATTTGTATTAAATTTACCATTAAAAGCTACAATTATAAAAATTAAAGCATAAAAATAAATGAATTAAATTCTAAATTGTAAAAGCTGGAGAAAGAAAGACTAATAAAGCAAACCAAAACAAAGCAGTTGGAAGGATATGTAAATACAAAAGTGGAAAATCATAAATTAGAAAATAGGAAAACAACAGGTATAATAAATCTATATGCTATGTTTTAACAAACAATAGAAAATGACTAGATAATCTAATCCAGAAAAAAGGAGATAGCACAAAAGAATGAAAGATAGAGGAAATAAAAATTAGAAGAGAACATTAAAATCATGAGCAATTTTTACATCTGGGAAGATAGAATAGATATACTTTTTCCTATTCTTCCTACTCAGTCCAGCTAAAAATCCTAGTTATCATATATAAAGCAAACATAGGAAGAATCTGGACAGTGGAGAGAAGATAAAATGGCTAGGGACCTTGGGACCCAAGCAACAACAAAGTGGTGCATTCCCCAGGTTGCGTTTGCTTCATATATCCGAGATTTTGAGCTGGAGAAATTGGCAACGAAGAAATGCCAAGGAGTGTGAAGAGAAAAAGTACTAACAAAACCTGCTCTCTCTAGCCAGAGGACTAGGGACAACTTAGCCTAGACAGAAAACCTTAGACAATAACCATTCTACCTTAACCAAATACTACAGAAAACAACTGTGGTCCCACCTTTGCCAGTTGTATTAGTCTGTTTGCATTGCTATACAAGAATACCTGAGACTGGGTAATTTATAAAGAAAAGAGGTTTATTTGGCTTATGGTTCTGCAGGCTGAAGAAGCATGGCACCATCATCTTCTCAGCTTCTGGTGAGGCCGCAGGAAGCTTACAATGATTGGAGGGGTGAAGGGGCAGTAGATATGTCACATGGTGAGAGAGGGAGCAAAACAGAGAGGAGGAGGTGTCAGTCTCCTTTTAACAACTAGCTCTCACAAGAACTCATAGAGTGAGAACTCATTCATCACCAAGGGGAAGGCACCAAACCATCTGCCTACATGACCTGAACACCTCCCACTAGACCCCACCTTCAATACTGGGGATTGCGTTTTAACATGAGATTTGGAGGAGATACACATCCAAATCACATTACCAGCAAAGGCAGTGATAGGGGTGTAGATTTTCACCCACATCAGGCACTCACAAGGCATTCCTAACACTCCATGGGGTGCTGTCAGAGAAGGCCAAGAAGGGAGCTGAAATTTTCATTTCTGAAGAGTGGTCATGGGACTCCCTTCCTTGAGGTATCAGTGGAAACCATGTGGGAAACCCAGACACCCACCCAGCAGGCACTAACAAAGTGCCATTCCCACTCTATGCTGCAGCAGTGTCAGAGAAGGGCTAGTGGGGAGTCAGGACTGCCACCATCACCCAACAGTAGAGAAGCCACCCTCTACCACCACTCCTGTGGTGTCAGTGGAAGACATATGATAGCAGAAATTAGGCACTCCTACTCCATCCAGCCATAAAGGTTTTAATGGAAACCTAGTGAGGAGCCAGAAATCCCATCCCCAGCCACCCAGCTGTAATAAGGAGTCATTCCCTCAGGTGTCAAAGGAGAGTGAATGGAGAACCTGGACGTCCACCATCTATCTGGAAGTAGTGAGGTAGCACCTTCCTGCCTTATTCTGCTAAGTTACTCAGCTAAAACAGAAGATTTAAATAAGATGTAGATTCTCAGAACATAATACACAAGATGTCCAGGTTCTGATTTTTAAAATCACAACAACCAGGAAGATATCAAACTGAGTGAAAAAGAAAATCAATAGATGCCACACAAGATGACAGAGATGTTACAGTTATTTGACAAAGATTTTAAACAAAAATCCCTTAATAGGCAATTATTAGCACATTTGAAATAAAATGAAATTTGAAATTTAAAAAATGGAAAGAAATGAAAGATAAAAATGAGAACTAAAAGGAAATTTCAGAACTGAAAAACGTAATAACTAAAATTTAAAAAATCAATAAATGGGCTCAATAACCATTCATTCTGAACAACAGAGAAAAGAGACTGAGGCGGAAAAAAGAACAGAGCCTTTAGGAAGCTATGGGATTATAATAAAAGGTCTTAAACGTTGCTATGATTAGAGTCCTGAAAGAAAAGAAGAAGTAAGCAGAGCTGAAAAAGTACTCAAAGAAACAACAGCTGGAAGCATCACATAAATATGTACAATTATTATGTGTCAATTAAAATCAAATAGAAAGTTTAAAAAATTTTAACTTAAAACAAGTACTTTTTTCATTAAAAAAGGAAATAATCGCTGAAAACTTTCAAAATTTGGCAAAACTATAACTCTACAGATTCCAGTGCTGAGTGAACCTCAGAGGATGAACTAAAAGAAATTCATGCCAAGATATACTGTAGTCAAACTTCTGAAAATTAAAGACAAAGTCTTAAAAGCAGTAAGAGATAAATGACAACTTACCTAAAGAAAAAGCAATTCAAATGACAGCAGATTTCCATCAGAAACCATGGAGGCCAAGAGAAAGAGACACAACATTTTTCAAGAGCTGAAAGAAAAGAGCTCTCAACCTAGATATCTCCATCCAGTGACAATATCCCCTTCAGGAATGAAGCAAAAATTAAGACATTGCCATATGAAGGTAAGCTAAGAGATGTTGTTGTCAGCCGAGTTATCCTAACTCCCCACTAGCCCTTCTCTCACATGAACTCATGGAGTGAGAACCCATTCATCACCAAGGGAAGGCACCAAAGCATTTGTAAAGGATCTGCCCCATGGATCCTTTGAAGGAGTAACTTTGAAACACCAGGAAAGAAGAAAGACCACAGTAAGTAAAAATATAAATACATTAAGTTTTCTTAACAATGTTTGATGGTGGAATCAAGCATGATAACACTGATGTGGTTTTAAATGTATGCAAAGGAAATATTTAAGGCAATTTTGTGATAAATAAGGGAGGGTAAACATATGTAAAGAGAATTGACTTCTATACTTCACTCAATGTGGTTAAAAATGACATCAATAGATTATGATATGCATATAAAATGTAATACTTGGATCAACCACTATAAAACTGTACAAAGAGATATACTAAACAGCAATATAGATAAATGTCTTAATCCATATGTGATACTATACAAAATACCATAGATTAAGTGGTTTATAAACAATAGAAATTTACTTCTTACCGTTCTGGAGACTAGAAAGTCCAAGATCAAGTCACTGGCAGATTTGGTGTGTAGTGAGGGCCAACCTCCTCATAACTTCTCAGCAAGGAAGGAACAGAGGGTATCTCTTGAATCTCTTTTAGAAGAACACTAGTACTATTCATGAGGGCTCCAGACTTATGACTTAGTTATCTCCCAAAGATGTCACTCCCTAATGCCATTGTCTTCAAGTGAGGATTTCAATACATGAATTTGGCCAAGGGACATAAACATTCAGACCATAGAAATAAATAAAAATTAAATTCTTAAAAATTTTCAAGTAACCCACAAGAAGTCAGAAAAAAAAGAAAACAAGAAATACTAAACAAAAAGAACAAAAAAAAACCAAAAAAATATAAAATGTCACACTGAAGCTCTCATACACCAATAATTACATTAAATGCAAATGATCCAAATATGTCAATTGAAAAATGGAGGTTGGCAGGGTGGACTGAAAAACATGTCCCAACTGTTTGCTGTCTACAAGAAATTCATTTCAAGTGTAAGAATATAGGCATGCTGAAAGTAAAAGCACAGAAAAAGATGTTGTGCAAATGTTAATTAAAGAAAAAGCAGAGTTAGCTGTATTAATGTTAGATAAAGTAGACTTCAAAGCAAAGAAAATTGCCAGAGACAGAGAAGAACATTTCAAAATGATAGAAGGGTCAGTCCACCAAGAAGACATAGCAATCCTAAATGTAGGTACATCAAAACAAATAAACAAGCAAACAGAAAAAAAACTGATAGCGCTGAAATGAGAAATAGATGACTCCACAATAATTATTTGAAACTTCAGCACTCATCTCTTAAAAATTGAAAAGTAAATAAATAAATGAAGCTAGCAGGGATATAGAATAACACCATCATCCAAAAGTATGTAATCAACATTTATAGAAAATTGCACCCAACAACATTAGCATACACATTCTATTCAAGTGCAGAAGGCACATTTATCAAAATAGACTATATTCCAGACTATAAGACGAACCTCAATAAATTTAAAAGAATTAAGATCATACAGAGTGTTTTCTCTGACCACGTTAAAAATAAAACTAGAAATTAATAACAGAAAGATAATAGGAAAATCTCCAAAGCCTTGGAAACTAAATAACACACTTCAAAACAATTCATGAATAAAAGAGGAATTCTCAAAGGAAATTTTTAAAATGCATTAAAATAAATGAAAATGAAAATGCACCATATCAAAAATTGTGGGACACAGCTAATGTAGTACTGAGGAGGAAATGTATAGGTTAATTGCTTATGTTAGAAAAATTTCAAATCAACAATCTAAGTTCCCAATTCAGGAACCTACATTAAGAGCAAAAAAGGAAGAGCAAAATAAACCCAGGTCAAGCAAAAGGAAGGAAATAATAAGGACAAGAGCAGAATCCAATGAAATTGAAAACAGGAAAGCAATAGGAAACATAGAAAGCAATAGAAAACATCTTTACGTAGGTTGTATTCATAACAGCTTTTAATTGGAAACAACTCAGATGTCCTCCAATGGGTAAATGGTTAAACAAACTAGGGTACATCCATATCATAGAATATTACTTAGCAATAGAAAGGAATCAACTCGATACATAACAATAGCTTAATGAATCTGAAGAGACTTATGCTGAGTTTTCATCGAACAGGAGAGTCAATATTGTTAATATATCAATTCTCCCCAAATTACTCTGTAGATCCAATGCATTCCTAAACATAACCCTAGCAGGCTTTTTGTTGTTGTTTGAACTTAACAAGATATTATGTCATTTATGTGGAAATGCAAACAATGTAGAATAAACAAAACAATTTTGAAAAAGAATAACAAATTTAAATATTCACACCTTCTAATTTCAAGGCTACAGTAACTCAGACACTGTGATTTGTATGAAGATATACATATAGATCAATGGAGCAAAACAGAGATCCAAAAAGAGATCCACACACAAATAGCAAATTGATTTTTGACAAAGACGCCAAAACAATTCAATGTGGAAAGAATAATCCTTTTAATAAATGGTACTGGATATTTGAATATCCATACTCAAATAAAAGAATCTCAATCTATAAAAACCTTATTGATCTAAGGTTAAGCAAAGATTTTTTAAATAGAAATACAAAATGCACAAACAATAAAAGAAAAAGATTAAGTACAATTTATGAAACTACAAATTTGGGCTCTTTAAAAATTGGTCTTAAGAAAGTGAAAAATAAACCACAGAATAGGAGAAATTATTTTCAAAACCTATATTTGACAAATGTTCTATATCCAAAATACGTAAAAAGTCTTACAAATCAATAATAACTACTCAACCAACTCAATTAAAACGGGTAACGATTTACATAGACACGTAAGCAAAGAAGATCCAGGGATGGCTAATGAGCACCTAAAAAGAAGTTCAACATCCTTAGTAACTGGGAAAATGAAAATTAAAACTGCAGTGGGATATGACTACAGCATATTATGACGGCTCAAATTTTTAAAATCTAACAAGACCGAGTGAAGTGAGAATGCTAAGCAACTGGAAGTTCCATAGATTGCTGGTGAGAATGCAAAACTGTACAGGCATTCTGAAAAAATCTGGCTGTTTCTTATAAAGTTATAAATATGCTTACTATATAATCTAGCAACCCACTCTAGGCATTCACCCAAGAAAAATGAAAATTTGTATTCACACAAAAAAATCTGCACACAAATGTTCATAGCAACTTTAATAGTCATCCAAATTGGAAACTACACAAGTACACCAAACAAACTTTTGTACATCCCTACAGTGGAATACCACTCAGCAATAAAAAGGAAGGCAAACAACAGCTCAGTGAAACAACAGGGACTCATGTTAAAAGCATTGTGTTAAGTGAAAGAAGCCAAACCGAAATAGCGTGGACAGTATCATGTCATTTATACGAAATTCTAAAAAAGAAAACACTATCGTAGTAGAAATCAAATCAGTGTTTGCCAGGGGCCAAGGGAAGGGGTAAGGGATTGACTGCCAAGGACATAAAGCAACCTTTTTGGCGTGACGGAAATGTTCTGTATTATGAAGATGAATATATTTATTTCAGTCATCAAATTTGCATTTAAAATTTATGAATTTTACTTTAGGTAAATTATACCTCAATAAAGCGAACTCTCTCTAAAACAAAACATATAAGCCAAATTATTCAGTTTTGATCAGATAACCACAGAGGAGAGATATAATTATTTCAAGTAATTTTGTAACACACTCTGACTGCATGTATTTAGTGTTATTTATAAAGACAAAAAATCTGCAAAGAAATATTGAACTTTAGTCCATATACTTATTGTTAGCAGTACTATTGGTACTGTAATTTTGAAATTATTTTAGGCATATTGTAGAATAAAGCAAATAAATATTTAATATTATTAAGAACCAACATTATTCCAGTGTCATAGAAAAAATAGTCCAAGATAAAATGAAAGAAGTTGAGGAAAAACCCATGCAATGTTAAGTTTGAAATGGAGATATCAATATGAGGTCCTATTTTTAAAAAATATTACTATTAGCTGTAACCCATGAAAAAGCCTAAAAAGAATAATACTGCAACAGCAATTAGCACTCCTAATATTCAGATCTTAGTTTTTAAATACAGTTCCCCACTTACAAGGAACCAGTACTTGGAGAAATGGCTCCTCTAGATCTTTGGATAGAAAAGAGCAAGATGAGCCTGGGACAACTTGTGATAAAAAGCAAGAAAAGGCTCAATGGTTAGGGGGGTCATATTTAAAAAGACACAGTGACCACACTGATGTGGCTCCTAAAGGTCACATTTGGGACAACTTAAACATCAAAAAAATATATATAAAGGCTGTAAGTGATTAGAACACTTAAAATAATTTTTTAGTCAAACAGTTCATACTAATACTCTAAAAGAATACAAAAAAGAAAAATAGAAAAAGAGAAGGGAGATGTCGTCTTTACAAAAATATCACCTAACAAATGTAAATAGAATGGTAAAATTTAAAAATTACCATTTTGCAACCCCAAGTACAATTATTCATACACATTTTATTTATATGTCTTATAAAACCATTAAGGGACAAGTCATCAAGGAACAGAATATGACAAATATTACCCTATCATTTACTAATTAGAAAAAAAAATATATCTTAAAATTGAGAGATCTGTAAACCAGTTCCTTAACAAGGTGATCAAACTTAGCATAAGTCACTAATAGTTGCTAAGAGTATTACACTTTGACATAATTGGCCCTCTGATGTGACTACAATGGGACTGAAAATATCATCTATGAAGTACTATTGCCAAAAATGTTTACTTTGAATCTTATCAAAAAGCCTCTAGACCCAACCAACAATTTACAGAAAATAGACGGAACAAATAGTCAAGCTGTTAGCGAAAGAAAAAATAAATAAAGTCATTCTTGGACAATTGGTGGTAATTTAAATATGGATTATGTATTAGATATTACAGAATTATTTATAATCTTTTAGGTGTTCCAACATAGACTGACTATGTAGGAAAATTCCCTTATTCTTAGTAGCTGCATGCTGAAGTGTTTAGGGTAAATCTCAGGCTGTCTGCAACTTTCTTTCATATGATTCATGGGGGGAGATACATACACACACACTCACACACTTGCACACACACACTAAGTGTGTGAGAGTGTATGAGAGAAAGAATATGTGGCAATATGTTAACCAGTGAGATCTGGATGCAGGTTAATATAGATGTTCATTATTGTATTATTTGTTTAACTTTTCTGTAAGTTTGTTTTTAAAAAATAAAAAGTGATTAAAAATTGTTCCAAGGGAAAGCTATACAGATAATTTTTTTCAATTGTAATGCTGAAAAAAAACAGTTTTTATTGCAAAATGACTAGCTTGATTATATGTTCTTTCTTTGACAACAGGGAAAAGGAGTTAATCCATTTCTTTCTGACAGTATGTACTTCCTAGCTTCCCCATAACTATCAACAATATCACTAATTTTCTTTCTACAAATGTGAAAATTGGTTATTGTTTATAAAATAGAAATGCAAAATATACTTACTATTTTATAATTGTTCTTTAAACAGAATTAATATGTTTTCATAAACTCCATTGTAAGAATGCTATAATTCTCCACATTTTAAAAAATGTAATGACAGCCACTAAAAGAATAGAAATACAATCTATAGATTTGAAATTAATAAAGTGGGGGCCGGGCACAGTGGCTCCCGTCTGTAATCCCAGCACTTTGGGAGTCTGAGGCAGGAGGATCACTTGAGGTCAGGAGTTCGAGACCAGCCTGGCCAACATGGTGAAACCCTGTCTGTCCTAAAAATACAAAAATTAGCTAGGCCTGGTGGTGTGTGCCTGTAATACCAGTTACCTGGGAGGCTGAGGCAGGAGAATCATTTGAACCTGGGAGGCAGACTTTGCAGTGAGCCCAGATCGTGCCACCGCACTCCAGCCTGGGCAACAGAACTAGACTCCATCTCAAAAAAAAAAAAAAAAAAAGAAAGAAAGAAAAAAGAAAAAAGGAAAGTGTTACAGAATTTTTTATCAGTCCAATGCAGGGAAAGATATAAAAAGACATAGCTAAACTTAAAAATAATATAAACACTCTCCGAACCAGAAACTGAAAGAAAATTAAAAGTGGCCACCAGTGCTAAACCCACAGGCCTTCTGAGCTCTGGCGTGGAAGCAGGGTCTGAGGGTGCCAATTACCTGAGGCAAAGAGGCCAGAAAGAGAACCATTCAAGACAAGGAATCAGAGAGTCAGACTCAAGACTTAATGCCTGGAATTAGGGTAGGGCTGCCCTGGCCATGAAAGGGAATGGGGCTAGGGGAAGAGTGATGAGGAATACCCAACAAACTGTGACCAAAAAGCATGTGGTTACAGCTTTTAGGAAGCTACGGGCATAAGGAAATTGGAGGACACAGAAGTAGCCTCCTAAACAAAAATGGAAACCAACCACCCGCTGGCTCACACCTGAATCTGCATTGTCTCTATCACAGAAGAAATTAAGAGCTCACTATATTATGTAAACCTAGTGAGAGAGAGAGAGACCTTTCCACCCAAAATGAGTCTGCAAACTAAATTCCAAAACATAAGAAAGAAAGAGAGTGAACAAAGTCAATAATCGTAATTTTTTAATGAAAGTTTTAAAATCAGTGGGTTTCAAATGTACATGAAAAAGTAATAGCATTTATTAGAAACAAACAAAAATAATGAAACAGTTACATATGAAACTGAAAACGACAGTTTTGAGATAGAATGAAATATTTCAGAAATGCAATATAAAGTCAATGAAGTAATGTAACATGGTAAATTAGAAAAATGGAAGATGGTACTGAGGAAGTTCCACATGCAGTACAGAAATAAAATAATAACATGTTCAAATGAAAGAGCAATTATGATACATACAGAAGAGACTGAGAAGTTCCAATACATACATAGTAGGTGTTGAAAAGATTGAACGGAGCAGTAGAGATAAGTTACATATTTTAAAGTTTGCAATATTCAGTAGAGATAAATGGATACATCATAGAATAATAAAATAAAGAATCTATTAAGACTATAGGCCGGACTCGGTGGCTCACGCCTGTAATCCCAGCACTTTGGGAGGCCGAGGCGGGTGGATCATGAGGTCAGGAGATCAAGACCATCCTGGCTAACACGGTGAAACTCCGTCTCTACTAAAAAAAAAAAAAAATATATATATATATATACACAAAAATATACATATATACACAAATATATATATATACAAAAAAATATATATATATATACAAAAAATTAGCCAGGCGTGGTGGCCGGCGCCTGTAGTCCCAGCTACTCCGGAGGCTGAGGCAGGAGAATGGAGAGGCTGAGGCAGGAGAATGGCGTGAACTTGGGAGGCGGAGCTTGCAGTGAGCCAAGATCGCGCCACTGCACTCCAGCCTGGGTGACAGAGCGAGACTCCGTCTCAAAAAAAAAAAAAAAAAAGACTCTATAAATTGTATGTAACTACAAACCAACAAAATTGCTTCAAAGAAAATATACAAATTGCTAATAAGCACATAAAAAGATGTTCAACATCATTAGTCATTAGAGAAATACAAAACAAAACCACAAGAAATAATTTCGCACTCATCAGGATAGCTATTTTTAAAAAAAATGAAAAATAACAAAAGTTGGCAAGTATGTAGAGAAATTGAAACCTTGTGCATTGCTAGTGGGTATGCAAAATGGTACAGCTGTTGTGGAAGTTTGGCAGTTCCTCAAAAAGCTAAACGTAGATTGTGCACCCATGTACATAGCAGCATTATTCACAGTAGCCAACAGGTAGATGCCAACCCAAGTGTTCATTGAAGGATTAATGGATAAACAAAACGCTGTATGTACATACAATGGAATATTCAACCATGAAAAGAAATAAAGAATTAAAACAAGCTACAGTGTGTGTGAACCTCAAAAACATTAGGCTAAAGGAAACAAGCCTGTCACCAGAGGATAGACACTCATCATTTCACTTATATTAGGTACCTAGAGTAGTCAAATTCACAGAGACATAAAGTAGAATGATGATTTGCAGGGACTAGTGGGAGGGGAGATGAGAAGTTATTGTTTAATGCTACAAAATTTCAGTTTTGCAAGATTAATCATTCTGTGGATAAATGGTGAGATGGTAGCACAACAATGCAAATTTACTTGATGCCACTGACCTGTACATTTAAAAAGGCTTAAGATGATAAATTTTATGTGTATTATATTAAAATGTTTAAAAAGCTAGCACAGAAATACCATATAAGCCATCAATTTGACTCCAAGGTATGTACCCAAAAGAATTGAAGGCAGGAACTAAAAACGATACTTGTATGCCAATGATCATAGCAGCACAACTCACAATAACCAAAAGATGGAAACAGTCCAACTGTTCCTCAAAAGATTAATGAATAAACAAAATGTGGTATGTGCACACAATGGAATATTATTCAACCATTAAAAACGAAGTTCTGATAGATGCTACAACATGAATGAACCTTGAAGACATTATACTAAATAAAATAAGCCAGGCACAAAGGATAAATATTTATAATTCCACTTACCTAAGGCACCTAGATTAGGCAAATTGATAGAGACAGATAGTAGATTAGAAAGTAACAGAGACCAGAAGGAGGAAGAATGAGGAGGTTTTACTTAATGGTTACAGAGTTTCTATTTGGGGCAATAAAAATGTTTTGGAAATAGGGTTACACATCATCATGCACATAATTAATGCCACTGAATTGTACACTTAGAAATAGCTAAAATGGTAAATCTTATGTTATGCATCCCTTATTACAATAAATTTATATATAGCAAAAATGGGCAGAGATATAGAGAAATAATACATATTCAGAATTATGGTGGGAAATTTTTACCTGCATCTATCAAAAAACATTAGTGGACAAAAAAATTTTAAAGGATATAGTACATTTAAACAATAAAACCAAACTGCTTGATAGGATGGATGGATGTGGTGTATATAAACAGTGCCCCCAACAAATACATGAAATATAAGCCTTTTTTTTTTCTTCTTTTTTTTTTTTTAAAGACAGAATCTCACTCTGCTGGCCAGGCTTGAGTGCAATGGCATGATCATAGCTCACCACAGCCTTGAACTCCTGGACTTGAGCATTCCTCATACTGCAGCCTCCTAAGCAGCTGGGACTACAGGAATGTGCCACTACGCTCAGCTAATTTTTTAAGCTTTTGTAGAGATAGTGTCTGACTGTGCTGCCCAGGCTGTTTTCAAATTCCTGGCCTGAAGCAATCCTCCCACCTCAGCCTCCCAAAGTATTGGGATTACAGGTGTAACCCAAAACACCGGCTGTGAAATATATTCTTTTAATGTGCACATAGATTATTCAGAAAAGTTGAAATGCATTGAATATTCTTTGCTGATATCTGGTCAAAGAATTAATAGCATGTAAATTGTGACCTCTGACTATAATACAATGCTATTAGAAATAAACACTAAAGATTATTTAAAAGGAAAATTTCCCTTAAGCTTCAATATTTGAAACCTTTAAAATGTAATGAGGCTATTACAATAGAATAGTCATAAATTAACACTTATAAAAGTACTATATATCAAAATGTATGAGATGCAGCTAAGTGGCATTTAGAGGTAAATTTATTAGAATCGAATGGATATATTAAAAACTAAATGACTGAAAATTAAATCTTTAAATCAAGATATAAAATAACAAGAATATTCTGAAGAAAAAAATAAGCAATAAAGATTAGAATAAAAATCAATGCAATAGAAAATAAAAGAAACAGCAGAGGGCATTCACAGTTGCTTTTTAACACTGATATTCTAATCAAAACAATAAAATAAGAAAAATAAATATATGACACAAGAATTGGGAAAGAATGGATGAAACTGTTTATATTTTCATATTCCATTATTGTCTACAGTAGTCCTTCCTTATCAGCAGGGGATACGGTCCAAGATCCCCAGTGGATGCTTGAAACCACAGATAGTACCTAACTTTATATATCATATGTTTGTTTCTGTACATACTTACCTAGAATAAAGTTTAGTTTACAAATTAGGCACAATTATGAATTAATCTGGGTGGCCAGATTCCCCAGTTTCAACTACCCACCATCAATCAAGGTCCAAAATAGGTGAGTACAGTATAATAAGATATTCTGAGAGAGAGAGAGAGAGAGAGAGAGAGAGAGAGAGAAAGATTTCATTCACAAACTTTTTATTACAGTATATTCTTATAATTGTATTATTATTAGTTATTGTTAATCTCTTATTGTGCAAATCATTCTAATGATCTTTTACAAAGAACAGCAAAAAAACAATACTGAAGCTTAGAAAAAAGAAGACATAAATTAATGGGAAAATTACCAACTCCAAAGATTGGAAAACTCTATATGAAAGAGTCTGTAATTATCTTTAAATAAATCTACAAATTAAATATAAACACAAAGTCTTACCTGACAATTTCATTGAAGTTGACAAAAGACTAAGAATTTCAAAGACAAATTTGAAGAGGAACAAGAAGGGGAGGGGGCATATTATATAAAGCAATAGTATTTAAGACTGTCTGGTATTAGCTCAGGGTATTAGCTCAAGCAAGTAGAAGTGATAGCTCAAAAGTAGATCTACTCACATATGGAAACCATATATGACAGATGTGTGAGAATAAACACACCATTCAATACAGAGGGCTGGGGAGGGGAGGACATGGAGCAAGATGGCCAAATACAACCCTCCAGCAGTAGTCTCCCACTCCCCTGAAGGAACACCAAATTGAACAACTGTCCACACAAGAAAGCACCTTCATGAGACCCAACTCTCAAGTGTGTGAACACAGTACCTTGTTTTAACATCACGACATTTAACATCATAACAAGAAAAGAGGCACTGAAGAGGGTAGGTAAAACAGTCTCGAATTGTTGTCACCACCCCTCCTTCATTCCCTGGCGGTGACTTTGTGGCACCAAGAGAGAATCTGTATGCTTGAGGGAGAGAGAACAAAATAATTGTGGACTTTTGCATTAGAACTCAGTGCTGGCCTGTCACAACAGAAGGCAAGATAGGGCAGAATTCAGCTGGCATCCAAAAAGGGAGCATTTAGCCAGCCCAAGCAAGAGAGGAATCATTCATCCCAGCAGTTGGAACCTGAATTTGGGCTAGCCCCACTACTGCGGGCTGTAGGGCAATGGGCTCCTAAATAAATTTGAAAGGCATTCTAGGCCATAAGGACTTCAATTTCCAGGCAATTCTTGGTGCTATGCTGGGCTCAGAGCCAGTAGTCTTGGGGTACACATGACTTAGTGAGATACCAGCTGGGGCAGCCAAGGCGGTGCTTGCATCACCACTCCCCCAACCCCAGGCATCACCACCCACAGCTCTGAGAGAGACTCCTTCCTTCTGTTTGAAGAAAGGAAAGGGAAGAGTAGAGAGAATTTTGTTTTGCAACTTGGACACCAGGTCGGCCACAGTATAATAAAGCACTAAACAGAGTCCTAAAGCCCAGAATTCAGGCCCTAGTTCCCAGATGACAGAAGGGAACCCACTGCCCTGAATGGAAAGACCCAGTGATGGCAGGATTCATCACTTGCTGACTAAAAAGCCCTTAGACTTTGCAGAAACTTCAGCAGTAGACAGGCAGTAGTTGCCACAGCCCCTGAGAGAGACCCATTAGTGTACTGGCTTTGGGTGTAACTCTCTACATTCCCAGCTATGGTGACCATGAGGAGAGACTCCTTATTTTCGAGGAAAAGAGAGGGAAGAGTAAAAAGGATTTTGTCTTGTGGCTTGGGTCCCAGCTCAGCCACAGTAAAACAAAGCACCAGTTAGATTCCTAGGATTTCCAATACGAGGGCCTAGCTCCTGGATGGCATTTCTAGACCCACCCTGGGCCAAAAGGGACTCTGTTTCCCTGAAGGGAAAGATCCAGGCCTGGCAGGATTCACCAACCTGCTGAGTAAAGAGCCCTTGGGACTTGAATAAACATCAGTGGTAACCAGGCAACAGTCACTACAGGTCTTGGGCAAAACCAAGTACTGTGCTGGTTTCAGGCATGACCCAGCACAATCCCAGCAGTGGTGGCCATGAAAGTTCTTGTGTCACACCTCCCTCAAGTCCACTCAGTATAGCATGGGGAGATAGACTCTGTTTGTTTGGACGAAAGTAAGGGAAGAGAATAAGACACTCTGCCTTTTAATCCAGGGAATTTTTCTAGATCTTACCCAAGATCACCAATGTGGTACCACTACAAGTCTGCAACAGCCACAGTGATACTGAGCTTGGGGTGTCCTCTAATGCAGATATAGCTACAGTGACCAAAGACTTAGATGACAACACTCAATTTCATTTGAATACCTGAAAAGTATTCTCAAGAAGGATGGGTACAAATAAGCTAAGACTGCAAACATTAGAATACATACATAACTGTTCAACGCCCAGACACAAACATCCACAAGCATCAGGACCACCCAGGAAAACATAACCTCATCAAACAAACTAAATAAAGCACCAGTGACCTATCCAGGAGCGACAGAGATATGTGACCTTGCAGACAGAGAATTCAAAATAGCTGTTTTGAGGAAACTCAATGAACTTCAAGATAACACAGAGGAGGAACTCAAAATCTATCAGATAAATTCACCAAAGAGATTCAAATAATTTTTTAAAATCAAGCAAAAATTCTAGAGCTAAACAATTCAATTGAGAAACTGAGGAATGCATTGGATATCTCAATAGCAGAATTGATCAAGCAGAGGAAAGAATCAGTGAGCTTGAAGACAGGTTGTTTGAAAATACACAGTCAGAGAAAACAAAAGAATAAAAAATAAAAAAGAATGAAGCATGCCTTCAAGATCTAAAAAATAGCCTGAAAAGGGCAAATCTAAGAGTTATTACCTCAAGGAAGAGGTAGCGAGAGATATAAGGGTAGAAAGTTTATTCACAGAGATAAGAGAAACTTTACAAACCTAAAGAAATATACCAATATTTAAGTACCAGGAGGTTATAGAACAACAAGCAGATTTAACCCAAATAAGACTACCCCAAGACATTTAACAATCAAACTCCCCAAGGTCAAGAATGAAGAAAGGATACTAAAAGCAGCAAGAGGAAAGGAACAAATAACATACAAAGGAGCTCAAATACATCTGGCA
Source organism: Homo sapiens (assembly GCF_000001405.40). Lineage (NCBI taxonomy): Eukaryota > Metazoa > Chordata > Mammalia > Primates > Hominidae > Homo > Homo sapiens. The sequence goes on from NC_000007.14 coordinate 38,148,361, forward strand.
GCAGACTTCTCAGTGGAAACCATACAAGCCAGGAGAGAGTCGCATGACATATTCGAAGTGCTAAAAGGAAAAAAAACTTTTATTCTAGAATATTATATCTGGCAAAAATATTCTTCCAATATAATGGAGAAATAAAGACATACCCAGACAAACAAAAGCTGAGGGACTTCATCAACAGCAGACATGTCCTACAAGAAATGCTAAAGGAAGTTCTTCAGTCTGAAAGAAGAGGGCATTAATGAGCAAAACAAAAATAAAAACAAAAACAAAAACCCTGAAGGTATGAAACTCACTAGCAAAACTAAGTACACAAACACAGAATATTATAACACTGTAATTGTGATGTGTAAACTATTCTTACCTTAAGCAGAAGTACAAATAGATGAATCTATGAATCCATAAAAATAATAACTATACAACTTTTAAAGACATGGAGTAATAAGATATAAATAGAAACAACAAAAAGTTTAAAAGTAAAGGGGATGAAGTTAAAGTGTAGAGTTTTTATTCATTTTCTCTTTGCATTTTTTTTGCAATGAGGGCTAAGTTGTCATCAGTTTAAAATAATGATTTATTTGATGTAATGTGCAAACCTCATGGTAACCCCAAATAAAAAAAACCTATAGCACACACACACACACACACACACACGTGCACACACACACACACAAAAGCAAGAAATTAAAATATACCACCAGAGAAAATCACCTTCACTAAAAGAAAGATAGGAAGGAAAAAAGAAAGAAGAAGGAAGGAAGGAAGGATGGAAGGAAGAAGGAAGGAAGGCAGAAAGGAAGGATGGGAGGAAGGAAGGAAGGAAAAGAGAAGGGGAAGGGAAGGGAGGGAAGGAAGGAAGGGAAGGAAGGAAAGCAAGGAAAGGAAACGAGGGAAAAGAAGGAGGGAAAAACATAAAGCAACCATACCACAAATAGCAAAATAAGTCCGTCCTTACCAATAATAACATTGAATGTAAGTGGACTAAATTCTCCAGTCAAAAAATCAAGTGACTGAATGCATTTTTTTTTAAAAAAGACCCAACTATCTGCTGCCTACAAGAAACACATAGAAATTAAAACAGAGCAGGACAGGAGCAGCTATACTTTTATCAGATAAAATATATTTCAAGACAAAAACTGTAAAAAGAGGGAAACTGAATCATTATTTACTAACAAAGGGGTCAATTCAACAAGAAGATATAACAGTGGTAAATTTATATGCCTCCAACACTGGAGCACCCAGGTATGTAAATAAAATATTATTAGAGCTAAAGAGAGAGGTAAATCCCAATACAATAATAGTTGGAGACTTCAATAGCCCACTATCAGTATTGGACAGATCATTCAGACAAAAAAAATCAACAAAGAAACATCAGACATAATCTACACTGTAGACCAAATGGACCTAATAGATATTTACAGAACATTTCATCCAGAATATACATTCAGCAGAATATACATTCTTCTCCTCAGCATATGGATCATTCTGAAGGATAGACTGTATGTTAGGCTACAAAACAAGTATTAAAATATTCAAAAAAACTGAAATCACATCAAGTATCTTCACTGACCTCAATGGAATACAAGTAGAAATCAATAACAAGAGAAACTTTGGAAACTATACAAACACACAGAAATTAAACACTATGTTCCTGAATGACAGTTGGGTCAATACAAAAATTAAGAAGGAAATTGAAAAATTTCTTGAAGCAAATGAAAATGGGAATACAACATATCAAAATGTAAGAGATACAGCGAAAGCAGTACTAAGAGGGAAGTTTATAGCAATAAGTGCCACATCAAAAAGTGTAAAAACTTCAAGTAAACAACCTATTGACATATCTTAAAGAACTAGAAAAGCAAGAGCAAACCAAGCCCAAAATTAGTAGAAGAAATAATAAAGATCACAGCAGCAATAAATGAAATTGCAACAAAAAAGAATAGAAAAGATCAACAAAATGGAAAGTTGTTTTTTAAAGATAAATAAAGTTGACAAAAGTTGAGACAGACTAAGAAAAAAAGAGAGAAGACCCAAATAAATAAAATCAGATTGAAAAATTAGACATCACAAGTGATACACCAGAAATTCAAAGGATCATTATAGACTTACTATGAGTAGCTATGTGCCAATAAATTGGAAAACCTGGAAGAAATGGATAAATTCCTAGATACATGCAATGTACCAAGTTTGAACCAGGAAAAAAAATTTCAAAACCTGAATAGACCAATAATTAGTAACAAGACGGACACCATAATAAAATGTCTCCTAGCAAAGAAGAGTCCAGGAACTGATGGCTTCACTGTTAAATTTTACCGAACATTTCAATAACCGATACCAATCCTACTCAAACTATTCTGAAAAATAGAAGAGAAGGGAATGCTTCCAAACTCATTCTATGATACAAATATTACACTGATGGCAAAACTAGACAAAGGCACATAATAAAGAAACTATAGGCCAATATCTCTGATATAAAACTGGTCATTCATCATGACCAAGTGAGATTTATCCCGCTTGCAGAGGGGACCAGCCTGTCTCCCATGGGTCCCACACCCTACCCCAACCCTACAACTATGTGTCACTGGACAAGGAACCCCTGGCTTGCTTGGGCTCACAGCACAGACCCTCCAATTCTGGGCTGATTGCACTGACTAATTGCTGACACACATCTCTCTGGAGTAGAGCCCCCAGTAAACAAGCAAAGTGGTGGGGCAGCAAGCCAGCTGATACGGAGCCCAGAGGGTTGGGTGCAGGATCATGGCCAGGGACAGCCATCCCTCTAAGCTTGACTTGCTCCCATAAGAGACTTTAGCTTTAAGGGACCTGTTGAACCTGACCTCTGCAGGGTGGTCTTGCATATCAGATGGAGCTGGTCGGACCTGAGCACTCCTTGGTCTGCTGTCCTCTCTTGGGGCCCCAGCCTGGCCATGCATGTTTATAGGGCAGTCTTGGGTACCCTGGAGGCCCTCCTCATAGCTTCTGCCCTGGTGAACTGTGACTGACTGGAGGAGGGCTCCAGTGAGGTGGCTCCTACAGCCACACACCCGTCCTCACATTTCCTCCCCATACTATAGCTTCCCCAAGCCCACATCAATTCCCCACATCACTTTGCTGACACATGTCTGCAGGGGCAGGTTTTGTTTTACTTGCCCAGCCAGCACACGGGAGTGCAATAGGCCCCTCCACTCCTGCTAACTGCCACTGCAGACAAAGCCTTGGTGGACACAGAGCCAGCAAGCCCTGTCCCCACCAGCACCCCTCCCTTGTGCTACACTGCAGAAAGAACAGGGGATCCTCTCACACCCTGAGAGATCACTCCTGCTCGCAAGGCACAGAGAAGGCACCCAGACCTCCAATGGCCAGCACCCCACCCCAAGCCAACACCAACTCCAGGGCAATAATGCAAACAGGATTATGTAAAGAGACTGAATCTACAACTGATTGTTCTACTTGAAAGAGATGGGGAAAATGAAACCAACTTGGAAAACATATTTCAGGATATCATCCATGTGAACTTACCCAACCTAGCTAGAGAGGTCAACGTTCAAATTCAGGAAATTCAGAGAACCCCACTAAGACACCTCACAAGAAAATCATCCCCAAGACAAATGACCATCAGATTCTCCAAGGTCAAAATGAAAAAAACAAAGTTAAAGGAAGGCAGCTAGAGAGAAAGTTCAGTTCACCTTCAAATGGAAGGCCATCAGACTAACAGTGGATCTCTCAGCTAAAACCCTACAAGCCAGAAGAGACTGGAGGCCAATATTCAACATTCTTAAAGGAAAGAAATTCCAACACCGAATGTCATATTGGCCAAACTAAGCTTCATAAGCAAAGGAGAAATAAGATCCTTTCCAGACAAGCAAATGCTGAGAGAATTTGTTACCACCAGACCTCCCTTTCAAGAGCTTCTGAAGGAAGCACTAAATGTGGAAAGGAAAGACCATTACCAGCCACTACAAAAACACACTAAAATACACAGACCAGTGACACTATAAAGCAATCACATAAACAAGTCTGCAAAATAAATAGCTAACATCATGATGACAGGATCAAATCCATACATATCAATACTAATCTTAAATGTATATGAGTTAAACATTTTAATTAAAAGACATACAGTGGCAAGTTGGATAAAGAAAACATTGGTATGCTGTCTTCAAGAAGCCCATCTCACATGCAGTGACACACATAGGCTCAAAATAAAGGAATGGAGAAAAATCTACCACAAAAATGGAAAACAGAAAAAAGCAGGGGTTGCAATTCTAGTTTCTGACAAAACAGACTCTAAATCAACAAAGATCAAAAAAGACAAAGAAGGGCATTATATAATGGTAGAGGGTTCAATTAAACAAGGAGATCTAACTATCCTAAATCTATATGTACCCAAAACAGGAGCACCCAGATTAATAAAACAAGTTCTTAGAGGCCTTCAAAGAGACTTAGACTCCCACATAATAATAGTGGGAGAATTTAACACCTCACTGACAATATTAGACAGATCACTGAGACAGAAAATTAACAAAGATATTCAGAACCTGAATTCAGCACTGGATCAAATGCATCTGATAGACCTACAGAACTCTCCACCCCCAAACAGCAGAATATACATTCTTCTCATCACCACATGGCACATACTTTAAAGTCGATCACATAATCAGAAGTAAAACATGCCTCAGCAAATACAAAAAACTGAAATTATAGCAAATAGTTTCTCAGACCATGGCACAATCAAATTAGAAATCAAGACTGGGAAATTCACTCAAAATAATTAAATTACATGGAAATTGAATAACCTGCTGCTGAATGACTTTTGAGTAAATAATTAAATTAAGGCAGAAATCAAGAAGTTCCTTGAAATTAATGAGAACAAAGACACAACATATAAGAATCTCTAGGATACAGCTAAAGCAATGTTAAGAGACACATTTATAGCACTAAATGCCCACATCAAAAAATTAAAAAGATCTCAAGTTAACAACCTAACATCACAAATAAAACAACTAGAGACCCAAGAGCAAAAAAATTTCAAAGCTAGCAGAAGACAAGAAATAATCAAAAGCAGATTTAATCTGAAAGAGAGAGACACATGAAAAATCTTTCAAAAGATCAACAAACCCAGAAGCTGGTTTTTTGAAAAAAATTAATAAAATAGATAGATTGCTAGATAGACTAATAAGGAAGAAAAAGAGAAGATTCAAATAAACACAATCATAAATCATAAGGCAGATATTACCACTGACCCCACAGAAATGTAAACAACCATCAGAGAATATTATGAACTCTCCTATGCACATAAGCTAGAAAATCTAGAAGAGATAAACTACTTCCTGGACACATACACCCTCCCAAGACTGAACCAGGAAGAAATTGAATCCCTGAACAGACCAATAACAAGCTCTGAAACTGAAGCAGTAATAAATAGACTACCAACTTAAAAAAGCTTGGCACCAGATGGATTCACAGCTGAATTCTACCAGATGTACAAAGAAGAGCTGATTCCATTCCTACTGAAACTAATCCAAAAAAATGAGGGGGAGGGACACCTCGTAACTCATTCTATGAGTTCAGTATCATACTGTCATCAAAACCTGGCAGAGATACAACAAAAAAAGAAAACTTCAGGACTATGTCCTTGATAAACATTGATGCAAAAATCCTCAACAAAATACTGGTAAACCAAATCCAGCAGCACATGAGAAAGCATACCCACTACGATCAAGTAGTCTTTATCCCTGGAATGCGAGGCTGGTTCAACATACTCAAATCTATAAATGTGATTCATCACATAAACAGAACTGAAGACAAAACCTACAGGATTATCTCAATAGATGCAGAAAAGTCTTTCAGTGAAATTCAACATCCATTCATGTTTAAAAATTCTCAATAAACTAGGTATTGAGGAACATACCTCTAAATAATAAGAGCCATATATGCCAAACCCACAGCCAACATCATACTGAATGGGCAAAAGCTGGAAGCATTCCCCGTGAAAACCAGCACAAGACAAGGATGCTTTTTCTCACCACTCCTATTCAACACAGTATTGGAAGTCCTGGCCAGGATAATCAGGCAAGAGAAAGACATAAAGGGCATCCAAATAGGAAGAGGGGAAGTGAAACTATCCCTGTTTGAAGATGACATGATGCTATATCTAGAAAACCCTATAGTCTCAGCACAAAAGTTCCTTAAGCTTATAAGTAACTTTAGGAAACTCTCAGGATACAAAATCAATGTGCAGAAATCACTAGCGTTCCTATAAACCAACAATAGTCAAGCTGAGAGCCAAGTCAAGAATGCAATCCCATTCACACTTGCCACAACAAGAATAAGATGCCTCGGAATACAGCTAACTAGGGAGATGAAAAATCTCTACAAGGAATACAATAAAGCACTGCTCAAAAAATTAGAGACGACACAAACAAATGAAAAAACATTCTGTGCTCATGAATACAAAGAATCAATGTTGTTAAAATGGCCATATTGCTCAAAGCAAGTTATAAATTCAATGCTATGCCTATTAAACTTGAGATTCTTCACAGAACTAGAAAAAACTATTTTAGAATTCACATGAAACCAAAAACGAGCCTGAATAGCCAAAGCAATCCTAAGCAAAAAGAACAAAGCTGGAGGCATCATACTACCTGATTTCAAACTATACTACAGGGCTACGGTAACCAAAACAGCATGATACTGGTACAAAAACAAACATATAGACCAATAGAACAGAATAGAGAGCCAGAAATAAGACCACACACCTACAACTATCTGATATTCAACAAACCTGACAAAAACAAGCAATCGGAAAATGACTCCCTATTCAATAAATGGAGCTGGGATAACAGGCTAGCCATATGCAGAAGATTGAAACTGACCTCTTCCTTACACCATATACAAAAATTAACTCAAGATGAATTAAAGACTTAAATGTAAAACTGAAAACTATAAAAACCCCCTAAAAGACAACCTATTCTGGACGTAGAAATGGGCAAAGATTTCATGACAAAGACTCCATAAGCAATCACACAGAAGCAAAAATAGGCAAATGGGATCTAGTTAAACTAAAGAGATTCTGCACATCAAAAGAAACTATCAATAAACAGACAACCTACAGAATGCAAACTATGCATTTGACAAAGGTCTAATATCCAGCATCTATAGGAAACTTAAACAAATTTACAAGAGAATAACAACCCCATAAAAAAGTGAGCAAAGGACATGAACAGATACTTTTCAAAAGAAGACATACATACAGCCAAAAAGCATATAAAAAAAGCTCAACATCACTGATCATTAGAGAAATGCAAATCAAAACCACAATGAGATACCATCTCACACCAGGCAGAATGGCTAATATTAAAAAGTCAGAAAATAACAGATGCTGGCAAGGCTGTAGAGAAAAAGGAACACTTATACATTGTTGGTGGGTGTGTAAATTAGTTCAACCATTGTGGTAGACAGTGTGGCAATTCCTCAAGACCTAAAGACAGAACTACCATTTGACCCAGCAATCCCATTACTGGGTATATACCCAAAGGAATATTAATTGTTCTATTATAAAGACACATGCATGCATATGTTTATTGCAGTACTATTAACAATAGCAAAGACACGGAATCAACCTAAATGCCTATCAATGGTACAATACATAAAGAAAATGTGGTACATATACACCATGGAATATTATGCAGCCATAAAAAGAACAAGATTATGTCCTTTGCAGGAACACGAATGAAGCTGGAGGCCATTATTTTTAGGAAACTAATGCAGGAACAGAAAACCAAATACCTTATGTTCTCGTTGATAAGTGGCAGCTAAATGATAAGAACACATGGACACATAGAGGGGAAAAACATGCACTGAGGACTACTAGAGGATGGTGGTTGGGAAGAGGGAGAGGATCAGGAAAAATAACTAATGGGTGTTCGGCTTAAAACCTGGGTGATGAAATAATCTTTACAACAAGCCGCCATGACAAAAGTTTACTTATGTAACAAACCTGCACGTGTACCCCTGAATTTCAAATAAAGGTTTAAAAAACCTGCACATGTATCCCTGAAATTTAAAAATAAAAGTTAAAAAAAACATGTTAATGCTGCTTGCTTAACTAAAGGAGAACAGAGATATACAACTAAATGAAATCAGGAAAACAACGGATGAATAAAATGAAAATATCAATAAAGAGATGGAAACATTTTAAAAAAACAAATTCTGGAGCTGAAGTGTACAATAGCTAAACTTTAAAAATTTACAGTAGGTATTTAATAGTAGACCAAGTAGAAGAAAGAATCAGTAAACTTGAAGACAGCTCATTTGAAATTATTAAGTTAGGGAGTGAAAAGAAAAAAGAAAGAAGAGAAATGAGGAGAGACTAAGGGTCTTATAGGACACCATCAAGCCAACCAATATACACATTATAGTAATTCCAGAGGGAGAAGAGAGAGAAAAGAGGAAGAGAGTCTGTTTGAAGAAATAATAACCAAAAACTTCCCAAATTTGAGGAAATAAATGGACATACAAATTCAAGAAGCTCAAAGAACTTCAACTAGGATAAAATAAAAAAGAATTACACCAAGACATACTGTAATCAAACTGTCACATCACAATGAAAAAATCCTGAAAGCAGCAAAAGAGACTAATCACTTATGAGGGAACCAACTCTGTAAGATAATCAGCAGATTTCTCAGCAGAAACCTTGCATGCCAGAGGGAGTGGGGTGATATATTCAAAGCACTAAAAAAAAAAAAAGAAAATAACTGCCAATCAAAAATACTATCCAGTAAAACTATTTTTCAAAAAATTAAGTGCAAATTAAGACTTTTCTAGATAAATAAAAGTTAAGAGAATTTAACACCTCTAGACATATCCTACAAGAAATGCTAAAAGGAGTCCTTCAAGTTGAAATGAAAGGACACTACATCTTAACTTTTAAAAAAATTACAAAGTCTTTACAAATTTGGAGAAGGAAGCTGGGTGCGGTGGCTCATACCTGTAATCAGCACTTTGAGAGGCCAAGGCAGGTGGATCACTTAAGGTCAGGAGTTCAAGATCAGCCTGGCCAACATGGTGAAACCCCATCTCTACTAAAAATACACAAATTAGCTAGGTGTGGTGGCACAGGCCTATAGTCCCAGCTACTCAGGGGGCAGAGGCAGGAGAATCACTTGAATCTGGGAGGCAGAGGTTGCAATGAGCTGATATCGTGCCACCGTACCCCAGCCTGGGCATCAGAGCAAGACCTGTCTCAAAAAAGATTTGGAGAAGGAGACTTTACTTATTGTAAAGGGTTACAGCATGCAAGGTGGCCATTCTTCAGGCAGGGAAGCATGGCCTCTGACAGAGACCCAGAAACTGGCACTTCAAAGGAATAGGGGTTGGGGTAGGAGGTTTATGCTGAATGAGTTGGTGAAACATACATATTTAACAGGTTATAGGAGGAGCTATGAATATTCATGAAGGTGGTTCTAATGCATGTGTATTGAACACACATGCACGTTACATGGTCATACATAGCCCATGTTCATTTTGGGATGGAGCCTTAACATATAAATGTATTACAGTTAGGCCCTAAATGTCAAAGGATCTTTTCAGAACACAAAGGCACTCAAGTGCATAACCCCTGTAAACTGGCCAGAAACAGTACATTGTTGGTGGTCTTCTTTTCAGGGGAAAATAACTAAAATCAGTGTCTTATTCAATCAACACTGTATTTACAGCTTGAGGAACAGAGGGACTCAGTTAGTCAGTGTTTGTTGGTTGGTGAGCTGCAAGTGCTTCAGCATTGCTTACCTCAAGGCCAGCGCTTGTTTAGCTGCTAGAGAAAGAGAAAAACCTTGTGGCACTTAAAACATAGTTTATTATCTAAGTGTAGAAGTACATGACTTAAACCATTGCTTGCATGGCCTTAGATCCTATTTATAATTTGGTATCTTATGGCCCTAGAGAGCCAGTTCTGTCAGTCTTATAATCTCTATTTTAATATTAATTCTGGTCAGTTTTTGTATCTAAACCCCAAAAGGGAGGGAGTATGAATGAGGCATATATGATCTCCCACCCCATCATGACCAAGAACTCAGTTTTTAAGGTCTTTCTGGAGTCCCCTTGGCTGGGAGGGAGTCCATTCAGTAGTGAGGGGCTTAGGTTTTTATTTTTACTTTACAACAGCAATATAAAAGCATATGAAAATGTAAAGTTTTCTGGGAAAGGTAAATATGTAAATAAATATAGAATCCTCTAGTATTGTAATCACTTTTATTCTGGTATAGAAGTTAAAAGACAAAAGCATAAAAATAACTATACATCTATGTCAACAGATATACAATATAAAAAATGTAATTTGTGATATCAATAACATAAAATCAGCAGGGGACAGAAACGTAGAGTAGTTTTATATGCAATTGAAGTTGTTAGCAGTTTAAAATAGATTGTTGTAACCTTAAGATGTTTTACATACTTCCCATCCTAACCACTAAGAAAATTTCTATAGAATATCCACAAAAGGAAGTAAGAGAAGAATCAAAGCATGACACTACAAAAATCAACCAAACACAAAAGGAAGGCAGCAAGAGAGGAAAAGAGGATTAAAAAAAAATAGCTTCAAGACATACAGAAAACTAGGAACAAATGGCAAAAGTCTTTCTATCAGTAATTACTTTAAATGTAAATGGATTAAAACACCAATCAAGAGATATATTTGGCTGAGTGGATTTTTTAAAAATCCACTTATATGCTATCTATAAGGGACTTTAGATCTAAGGACATACATAGACTGCAAGTGAAAGAATGTAAAACTATATTCCACACAAATAGTAACCAAAAGAAAGCAAAGGTGGTGTGTTAGTTCATTCTGATATTGCTATAAAGAAATACCTGAGGCCAGGCACAGTGGCTCACGCCTGCAACACTCTGGTTGCCAAGGTGGTTGGATCATGAAGTCAGGAGATTGAGACCATCCTGGCTAACACGGTGAAACCCTGTCTCTACTAAAAATTCAAAAAATTAGCCAGGCATGGTGGCGGGAGCCTGTAGTCCCAGCTACTGGGGAGGCTGAGGCAGGAGAATGGAGTCAACCTGGGAGGCGGAGCTTGCAGTAAGCCGAGATTGTGCCACTGCACTCCAGCCTAGGCAACAGAGTGAGACTCCATCTCCAAAAAAAAAAAGAATACCTGAGACTAGGTAATTTATCAAGAAAAGAGGTTTAAATGGCTCACAGTTCTACAGGCTGTACAGAAAACATGATGTTGACATCTGTTCAGCTTCTGGGGAAGCCTCAAGAAACTTACAAACATGGCATTAGGCAAAGGGGGACCCAAATTCTTACATGGCAGAAGCAAGGGCAAAAGAGATGGAGGCGGGAGGAGCTACACACTTTTAAACAACCAGACCTTGTGAGAACTCACTCACTATCACGAGAACAGCACCAAGTGGATAGTGCTAAACAATTCATGAGAAACCACTCCCACGATCCAACCATCTCCCAACAGGCCCCATCTCCAACACTAGAGATTACAATTCAACATGAGATTTGGGCAGGGACACAGATCCAAGCCATATCAGGGGGCTATACTTACATCAGACAAAATAGACTTTAGTCATTTATGCCTAGTGTTCCATTATTGGAATGCTAAGCTGTAGGAGATCTGTCATAGTGGTGGTAGAAACTATAGGGAAAGGAGCAGGCCTTCTGAAAGGTTGGAAGGCTCTGCAGAGCTTTGGGGGGAATAGCTGAAGGCAGCTGTTCTCTAATCCTGAGACAGAGGCCAAAGAGTATGTGCAAGGGAGTGAAGGGGAAGTTATCTTGATCAGGCTTGTTTGTTTGAAGTTGTCCAGGAATTGACCTTTGAACATCCATGCACGTGATGTTCCCTGAAAGGGGAATATATACATGTTAATTACCCACAGATAATACACGTTAATTACGTGCACATTGTGTTTGCTCCAGGCTCTTGGCATGTGCCTGCACTGAATAAAAGCAAGCAGCTCCAGCTTCTCTAGGCAGCACTTTGGCCACTAGAGCCAGGCAGTCTGCTAGCTGTTCTTACACGGCATACCTGTGTCTGAGTACTCATTTCATCCATCAGCCAGGGTCTGTGGGACAGACTTGGCAGGTGGTGCCCCATCTGAGGAATGCTGCAACGGATCATGACAGAATCCTCAAAAACAAAGGTGAAGTGACTGTGCAGTAAGTAATTGGTGCCTGCTCAGGATTTCCAAGTTCAAGGGGATTTTCAAGCTAGGGTTTCACCATGAGACAACAGTTATCATCTCAACAGCAACAGTATATAAAAGTATTGAAACAGCTGCTTAAAGCTATTGGATCCTCTGTCTCAGAGGCCTAATTAAGGGACCTAATGCGAACTGTTGTTTCCCATAACCCATGGTTCTCAGAAGAAGGCACGCTAGACTTAGAGCTCTGGGAACAAGTGGGAAGAAATCTTAAAAGACATCATGCACAAGGGCAACGGGTCCTAGTAACATCTTTAATGTTATGGGCGTTAGGTAGGGCTGCTTTGTCCCTGCTCTATACAGAAGAGCCTAAAAAGGGAAGGGAAGAGGAACCATCACCTACCTTACTGCCCCCTCCTCCTCCCTCAGCCCTGCCGTTATGGGTATAGGTGCCACAGAAGAGACAGAGAATTTTCCTGAGCCCCCTCCCCCAATAAATTGGAAAAAAGACAAGGGATACACTACGGGACGCTCTCTTAGGCAAGTGGCATTAGAAGGGGAGCTCTTGGCCTGCCCAGTGATGCAAGATCAACAAGGCAATTGGGTACATGAACCCACTACTTTCAACACTTATAAAGAAATAAGAAAAAGCATTAGAGAAAACGGAGCTGCTAGCCCATTTACAAAAGGATTAATTGAGGCCATAGCAGATAACTTCCATATGACCCCATGGGACTGGTCATAGCTAAAACAACTTTAGAGGCCAGTCAATACCTCCTCTGGAGGGCAGAATATGATGAATTGTGCGAACAAGAAGTCAACCAGAATCAATTGGCCAGGCAAAACATAATGGCTGCTATGCTCCAGGGGAGGGGTCCCTATGTCAATGTACAACAACAATTAAATTTTGTCCCCCAAGCCTAAGCACAAGTGTCCTTGTGCACCCTCAGGTTTTGGGACTGAATCCCCAAAGATGGAGTTCAACAGGGATCTTTTGTAAATGTAGAACAAAGGCCTCAGGAGCGATTTGTTGAATTTATAAATCAGTTAACCAAGGCAATTAAGAGACAAATTAGTCATGCCCAGGCCACTGATATCTTATTGTTGCAACGGGCTTATGAAAATGCTAATGTAGACTGCCCGCAGACAATGCAGGTAATCAGAGGAAAGGCAGCTACAGTCGGGGAACTTATATGAGCATGTCAGCTGGTGGAGACTGAAACATACAAAGCCAAAATATTGGCTATGGCATTAAAGCCTCCTTCCCGCTGGCAAACTACTCCAGTTCTTATCTTATATTCCTGTAGTTATACCTACAAAGGTAGTTCACTACCCCATATCTAATGCTTTAACACTTTTCACTGATGGCTCTGGTAAAAATGGAAAAGCAGCTATCTGGTGGGAACCACATAACTCCCTCACTCGATCTGGGTTTACTAGTACTCAGAGAGCTGAGGTTGGAGCCCTGGAATATTGGCCCTGGAATCCTTTTCCACTCAGCCCATCAATATTGTTAGTGACTCTGCTTACTCCATTTATTTATTGCAAAACCTTGAAACAGCCCTCATTAAGTCCACTCTTGAGCCCACCTTCTGTGTCCTTTTTCTTCAACTTCATTGCTGGATCAGCATACACATCCTATTTTTATTACACACATTCAGGCCCACAGCTCACTGCCCAGTCCACTAGCTCATGGCAATGATCAAGCAGACCTGCAGGTTATGACGTCACTGCTTGAACAAGCCACCCAGTCACATCAATTTTTCCACTAAAATTGGAGAAATTTAAATAATTTCAGTTAACCCAAAGACTAGTGAAACAAATTATCCTGCAATGCCCTGATTGCCAGCTCACAGGCCCATCCCCTCCTTCAACAGGTGTTATAACCCTAGATGACTAGAACCTAATGAGTTGTGGCAAACAGATGTTACGCACGTCCCTGAATTTGGAAAACTAAGACATGTACATATATCCGTAGATACCTTTTCCCACCTAATTAGTGCACATGCTCTTCCTGGAGAGTCCACCCGATATGTCATTAAACATCTTCTCTTAACTTTTGCGTTTATGTGGCAGCCCACAAAAATTAAAACTGATAATGGTCTGGCTTACACCAGTTCACAATTTCAACAATTTTGTCACACATGGAATGTCCAACATTCCATGGGTATCCCCTATAACCCCCAAGGACAGGCCACAGTAGAACGTGCCCACTCCACCCTTAAAAATATGCTCAGAAAATAAAAAAGGAGGAATACGAGTAAGGACCCTACAACACTACTAGCACAAGTCTTATTCACCCTTAATTTCTTAAATTCAGATAGTAAATTTTAATCAGCCATATAAAAGCACTTTGCTAAAACCTCCCAAGATGTAAAACCTTTAGTTTTATGGAAAGATGTAAATGGTAATCTATGGTGCAGTCCAAATGATTTATTAACATGGGGAAGAGGATATGCTTGTGTTCACACCCCCTCAGGTCCTCTTTGGATTCCAGCATGACACATCAAACCATACCACGGCATGGCTGGGACCCAACCTGGTACCAGAAATGAAGGAAATGATCCTGCAGGACCCACATCCCCAGATGATGCAGCTTCCTTGGACAACACAGGCCCTGGACATTATGCTGATGGAGACAACTCAGAAGGCTGAGCAAATCCTGCTCCAGACACAAACACTGTTCACTCCAGATAATCTGTTCCTTGCTATTCTCTCTGTTGGACATTGCAACTCTCGTAGGGTATTGGTTTTTCTTATTCTCTCACTCTACCTGCAGCCTGTACCTGCTACACTCTATTAGGTCCATCTTCTAGATCCTCCTTTCTTCCACTCTGTTACTTTGGTGGACACCCCCTTCCCAGCTTCTAACAATGGGACTGCTTGGCTAGGAGGGATTAATATACCCCTGGTGGGGTTTCTCAACAACAACCCTATAGAACAATGTGCAAAAACACCCCTGCTGGATAGACCCCCACTCCTGGGGGTCACTCTTTAATTGGAAAAAAATATTACTGATTATACTCATGTTTGCCTTATGTTATCTACTGGTTCTAGGATGCAAAGCCAGAACACAACTGTAACCACTGTGCCTGTCAAGCCTGTCACTGTGCACATCTGTGTGCTACTTCAATCAACAAAACCTGATGCAAAAAACAGAAAAGGGGGGGATGTAGGACATCCATTAGAGTGATGGGAGAAACTATCGGGAAAGGAGCAGGCCTTCTAAAAGATCAGAAGGCTCTGCATAGCTTCAGGGGAGAATAGCTGAAGGCAGCTGTTCTCTAACCCTGAGGCAAAGGGAGAGGAGTATGTGCAAGGAAGTGAAGGGGTGATGTTCCCTGAAAGGAAAACAATAAATGTTAATTACTCGCAGATTGTGTTTGCTCCAGGCTCTTGGCATGTGCCTGCACTGAATAAAAAGCAAGCAGCTCCAGCTTCTTGAGGCTGCACTTTGGCCACTAGAGCCAGGCAGTCCCCTAGCTGCTCTTACACTGCATACCTGTGTCTGAGTACTCATTTCATCCATCGGTCAGCGAGGGTCTGTGGGACAGACCTGGCACTAAGCATGTGGGAGTTATTTATATCCTACTGCTCAAGATCATCGCCAAGGTCTGATTGCAAAAATTCAAAAAATTGCAACCTCAGGCATAAATGAGTTAAGTCAGAAACTGCCCTAGAAACAAAGAAGGACACTTTATAATGACAAAATGATCAATTCTCCAGAGAGCTATCACAATCATAAGCAAATATACTCAACATCAGAGGTCCCAAATGTATGAGGAAAATATTGACATAATTGACAGGAGAAATAGACAACAATAAAAATAGTAGAAGGCTTCAATATTCTATTTGTAATAGTGAATAGAATAATCAGACAGAAGATCAATAAGGAAACAGAGAACTTGCAAAACACTATAGCTCAATGGGACCTATAGACATATACAGAACACTGTACCCCAAACAGCAGAATATACATTTTTCTCAAGTGCACATGGAAAAATTCTCCAGGACAGACCATACGTTAAGTCACAAAACAAGTCTTAACAAATTTAAAAAGATTGAAATCATACCAAGTATCATTTACAACCACAATGTAATAAAACTAGAAAACAATAGCAGAAGGAAAACTGGAAAGTTTACAAATATGTGGAAATTAAACACCAAACTCTTAAACAAACAAGGTCAAAGAAAAAAATCATATAGGAATTTAGAAAATATCTTGGGACCAATGAAAATGAAACCACAATGTACCAAAACTGATAAGATACAATGAAAGCAGTACTAAAAGGGAGGTTTATAGTGATAAATGCATACATTGGAAAATATGAAAAATCCCAAATTAATGATCTAAAGTTACACCTCAACAGAACAGATGCAACTGATGCAACAGAAATGAAAAGGATTATATGAGATTGCTATGAACAATTATACAACAACAAAATAGAGAACCTAGAAGAAATGGATGAATAGCTAGAAACATAAAACCTACAAAGACTGAATCATAAAGAAACTAAAAATCTGAACATATCTATAACTAGTAAGGAGATCAAATTCATTATCAAAAATCTTCTCCCCAAAAAAGCCCATTATTAAATGGCTTTATTGAAGAATTCTAAAAAATATTTAAAGGACAATTTATACCAAAACTCCTCAAAATCTTCTAAAATATTAAAAAAGAGGGAACACTTCCAAACTCGGTTCATGAAGCTGACATTACCCTGATAAGAAAAGAAAACTTACTATAAGAAAAGAAAAAATTCAAACCAATATCCATAATAAATATTAATGCAAAAATTATAAACAAAGTACTAGCAATTCGAAATCAACAGCACATTAAAAGAATTATACACCATAACCAAGCAAGATTTATTCCTGGAATGTAAAGATGGTTCAAGATATGAAAATCAATCAATGTAAAACATAACATTAACAGAGTGAAGGATTAAAAGCACATGATCGTCTCAGTCAATGAAGAAAAAGCATTTGACAAAATTTAATACACTTTCATGATAAAAACACACAATAAGCAAGGAAAAAAAGGAATGTACCTCAATATAATTAAGGCCATATATGCAAAGCCTTCAGCTAACATCATACTCAATGGTAAAAAGCTGAGTTTTTTCCTCTAAGATCAGGAATATGGCAAGGATGCTCATTCTCACCACTTCTATTCAACATAGCACTGGAAGTCCTAGAACAATGACACAAGAAAAACATATAAAAGGCATCCAAATTGGAAAGGTAAATGTAAAATTATTCCTGTTTATAGATGATGTGGTTTTATATTGTAGAAAACCCTAAAAGTTCAACAAAAAAAGCCTGCCAGAACTGTTAAACAAATTCAGCGAAGTTGCAGGTTACAATACCAACACATAAAATTAGTTGCATTTCTATAAGCTAACAACGAACAACCCAAAAGGAAATTTAAGAAAACAATTTCATTTACAAAACCATAAAAACGATCCTTAGGAATAAATTTAACCAACAAAAATAAAAATATGTACACTGGAAACTACAAAATATTGCTCAAGGAAATTGAAAAAACACAAATAAATAAATAAAAACATATCCTGTGTTCATAAGTGAGAAAGCTTAATATTGTTAAAATTTCCACACTACCCAAAGCAATCTACAGATTCAAGGCAATCTTTATAAAAGTAGCAATGTCACATTCTTTGCAAAAATAGCAAAAACCATCCTAAAATTCACACAGAAAATCAAGGGACCCCCATATAGCCAAAATATCTTGAAAAAGAAAACAGTTGGAGGCCTCACACTTCCTAATTTCAAAACATTATAAAGCTACAGTAATAAAAACTATGGTAATGGCATAAAGACAAATGTTTTGACCAATGGAACATAATATAGAGGCCAGAAATAAACCCTTGTGCATATGGTCAAATGATCTTGGTCAAAGGTGTCAAGACCATACAATGAGGAAAGGATTATCTTTTCAACAAATGGTGCTGGGAAAATTGGATATCAACATGCAACAGAACAAAGTTGGGCATTTAAGCTACACCATAGATAAAAACTAAATGGATTAAAGATTTAAACATAAGATCCAAAACTCTGAGACTCCTAGAAGAAATTATAGTGGAAAAGCTTCATAATATTGGATTTAGTAATGATCTGTGTATAGTGAATGAGTTCACCATGAATGAATATTGATTATTATGATGTTGTCTGCTTGTATTATGTTTCATTTTTTAAAAAGCAACTTTTATAGATAGCATAATTTTATGAATAAATTTTTATATCAATATCGTGCAGCCAAAAGTTAAAAATTATTAACAGTGCTTTCATTTGAATTCTTTTTTAACACAATAATTTGTTAAATTATTTTATTATGACACCAAAAGTGCAGGAAACCAAAGCAAAAATAGACAAATGGGACTATATCAAACTTAAAAACTTATGTGCATCAAAGGAAACAATTTACAGAGTGAAAAGGCAACCTACAGAATGAGAGAAAATATTTTCAAATCATATGTCTGCCAAAGGGCTAATAATTGAATATATAAAGGACTCCTACAACTCAACAGCAACCAAAAAAATCCCAAGTAACTTGATTAAAAACCTGGCAAAGGACTTACATATATATTTCTCCAAAGAAGATATACAAATGGCCAAAAAGCATATGACAAGATGCTCAATATCATTAAACATTAGAGAAATGCACATCAAAACCACATAGATATCACAAAAACAAACAAACAAAATATACCAGGAAATAACAAGCATTGTCAAGATATGGAGAATTGGAATCCTTGTGCACTGCTCACAGGAATGTAAAATTGTGTAGCTGCCATGGAAAACAGTATGAAGTTTCTTTTAAAAATTAAAAAGACAGTTACATATGATCCAGCAATCTTATTTTGGATATATATCCAAAGAATTGAAAGCAGGATCTTGAAGAGCTATTTGCACGCCAGTGTTCACTGAAGCATTACTCACAATAGCCAAGAGGTGAGAGCAACCTCAAATGTCATTTAAAGGAAGAATGGATTTTTTAAAAATGTGGAATATATATGTGACGAGACCAGCTCAGTCCGGGAGACCCTAACCCAGTGGCGCTAGAGGAATTAAAGACACACACACAGAAATATAGAGGTGTGAAGTGGGAAATCAAGGGTCTCACAGCCTTCAGAGCTGAGAGCCCCAAACAGAGATTTACCCACATATTTATTAACAGCAAGCCAGTCATTAGCATTGTTTCTATAGATCTTAAATTAACTGAAAGTATCCCTTATGGGAAAGGAAGGGATGTGCCGAATTAAAGGAATAGGTTGGGCTAGTTAACTGTAGCAGGAGCATTCCTTAAGGCACAGATTGCTCATGCTATTGTTTGTGGCTTAAGAATGCTTTTAAGTGGTTTTCCACCCTGGACGGGCCAGGTGTTCCTTGCTCTCATTCTGGTAAACCCACAACCTTCCAGCGTGGGCGTTATGGCCATCATGAACATGTCACAGTGCTGCAGAGATTTTGTTTATGACCAGTTTTGTGGCCAGCTTATGGCCAGATTTTGGGGGGCTTGTTCCCAACATATATGCAATGTTATTCAGCCTTAAAAAAAATCTCATCACATGGTACAACATGGATGAACCTTGAAGACATTATGCTAACTAAAATAAGTCAATCACAAGCAGATGGTCTTATTGATTCCTTTTAGATGCGGCACCTCAAATAGTTAAACTAATTGAAACAGAAAGTAGAATGGGGGTTGGGGAAAAGGGGAAAGTGGGTAGTTTTTCAACAGGTATAAAGAGTTTCAGTTTGTGAGATGAAAAACTTCTAGAAATCAGTTGTACAACAATGTGAATACAGCTAACACTATTGAACTATGCACTTAAAATGGTTAAGACGGTAAATTTTATATTATGATGTGGTGTGTGATTTTTTGGCCACATTAAAACAAAACAAAACACCCTGGCCCAGAGCCATCTTACAAAAGTTCATTAACATTAACATCATTCCTGTCTGACTCTCTCCCCGACCTCTCCTTCTCCTCCATTCTCACCCCTCCAGCTCCAACTTCAATTGGGATCAACCATCACTGTCAGAGAGTGGGCAAGGATGCTATTAGAAAGACAGAAGAAACAGACAGCATCCTTTTATCCAGGAGCAAGTTGTCCATATGTAAAGGACCTGGCTAAGAGAAAGGGGATGGCTTTCCTCTGAGAGGAGAATGAAGTGCTGATCAACATAAAAGACTAGGCATTCGAATTTCTAGTATAGGACTATAGTTTACAACTTAGAGTAAACTAGGAATGAACAGAAGAGTCAATAGACACACCCAGTTTTAATCTGTTGGCCAAAAAAAAAAAAAAAAAAAAAATCCTACTTAGCTTGTTTAAGGAGACAATAGGAAACAAAAATAAAGATGTTTTAAAATTATAGCCTGCATATTTTACCTGTTCAATATACTGGTTTAAAATATTAATGCATACAATGTTAATACAGACAGAAAGTTGGAAAGACTGTACCTAGATGGTTAACAGTTAACAGTAATCATCTTTGGGGAGGGACTGGAAAAGGGTGTGTTTGAAAGGAGATTTTCACTCTACACTCACCACATATTTATGCAAGCAGTATGTATTCCTATGTCACTTATGTAAGTGATGTGGTATTTTTAAAGTCAAAAGTTGAAATTAACATATTGTGCAGGTTTATTTCATATAGGTAATGGGTCTAAGTACTGTCTAACTTTGTTATAATCAGATATTAGTGAACCCCTGTGAAACACAAACTTTTTTTGAAACTGTTAGAACCCAGCATTGATAATAGAGCCAGATGAGAAAACTGTTTTTCTAGATTTTTCTTTTTTCTGTAGCTAAAAGAGGAAGAAAGAAAAGAGGAAGGAAAGAAGGAAGGAAGGTCCAATTTCCTTTTCCCTAAAATTTTAAACAGGCTAATTTTTAAAACAAACAAACAAAAAGTACCTCAATAACTCTATCAGTTTCTGATTATAGGAAGTGAGTTCACCACAAATGAATATTGATTATTATATTGTTGTCCGTTTGTATTATTTTTCCTTTTCAAAAAAGCAACTTTTATGGATAGCATAATTTTACGGAGAAACTTTTATATCAATATCTTGCTGGCAAAAGTTAAGAATTACTAGCAATGGTTTCATTTGAATTCTTTTTTAAACACAGAATCAGCATCAGGTTTCACATGCTTACAAAAAGACTAAGAAAACCCCCAATAACTCCAAAAGGCAATGTGGATAACTTCCTTTGAAAATAATTAATGATAATTGTAAACATTGCTTTCCTGGATATTCTGCCATTATGTTGGCCCTTCCTCACACGTTACCACTAGAATCTTTAGGAGCATCTTCTTGCCAACATAAACTGTGTGAAAACTTTACAAACACAGCTGGGAAGAATAGACCAATGACCTCTGTATGACTTCTTGGCAGCTTTGCAAGTCAGAGGCCTAATTTGAAGTGTGGAATTGGTGGTTTGACCAGTTTTGGCTAACACTGGGTCCACATGTCAGAGAGATGCAGCAGCTCCCTCCCCGGGTCACCAGCTCAGTCCCATGCATGGTGAGTCACAGTGGCAGAGGGTGCCTCCTTCCTGGCTGTCTTGACTCACTCAGTGGAGCAGGAGAGGATTTTCATGGGAGTTGTGGTCCTGTGTTACATGACAGACCGCAGTGAGCTAAACTGCTTCACCAAAATGCAATCAAATACCTCAAAGAAGGAGAGAACAGGATGGAAATGACCAAATTTACTGATGGTTTGGGTTGGCAAAGTTCTATTAAGTTCTAACATTAGCTCTGGGCTCATAAATCATCATTAGTTCTGTCTCCCACTTCTGATAGTTAAATTGCTGCAGTTGAAGTTGACTTTTCAATAAGTTCTATAGCAATTTACATGCAGTCAAGGTCGAATGGATGGTAGACTCGCACGTTGTTCCCTCCATTTTTCTCCTGTAATGCTTGTCTTTCTCCGTCTTCCACTTACTGTCTTACTGCTTTATATCACTTATATCCTTGAAGATTAAAATTGCAGCTGATCTATTTCAGTAAATATTCCCGTATTTGTGTCATTCTGTTAGGATTTCTATTCTGTGTTCTCTTAATTTTTGCTCCATATCACTTATTACTTGATTTAAAGTCTTTATCACTTCGCACTCAAAGCACTATATTTTCTAGTCACTCCCTATGTTTCTTCTCTCACCTGAGTTCACTGTGTCCATGTTTCCTTTTGGTCTCTTCTGCTCCAGCCTACTCTAAATAATGATATTCCCAAGATTCAACCTTGGTTCTCTTTCCTTCTCAATCTGTACACTCACTTTGAGCAATAGCATCTATACGCATGCACATGATGATGTCTCTCTTGAGCTCTCCAGGTTTATCATCTAGTTGCCTTCTAGACATCCAGATGAACTACACCTATCTCAGACATGAAATGTTGAAGAATGAGTTTATAGCCTTCCTCCTGAATTCCTGATTTAAGTTCATGGCAAAATTCCTTAACCAATCACCGTTTACCCACCCCTTTATTTTCCCAAATAAAGACAATTGTCAGCTTTTGTCAATTCCACGTCTTTAATAGATTACATATTTAAAACTTCTTTTCCATCTACCCTAATGTGTATTACTGATTTCCATTATCAATATATTTCTTGCAAAACTTCAGGATTTCATCATGTCTCATATGGATTCAGTAGAGGCAACGTAGAGAATGGATTTGATAGAAGCATTGTGTTTACATGAAATTATAAACTAATATGTTCATTGCATCATTTATTCAACAAATATTTCTAAGCCCCAGTTCTGAGGCAAAAAACAAAAGGTATACCTAATTTAAAATGCAAAGTGGGAGGATGAGTGGCAGATGAATTGGGGATATAATGGTAGAACTTTCCCTAGTAATTTCAATGTTGACATTGTCATAATTTAAGTGAAAAATTGCAAATATTTCAAGTAATTTAGATAGTTCTTTCATATTTACAGTAGCTATAGATCTCCCTACTACCTCAGCTCCATGAAAGTTTGGGAAGGAGATAAAACCTCTTCTGAACATATTTCTTTTGATAGTAGTTGAGACATTGACATTGAATTAATGTTTTTTAATTGAGTTGAAATTCACATAACATAAACTTAAGCATTTGAAAGTGAAAAACTCATTAGGGTTTACTTAGTATATTTCAAATGTCGTACAACTACCACTTCTGTCTAGTTTCAAAATATTTTCATCACCTCAAAGGAAAACCCCTTATCCCGTAAGCACTTTCTCCCACCCTCCCCCTACTCCCAAACCCTGATAAGCACCAATCTGTATTCTGTCTGTATGGCTTTACCTATGCTTAATATTTCATATAAATGGAATCGCACAATATGTAATCTTTTGTGTCTGGGTTCTTTCATTTTGCATAATGTATTCAGGTTTATCCACATTGTAGCATGTTTCAGCACTTTGTTCCTCTTTATGCTAAATAATATTCCATTGTATGTATACATCACATTTTTTTCTGACCATTAATCTGTTGATGGATATTTGGGATGTTTCCAACTTTTGGTTCTTGTGAATGGTGGTACTATTAACATATATATGTACATATACTTGTTTGAGTACATGCTTTTAATTCTTCTGGGTATATACTTAAAACTGAAAATGATGAGTCATATGGTAAATCTATGTTTTATTTTTGAAGAACAACCAAACCGTTTTCCACAGCAGCTTCCCTATTTTACATTCTCACCAGAAGTGCACAAGGGTTCCAATTTCTTGTCATTCTAGCGGCTGTGAAATCGTACCTGTGGTTTTGATTTTCATTTCCCTATTGACTAATGATTTTGATCATGTTTTCATGTCTTCTTGGTGATTTATATATCTTCTTTGAAGAAATGTCTATTTTGTTTCTTTTCCTATTTTTTAGTTGTGTTGTCTTTTTATTGTTGAGTTGAGGAGTTCTCTATATATTCTGGATATTAGAACCTTATCAATTAGATGATTTGCAAATATTTTCTTCTATTCTGTAGATTGAGTTTTCATTTTCTTGATAATGTTCTTTGATGTAAAGCCCTTTTAATGTTGATGAGTACAGTTAATAGCAAAATTTTTGTTGTTGATCTTTATGATTTTGTTCGGCTATCAAGGAATCCACTGCCAAATTCAAGGACTTGCCAAGATTTACTCCTATGTTTTCCTCTAAGAGTTTTTGGTTTTAGCTCTGATATTTAGTCTTTGGCCTATTCTGAGTTGATTTTTGTAAATGGAGTGAGGTAGGGGTTCTCATTTCACTCTTTTGCTTATGTATTTCCAGTTGTACCAACAACATTTGTTGGTGAGATTATCATTTTCTTCATTTGGTGCCCTTGTTCAAAATCAAGTGGAAATAGTTGTATGGGTTTATTTCTGGACTCTCGATGATCTATATGTCTCTATACACCAGTGCCATACTTTCTTGATTACCATAGCTTCTTTGTAAGTTTTTAAGTCAGAATATATGAATTCTTTAACTTTGTTTTGTTTCAAGATTGTTCGGCTATTTTAAAATTATTGTTAAATTCTTGTAGAATTTAACAATGACAATTCTATATGAATTTGAGGATTAGTTTTTCCCTGTTTGTAAAAAGGCTGTCGAAATTTTGACAGAGATTTCACTGAATCTATAGATGATATTAACATAAAAACTTTTGAGAAATTAAATTTAACAGCATTTGAGCAAAGAATGATTCATGAATTAGGCAGCACTCAGAATAGAAGAGGTTCAGAGCTCCACTTTGCAATATGGGCAGTATTTATAGACAGAACGTGATGTAAAGTGCAGAAATAGCTCGATTGATTAGAGCTAGACATTTGACTGACATGGACATGGTCTGATCAGTTGGCTGCCTGTGATTGGTAAAGATCAGGCTATGTGTTCTAAAAATCAGACCCCCAAGTTGTTTCTTTATGTACTAAGTTAGATTGTGATGCACTATGAAGGAACTCAAAGTATGGAGACAGCATCAGGTCAATGGCCTCCTGTTTATTTAATTTAACAATGGCGATCAGAAATATTGCCATCTTAACTATATTGTCTTCAATTCTTGAATACGGTATGCAATTCCAATTATTTATGTATTAAATTGCTTTTAGCAATGATTTTTAGTTTTCAGTATACGAGTCTTTCATTGTTTAAATTTATTTCTAGGTATTTTAATTTTTGAATGCTTATGTAAATGAAATTTTCTTAATTTACTTTTCAGTTTGTTCATTAATAGTGCAAAAAATACAACTTAAATTTGTGTTTATCTTGTACCTGCAACTTTGCTAAATTATTAGTTTTAGTTGTGTCATTCTTGTTTTTTCAGATTCCTTGGAATTCCCTAGATATAAGACCATGCCATCTCTGAATAGAGAGTTTTACTTTTTCCTCTCTAATTTGTATGCATTTTATTTCTTTTCCTTGCCCAACTGCTCTAACTAGAACTTCCAGTACAATGTTGAAGAGCAGTAGTAGAAGTGGGCATCCTTGTCTTGTTCTTGATCTTAGGGGGAAAGCTTTCTTTATTTCATTATTGAGTATGATGTTAGGTAGGTGTGGGTTTAGGAATTTCCCTTCTTTTCTTAGTTTCCTGAGTGTTTTTATCAAGAAACAATGTTGATTTTTTTCAAATGCTCTGTGTCAATTGACATGATCACATGGTTTCTTTCATTTTATTATTATGATGTGTTAAGCAAACTGATTCTCTTTTGTTGAACCACCCTTCCATTACTAGGATATACCCCACTTGGTCACAGTGTATAACCTTTTAATATGCTTTTGGATTCAAATAGCTGATATTTTGTTGAGGATTTTGAGTCTATATTCATATAGGAATATTGGTCTCTAGTTTTCTTATGGTGTCTTTGTCTGGCTTTGGTATGAGAATACTAGTGGCCTCATAGATTCAGTTAGGAAGTGTTCCCACCTCTTCAATTTTTTGGAAGAGTTTGAGAAGGATTGGTGTTAATTCTTTAAATGTCCAGTAGAATTCACCAGTGAAGCCATCTGGTCTTTGACTTTTGTTTTTTAAGGTTTTGTTGTTGTTGTTTTTAAAGGACTGATTAAATCTCTTTGTTATAGATCTGGTTATAGTTCCTATTTTTTCTTGAGTTAGTTTTGGTAATTTCTGTGTTTCTAGGAACATGTCCTTTTCATTCAGGTTATTTGTCAGCACACAACTGTTCACAGTCAAATCTTACAATCCTTTTTCCATATATAAGTTTGATATAATGTCTTCACTTTCATTTCTCATTTTATTTAATTGAATCTTATCTTTCTCTTTTCAAATTTGGGGAGTTCTGAGACATTTTTCTCCGCTAATGTAGTTTTTCTTTTTCTCTCTTTTCCTTGTGTGACTTCTGTAATATATATTTCGGTATCCTTGTTGATATCCCATAGGTTCCTTAGGCTTTGCTCATTTTCCTGTTATTTCTTTCTGCTCCTAAGACTGGATAATTTCAGTTTTCCTATCTTAAAGTTTACTGATTCATCCTTCAACATGCGAAAATGTTTCTTGAAATTCTCAAGTGAAGTTTTCACTTCACTTATTTGTACTTGCAAGCCCAAGATTTTCTATTTGGTTCCTTTTGATAATTTCTATCTTTTTATTGATATTTTCCTTTTGTTTATACATCATTACCCTAGTTTCCTTCAGGTTTTATGTTCTTGGTTTTGTGTCTAGAATTGGTGAGTTTCTTGGTCTCGCTGACTTCATGAATAAAGCTGCGGACCCTCACGGTGAGTGTTACAGTTCTTAAAGATGGTGTGTCCAGAGTTTGTTCCTTCTGGAGGGTTCATGGTCTTGCTGACTTCAGGAGTGAAGCCACAGATCTTCACAGTAAGTGTTACAGCTCTTTAAGGTGGCATATCCAGAGTTGTTTGTTTCTCCCGGTGGGTTCGTGGTCTCGCTGACTTCAGGAGTGAAGCTGCAGACCTTCGCAGTGAGTGTTACAACTCTTAAAGCAGCGCATCTGGAGTTGTTCATTCCTCCTGTTGGGTTCGTGGTCTCCCCGGCTTCAGGAGTGAAGCTGCAGACATTTGCGGTGAGTATTACAACTCATAAAGGTAATGCGGACCCAAAGAGTGAGCAGCAGCAAGATCTATTGCAAAGAGCGAAAGAACAAAGCTTCCACAGTGTGGAAGTCGAGGTGGGTTGCTGCTACTGGCTCGGGTGGCCTGCTTCTATTCCCTTATTTGGCCACACTCACATCCTGCTGATTGGTCCATTTTACAGAGCGCTGATTGGTCCATTTACAGAGTGCTGATTGGTCCGTTTTTACAGAGTGCTGACTGGTGCGTTTACAAACCTTTAGCCAGACACAGAGTGCTGATTGGTGCATCTACAATCCTTTAGCTTGACAGAAAAGTTCTCCAAGTCCCCACCCGATTAGCCAGACACAGAGTGCTAATTGGTGCATTTACAAACCTTTAGCTAGACACAGAGTGCTGATTGGTGTGTTTACAATCCTTTAGCTAGACAGAAAAGTTCTCCAAGTCCCCACCCAACCTAGAAGCCCAGCCGGCTTCATCTCTCAGTTTCCTTTAGTTCTTTGAGCATATGTAAGACAGTTGACTTAAATCATTATCTAATAAGTCCACTATCTGGGCTTCCTTAGGAATGGTTTCCATCAATTTCTTTGAGACTTCAGAGGCTACACATGAGTGAATGCAATTAAATCCACAATGTGATGCCTCTACATATTCACCAGAATGTATAACATTTAAAAAGGAAAAGAAAAAGGAAGAACACAAAACACAAATGAGTATAGTAAGTGTTGGCAAAGATGCAGAGTAACTGAAATTTTCATTCACGACTAGGGCATGTATAAATTAGTAAAACCTAAAAACTATTTGGCAGTGTCTATTAATGTTGAATATATTGAATATATACCCTGTGCATAGTAACACTACTTCCAGGGATCTTCCAAAATCAAATGTGTAACTATGTGCATCATAAGACAGGTACAAGAATATTCATAGCAGCGTCATTTGTAATTACCCCAAACTTTAAATAATCTAATGTCAAACAACAGTAGAATAGGCAAGTAAATTTTAGAATTATATACAAAAATGAAAATGAAACTATTATATTCTTGAATATGGATCAATCTTACAAATATAGTATTAAGCAAAAAGAGCCACATAAGAGTGCGTATTATGTATGACTATTTATAAACATTCAGAAGCAGGCAAAACTAATTGGGTGGTAGGATTCAGAATTGTGCCTATCTGTGTGTAGGGGTATAATGACTAAGACTGAGCATGAGGAAAGCTTCTAAATTGCTGGTAAACATTTAAAATTTTGCTGTGAGGCGGTGGTTACACAAGTTTGTTCACACTGTCACTAAGACAAGCACTTATGATTATTACACTTATTTTGTATATGTGTTATGCTTTAAAAGGTTTTCACATCTATCAGTTTATAAAATTTTTTTAAATTGTATTTTATCAGTATTGGCGAGGATACAGGGAAAAATTGCTCAAATACTAGCAGTGGGAATGTAAGTTAAAACAACTACTCAGGGGAGCAAATCAGTGAAATCTATTAAGGATTTACATCGTGCAAACTCTGTGATCCAGTACATTCTCTTGTTGGTATCTGCACTCTAGAGAAATACTTGGACCTAAGTACAAAAAGGCATCTACATATATATTTATGGTACCATTGCTTCTCATAATAATATTAATAAACAAACGTGAGGGTGGGGGAATGGTACATTAATTATGTATGTATATATATACACATATTGGTTCTGAGGACATGCAGCATTTTCAGAGAATGAGGTAGATTTATATACAGATATGGAAAGATTTCAATGCTAAGTGTAAAAAAGTAACATCTACACTTGCAAATGCACAGGAACTAGGAGTCATCATCTACAGACTGGGTTTGTAATTAGGGCCTAAAAGGGATATAAGCATAATTGTAACGTTTAAGCTTTTTTTTTTTTTCGCATGGACAAAATCTTACTTGTGTAATTTAAAATTAATAACGGTACTTAGAATGACTTTGGAAAAATATACAAATAATGAAATGGGGATCCAAAGAATGTTCACTGTATACCTCTGTACTTCTAAAAATGTGAATAAGTGTAGCATCCGTTGGGAGAAAAGTTTAATTAAATTTTAAATAAAACAATAAAAGGTGCCTAACTTCGTGTGAAAACAGACATATAGATATAATTAAATGTGACTACCGCTTAGAGATGTTAGTTATGAACTAGGAGCGCTGAGAAAAGGTATCCTAAATAGGTCTGGGGGAAGTGAGAGTTAGAAGAGGTGACTCTTGAGCTGAGTACCGACATAGAAATGGTATGCCCTGTTTTTATTCCTGGAGGGCTCAGCATGAGGTGCCCAAGAGGCCCTGAAACCCATTTCCATGACATTTTCCCACGAGCTGGAGCATAAACCCCCACCGAATAACTGAAGGGAAGCGGAAGGCGCAGAAACGCGGACGAAGAGGAAGCGGGCGCTTGTTAAACCGTGCGATGCACAATGCGGGAAAGTCCAACCAGCTCCGTGTTTCAAAGCTGGATGCCCAGATTTCCCACCCATTCCTACAGGCAGACCGGCTCGCCCTCTCCCTCCTTCCCGCGTCGTTTACTGGTCAGTAGAAGATTGACATGTCATCTGGCCAATAGGTTGGCTCCTCTATGGAGGCACTCAGGAACCAGTCGGGTCTTTGGTCCCTCGAGCGAGATGCGAGCTGTGTGCGTCGACGTCAGCGTGCTGACGTCACGGGCCGGAGGTCCCGGGGCTGCTGGGTGCGGGCGGTGGGCTGCGCGTTGTCCGCTGGACTGGGTCCCGGTCACGCCCCGCCAAGCCCCGCCCCTCAGGCCGGGGCGCGACCGCGGATCCGCAGTTCCCGGGCCAGCCTGGGGCGGCCGGCCAGGAACCACCCGTTAAGGTAGGCTGGGTTTCTCGTTCCCCTATTTGACAGGTTGGAAAACTGAGTCTCCTGGGTCAGATGACTTACATGGGGGCGTACAGGGGACCCGCGGACGGAGGCCATATCCTGGTCCTGTTCTGTTTCCTGAGTCCTGCGCGAGCCTCCAGGGGAGGAGGAGGGGCGAGGCAGGCTGTGCTCATAATGGACACAAGAGTGAAGTTGCAGAATGCTGAGCCCCGCTGCTCCCACGGCGTGGGCCGGGATTCAGGGATGGATATAGGTAGCGGGAGTGTCCTCATTCCTCCAGCCTGCGGACCCTGAGGAGTCCCCGGTGGGGTCGGCCCCGGGCTGGCGCCATGGGCCCCCAAGAAGGACCAAGAATTGGTGACTGGGTGTAATGCGTGGGTTGTCCAGACACAGGCGGTTGTGAGTCTCTTCTATTCATTGAGAAAAGTCGTGTTCAAAAAAAAAAAAAAGAAAGAAAGCACGAATCATGAATGTTCTCCCTGTGGTTTCAGTTAACTGCTTCACCTACTCGTAGATATCTCGCCATTGTTTGAAATCTTAGTTGCTTGAATACTTTTGATTTAGGGTTAGGGATTTTTCCCCCTCTCTTTTAGTTCAAACATGGGTGGACATTGTGGAACTTTTCTTTGTTCACTGTGTCATTTGTCTTCTATTTCACAGATGGAATCACTGAATTCATCACTTGACACAGTACTAGTTTGGATAAGTTTAGCAAGGTAACCAAGTAACGGGTCTAATTAAATCTTTACTGGAATTAGTCCAGTTTGCCACATTTCCTTGTTAGGAAGAATTCTGAAAGGTAATTCCCGTCTGTATACCATATCTACCCATACGCCTCTTTCTAGAAGCAGGATCTCACAAAACGACTTATGGTATCCTTGTTTTATTGATGGATTCTGATAAGGTGGTGGATTATTCATGTTCATAAAATGAAAACATACAATATGTTGTCGTGTAGAAGTCACTGTCTTTAAAATCTAACTGTCTCAAACATTGGTCTTTTAAAACTGCATTATTGCATTGCCTAAAACTGCATGAAAGAAATGAAATGAAACAGCCTCTGAGGGATATTACCTTACTTATGTTCACAGAAGGATGGTGATTAACATCATTTGGATTTATTCAATGGACAGTTTGCCTGAGTGATTGTCTATGCCACTCATTGTTTTAGGTTTTAGAGATTGAGTAGTGAGCAATTTAGATAAGGCCCATACCCTCAAAGACTTTAACTTTTGTTGGAGAATATAATAAACATGTAAATCAAAGAGACAAGTTTAGATAGGAATAAATGTCAGAAAAGATACTACTGGGTAGAGAGTTTGAGAGTGACTGGGTTGTATGGAGAAATGGGATGGTCAGGGAAGACCTCCCTAAGGAGGTAACACGAGGTGACATTTTGGGTGATAGCTGAATGTTTAGCTGAGTCAGCCATGAGAAAATGGGCTGGAAGTTTCTAGGCAGATATAAACAGTGTAAAGGAGCTAAAGGAAGAATGAACTTGGCATGTTCCAGGGACAGAGGGAAGCCCGTGTGGCTGGAGCTGAGTGAACCTAGGGGAGGGTGAGGTGAGGAGACAGTGGTCAGAGGTGACACTGGAGAGGTGTACAGGGATTGGATCATCTTGTATCCCATGTGAGCCTTACAGGCAGGCAAGGGAAAGATAATTTGTGTACTGCAGAGTCTTGTTTTCTTTTAGTGATACTCATAAACTCTAGCCAACTTTCTGCTTTGTTTTGGTTATGAAATCATTGCAGTAATTTATTGTGTATATATTTTTTCTCCAGAGGCCCTCTTAATGAAAAGATCTTGTTTCCTTCAGCACCTTATCCGATGTAGTTTGTTTCCTTTCCATTGTTATATGCAGAACTCAAAGTCTTTGCTTTTTCTTAAGCTCCCTGCTTTTAATCCTTTCTACTTCCAACCGTGAATACTCTTTCTTATTACCTGTACCTGCCTTCCACTTGGAAAGCAGTGGCAGTTGGTCCCTGCTCTTCTCCAAGCCAAATTCTAGGAAGCTGCATTGGCAAGTGGATTATTGTTCTTCATTAGAGCTTGTATTACTGACCAGGAACATAACGCTTGCCTTTTTTTAGTACCTACGATATGCCAGGTATGTTACATACATTCTATTCCTTCCAACTTGTGGCAAAGGAAAATATTAAGCCTTTTTGATAGTGAGGGAAACTTACACTTCAGCTACTGAGCTAGTACTGATGGAGCTTGTATTTGAACTCCCATTAGGTTTACTTCAAAGCCTAATTCATTCTACCCCACCTCCTGTTAACCTCCAACCTTGCTACCCTGAGCAGCAAGTCTCTATTACTTAAAATTATGTTTTATGATGTGGCATTTTAGAGATCACATGATTCACCCCTCTTAGTTTAGAGCTAGGGCTGTGGAGGCCCAGAGAAGGTCAGTGAGTTTTAAAATAATGCATCTAATGGCCAAACTTCTATCAAATTTTCACCCTGCTCATTTTCAGGCTAGTGTTTTTTCTGCTTTATTTTCTTCATGAAAGTCCCCTATCAATATATTTCTGTACATATAAAAATATAATATTTCAACAGCATGAATTTATTGTCCATAAACTTGTAAAAGTTAATTTTAAAGAGATGAGACATTGCTTCTTCTTGGGCTACAATAATCATTTGCCTTATTTTCCTTCCCTTTTCTGAACAATGAACAGGTATAAACTTTCTGGATGAATCTAGTCTCTGTTAATAGAAAGCTGTGGTTTAAAAATGACTTTTAAATTTTTGTTTTAATTTTAGAAATGTTTGAAAAGGAGTTTAAAATGTGTTACTATTTTCCTAGCCTTAATCTTACGCTTAGAAGTATGGGAATATTGCCTACAGTTTGCTAACTCATAGTTTCTCTTAGCAAGTAGAGTTTCTTCCTGTTATTGAGGAAGCCCTTAGGTCAGTGATATAACTTCTTTTTCTTAGTAATATGTTATGTTTAAAAATAAGTCAAAATCAGTTTATAAATTAATATGAATAAGAAAGCTGTTAACAGTGGTCTTAAAATTTAAAAATGCCCATTATTTATTTCTAAGGTTTGCATATTTTAGTAATTATGAGTGGAATATGGTAGATGAATAATAACAGACTAATAAATAGCTTAATTTACTTTCTGTATGTCTTTTTGACTCTGCTGTAACTTAATAGAATTTATCTTTTTCTTTAGAATAATTTTAATGGAATTAGTATCTTCTTTTTTAAATATTGGAAGGTACTTAAGTTTAAGCAAAAGAGAGTTTTTGCTCTTTAGGCCAAAATACCAAACCTAGACATCCTGGCTATCTCTATTCTTTAAGATCGTTCATGCAACTAATGCCCATATTCTGAAGACCCAGGTCATCATGATTTGACCACCATCTTCTGCCATGAGCCTAGTGCCCCAAATTGGACTCCTGGTCTTTGCCTCAGGCTTTCCAGCTTCAGTGCCATTACTAGTTCTGCTTGGAATGCCCTCTGGATAGACAACTCCAGCCAGCCAAAATTCTACCTGTCCCTCTAAGTCCACTCAAATGCTGCTTTATCAATAAAGCATTTCCCGTGTCTCTATAACAGAAGCCTTCTTTTCTCATAGCACTTTTGGGAGCCTCTCTTTGACACCAGTTACCAATCCTGATATCTTTAGTATTGTACTATTACATACACAGGTGTTAAAATATATGTTGACTTGAGCTTAAAAAACTTGACAATTTGTGTTATATACGTGCACAGTTTTTTGCAGATTGTAGAGCCCTGTTATTTTATTTACACTTTTATCATCTTATCTTTGAGAGACACACTGTTAGGCTTTTCTCAGCTTTGGTTCACAGAACCTGTTTTCTGTTTTAGTTAAGGGTCTGCCTTCTGCAGTTATCAAGGGGTCCTTTGAGAGGAACTCATGTCTTTGGGCTATAAATGTTGAAGGCACACTGTCACAAATAAAATCAGTGTTCTCTGTGTTTATGGTATTGGAAAATACTAACAACGATTTCCACTTTTTAATATTATAGATGAGAAAACTGAGGCCCAGAGAGACTAGCCCTGTGTTACTTGCAGTGCTAGGCTAAGAAGCCTGGTCAGTACCCCTGGTTCATGGCTGCAGAGGCTTGTAGCAGGCTGTCATCAGTTCTGATGTCCTGTGTTGGAACTCCTGGCAGCCTCTTACATGATGTATCAGTACAGCTCAGGCCTTTCCAGTTGTTTTGCTTGCTTTATTTGTGAGCTGACCTGGATCCGGAAGATACCTCTTGTGGTGAATCAAGATTAAAGCTTTAACTCTGACCAGGAATCCCTGACTCTGAGCTATTTAAGCCTGGAGGATCTTCCTGAACAGGCATGGGTATGGAATCAAGTTCAGTAGGCTCTTTAGTTTAAAACCCTTCTCTTCTTCCTCTCTAGTTACAGTTTTCAAAATAGTATTGTGAGACTAGCGAGCATCCTCAGTGTATTCAATCTGGAGTTTGGAGGAATCTGGCCCAGGACCTTTCATGTTGCAGTAATCATAGGTTTCTCTGTCCTATATTTTCCAGGACGGTATACTTTTCAAATACTGTGCATTATTGCTCACCAAAGTATATTCTTGTTTGCTTTTTGTTTCAGGAAAATATATTCTCAGAATTATTTTTTAAAATTAAGCATTTATTAAATTAATGATGTAGAAACTGAATTTCAAGTACCTTTTTCTATTTTAATTGTATGTTAAATTCCTCAAAGGTAACACAGAGGACGTTAGACTTTTTTCTAGCCCAGGGAGGAACACCAGCCAAGACTTGCCTTGGGCATTGGTGGTAATAACTGATGCATATAGAGGGCTTTCTTTGTGCCAGGAGTTGTTCTAAATGCTTTATTTCAGGGCCTCTGTTCCTCAGCACTGTTGATATTTTAGGCTGGGTAATTCTTTGTTGGGGACTGTTCTGTGCATTGTGGGATGTTTAGCAGCATCTCTGGCCCCTACCCACTAGAAGCTAGTGGTACCTCCTCTAGTCCATGTCTTTTCCATTTTATTTCCTGCATAGCATTTAGCATAGTGTTTTACTTATGAGAGATGCTTAATAAATATGTCCATTTGTTTGGGTTAGATGGGTTCCTA
Source organism: Homo sapiens (assembly GCF_000001405.40). Classification (NCBI taxonomy): domain Eukaryota; kingdom Metazoa; phylum Chordata; class Mammalia; order Primates; family Hominidae; genus Homo; species Homo sapiens. The sequence continues at coordinate 38,183,515 of NC_000007.14, forward strand.
CTCATGTAGTGATTTCTTTCTGTTTCTATATACTTGTATTCATTTTTGTAGTGTGTTGTTAGAATGACTTCACTAAATAGCATTCAAAATATATTGGAAAGAAAGATTACCAATTTAGTTAATTTGGGAGAGTTGGGAACATTTTTATTAATTTCATTGTAAATGAAATTAACTGGAGATTAAATATTCTTAGCTTATTTAATATACTGCTGACCCTTGAATAATACAGAAACCTGTCTAGTTGTATGTGAATTGTTTTAAATAAAACAGGGACCTGACCTAAAATAGTTTTCACAGCATGTGGAACCCATGTATGCAGGTGGTTCTGGAACCAATTCCCTGCATATAATATACCAAGGGAGGACTGTACCATATTGCAACTCCAACCATATGTGTAAGTTTGTCTAACTTTAGTTAGCAAGTACTCAGATGACTTTGTGCTTTCATACAATGATAGTTGCAATTTTTAAACTAATTGAATACCTAACACATGCCAGGCATATCTTTGGGTGCTAAGAATATAGAATGTTCTCTAGGAGTTTTCAGTATAGTACTGAGAAGAAGACATGAACAATATGTGAAACATGTGAAAGACTGGAGGTGCTCTTAAAGGTATATGGGATATATATTATACATACGTGGTCAGAGAAAGTTTCATCCAGGAAGTGATACCTAAGCTACCTTGAACAATTAATAGGCTTATTCTTGCTGTTAATATGATAGTTTGGTGGTTCAAGGAAAAGGCATTCCAGGCAGAGGGAGAACTGGGGCAAAGGCAGGATGGCGAAACTTCCTGTGTCAGTCCATATGTGTCGCTTCCTATAGATACTTTAGGCTGGATAATTTTATAAAGAAAAGAGGTTTAATTGGCTCACAGTTCTGCAGGCTGTACAGGAAGCATGGCTCGGCTTTTGGTGAGGCCTCAGGAGGCTTACAGTCATGGCAGAAAAAAAAGCTGGAGCAGCATGTCACATGGCAAGAGCGGGAGCAAGAGAGAGAAGGGAGATGCCACACATTTTTAAACAAGCAGATCTCATGCAAACTCAGAGTAAGAGCTCACTCATCACCAAGGGGATGGTGGCAAGGGGATGGTGCCAATATATAGTATATGATATATACTATATATAGTATATAACCGATATAGTATATAATATATACTATATATATAATATATAACCCATATAGTATATAATATATATATAATATATAACCCATATAGTATATAACATATACCATTCTTGAAAAACTTGCTCTCAAATAATGCAACAAAACAAGCAATAAAGAAAATTATGACTATGGAAATACATATATATATAGGCAGCATATATACTATATATATGTATTTCCATAGTCATAATTTTCTTTATTGCTTGTTTTGTTGCATTATTTGAGAGCAAGTTTTTCAAGAATGCTGCTAGTTTCAAACTTTTATTGAGAACTTTATGAAATTAAAGAGATCCTACTACTTTTGTTGTATTCTCTGCCTCTGTAACGTGCTCTGAGTCTGTTCTTATTATTAGACTGTAAAGCACACTTTATTTTCTGAATATTTTAGCCTGTAGTTGAATTGAGTCTTGTGATTAGTGGTCTTTGTGTGATTCTATTTGCTAAAACATGAGTTAGGCTGATGATAAAGGGGATCACGAGGTTACTTCGGTTGCTGATCTTCTTGAGGGTCTGATTTTCTTTATGACTGCCTAAGAAGTCTTTCAGAGAAAAGGATACTGGTGATTTTTAAAACCTAGGCATCAAGATTTTGAGACTGACTTTCCCTGTCTGTCACATGCACTAATCTTTGGACTACAAACCTTTATCTGTGGTATGATTCATAATTTCTTTTTGGACCTATGTGCTGTTCTTGTATATCACATCATAGGAGATAACATATGTAACTTCTGCCTGTTGATAGATACCCCTGGGCATAGATGTGAATGGCACACCTTTCATTAACCTGCTCTATTTTGTGACATGGGGAGTTGGTCTCAGCTGTCTCCTGGGGCAGTTAAAGTAACATCTTCCCTAGCATTGCTGTTAGTGTGCCACTTCCACCAACCAAGAGCCACCAAAGGGACAGTGAGTAGAAGATGGCTCTGTCAACTGGAGTGACATTTTCAGGAACACTTATCTCCCGCATTCCTGAGGAGTTTTATGTTGTTGAATGAAAAGAAACCTAGCTTGTCTATGAATAGCTGTGCTGGCTTTGCTGACTACTTATCAGCTGGCCCCTGGGAATTCAGCTTCTGTTTTCTCTGTATAGAAAGATAGGTCTGGGGAGGCGTTGAAGAATGTGTGGTGAACACCTTCTTTGGGATGAAGGATAGTTACTAAAAGAAGGTACACTTTTAGCCACTTGCCTATGATTCCTGGGAGAGCAGTGAGCTCACCACTGTGGATACTATTGATTTTCAGATCTAGATTAATAAGATCTCAAGTCCTGTGCTGAAAGTTGACAGCATTTGTTTGAAAATTGCTTGTAGTAAGTATCGAAGGAATGACATTATGTGATGCAGAGATGTCCTCATATGCATTGGAAAATATTTCAAGTTCCTTAATTGAGGGACCTTCACCTGTCTAGATAGTAATATGACTCTTGACTCCTCCATTGCCAAGGCTGGTGATACATCTCTAAGAGGAAGTCGTAAATATTCATAGGAATATTTATATGTACACTGAGGAGCAACACGACTCCTTGAGTGCTGGTCTGCTGATGGTTGACAGAACTAATGAGTCAAAATTGGCAAAAATAATGGTAACTTCGCACTAGCCATCAGGTATTTTATAACTGATGTATTGTGTGATTTTTTAGGACGGCTAAAAGTAGATTTTGTTATGAGGGACCAAGGAAAAGTTCTGGAAAAAGATAGTCAACAACTGAAAAATCAGCAGTATTTTGTACTTGTGGAAGTGACCTTATTAGTCTCCTAAAGGAAAAATTGGGTTACAAATAGCTCTATGACCTGGAAGATTAAAACAAAGGAGTTTCTAGGTGAGCTGTGGAGAAAATACAGCCATGTGCTGCATAACAACATTTAGGTCAACAATGGACTGCATATATGATGGTGGTCCCATAAAATTATAATACCATATTTTTGCTGTATTGTTTCTGTTTAGATATGCAAATACTTCTCATTGTGTTACAGTTGCTTATAGTATTCAGCACAGTAACATGCTGTACAGGTTTATAGCCTAGAAGCAATAGGCTGTACCATATAGCCTAGGTGTACAGTGGGCTCTACCATCTAGGTTGTGTCAGTTAACACTGTGATAATGAGGAAGTCACCTAATGACGCATTTCTCAAAATGTATCCCTGTCATTAAGTGACACATGGCTGTATTTAAGTTTAGGAGTTAGAGCCAAAGCTGAGAAAGGGGGAAAAAAGCTGCAAAATCAATTTGAATGCCAGGAGAAACCACTGTGAGAATAAAAGGTTGGAGACAATAGAAGCTGGAGGAAGGTAGCTATAGAGACCCCGTTGTTTCAGTTACTTTGGGCTACCTGACAGCAGCTTCTAAAAAAAAAAAAGAGAAACAAATGAAAGAACATTCTTAATCCTCAGGGCCCATCTTGAGAGAGACTTGCGTTGAACGAGTGGTGAGACCCAGCTCCAACATGCCAGCTGGCTGACTCAGCCCATGCTAGTGAAATAACTGACTACCAAGTTGTTGACCCCTGCAGGGTTGATGAGCTAACAAGTATTTCATACCACCCAACATTACTGGGCAGCTGTGTGGCATCTTCCCATTTTGCCAACCTGTAGTCTATGGAACAACTTATATACATTGTCAAATGCCTTTCTTCTTTCTGGCTTGCTCTTCTTTGCCTGGACCAAGCAACAGTCCTAGTGGTGTAGTTATTGTCAATAATATATACTTGATTTTTTTCCCTCTCTTCAGTCATTCCCTTGTATTATTTATATATCTTCCCTATTGACTAGATGTAGGTTCTGCTGAGAGCATGAGAACTCTTGTATTACCTTTGAATCCTTTTAAATGCCTGTGTGGTGTTACATTTTTTCGGTGCTCAATGCTTATGGTTTACTAAAATGGGAACTCTTAGTGGACTTACATAGGGCCCACTTCATAATTGTTTTCTGTTCTACAAATAGATACAATTTATTAGTTTTTTTTTCATTTTTATGGCATAGAAGAACATTCTTATTTCTGCCTATCTTATGTTTTAAAATTTCATCTCTATGCTCCCCTGAATTCCTGATTCATATCCAACTGCTTACTTTATCTCGACTTGGATATTAATAAGCATCTCATGCTTTATGTCTAAACTGAACTGGTATTCTTGCTCAAAACTGCCCCTTGTCTAGCTTCCCGCTTTCACTAAATAGCACATCCATCCTTCCAGTTTCTCAAGCTCTAAATTTTGCAGTTCTGTTTTAGTCCTCATTTTCTCCCATACCCCATGGCTAATCTGTCGCCAAATGCTTTGGGCTCCTTACTTGGAACCAATCTATTCTCATCCCCTCTACTGCCCTCACCCTATTCTATGGAGTCAGTACGTCATCTCTCTCCTGAATTATTGCTGCTGTCTCCTAACTGGTTTCCCCACTTCTTTGCTTCTTTCAGCAGAGCCTCTTAAAACTTAAGCTACATTATTTTTCTCTTCTACTGAAAATCTTCCGGTGTCTTCCCATCTCATTCAGAGTAAGACTTTACAGTGGCCCACACACAAGGCCCAGCCCTTTGTTAACTGATCTGTCATCATCTGAGGTGCTTCCCCTCTCTCACTTGGCTGCAGCTTCGCTGGCCACCTGGCTGCACTCCTCTGTGACCAGCTCCACCCCTCCTCAGAACTTTTGCCCCTGTTCTTCCCTCTATCTGCAGTACCCTTCCTCCTTGTATCTACCTGGCATTTCTCCCTTATCTCCTAGTCGTTGCTCAGATGCTGCCTCAATGAAATAATCTCGACCCCTCAGTTTAAAATGACCATGTTTCCAGCCCTACTTTGTCTTCCATCCCCTTCCTGTAGAAGGTAAACTCTGTGAGGATAGATGTTTTGTTCATCACCATGGGAGTGCTCAGAAGGGGACCTGACACAATTTTAGTGCTCAAACATATTTGTGGAGTGAATGAAGTAGATGTGGTATATTCTTGGCAAACTTGAATTTTCAAACATTATGAAGTGCGGTTCTTAAACCATGTAGTTCACATCCAGATTCAGCTTCTCAATGTATATTTTAGGTTTGTCTCGTAAATTATGAAAACATTGATATGCATTTACCCAGCCATCTTTAAATCTTAATATTTATCTCTGCATTACATGTCAAATGAAAGTTTAGTAATATTTTTAATATTCCTATAGGAAATAGATCACATAGAAATTGCGTTGCTTTAAAAAACAGTCGGAGTTCGGGAGATAAATTAATGTCTGCCAGAGGAGTGACTTAAAAGCACCATGACATGTATTTTTCCCCTTAAATTTTTCTAAGTCATTGATGTTAATTTCTAAATCAATCTGAGTCTTAAAGCAGATTGTTGAAAGGTTAAGTTCTGTTATGTGCACACAATTACTTTTATCTGCTGATGGTAATAGAAATCATTGAATGAGACAAGACTACAAAACAATGACCAAACTTTAACAGGCAGCCTTGGATGTGTGTGTGTGTGTGTGTGTCTGGGAAAAGGGCAGAACACAAAGCATTCAAGAGTGAGAAGATTTATTAAGATGGAATGAAAGCATTAATTACATCCCAAATGAATATAAATAACACTGGAAAATATGATGCCTAGAAAATAAAGATTAAGAATAACACCGTGGAAATAATATATAAAGATGTTACCATGGAGTTGGGCTGTCGAAATTCATAAAGAAAAGTAAGGAGAGGAGCAGAAGGAAGTGCAGTTGAAATGTGCATCCAAGTGTAATAAGTCAGCCATGTGAATTAAATAACACATGGTGTGTCTGAGCCTTGGTAGGTGGTGCTTTGTAAAAGATCTGTCTTTCCCCAGGGGTCCCTGAGTTCTAGTGCAGGGAACAAATGAAGGAGCAACTTGGCTTGTAAAAGCTTGTGGTGTATGTTGTACACGTTTTTACTAAAGACCTGAGCAAACTTTAGACCCCAAACCATTGGATGATGTGACTCCACTATTTCACATACACCTTATAGCAGCAACAATAATAAAACACCATTTTCAGTTATATAAGTGACATTGGCTCAAAATGCAAATAGAATGACTTCTATCTATTAGTCATGCATGCTTTAGAAGCCTTTAACTACCTCCATTTGTGTTTAGGTAATTTGATAGTTGTATTAAGGGCAGAATGATTTGGGTATCTGGAATTCTTATATGGCTTTTCCTTTAAGTCTATCAGTGCAACTCAAACTTGTGTATCTAGGAATTTTTATACAAAGGTACGTGTACAAAATTCATATGCATTCTGTTTTATAGCATGATTTAAGAGGTTTTTGAGGATGTTTGGTTTGTCTTTGCCTTTAAGTGTAGCATACTTAAGAGCAAAGTTGGTCTCATGATTTTTTTGCCATGAAAATTTGCCTTTGCTTTCTTTGCTATACAATAGTTACCTCTTATCCATGGACAGTACATTTCAAGCCCCCCCAGGGGATGCCTGAAACAACAGATAGTACCAAACCCCTATGAATATTTTGGTTTTACTTATACAATAATGGGCAGATAGCATATGCAGTGTGGCTATTCTGGACAAAGGGGTGATTCATGTTCTGGGTGGGATGGAGTGAGATAGTGGGAGATTTCATCATGCCACTCATGATGACACACAATTTAAAACTCATGAACATTTATTTCTGGAATTTTCTATGTAGTATTTTTGTAGTTCAAGTGCTTCAGGTAACTGAAACTGGAAAGTGAAACTTCAGATAAGGTTGGGGAGGGGGATTATGGCACATACATATGCTACATGTGTGTATGTATACTGTATGCATCTTATGTTTAAATGTATTCATATTGTGTGTATGTGTGTATATACTGTGTATAGATAAACAGGTACAGACACAGCAGTGCCATCTCAAAACAGCCTTATGCCCTTACGTTTTTCCGAATGAATCAGAAATAAGTTGCATACATGATGACACTTATCCTTCAGTACTTCAGCGTGCATCTCCTAAGAATAAGGGCACTCTCCTGCATAACCATTACTAAACTGTAATCAATTCTCCAATTGACTTTTGTGGCTTTTGTTTTTAATTCAAGATTCATTCTAGGCTTGTGCATTGCATGTGATGCTCGTGTCTCTTTATGCTCTTTTCTATTTGAAGAGTATTCACACCACTATCCTTTTTATTTTTGTTTTTCACCACATTGACTTCTCTGAAGAGTCCAGGATAGTCGCCTTTAGAATGTCCCATATACTGTTTATTATTGTTATTTTTAATGACTAAATTCAAGTAAAACTTCTGGCAAGGATTTATCACAATTGATGTTATATAGTTCTTGTTGCAACGCATCAGAAGGCAGGTAATGCCAGCTTGCTCCAGTATTGGTGATGCTGTTTGATTACATGGTTCAGATGGTGACTGCCAGATCTCTCCACTGTAAAAGCATATTATCCCCAATGAAATTATTAAATAATCTGAGAGATGCTGCTTTGAAACTACAATATCATATCCCCCAACAACCTTTTAATAATTGCCAGCATCCATAATGGTCCTTGCCTGAATCTGTTACTACACTGGGAGTTGCAAACCACTGATTTTTCTAATTTTATTATTCCTTTTACATTTTTATGTGACTTTTTTCTGTATAGAAGAACTCTTCCCCTGCCATCTGTCTTTTATTTACAATATTACCATGGACTCATGGAATTTTTAAATTTGTCCAATGTAAATTCCAACATTACTGTCATTATTCATTTTTATGTTTAAGTTGTCCCAAATGGACCAGGGGGAGCCCCTTCATGACAGCCTACACAATTTTTTTAATGGTTATAACTTTTTGTGTCTTCTTTAAGAAATCTTTGCAAAAAATATTGCAAAAAAAATTGTCCTACACATTCTTCTAAAGCTTTGTATTTTTAATTTTTACGTTTAGGTCTGTAAATCGTCTTAAATTATTTTTTACCTGGTGTGAGTTAGGGTTTGAAGTTCTTTTCAGTTTTAATATCTGGTTGTTTTCTTCACTGTTTGCAGAAAACAGACTTTATTTTCACCATTGGATTACTTTGACAGCTTTGTCAAAATTGAAATGACCATATATGTGTGGGCCTATTTATATACTCTCTATTATGTTCTATTGACCTATTTGTTTATTCTTATGCTAGTACCATACTGTTTTGATTACTGAAGCTTTGTGGAGTCTTTAAGCTAGGTAATGTGTCTTCTATTTTTGTTCTTTTCCCAGATTGCTTTGGACAGGCTTATTTCTTTGCATTTTGTATACATTTTAGAATTAGCTTGTCAGTTTCTATTAAAAAAAAAAGCATGGTGGGATTATGATTGGGATTGAGTTGAATCTGTAGATCAGTTTGAGGAGAATTGATATCTTAACAATATGAATTCTTCCAATCCATGAACATGGTATATCTCACGATTTATTTTCAACTACTTCCATTTCTCTCAGCAGTATTATGTAGCTTTCAGTTTTGCAATATTGCATATCTTTTATTAAATTTATTCCTTAGTGTTTTGTTTTTGATGCTATTTTAAATGGCTGCCTTGCCTTTCTTTTTTTGCTTTCTCTTTCTCTTTCTGTGTCTAGTCTTTTCCCACTCCCCTGGATTGAAGGAATTGGTAAATATATGAATCACAAAATCATAAAAGTGAGCTCTTGTTAACAAAGTTTTGTTGTTGTTGTTTGTTTCTTGCTTTTTTAAATGGAAGGCAAAAGTATGCGGCATGATAGATGTAATTATAGAGGTCTGTGTACACTCTTCTTTGATAGGGGCAGAGAGGGTTAGAAGAGTAAGAGGAAACAAAGGTTTCCCTGAGAAAATGGGCTTTGAATTAAGGCTTATCAAGTGGGTCAGAACTTTACAGATAAGGAGAGTGGCACTCAAGGTGCTACTGGAGAGAAAAATGCAAGCAGAGGTTTGTGAGAACATAATGTCTTTAGGGAACTGCTTGTGATTTTTTACCATGATGAAGTGGCTATGGAGAAGTAGGCCAGTGTTAGGTTAGGCAAAATTAAAGAGTTTGAGCTCTACCTGAATGAAGGTCCCAAGAAACCATTTAATAAATAATCTCATAAATTTAATTTGCTTCTCTAAAAAATCGGCTGCTGTCAACTAAGTGCTTTTTTAAAAAAATGAACTAATGCTTAATATTTGGAAAATTTCCTGTTACAATTCAGATTTCTGGCATCCACTGATAAATATAAGTCTGCCCTCTCTTTCCACACATATAGCCCCTGAAGATCGGGCGCACACTCCTCTCCTGTTTGTTCTCCTTGTCTCCTGAGGCCAACTGTCAGTTTCCAATTTTCTTTCAGCTTACATTGTTGTTGGTTTTTTTTTATGTCAGGGATGTGTTTCTCCCTGGCTCTTTCCAAAATCCTTCCCTCTCTATGTGTTTCTCTGTGTCTCTTTCAGAATAAGAGACTTAGCCACATTTTAAGAGAGTGAAACAGATATCCACTTGGAAATGAAGAGTTGTCCTACAAAATTTGAAATTATGCAAGTTCCCCCTGCCACCTGCCTCCAATTAAAAACCAATCAAAATGTACATAATTTCAAAGCTTTTGGCCTAAATGAATTGTAAGTTGTGTTCGTGCATGCTTTTGAAATGCAGTGAAACGTTTTAATGAGTAAACAGAAATGTCTGTCCTCCTATTAGGATTAGTTTTTTGTTGTTGTTGTTGTTGTTGTTGTTGTTATTTTGAGATGGAGTCTCGCTCTGTCGCTCAGGCTGGAGTGTAGTGGTGCGATCTCGGCTCACTACAATCTCTGCCTCCTGGGTTCACGCCATCCTCCTGCCTCAGACTCCCGAGTAGCAGGGACTACAGGCGCCCACCACCACGCCCGGCTAATTTTTTGTATTTTTAGTAGAGACGGGGTTTCACTGTGTTAGCCAGGATGTTCTTGATCTCCTGACCTCATGATCCACCCGCCTTGGCCTCCCAGAGTGCTGGGATTACAGGCGTGAGCCACTGCGCCCAGCCAGGATTAGTTTTTATCTATATGTGTTTTGAATTATGTGAGGTTTTAGGAATAAGCTCTGATATGTTTGTCTGACTTGTGGGAGCGGTTGTGAGGTTTAAATGACATAATGTATCTTAAGTACTCAGCATTGTGCCTGACACAGTAAGTCCCAGTGTGAGGAAGCTCTATTCATTTTGTTATTGTTAATATATGATATACAATGTTATGTAATATATAATTATGTTATATTAATATGTGTGGTTAGTTTATACTTTTGTCCTGTAGTATGTTGCAATCTTTAATATTCTTGTGTTGTTACATGTTCTTGTTCAGATAATGTCAGTATTATCCTAGCTTTATTTAATAATAGGATAGATTTCCTTTTTAACATTCTGAATCAATATGTAGGATTTTGTCTTTTATTTCAAATATTGAAATGCCCATAAAACTGTCTGACTCCAGTCCCTTTGCTAGGTAATTATTTTTCACTATTCTTTTTTTGGAATGGTTTATTCTATTCAGGTCATTTGCTGCTTCTTAGTGTAATTTATATATTTCCAGAGTATTGACTTTAGTTATGGTTTTCAAATGGAATTAAAATATTACTTATACTTTGAAAGTGACCTCTTCTATAGTGGTACTTGTATTCCTTTATTAGTACTCCCTTTATTAGTACTTTACATTTGCCCTTTTAAAGGACTGATCATTGGATTTATCTATATATTTTAAATTTGTTTATGAAGTGTTCATCAGGCACAAAAGTAGAGTTTTTGTTATAAAGAGTCACATTTTTCCCACTCCCCAGGTTGCAACAGTTATCATCATCCTCCTTTTGGATTTACTAATTGTATTCATTGTTTTTCTTTTTTCTTTTCTATCCTTTTCCATATAGAATAGTTGCAGCTTTCTAACCTTATTATTTAAATGCCGAATTATTTAATTTTATTCTTTATTTTAAAAGTAGTAAATTACTTTAAGGTAGTGATTTTGATAGTAAGCCCAAGTTTACAGCTTTCCATTGTTTTTACTGTCATTTTTTTCCAATAGTTTGTTTTACTTTTTAAATATTTTTATCTCAATGTTATTTTAGTAAATAGTACTACGTTATGGAAGTCTATTTTATGCACTGCTCATTCTCTATAGAGTTCCTTATTGCAAGATTTATTACGTGTTTTTTGGTGGTCTAGTTTTGTGATCAATTTTATAAATATGGCTTACCTCCTCAACATAGTATATAGTCTATGACTGTAAAGTTAAAAAATAATTATCTGTCTTAAAAATTTTAATTATAGTATTGAAATAATCTGTATTCGTATCATTAAAATATCAAATAGGCTAAAAAAGTAAATGTCAAAACCTTTCATTGTGATTATAATCTTCCATTTACATAGCATTTGCCTTTTTTTTGTTTTTAAAACATTTTGTATCTCTGTTCTTTCTGATAAAGCATACACTGATACTGAGTGGTGAATATTAAGCCTAATTTTATATATATATTTGGACTGAGTCTTGCTCTGTAGACCAGGCTGGAGTGCAGTGGCACAGTCTCGGCTCACTGCAACCTCTGCCTCCCTGTTCAAGTGATTCTCCTGCCTCAGCCTCCTGAGTCGCTGGGAGTACAGGCGCACGTCACCATGCTTGGCTAATTTTTATATTTTTATTAGAGACGGGTTTTACCATGTTGGCCAGGCTGGTCTCGAACTCCTGACCCCATGTGATCCACTTGCCTCGGCCTTTCACAATGATGAGATTACAAGCGTGAGCCACTGCCCCTGGCCACACTTATCAGTTTTTAAAAATCCCAGTGTTAGCCATACTTGCTGAGTTGAAAGAATATGTGTCAGAATTTGCAGAGCTTAATTATGCACCTTGAGTTATTGTGGACTTATTAAAAGCCTTTGTGTGAGCTGTGAACCTCCTCTGACTTTTATTGGTGTGAATTAGTAATCATACCCAAATACTTGCAAGTCAGAATAAACAAATTATTGTATAGTCAAGTTCAGTGATTCTAGCTTTGCTTTGAGCTTGCTAACTGTAGTCCACTTAATAATTCCAGTTAAGGAAAATTATTGATAATTACCTGTAAGTTTATAAAGAGATACTGGGGGAATATCTGAGTGATGATACAACCTTTCTATAATTCTTTTTTTGGAATTACCACTTGCATACCATGTACAGAATGTGCGAGTATTTTGTAATAGCTATCCATCATTTAGACTGTGTCTGAATGATATCTCTAGAAGTTCCCAAAGAGTAGTTTGTAGCTGATGGTGCCAATGTAGGTCATTAGAAATATCTAGACTCCATCTCCCAAGAAACTACTCCGTATTATCACATTGGTGACATTATTCGTGTTTGAACCCAGCCCTTCTCCTTGTTAACTGAGAAACCTGATTAGTCAGCAGCTTAAAGAGCCCACTTGCAAGTGGCTTTGCCTTGCATGAGTAGGCTCATGTCTCAGTGTCTGCAGTGAACACCTTAACTGCCATGTGGACTGAATGTTTACTTCAACCTGACCAGCCTGTTGTTTCCTTACGTAAAATGTTACATCTTAATCAGAAACATGGAATTAGAAAAAGGATGTGGGAGGCATGCAGAGGATTATTAAATTAAATTGTTGTCAATTAATTATAGGAATCACTTGGCCAATGGATGGGAGATAGTTGATGCAGTGTCACATTGGATCATGACACTCCTTTTCCTGTGTTTTCCTGGCTGACCCATCCTCTTTCTGATGGGCACATTCCCTCTTCTCCTCTTTAGACTTGAGCATGTGCCTGTCAGCTTGTTCTCATTGCTTGGCTTGTGAGCTATTTTGTTTCTTTGAGGATATAGCACATCTACTGTGATTCATTATGTGTTTTTTTAATAGTGTAACTCTCAGTATTCCTTTGTTTCAAAATTATTCCCCATTGTAGACCTGATGATATATATCTATGGAATGCTTTGTAGAGTTTCATACATAAACTTCTTTTTCTCTGTTTCTTTTTTTAAAATTTCACTCGTTTTCACTTGGCACGTTAGGAATTTGCTGACAAAATTTGATTCTTTGACTCCAAAAATATTTTTTAATTTGAAGTAATACCAAATAACTGGCCGAGTGAGTTTATTTAAATGCCTTATAGAATTTTTCACATAATATTTTGAGATGACTGGTTTTTACCCAGATTTCTCTATATAGTAGCTTTCTATTGCCTCAGCTATTAATTTGGATGTAATTTATGAAATAAATTTTTAGAAAAAATATTTCTAAAATTGGGACTACTGGATTTAAATTTTAAACCCCTGTTTTTTTCTGGACATTGTATTTAATATGGATCATATAGGGCACACAGGAAAACAAGGCTGCTTTGAAATGTCAACGTAATTGTAATGGGCAGTTCGCCAAAGAAAGATTTGTTTGCTTTTGGCTTTATGAAACTTTTCCTGTAGAGCTTCGTGGTGAAGCTTCTCAGACTCAGGAGGTTGGAGTGTCACACACATGCATCAGCTCCCTAACCTTGCCCACTGCCAGTCCTTTCCCTGTGAATTTCTGATCCTGTGAGATAGCATTACCTTTTTTCTTTCTTTCTTTCTTTCTTTCTTTCTTTCTTTCTTTCTTTCTTTCTTTCTTTCTTTTTCTCTCTCTCTCTTTCCCTCTCTCTTTCTTTCTTTCATTTTTTTTTTCTTTCAGGGCCTTGCTCTGTCTCCCAAGCTAGAGTGCAGTGGCGTAATCTTAGCTCACTGCAGGCTGGAACTTCTGGGCTCAGGTGATCCTCCTGCCTCAGCCTCCCGAGTAGCTAAGACTACAAGTCTACACTGCCATACCCAGCTAATTTTTAAATATTTTGAAGAGATGAGGACTCACTGTGTTGCCCAGGCAGCTCTCAAACTACTTAGCCTCCCAAAGTGCCAGGATTATATTTGTGAGCCACTGTGCCCAGCCACTTGTTTCTTTTTTTAAGAATAGCTTATCTACAAACCATCTTTGAGGTGTTTTCAAAATGTAGACAGCCTCATGTAGGCAGACATTAAGCAGAACTTTTTATTTTATCTAAGTTTGAATTACTGGTTGAATTTGACATATCAGTTTTCCAGGTCTTGTTAGCATGCCATAATGTTCCTCATGTCACATGGGTGCCTTTAGAATATGACGGTGACGCTGTCTTGCTGTGTTTTAGTACTCTGGATTAGCTTCCTTCCCACATCTCTCTTCTCTAAGCATGCTTATTTTTAAAGCATCTGTGTTTTTTCAGGCCTCTTTCTCATACTAGCAAGGTAAGTTTATAAATGTCAGGTTATTCCCTCACTGTTCCCATTTCCTACTTCTAGCTGCTTCACCTCGGAAGGTGAGGGCTCTAAACAGGACTTTTGTGTCATTAACCAGGTCTCATAACAGTGGGGGGCCTTGCAAGACAGCCAGCTCAGGCTGCTTCCTGCTTCCAGGGGCACCCAGTCCCAGGATACAGTGGTCACAGCCATGGCAGTCTGTCCTTTGGGACTCTCAAATCCCATGACTGTATTTCGCACACCATGTGAACACTTCTTGATGTGTCTCCTACTTTCTTCTGTGAATCTGGGGTAAGGCAGGACGATAGAGAGGAAAGAGCCAAGTTTTAATCCTAACTATACACTATCTTGAAATATCTCTTAGATGGATCCATGTAGGCCCCACCGTTTTTGCCTGTAAAAAGAGTCAGAAAGATCAGGCTGGCAAAGTCAATTGCCTCCAGGCTAGGTGAAGATTGAGGCCAACTGGAGAGTGCGTGCCCCACTGAAAGTGGTCAGCAGCTTGGCTTTATTATCATGGTAAGAGAATGCAGACCTGGTGATTCTATATCTTTTGACTTTTCAAGAGAAGCTGGAAATCTGGGTAAAAAATAATTAATTAAAATGTTAGCAGTTAAGTCAGTATCTTAAGAAACACTGTACAAGACCAAGAAAACATGTCTCTAAGCCAAATCATCTCCAAAGACCTTTAGCTAAGATGATGACTAAGGCCTTTCTAAATTAAATATTTTTAATGTCTATTATTCCAACATTCTTTTGGAGGAAAACATACAGTGTCCTGGCTGCTGCCATAAGTAGTGCTGAGAAGGCTGGGTGGTTGGGTTGAGAGACTTGGCTTGGCTGTCAACAGGAGGTGCACAGTCTCTCTCTTCTCCTCCTAGGAAGGCTGAGAGATTGTGGGGCTCCTGTAAAATGCAAGTAGTGGTAGCTCCTGCTCCATAGCAGCTGCTGTCCACCATCTGGGTAGTGTCACTTCTGTGTGGAAGCAGATGGAGCTGATGTTTT
The DNA here is from genome assembly GCF_000001405.40 of Homo sapiens. Lineage (NCBI taxonomy): Eukaryota > Metazoa > Chordata > Mammalia > Primates > Hominidae > Homo > Homo sapiens. The sequence continues at coordinate 38,198,852 of NC_000007.14, forward strand.
GACCCGGCTCTGTACCCATCATGAGGTGCAGCCTAGATCAGGTGAAATTCAGGCAACGTACAGACCTGTGAGCTTGAGAATAAATGTATAGGTTACTTTAAGCCATTGAGTTTTTAGTGATTTGTTAATGTAGCATAAATAGAAATAGCTGACTGATAATGTAGTATAGAGGAGGATAGTTACACATTGGTATAAAACAAGACATCAATCTCTTTTTCAGAAAACAACCAAAGGGGATTCTCATCTTCTCACCCAAATGTTTTTCTTTATTTTCTAATTCTTCACTCCCATACTTCCCACACAGTTGGGATAAATTCTGAATTGCAGATTTAGCTTCCTGTGTATACAGCCAATCAATACTTAGCACCCTCTTTAGAGAGGTATGGCTTTCCTTAAGCCAACCCCAGAGAGGATCTCAGTACCCCGGATTGAATATTTAATACTTCTGAAATGACATCTGGAAAAATACCCAAGCTTTTCCTCAGAAACAAAAACAAACAGTTGTAATCTCCTGAATTCAACAGAGATTGCTGAGAGCCTACTCTCTGCTAGTATATGTGCTAGATGCTAGATAGAATTTATGCAGTTGATATTTGTTCTGTTCCTGCTGTCTGTCGTGTGCTGTGGTCAAATTCAGAGCCTTTAAGGAATATACTAGTTAGTGGGAGAGGCAGTGAAGTGGATAATTAAGGCCTAGTGTGGTAAGCAGTATCATTAAGTGGCACATCCACAGACTTAGGGGAGCTTGGGGGAAATGCATCTGACTGCCTGGAGGTTGGAATATGGGGAGCATTCAGAAAAGTCTCTCTGAAGGAACTCACCCTGTACTTCAGCTTTCTGAAGGATATGGTTAGGATGAAATCCAATAACCAGACAGTAGAAAGTGGCTGTAAGGAATGATCCTTCTCTTTACTCATTAAAAGGAAGGGCTCTTTCTCAATGAGTGTCAGAATCACATGGTTCAGGTATTGGGGATTAACCAAGAGCCACATGTGATATTGGTGCATATGCACACCAAAAATTTATAACTTGATTGTGTATGAAAATTCCATGACACTTTTTCTGCACTTTCTCAGACTCTCTTGGCATTGCCTCAAGAACCTGCAGCCACGGGCTTTGCTGGGCAGGCAGCTCTAATCTAGTCTGTGGGGTTCCAGCACCTAGGCTAGCCAGTCCCACACACAGTTTTTGTATCTTCCCTCAAGACTCGAATGAAATGCCATCCCAGAAATGTGTAATCTGGCTTTAAGAGAGGCTACCTTAGGCAGATGAAGCAACTAGAAATGTAGTAGAGTTAACTCACTGTCAGGAGGAATTTGACAGGTGGAAATAGGCAACAAGAAGCAGCTGGGTAGATGTAGTCCTCCCCACTGTTCCCCTCAAAGCCCCCACCCCAGACTGCTCTGAGGCATGGTTTCTCCATTTCACCCATCTGGAAATGTATCACCTGGCTGAATGTACCTGTCTGCCCTTAACCTGCTGTGTCGCTTCAAGGCTGGTGAAGAAGCTAGTGCAGTGCTTCTCGTTCTTCCCTGTTCCACTATTTTTAATTCTCATTTAACCTATATATTTTTTAAGGAACTCAGGCTAAACGTTCTATGTGTTAAGCCTGAGTTCTTAAAAACATTTAGAAGTGTATCTAGTATATTAACTCAAATACATTTGTATTTAGAATGTTTTAACTCAACAATGAAATGAGTCACAGAAAAAGAAGCCAGTCTTATTTTAAGGGCTAATAATGCAGAAATCAAGAGTTTCCTACAGAGCATAAATTAGCTGATATTTCCTTAGTATTTTTCACCAGTGCTTCCCAAATTTCCCAGTTTACAGTCTGCTTTGTAGGAGTAAGAAAGATTCTTGAGCTCTCCCTTCCCACTAGTCCACAGGCCCTTACCGATCCCCCAAATAGATTATCAATCAGCAGTAATTGTTTTTTTGGGGGGATGGGGAGTAGAGCCTGTCAACTTTGTTGACCTGCTGTTGTGTGCTGCAAGAGGCCATATGTGACTGTTAGTTTCACCAGCAGTAAGGGAGATAGAAGACAAAGATGGCCAAATGTTTCTGAGTTTGAATAGTATGTTTCTAACATGAGTCCCTCAAACTAATTTTTCTTCTTCTCTAATTTTTCTGTTTTTAAGTAAAAGTTTCACTCAAAAAATTAATTCTAGAAGTCTGAACCATATGTTTTCATAACCTAACAGAGATTAACCTTGTCATTGGTTACATCTAGACCAATTAATTCACTGGATTAAGTAGGTAAACTATAAAGAAAAAGAAAAGCAAGCTCACTCTCCTTTTTACAACTTCCCTTTTTCCCAGAGAAAGATCAGTTTGATTAGAGCCAATCTGCTCAGAGATGTCTCTGCTTTGTGTAACTTTTTTTATTGAGGTGAAAGTATCTATAAATTCTTGCTAATTAGCAGTTACACATATACATATGAAAAATAATGTAATGATTCTCATTTCCCAAGCCATGTATTTCCATTGTGTATTTAATGTCTTTTTTTATTTTGAAATATATTTCACATTTCTGAGATTGATACGTTTCTTAATCTTTCTTATTCACAAGAAGTGGGTTTGTGGAAGGAAAAAGGAGTGAAACTAAGAAAATGATTTAATTTCCTTGAAAATGATCTTCCTCCTAAAATCAGTCCTTGGTTTGAATTTTGAATTCGTTCAATTTTCTGTACATATTAGTGAATTTAATAATTTAAATTAATTTTAAAATATAGCTGCTAATTATTAGACTGGCTTAGAATTATTTGAGTTGCTTTTTCATAATGTAGGATATATTGTTGCAAAAATATGTCTGTATTCATTCATCCAGATTTCTTTTTTTTTGTTTGTTTTGTTTTGAGACAGGGTCTTACTCTGTTGCCCAGGCTGGAGTGCAGTGGCACCATCTCAGCTCACTGGAGCGTCTGCCTCCAGGTTCAAGTGATTCTCCTGCCTCAGCATCCCAAGTAGCTGGGACTACAGGTGTGCACTACCACTCCTGTCTAATGTTTGTATTTTTTGGTAGAGACAGGGTTTCCCTATGTTGGCCAGTCTGGTCTTGAACTGCTGGCCTCAAGTGATCTGCCCGCCTCGGCCTCCTAAAGTGCTGGGATTACAGGTATGTGCCACTGCACCCGGCCTCAGCTATTTTCTTAAACTTAAAATATGTGTTTCATCACAAAAGATGTATTAATTACATTCATATTTACTTACTGTTTCAGAATTAACTCCTAGAATTCTGACAGGCGGTAGTGCTTTGCAAGCTTTGTGTTAAGAGCTGCTACTGGGGAATATGTTGTTGCTGTACCTTCCACTAGGGTGGCATTGATCTCATTAAGACAGAAATTATGTAAGAATGCTTTTAATTTGGGAGCTTATTATTTTCTTTCCTTTTACTAAATGCTTAAGTGGCTTCTTACTGAGTTTTTCAAAATGCTTTGCTGATTTGCTGACTCTGAGGAAACAAATTGAATGACAGAGACACATTACCTAATGTTGCCTATATTGGCAGAAAAGAAAGGGAAAGGCTGCTTAGGGTTCTGAGGACATCTGTACAGAACCCCAGCAAAGTGATGTTTGAATTTAGTGCCTCTCATTGTAAACATATAACAAGTGCAAAAAGTGTGAAAAAGGCCAAAGGAGGGGGAAAATATAATCTCATTAGTCCGAGAGAATCATTGGTAATATCTGATATATTTCTTTTTTTTTAACATTTTTATTTTTTTATATTTTATTTTTATTATACTTTAAGTTTTAGGATACATATGCACAACGTGCAGGTTAGTTACATATGTATACATGTGCCATGTTGGTGTGCTGCACCCATTAACTCATCATTTACATTAGGTATATCTCCTAATGCTATCCCTCCCCCCTCCCCCCACCCCACAACAGGCCCTGGTGTGTGATGTTCCCCTTCCTGTGTCCAAGTGTTCTCATTGTTCAATTCCCACCTATGAGTGAGAACATGCGGTGTTTGGTTTTTTGTCCTTGTGATAGTTTGCTGAGAATGATGGTTTCCAGCTTCATCCATGTCCCTACAAAGGACATGAACTCATCATTTTTTATGGCTGCATAGTATTCCATGGTGTATATGTGCCACATTTTCTTAATCCAGTCTATCATTGTTGAACATTGGGGTTGATTCCAAATCTTTGCTATTGTGAATAGTGCTGCAATAAACATACATGTGCAAGTTGGAAAACACTCTGCAGGATATTATCCAGGAGAACTTCCCCAATCTAGCAAGTCAGGCCAACATTCAAATTCAGGAAATACAGAGAATGCCACAAAGATACTCCTCGAGAAGAGCAATTCCAAGACACATAATTGTCAGATTCACCGAAGTTGAAATGAAGGAAAAAGTGTTAAGGGCAGCCAGAGAGAAAGGTCGGGTTACCCACAAAGGGAAGCCCATCAGACTAACAGCTGATCTCTCGGCAGAAACTCTACAAGCCAGAAGAGAGTGGGGGCCAATATTCAACATTCTTAAAGAATTTTCAACCCAGAATTTCATATCTAGCCAAACTAAGCTTCATAAGTGAAGGAGAAATAAAATACTTTACAGATAAGCAAATGCTGAGAGATTTTGTCACCACCAGGCCTGCCCTACAAGAGCTCCTGAAGGAAGCACTAAACATGGAAAGGAACAACCGATACCAGCCACTGCAAAAACATGCCAAATTGTAAAGACCATCGAGGCTAGAAAGAAACTGCATCAACTAACGAGCAAAATAACCAGCTAACATCATAATGACAGGATCAAATTCACACATAACAATATTAACCTTAAATGTAAATGGGCTAAATGCTCCAATTAAAAGACACAGACTGGCAAATTGGATAAAGAGTTAAGACCCATCAGTGTGCTGTATTCAGGAAACCCGTCTCACGTGCAGAGACACACATAGGCTCAAAATAAAGGGATGGAGGAAGATCAACCAAGCAAATGGAAAACAAAAAAAGGCAGGGGTTGCAATCTTAGGCTCTCATAAAACAGACTTTAAACCAAGAAAGATCAAAAGAGACAAAGAAGGCCATTACATAATGGTAAAGGGATCAATTCAACAAGAAGAGCTAACTATCCTAAATATATATGCACCCAATACAGGAGCACCCAGATTCATAAACATAAAGCAAGTCCTTAGAGACCTACAAAGAGACTTAGACTCCCACACAATAATAATGGGAGATTTTAACACCCCACTGTCAACATTAGACAGATCAACGAGACAGAAAGTTAACAAGGATATCCAGGAATTGAACTCAGCTCTGCACCAAGCAAACCTAATAGACGTCTACAGAACTCTCCACCCCAAATCAACAGAATATACATTCTTCTCAGCACCACACTGCACTTATTCCAAAATTGACCACATAGTTGGAAGTAAAGCACTCCTCAGCAAATGTAAAAGAAGAGAAATTATAACAAACTGTCTCTCAGACCACTGTGCAATCAAACTAGAACTCAGGATGAAGAAACTCACTCAAAACCGCTCAACTACATGGAAACTGAACAACCTGCTCCTGAATGACTACTGGGTACATAACAAAATGAAGGCAGAAATAAAGATGCTCTTTGAAACCAACAAAAACAAAGACACAACATACCAGAATCTCTGGGACACATTTAAAGCAGTGTGTAGAGGGAAATTTATAGTACTAAATGCCCACAAGAGAAAGCAGGAAAGATCTAAAATTGACACCCTAACATCACAATTAAAAGAACTAGAGAAGCAAGAGCAAACACATTCAAAAGCTAGCAGAAGGCAAGAAATAACTAAGATCAGAGCAGAACTGGAGGAGGTAGAGACACAAAAAACCCTTCAAAAAATCAATGAATCCAGGAGCTGGTTTTTTGAAAAGATCAACAAAATTGATAGACCGCTAGCAAGACTAATAAAGAAGAAAAGAGAGAAGAATCAAATAGATGCAATAAAAAATGATAAAGGGGATATCACCACCGATCCCACAGAAATACAAACTACCATCAGAGAATACTATAAACACCTCTACGCAAATAAACTAGAAAATCTAGAAGAAATGGATAAATTCCTCGACACATACACCCTCCCAAGACTAAACCAGGAAGAAGTTGAATCTCTGAATAGACCAATAACAGACTCTGAAATTGAGGCAATAATTAATAGCTTACCAACCAAAAAAAGTCCAGGACTAGACGGATTCACAGCCGAATTGTACCAGAGGTACAAGGAGGAGCTGGTACCATTCCTTCTGAAACTATTCCAATCAATAGAAAAAGAGGGAATCCTCCCTAACTAATTTTATGAGGCCAGCATCATCCTGATACCAAAGCCTGGCAGAGACACAACAAAAAAAGAGAATTTTAGACCAATATCCCTGGTGAACATCAATGCAAAAATCCTCAATAAAATACTGGCAAACCGAATCCAGCAACACATCAAAAAGCTTATCCACCATGATCAATTGGGCTTCATCCCTGGGATGCAAGGCTGGTTCAATATCTGATATATTTCATAGGTACCTTCTTATAAGAATTCGGTTTAGGTTTATTTTACAGAGTTCTGAACATACTGTGTCTGTGTGTATTCCATTTAGTATTTGATTTTTAATTTAGTTATCATAACCCAGGCATTTTTTCTAAGTCATTATAAATGCTTCATAAACATTTATTTTAGTGACTATACTGTGGCTATACCATGATTTATCTAATTATTCTAATTAGTTATTTAGGTTGTTTTCTAATTGATACTATTATAGATACCTTATGATAAAGTCTTTTAATATGGATTTTTATTGAAATATAATATACACTATTCAGTTGTGTATACATGTATATACTATATAGCATTTTGAATTTTTCATGAGCCAACACATGACTAAAACTACTGTGTACATCAATAAATTATCACTAAATGAACACAACTATGTTACCACTACTCAGGTAAAGAAATAGAACTTTACCAAGTCCCCTAAATATGCCCTCTACCCTCTGCCTTCTAATCACTGTTTCTTTCCTCTTTCTTGAAGATAATCACTAACCTGACCTTTAAGGCCATAGATCAGTTTTTGCTTTGAAGGTCTGTAGTTTGATTAATTTCATTTAGATTTAGGGTTACAAGATCAGGAAGTATGGAGGTTTTAAAGTATCTTATTTCACATAATCAAATTGCCTTCATAAATGCTGTGCCATTTTACCACCACATTGTTAAAAAGTATGAGAAAGACTTTTGTTCCTGAGTGTGGAAAGGAAGAGAAATCAGGGTCAAGTGTAAAGAGACGAAGTTCTGGACAGTGAATAATAGGACCAAATGGGATCATATTGCTTTAGGGAAATCTCAGCTGTCTGTTTCTAAATTCTATTTTATGGCTTTGAAAATCCTCTTCTTTACCTAGACATTGCCAGTCATTGTGGCAGAAAGAAAGGAGAGTGTGGTGAGCCACATACTGGCGATTCATGTACCAGCTCTGGACACAAGTGGCATATGAACTTCTGCCCACGTTACATGCCACGTTCATGGCTAAAGAACAGATAGGAGTTCAGTAGAGCCAGGAGTATATAATCCCACAGGGAGAGGTCCTACAGGAAAGGAAACTAGGCTGCTTGACAATCATACCATCCACCACACTTCGTTTAATGTCTTTGTCCCATCCATAAGCAGATCAGATTATTTGGATTACTCATTTTTAATTTTTATTATAAAAGTGCCCTCTGGTCTTGAGGGGCCTGCATCTCTGTATAGGACTATATCTTCTGTAATTATTGGTCAGGTGGTTTGCATAGTGCTAAACTTTTTGTTTAGTGTGTGCACTTCTTTTCCAAGAAGAGGCCTAGAAACATGCTTGTTCATTAAGAGGATGGGGAAATGCTAACTAACTTTAGTTTATAAGGTACTTTTGATGGAAAGAAATTCCTCCTCAGGAAGTAAGGATATTTGTGTGATTTTTGTTTTTCGTTTGAGGCAGTGTCTTGCTCTGTTACCCAGGCTGGAGTCCAGTGGCATGATCATAGCTCACTATAACCTCAACTCCTGGGCTCAAGCGATCCTCCTATGCAGCTCCTGAGTAGTTAGGACTATAGGCATGTGCTGCCATGCGCAGCTGATTTTTCTTTTTTCTTTTTTGTACAGACAGGACCTTGCTATATTGCCCAGGCTTGGAAATAAGCTTTTTTATAGCTAATTTACACATTCTGCTTACATGCTCCAGGAAAGCATTCAGTAGATGATTTTCTAGCCCATGCACAGTTATACTTACAGGACTGTGGAGGTTTTCTCCCTGTCACAGCAAGGTAACTGAGTCGTTCACCAAGAGGTTTGGTCCAGGTCATCAGGAACACCTTTCAGTTGTAGCTAACATCCTGCCTTCACCCTTTCCTACAGTCAGTTTGCTTCTTCTCTCTTGCCATTCTTTGCTAAAACAGCTATTTTGTAGTATTGCTCTAAAACATTATGTGTTGCTTCTCATTTCTCTTTCTCTTTATGTCTTCATGAAAACATAAATCAGTCAAGGTACTCTGTTGTTCAGTTAGAGAAATAGTTGCACAGTGGAGAGGGTTGCACAGTTATATTTGATCAGCTTGGATTTAACATGGTGTCTCTTTTTTATTTCCCAAAGGTGTCTTCTCTTTAGGGATGGTGAGGTTGGAAAAAGGCTCCTGTAACCCTCCTCCAGGATGAACCACCTGCCAGAAGACATGGAGAACGCTCTCACCGGGAGCCAGAGCTCCCATGCTTCTCTGCGCAATATCCATTCCATCAACCCCACACAACTCATGGCCAGGATTGAGTCCTATGAAGGAAGGGAAAAGAAAGGCATATCTGATGTCAGGAGGACTTTCTGTTTGTTTGTCACCTTTGACCTCTTATTCGTAACATTACTGTGGATAATAGAGTTAAATGTAAGTTGGTGGTTCTTTCATAACTTTTTAAGAAGTGTTTCCAGAGACAACAGGGTTTTTTTGTTCGTTTCTCTTATCATTTGTTTCATTTAGTAATTTCCATCTTTTTCCAAATGAAGCCATTGCTTTTCTCCTCCTGATTTGGACCTTTCTTGTTCTTTAATATTATTGTTTAAGGCAAATGTGATCAGTTTAAAACTCATGTTGTCTGGGGTTTTGAAATTTGAATTCCTGGTATTTTGCTCTGTAACAGGAGTTGACAAACTATAGGCTGTAAGACAAATTCAGTAGGCCTGTTTTAATAAAGTTTTATTGGAACGTGGCCAGGCCTGTCTGTTTACATATTGTTTATGGCTGGCTTTTGCACTGAGTAGTTGCAGTTGAATAGTTGTGACAGAGACCCTCTGACCCACAAAGGCAAAAATATTTGTTCTCTAGTCTTTTTCAGAAAAAGTTTACCCATCCTTCCTCCAGAAAATGTAGAATGCTTTTGGAATATGTTTTAGATGTTTCATGTACTTTTCTAGTTCCTAGGTTTAAGATTTTGCACATGTTTGTTCTTTACTTTCTTGCAAAGAGATTACTTATTTATATTTCATCGGAAAAGTTGTCCTGGAGGCATTTGGAGGTTTATGCAGTTATTCTGTATTACCAACTAATTGTTTAGACCAGTACTGTCCAATAGAAATATAATGCAAACTATTAAATATGTAATTTAAAATTCTCTAGTTGCCACATTAATAAAAATCAAACAGATGAAACTCATTTTAATAATATTTTTTATTTAACCCAATATATGTGTTTTCTTCCCAAAGCCTTTGGTCTGATTGTTTACATTTCTTACCAACCAATAGGTGAGCTCCTCCAGGAGGTTTTCCTCACAAGCAAAAAGTGTCTGCTTTCCTATTTTCAGCAGTTCATTTATTTCCAGGAAATGTTTGCTAAGACCTAGGTAGTAATCATTATTCCCTGTTGTTTATTTTTAGGGGGTTACTCTTTGCTAGGCACAGTGCTAGATGTTTTATGAGAATTTATTATAATACAAAAATATGAAAAGATGCTGAGATTCCTGTTTGAAAATTATTTAAAATTTTGCCTTTTAACAGCAAGAAGCAGCATCTTAATCTAATTTTTGATTAGTATTCTAATTCATAGCATAATTTCAATTCTAAACTCTATTCTCTTAATAATTAGGGTCACTGAATCTCATTTAATTTCATCATGAATCCTAATAGAGGAACTAAACTCGTTATGAAAGCAGACAGTTACATTAGAAAATAATATTTGTCCCATAATCACAGTGACATGGAACATGAGTCCACTGTTAAGTTTCTGTTTACAGATTTTTCTTCTGTTAATTTTGCACTGTGGGATTGTTAAGTTTTGTTTATAATCAGACAGCCCAGTGATATGACATAGTAATTTAGAGTCTCTTTTTGCTATGTGTTCCACATATGCACATTAAAGAAAATATTTTAATTAATGTATATTTTAAAGGAGTAATATGATTTCAAAACTGTAGCTATGTAATGAGAGATGAAAAGGAAATGCGTCTTTTTTTTTTTCTTTTTTGAGACAGAGTCTTGCTCTGTCACTCAGGCTGGAGTGCAGTGACACGATCTTGGCTCACGCAACTGCCACCTCCTGGGTTCAAGCAAATCTCTTGCCTCAGCCTCCAGAGTAGCTGGGACTACAGGGCGCACACCATCACGCCTTGCTAATTTTTTTGTATTTTTAGTAGAGACAGGGTTTCACCGTGTTGGCCACACTGTTCTCTATCTCCTGACTTCATGATCTGCCTGCCTTGCCCTCCCAAAGTGCTGGGATTATAGGTGTGAGCCATCGCGCCTGGCCGGAAATGCATCTTTTAACAGGAAACACATCAGTAGTTTTAAGGGGGCACACTTTAAATTTATTTTAACGTCAACAGCAAGTCCGGGCATTCATTGCTTTGGCTGCTTATATCACTGTATGCCTTTAAATGAGGAAAGTCATGGGGTAGAACTGTGGTGGGGTTCATGGGATCACACTTCTCATTTCTCTCCTTTCTGTTTTGTCCAGGGAAGTGGAAATGAAGTAGGCTGCCCCCTGTTCTTGTTCACAGACAAGTTATCTGTTTACATCTGCATGCAACGTGTTATAAATGAAAAATCACCAGGCCTAGCAATTTAGAAATGTGTTTTTATCCTCACTTTTCCACCAACTACTAGTTTCCCCACCTGTAAAATTAAAAGATTGGAAAAGGGTATATGATCAAGCAAGAACATCAGGACTTTTTTTAGTATGATTGTTTTTCGATGCCCAATTTCTAGTTCTACTTGTTTTGAATTGTCAGTCTTGACCTGGTGTTTTCACTACACGCAGTACCATTCATTTTGCTTTGTTGTCTCTCTGTAACTCTCTAATCATTCAAATCCATTTTTTTAAACATGTCTTTACATTTACCAAATGCCAGAGAACAGGCTTCTAATTCAGGTGTTGCAAGCTCTACCAAAAAAAACTATATGGGATTTAGAGTTTAGCTGAATAAATATGGCACATAATCTTATACTGCCTTGTGATGTAGTCTTTAAAAGAAGAAAGAAAATGTCATAAAGGGTGCTTAGAGCTTTAGAATATGGAGAACCAGCTGTTCTTTGCAATTATAACAATAACCAAACTACTTTGCCTTCATGTATGACTTCCACCTTAGCCACCTTCCCTCCTTGCCACAGGGACCTGACTGGCACCATCCCAGCCTCAAATGCAGGGCTCGGTGAGCCAGAGAAGCCTAACACCACCTTAGTTCATTTTCCTTCTAGAAGATCTTAGGGCTGCTGATCTCTTTTCGGTCAATCAAAAGGATGGTTTTGATTCTATCCAAGGCCTCTTGGTCCACCTTTGAGTAGACTGATTTCCCAAGTTGGATCTGGAATTAATTATGGCTTGCGTTCCCTGAGGACTCTTTTCCCTCTGCAGACTCTCTCCTACACTCTGTAGACAGTGTGAACAGGGATCAAAGTAGTGACAGTTGAAAGGAATTTGGTTTTCTTTTTAGCTTTTGATACTTGATTGAGACTATGGTTCAAAAAAAGCCTTTATCAATGCTTAGTGACTTTTTTCTTACTATTTTCTAACTGGCGTTCTAGAAAATGTCATAACAGTCCTAATTTGACTTAGAGCTGTCGTGACCAGGTCTTTGGCCTTGGGCAAGCTGTTTAATAAGTTCTCTGGGCCTTTTGATCAATTTAATAAACTAATACTGGTCTTGCCTTCCTCATGGGTCCATGTGAAGATCAAATGGAAAGATGTATACAGCAGCCCCTTTGAAGATACAAAGGTCTGCATGATTATAGTTCATGTAATTTATTAATAACTAAAATAAATTTAACCCAGAAAGAAGAAAAAAATGCAGGTTACTGTTTTCTCACTATTGTTACATTTAAGTTTCAGGTACTTATTACCCTGCTAATTCTGATTCTATTACCTCATTCCTACTATGCTCTATAAATGGTGATGACCAAGTATAATAGAAATTCAGATGAGGTAGATCAGTGGCTTGGACTGTTTGAGGGAGTGAATGGAAGAGATGGACTGTGAATTGGATTTGGAAGGATAGGTGGCAGTTAAGATGGGAGGATGATCTGGGAAGGATGATCCTTCAGTGTGGGAGCTTGGGGAGAGGGTTTGGAGATCACGGCGCATGGAAGTACTGAGGCAGGAGTGAGTGCTTATGTGTGGGGAGTACGTGCTCAAGTGCTTGTATTTGGAGGGAACAGGGACAGAGGCTAAGAAAATACTAGCTTGGTTAGAAAGTAAGGTGCCTATTGGAAATGAAATTGAATAGGTAGGCTGGTGCTAGATTATTCAAGTTATTAAAAGGTATATAGAAGGATTTGTATTTACTGCAATGGTGAGCTGTTACAGATTCTGGAGCAGATTGGACAACATGATTTTGAGATTTTCCAGAAGTCAGTGACTCACAGTCTACATCACAGCCTCCTTGACCTGTCCAGTTGGATGTCTGACTTAACATGTTTCCCCCAATGCATACACACACCTGCTTTCCCCCTTTTTCATCAGTAAGAAAATGCAGAGACTTAGGCCAAACATGAAAACGCATTTTGATTTGCTTGTTTTGTATTTTTCATGCTTCATATCCAGTCTAAAAGTAAGTCCTGTCAAATCTGCCTCTAAAATATATTCAAAATGTGACCACTTCTCTTCTTTTCCACTGTTTCTCCTTTTCCACTGTTTCCCTTCTTTTCCACTGTTTCCCTTTCTTTTCCACTGTTTCCAGCTTCAACCAAGCCACATTATCACTCATCCAAACTGCACTCCTGGCTGGTCGCCTGCTTCCTCTCACCCTGCAATCCATTCTTCTCACAGTAGCCAGGGTAACCTGTGAAAAACAAAAGTCAGATCATGTCACTTTCTGTTACAGCTCTTCACTGGCAGGCCATGCTTTTAGAATAAAATCCAAATGTCGTACTTTGGCTTGCAGAGGCCCCAGAAGCCTCTCAGACTTCCTCCCCACCCTCTGTTCCTGGCTCACGGTAGATGAGCACACTTGCCTTCTTCTGTTCTCAGAAAGGAATAAGCTCCTTTCTATCTTGGGACCCTTCTACTAGTTGTTTCTTCTATATGAAATGATTAATTTCCTTTATCTTTTTATAGAATTCAACTTCTTATTTTGCTAGTATCAGTTTAAATGTCTTCATTATTCTGTCACACTGTCCTGCTTCTGTTGTCTGTGTAGCATTTGTTTTCTTATTTGCTATCTCTCTCACCTTGCCAGAATATAATCTCCATGAAGACATATTATTTTGTTTACTGAAGTATTTCCTATATTTAGAACAGTGCCTGGTGCGTAGTAGATGCTCAGCAAATATTTGGTGAATGGATAAAGATCATTGTGGCAGTGGTGAGCAGGTGGGACAGATTGGCAGTAAGAACATGAATTCGGAAGCTGTTGCAGGAATGTCATGGAAGGCGGTGGGAATAGGAAGGAAAGAACTAACCTGAGAGTCACTAAAGGAAGGAGTATGAGAAGACTTGTTGATAGGCCGATTTTATCATCCCCAGTATGCAAAGATGACTCTAAAGTTTCCAGTGATGAACTCTAGAAGAGTAGTACCAGAACTGACTGGGAAGGGATTTTGTGTGAAACTAAAGATAGTTTATTTAAGACATCTTGAGGTAGAGACAAAAATTTTGAAATGAGGATTTAGAGTATAAGTTAGGGATAGAGATATACATTTTAGATAATGTCTGTTTAAAGCCAACTCCAAATCAGAGCATTTTAAAGTATGCAGATACCAGAGAAAAGCTATGGGCTATTTATTGCAAAACTCTATGGGCTGCTTTGATTCCTGTTCTCCCAGGAATAGCAAGGGGAGGTCTCTATGTGGTAGAGAACTCCTGTTTGCTGTAGGCCGCTTGGAATAATCATTCTTATAATATTCTGGATGTTGACAAGTTTCCTTAGTCCGGAGAGACAGTAATGAGACTAAATGGTTGGGTGTCTTTCAATCATTATTCCTCCTTCCTCCCAGGTTTTCAATTCTATTCATTTGTAGAGGTCTGTAGCCAAGCAGGTCTACAGAGGATCCATACTAATTACAAAGAAATGTAGACCTCCTTAAGGGATTTTCGGGCACAGGATAGTATTTATGGTATGCTTTCATTTTTGCATAACAAATACAAATATGTGAAATGATACCTAAGCTAGGAATACCCTTCCCTATGGCAACTTTCATTCGAATTTGAACCTGGCAAAGGTGTTCCTTAATGTTTTCCCTCTTATCCAGGTCTCTGGTTAACTGTCCTTCCATTGGTCCTCTTTTAAACCCTCTGCATTTGTTTGCTCCCTCTGATCAGGCTAATCCAGGGGCTCTGACAGTTACCCTGCTTGGGTGCTGCATTAGCTGCCGACACATGTCCCCTTACTTGATTTTTTAAAAGTATTATGCTCCATAGTTTCATTTGTCGAATTTTGAGCTCGATAATACAAGATTTATTTTGACAGTAGCATTGGGAGAGGACAGAAAGTTGTATCAGGTTTGAGTCTAGTACTGTCCTTATTTCATTATCTATTCATGTTAAAAATATATTTAAATTGATAAAAGTGCAGAATCTTTAAATGCCAGGAGAAATAAAAATGAGAAACCACAGAGAATGTTTACACTTCTATCCTGTGTCATGCTAATGGCCATCATTGACGTTTGCCCGGATGTCGGGGAGTCTTGGCCTTCCAAGACCTAAGACAGTGGAGCGTGATCAGAAAGTAAGGTAGTCCTGGATAAAGGTGAATTGCCTTCTTTAAAAATATACTTTTGTATGATGGAAGACTTTATCTTAGAAGGGAAAAAATAATTTTCTTAACATTTTAATTTTCCCAACTATGAACTACAGAAGCCATTATTTTTCACTATACATTTATATCTGTTGAGTGAATGAATTCAGAGTTGAGGAATTGGAGAGTGCCATCTAGCCCTTTTCTATTAAAATTATGAGAGTTCTTTTCTTCGCACTTTAGCATTTCTGGGTTCTGAGAAGATAGGCAGGAAAGTTGGATAGGAAATCTTACCTTGTTTTATTTCCACACATAAACCTCTCCTTGTTTTTGCTTCTTACTCTCCTTTCTAGGTGAATGGAGGCATTGAGAACACATTAGAGAAGGAGGTGATGCAGTATGACTACTATTCTTCATATTTTGATATATTTGTAAGTATTTTTTATGTTTCATTTCAGATGTGATAAAACTGACCCAAAAGGCAGATTTCCTCTAAATAGACTTCAAATTCCATGCCCTTTTTTCCTCTTTTGAACACTGACCATATTTTCCTTTTCTTTTAATTCCCCACCCATTCAATGTTCTCTCTCTCTAAATAAGGAATTGTGTCATCATCTCAAGGAAATAAAAGATTAATGACAGATAAGGGAGGGCAACAGAAGGAGCCATTCCTATTTTCTTGTTGGAGAGCCTTTATTCTTTCAAATGGCTCAAATAGAACCCATTGACATATCTAGTCACTGAAAGGAAAATTCACCTATTTGTATAATAAGATGATGAAAATGACATCTTTTTTTTCTTGCCTTGTTTTTTCTTTCATAATGGGAGATTAATGTGAGACCTAATTTGCTATTACATTAAGTTGTAGAGCAGGGATTCCCAAATGCTGGTCTACAGACCAGTGCCAGTCCCTGGTAGTCTCCAGCTAAATCACAGTAATGAAGACAGTCTGGTGAGTTTTTCATAAAGCTGTGTCATTTTTGTATATATTTTTTAAAACATCCCTTTATTTTCTTACTTTCAGCTTCTGGCAGTTTTTCGATTTAAAGTGTTAATACTTGCATATGCTGTGTGCAGACTGCGCCATTGGTGGGCAATAGCGGTGAGTATGCCCTGCATGAGTGGGTCATCTCCTCCAGTGCTGGTGGCCAAGTCCTGCTCTCAACAGGCCTGGGCTGGGAGAAGATACAGTTCTAATGCAGGTGGAATCCCACCAGCTTTCCTGAGTCCCGTTTCCTCCATACTTAAGTAGGTTTAATACTCCAGGGCTTCTTTCCAATGTTAATGAGTAACTAGATTTGTCTCTTGGTGCTGAGCCAAATGAGGAATCTAGAAGCCCAACAGTGATTATTGGCCAAGCACCAAGCCACCCTCTACCTCATTTTGCAAATAAGAGATGAGAGGAGACCTCTGTCACAGAGATATTTGGAAAATGTCTTATTTGGTTGAAACTGCTTAGTGATTGTTTTCATGACATGGTCTGTACTTATTTAGGTAATTGCCTTACCCCCTCCTTTCTTCCCCACAACCCCCTGTCTTGGAGGGAAAAGCTCTCAGTCTCTCTGTTGTTGCCTTGGACTTCTCAAGGACAAGGACTTTTTTACTCCTCTGTTTCCTGGCATCTAGCACAGAGAGCTTTGGTATTCTTAATAAGTATTTAGAGATTGATAGAATTACTAGCAGTTCTGCCTGACAGATGTCTGAATATTTGCCTTTTGTAAAGCTTTAATAAGTCAGTTCTATGGGAAGAAAATGTGGAGCTCCTCAGACTAGAGAGAGCTGCTCAGAAATAACCTGCAGTTCTGCAATTAGAGGGTGAGAGCTCGGGTCTGGGTGGCCCAGGCCTGGGTTTCTCCAGCTGGGAATAGGACTTGTGCTGCCCTCCTGAGTCCACTAGGGGGCGATGTCTGTCTGGGCCATGTCTTCTGAGCATTCTCAGAATCACGGGGCAGCGGTCAGACCATCTGTTAATCCGGAAGCTCTCATTTCATGGATATAGGCTGACAGTCTTGGCCAGACTTGACTCCCTTTCCTGAATACTCTTTTGCTGATATCATCATAGCTTTTGATGATTGTACCCTCCCATTTTTCTGCATTTTCTACAACAGATCCCTTTGGGATGTTGTATTCCTGAGTCCCCATATGTATGCTAGTATTTGTCAGACTATCCCTCTCAATGTTTGTTTTAGAAAAGTGTTTGACATATAGATATTCAGTGAGAGCTGTAAGACAGTATCTTCAATATCTGCTTTCAGATTATCTGAAGAATAAGTCTAATTTAGCAAATCATTTTATTGCTTCTGATTCTTGTTTTAAAAAACATTTGCAGAGAAGAGTCTAGAAGCTGGAAGGAGGAGAAGTCAGCTGGTATTTAAAGAGTGCTTAGTGTGAGCCTGTAAAGTTAATTAGTGTCAGAATATAAAATGCTAAACTGCCTCCTCTCCCAAGCAGCTCTGTGTGTGTGTGTGTGTGTGTGTGTGAGTGTGTGTGTGTGTGTGTCTGCAACTTTGTTAATACTTATTGAGCAAGATACTTGGTGTTCCCTGTCCTCCTTCTGTCAGTCAAGCTACTATTGGTATTCATTTTGGTCAGGTTTCACCATGCTAAAAATATTAGTTGAAGGAACAGTGACAAGGCTCAGGTATTATGGTATCTCTGGACTTCACAACCCCTGGCGAGAGCCCTACCTATGCACTTTACCAGTCTCTTCATGTGCTTGTAGAGGCTTTGGAATTGTACCTTCTGGTGGATCAAACTTAGTTACCTAGCACACCAGCCTGCTGAAATGTGGGAGAATAAACCACACACAGTCATTTAGGGATTGTGTCACATGTAGAAGCCCATTTTGCCCCAGTGTGGGTCTAGGGGAGAGAGACTGAGTGATATGGGAAGGAGCCAGGCTAGGCACAGGTTTTTCAGGCCTTGCCTGCTCCTGGCTCAGACGGGTCTCTTGTGAAGAGGGAGGTACCTTCACAGTGTGAGATGCCTAGTGTGAACAGTGCTGGATTATGTGTCTTGCAGTTGACAACGGCAGTGACCAGTGCCTTTTTACTAGCAAAAGTGATCCTTTCGAAGGTATGGCCTACCACTTTTTCTATACAGTTACCATCTTCAGTGATGAAGCCTCGTTTTTCAGTGTGAGTTTGTGGTAACTGCATTTCCCTTTCCTGGTCGTATTTTCCAGCTTTTCTCTCAAGGGGCTTTTGGCTATGTGCTGCCCATCATTTCATTCATCCTTGCCTGGATTGAGACGTGGTTCCTGGATTTCAAAGTGTTACCTCAAGAAGCAGAAGAAGAAAACAGTAAGTTCCTCTCAAAGTCAGCCTCCTGAGGCGGACTGGATACCAAGCTGGGAGGAAGAGATGTGGTTTCTTGGTGTGAATGGGGCTGCAAATGGGTAGAGTTAGGCAGTGGTGGGGTCTTCATTCTTTAGTGGCTACAGCAGAAATCGAGAGAAGGGTTGGGTGGATGAAAGGGTAAGTAACAGAAAGCAGCTCCTCTCTCCAGCTATCAGGCCAGGCTTCCCCTGGAAGAAAATGTGAACACTGGTGAAAAGGGCATTCAAGCAATAACAAAAAATAGCCAGCACTTTTTTCTCCCCAGACAGGTTGTTCTTTTCTCCCTGTTAGCAATAGACAGGACAGTAAGCATTTTGTGCATGTAAACAGAACTGTGCTGTTTAGGGTCAGAGAAAATAAAACCAATTTTAAGTGAGTGGAAGCAACTATTCTAAATACAAGCCAGTGATTCTCCAAAGTCTCCCATTGTGATCCATACAGCAGTTGGTGGCTTCAGATGGGCCTCTGTTAGAACAGTTAAATGCCTAGGGCTGGGGACCATTGGTGGGTTTAGGATGAAGATTATTCACAGGAGGATGACAGCAAGCCAGAGCGACGCTCAGCCTTTCACCATCCTCTGAGTAGCTGAGTCATAGCTAACAAGGTGTACTCATGAATCCTGCCAAAGCTGCTATAATCTCATCATGGCTTTCAATATCCCAGAATATTCACTAGGAAGGCCAAATGATTGATTAAGCTTTATGGTAAATTACCAAGCTGAAATTCTTCTCCACATAATGTCCTTAATGGAAGCCCACATGCCCCACCCACCCATCTTAAAGGTGAAACGATCAAAGCTCATTTCAGACACCCATGCAGTTTCAAGACATGCTGTTTTTATGCCTCTGCTGGCCATCTGGCTCAATTTGCCCTGCCTCATAGGAAAAAAAAAGTATCTTATAGAAAGTTAAGCATGATTATAACTTCAAAAAACAGCAGGATGCAAAATAATCTTGCAAGTGGTTTTATTTTGGAAAATCTCATTTACATAGAAGAAATATATAAGAAAAGGATAATTCAAGAGTAGATTTTAAAAACCCATTAATCAGACTGAGTTGTACCTTCTATCCTGTGCCGTCTATTCCTTTGTGAAAGTGTATCTTGGAGAAGTTATAAGTAAAGCTAATGAAAGTCTTTTTTAATTGTATATAAATATAAAACTGAACTTTGTTGAAAACATATGAACTATTACTATGACTGAGGCTTGAATGGTTATAGGATTAAACCACATTCAAAGTGACTAATAAAGCAGAACACACAATTAATGAAAATTTTAAATTAGCACTTATTTTCATTGTCAGTAGCATGTATGACACACATACCTGGTATCTGCTATTTGGCCTGGTGCTTCCTCCGACTTTATCCTGAGGTTAACTCAGCTTTCAGTCAAAAGAACTTAAGTGTTGGTGGCCTTGCGTGTGTTAGTGTTCCTCAGCTGTCCACGTCCTGCTTTCTTACCTTTTCTTTGCTTTTTTAAGACACTTTTTTTCTTTTGAAACCTTCTTGTTGCATAAATATTTGTCATCTTGATTGTTCTTTATATATTTATAAAAGGCCATCCCTGTATTGCACTTTACATCTGGCATCTCTCTAACCAGATGTAGCCAGCAGACCGTTTGTAGGAACTGACCATGTTTTTTATTTTACTTTTTGTTTTGGTTTTGATACTGTGCTTTTTTGTAGGAAGGCAGGTACTCACAAGGGAAAGATGTAAATACTGAATTATTTATTCTGAGACAGGGCCTCACTTTGTGAAGTGCAGTGGCACAATCATGGCTCACTGCAGCTTTGGCTTACTGGGCTCAAGCAATCCTCCCACCTTAACCTCCCCAGTAGCTGGGACTACAGGCATGCACTACCACACTCGGCTAATTTTTAAATTTTTTATAGAGACAGGGTCTTGCTATGTTGCCCAGGCTGGTCTCAAACTCCTGGGCTCAAGCGATCCTCCATCCTTGGCCTCCCAGAGTGCTATGATGACAGGTGTGAGGCACCATGCCCAGTCTCATGAGGCACTTATTTAAGCTGCTTAGTTATCTGTCTTTACAGTATTGTTTGTCATTTGTTAATGAAACTTATTGTTTGGTTGAAACATTTTTAAAGTACCTCTTTTTCTAAAGGTATTTCATTGTAATAATAATACCATTTTATTTTACTTAATCTTGCCAAAAAGCTACCAGAAAGGTGACCTCATTCCCAACATCTGAATTTCTTCTCTTCCAGGACTCCTGATAGTTCAGGATGCTTCAGAGAGGGCAGCACTTATACCTGGTGGTCTTTCTGATGGTCAGTTTTATTCCCCTCCTGAATCCGAAGCAGGTAAAAAACTTGATTATTATTTGTGCTTGTATCTCTCATTCAAAGGCTCTGCTCTTCCTTCCTTTCCCTACCCCCTCTGTTTCTCAATATACTTAGCTAACATCTAACATGCCAGGCATTAGGGATATGAAAATAGGTGAGACACGGTCTCACATGAAACCAGTGGTAAGACACAGAGTTGTAAAAATAAATGTCATGGAGGAGTGATTAGACACCATGATTTGTGATATGTATCTTAGAAGACACACAGACAAGGGGAAGCGTCTCAGTGCTCTCATTATTGCGGTTCATCACCAAACCAACCTCCCTCTAGGACTCCCATATCTGAGAATGGCAGCACTGTCCAGCCAGTTGCCCAGCTCAAACACCAGAGCCTCACTGTTGGCTTCACCCCGTTCTTATGGCTCACATCTCATCATTCACAAAGCTGTTTCCATCCTCTCTCCCTTATTTCTACCTCCATTTTCTCATTCAAATCCTGCCACTTCTTATCAGC
This sequence comes from Homo sapiens, assembly GCF_000001405.40. NCBI lineage: Eukaryota > Metazoa > Chordata > Mammalia > Primates > Hominidae > Homo > Homo sapiens. Next base: position 38,220,157 of record NC_000007.14, read on the forward strand.
TCCAACCTCATTTCAGCATTACTTTCTGCAGTTTCTGCAAGAGCCTTTGTCTCCCTGCCTCCAGTTTTGTCTTTCACTAACCAGCAACCAGAGTGCTCTGTTAAAAATAACAATTACACTCAGCAACAAAAATAAACAACCTGATTAAAAAATATGCAAGGGTTTTGATAGACATTTCTCCAAAGAAGATAAACAAATGGCCAATAAGCACATAAAAGATGCTTAACATCACTAATCATTAGGAAAATGCAAATCAGAACCACAACAAGATACCGCTTCATACCGATTAGGATGACTGTTACAAAAAGCAAAACCAAACAAAAAGACAGAAAATAAGTATTGGTGAGAATATGGAGAAATTGGACCCCTTGTGCATTACGGGTGAGAATGTAAAATGGTATAGCCCCAGTAGAAAACAGTATGGTGTTTCCGTAAAAGATTAAACATAGAGTTACCATATGATTCAACACTTCTACCCCTGGGTATGTACCCAAAGGAAATGAAAGCAGAGACCACAGCAGATATGTGTATACCCATGCTCATAGCAGCATTATTCACAGTAGCTAAATGGTGGAAACAAATCAAACAGCTGTCAGCAGATGGGTGGATAAACGACATGTATGTACATCCAATGGAATATTATTCTCCATTAAAAAGGAATGGAAAGCTGGGCACAGTGGCTCATGCCTATAATCCCAGCACTTTGGGAGGCCAAGGTAGGAGGATCGCTTGAGCCCAGGAGCTCAAGACCAGCCTGGGCAACATAGGGAGACCTTGTCTCTATTAAAAAAGAAAAGAAAAGAAAAGAAAAGAAAAGAATAGAATTCTGACACATACTATAACATGTATGAACTGTGAACACATTATGCTAAGTGAAATAAGCCAGACACAAAAGGACTGTCGTATGATTTCACTTAGATGAGATACCTAGAGAAGTCAAATTTTCAGAATGGTGATGATGGCTGCACAACAGCATAGATGAACTGAATGCACTGGATGGCATGCTTAAAAATGGTTAAAGTGGTAAATTTTATGTTAAATATATTTTTCTATGGTAAAAAACCCACTATTTTTAAAATTGCTAACACTTTTTTAAGTGTCAGGTGCTGTTCTAAGCTTTATTAATATTCACTCATTTACTCCTCCCTTGTCTGCTTATCTTCTGAGATACAGATCACAAACCATAGTGTCTAATCACTCCTCCATTACATCCATTTTTTATAAGTCTGTGTCTTACCACTAATCTCTTGTAAGATTGTGTCTAACCTATTTTCATATTCTTAATGCCTGGCATATTAGATGTTTGCTAAGTGCCTCCACTCTGTGATGTAAAACTCGTATTATCCCTAATGTAGAGATGAGCAAATGTGGCACAGAGAAGTGAAGCAATTTACCCAATATCACACTAATAATAAGTGGTGTAGCTGGGATTTGAAGCTGGGGTCCAGTGCTAGAGTTCATGCTTATAACTGCTAAAGTATATTAGCCTCTTGGTGTTTATGAAAATATAGACTTGGTCATGCCAGTCCCCTGCTCAAAAGCCTTCAGTAGCATAAAGGATAAAGAAATCAGTAGATCTTAGCCTGGCTGGAAGTGCCCCTGTGGGCACTGTCACCAGTTGTCTAGCTTCTCACCTTGTGACTGCCTTCTGGTGTGCTGTTCATAGCTCTTCTGAAAATGTTGTGCTCTAGGGCCCTCCAGCCATTGTCCACCTTGCTGTTTCCATTCTGAGCATGATCTCCTCTGCAATCCTAGTGTTTGCTCACATGTTCCCATGTTCTTCCCAGCCATGCCTACCCTTCCCATCGCTCCCGGCAGTCTTAGAACATCCTTAGCATGTTCTTTGGAACCTCTTCCACAGCCCTGTCATCCTGTGTTGTCTGCACTGCCTTCAGCGCTGACCTGGTCTGTTTCTACTGCGGGTTGTAAACTTGAGTTAGAGACTACATCATTGTATTCCCTACATTAGGCCTAGTTAATATTTTCACACACACACACACACACACACACACACACACACACACACACAGAGTGGTAAAAGGGATTCCAGACAGAAAGAGCCATGAATGATTGAAGATTACAGCCATGTGAAATATCAGTGTACTGGAGGAACTCCAAGTAACTTGAGATTCTGGACTATTGGTGTTGGATCTGAAAGCAGCATACAACACAGAAACATAGAGCTAGATGAAATACAGATATGGATTTGTAGAAAATCTGTTTCTAAAACAGTAAAAACTAGAATTTAGTATTAAATTGTTTATTACCTCATAAGGATTATTTCATTGAGATGTTTTGTGTCATAGGACTTTACTCTTTGAAAAAAGGAAATTCATATTAGAGTTCATGCATCTCTACTTCTTTTTCTAAGACTAATACAGGTTCTCAGTACTAATGTATTTTCTTAACTAGAGTTCAGAACATAGAATAGTAGTGATACGAGGAACACGGTCTCAAGCATGCCTCATCAAACTTTCTAGTTCTGGGATCCATCTGCATTTCACCTTTATCATTTACCACCACCTAGTGGTACCTTGGAGCATTACCATTTCCTTGAGTCAGGAAGGTAAACAAAAACAAAACATTTTCATGGTGTTCCACTGTGTAGCTGCTTTGTTTGACAAAAGACAGGTTACTAATGGGCAGAGAAGGAGTGGTCAGAGTGGACTACCTTATTATATTTGCATTGTCTGAATGTTCAATTTAGGAAAGAATTAAAAATGAAAACTGTTACTGGAATTAATATGCCTAGAAAAAAAAGACTACTCTAGAGCAAAGCTTTTCCCTTATGCCAATAGCTAAAAATTGAAGCCTTTCAGTAGCTTGAGGTTCTAAGCTGCTGTTGCCCTGCTACAGCACTGACTTCCCTGGTACACATGAGGGCGTCCGAAAAAGGCCTGACGTGCCTTTTTTTGTCTTTTTTTCCTCCACCACCTAATACAGTACCTGGCTTATATTAGACTTACAACTGTTGAAGAAAGGGATGAAAAGAAAAGGGAAAGAAATAGGAGGCACCATAAACAAAAATGTTAGCATTTTTCCTTGTAAAGGAGCAGCCTGAATTTTAGTACCACAGGGATAGCACGGTTTATTAGATATACTTGTAAAGGATATAAAAATAGTTTGTTTGCAGGCTTGCTTGTTGATCAGACCGCATCCTGCATCCCTTTGTATTAAATGGAAAGAATTAGGAAGCATGATCCTCTCTCAGATGACTGGGTTGAAATTATGTGTGGTCAGAGAGCTTAAGTGAACCAGTTATGAAGCTGAAGAAAGGGTAATTTTTCACTTCCTAAACCATGGAAAGATTAACTTAAAATGAGGAATTGCTCAATTGCATAATATAGCCTGTCCTGTGCAAGTCTAGATAAGGCATTCATTACAATTCTAAGTTGCCACCTCCCCAGAGTAGCCATGCATCCTGGTTTGCCTGCAGCAGCCTTGCCTTCTTCTGGTTGCCCCATATAGTTATTATTAGAAGCCCTTGTATCTCTCAGCAGTGTTCTTGTTTAGATGATCATTTCTATGATCACCCTATGTGTCGTGAATAGATTCGAAACACAGCTTTTTCCTTTTAATCAAAATTTTGAAAATTATTGAAAAGTCATTGCCAGGGATACTGAATTATATTGACTTTTTAAAAAAGCTTGATTGAGGTGTAATTTGCATATAATAAAACTCATCCATTGTAAATGTATAATTGCATGATTTTTAGTAAATTTATAAATTTTTAATCAATATTACAGTGTAATTTTGGAAGTTTCATTACTTGAAAAACTTCTTTCATGCTCATTTGCAGTTAATCCCCACTTCTACCTCTAATCCTAAGTAACCACTGATCTTCTTTGTATCTTGACAAATTTACCTTTCCTGGGCATTTAATGTAAATGTAGTGATATGATACATGGCTTTTTGCATCCAGCCTCTTGCTTAGCATAAGGTTTGAGGACCAACCATGTTGTAGCATATATCAGTGTTTTGCTCCTTTTTGTGGCTGGGTATTATTCCATTATATGGATATACAACATATTGTCTGTATCCACAAGTTGATGGACATTTAGATTGTTTCCACCTTTTGGTTATTATAAGTATATCCAGCTATGAACATTCATGTACATGCCTCTGTGTGGATGTTTATTTTTGTAATTCTTGAACAGATTTCTAAGAGAGGATTTGCTGTGTCATGTGGCAAGTTTCTGTTTAACTTTTTTTAAAATTGTCAAACTGTTCTTGATCGTGGCTGTTTTATTTTACGTTCCCTCCAATAATGTACAGTAGTCCTTTCTTATCCACAGTTTCACTTACCTGAGGTCAATTGAGGTCTGAAAATATTAAATGGAAAATTCCAGAAATAAACAGTCCATAAGTTTTTAATTGTGTGCCGTTCTGAGTAGCATGATGAAATCCCACACTCTCCTGCTTCGTCCTGTCCAGAACGTGAATCATCCCTCTGTCCAGCAGATCCACACTGTATGCACTGCCCACCTGGTAGTCACTTAGGAGCCATCCAGGTTATCAGATTGACCATCCCAGTATCACAGTGCTTGTGTTCAAGTAATCCTTATTTCACTTAACAATGGCAAAGTAGTAATTCTGGCAATTCATATATGCCAAAGAGAAACCATAAAGTGCTTCCTTTAAGTGAAAAGGTGACAGTTCTCAACTTAATAAGAAAAGAAAAAAAAACATATGCTGAACTTTATCATGTTCGTCTTATGGCAAACTTTTTCATAGGTATGTATGTATAAGAAAAAACATAATACTGATAGGATACAGTACTATCTGTGGTTTCAGGTATCCAGGGATAAGGGAGATTACTGTGTATGCATTTCAGTTTCTCCATATATTCACCAATGCTTAGTATGGGGTCTTTTTGATCATATCCCGGCTAGCAGATTTAAAGTGGTATCTCATTGTGGTTTTAATTTGTATGTTTGTAGTGATACTGAGATATTTTTCATGTTTCTATTATATGTAATTCATAAGTCTTATTTAGAGAAAAATCTATCTCAAGTCTTTTGCCATATTTTTAATTGTGTTTTCTTTTTATTATTGAGTTGTAAGAATTCTTTACACATTCCAGATAAAAGTGTTTTCATATATGATTTACAAATATTTTTCCCAGTCTATTATTTGTCTTTTCATTTCTTCCTAGAGTCTTTTGAAGCACAAGTTTTAAATTTTGATTAAGTGTAGTTTATGAATTTGTTCTCTTATGGATAATATATTTGTGTTCATATCTAAGAACTCTTTAACTCTATGACATGAAGATTTTCTGCTACATTTTCTTCTAAAAGGTTTTTTAGTTTTACATGTTTCAATTAAGATTACAATACATTTTGAATTGATTTTCAAATATGGAGGAGGTAAGGGATTAATTCATTCTCTTGCTTTTGGATACTCAGTTGAACAGCACAAGTTCTTGAAAAGACAACCTTTCCCCATTGTACTGATTTGACACGTTTGCTAAAATCAGTTTACTATAAACTGATTTTGTGCCAAACCAATTTTTATTTTTTTAATTCTGCTTTCTTAAGGTGAATACTTATATGATTGATTTGATACTTTTTTTTTCTTTTCTTATATAGCCATTTAAAGCCATAAATTTTCCTCTAGGAATTGCTTTAGTGATATCACATGAATTTTGATATGTTGTGTTTTCATTTGAATGCATTCCTTGGCTTTCAGCAGGTTGACACGGATGTGTCTGCATGTGGATCTCTTTGTATATATCCTAATCTGTGTTTATTCTCCTTATAAAATGTGTGGATTAATATTTCTCAGCCAATTTGAGAAATTTGAACCATTAATTCTTCAAACATTTTTCTGACATTTTCCTCCTTCTGGGATTCCCATTACATGGTTGATTGATATGCTTGATGTCTCTGAGCACTTCAACTTTTCTTCAGTCTTTTTCTTTCACTCAGAGATAGTTTGTTTTGACTGTCATTTTTTCCTGGGAATGGTCACACTTTCTTGAATCTTTGCCTATCTTGTTTTTTTTTTTTTTTTTTTTTTGATGAAAAGTATTTTGCTGAAAATAAAGTAACTCTGGATTCTGATTTTTTTCCTGAAACATTGCTGTTCTTGCTCTTTGTTTAGTAAAGAGCTATATCTTTATATAGCTGTGCTAAATCTGTGAAATCTATACACCCTAGGATGTGTGGCTGCTTCTGTTTTCTCTCAGTTTTTTGTTTTATTGTCCATTAATTCTTGCCTATATTTTTAAGCCTAGCTTCCTAGGAGTTACCCATGTCTAGAGCCTACTGATTAGGCAGAGCCTAGCTAGTGATTACACAGAGGATTGCACTCAAATACCTGGATCAAGGCTTCCATCCTCTGCCAGGTAGAAATGTACATGGGTTGGATAGCACCTTCAGCGTTCAGGCCATTTTCAAGTCCTCCCCAGCTTTTACTTTCTGCTAAGTCCTTTCCTGCTCTCTCTGCGTATGCTTAGAGCTCAGGCTAATTGGCTGGCTTGGGCTCTCTTGGGTCTCCTCTGTGCATGGAGACAACACCAGCTGGGCATATGCTTGTCCCAGTGGTGACCACAACTCAGCCTCCCAGAGTAGTTGGCCCTTTCTGCTCACCTCCCTCTGAATTTGTCACTTCACTGTCAGTGTCACTGGGCATGAGCATGGCTCCCCACTCCAAACTAAGCGATCTCCCTTCAACTGAGTAGCTTTACTGCCAGTCCCCATGGCCTGCCTCACCCTAGCAGAACCTCCATGCCCATTGAGCTGGGTACTGGGAGGTTGGAGAAGAACAGGAGCAGCTCCAGGCAAGACACAACTGCTATTCCCTGAATTCTGCAGTGTTTCAAACATAAACATTTCTCCAGTTGTTGTGTGCTTTTGGTCATTTCTCCAGTGGTGAGATGGCTAGTTTTGCCCATTTTGCCACATTTTGGGGGTGCCTTTCAGGGAGAGGATTTATTGACTTCTTCACTTGGCCGTAGCAAGAAGTCTCTTTTAAAATATGTAAAGAAGACATATTGTTATATTTTAATTAAGGGTTTAGCTTTATTTAGGACTCCCAAATAATTCCAAGACATGGCAACTCACTGTGGTTTCAGTGCCACTGGCCTAGCAGATTGAAGTGAGCTTGGGAACAGGAAGATCTGATGTGACCATCTTCCTCATCCTCCTTCCACAGTAAGGACAGGCAGTTCCCCACCTCCTGTCTCTATGATGGACAGTGTGTTAATAGGGTAGAAAGTAAAGTCTTCAACAGTTAAGTCTTTACCTATTCATTTTACTACAAATTCAACCTAACCGTGTGACATTTATGAGGTTAAAACGTTTTCTTCAGATTATCAGGCATTCTTTCCCTATAACAAATTTGTTCTTGGCTATAATTCAGGTAGACATTCTCCTTAGGGAAAAAAAAATGTCCTTTTTAAAGTATCTTATCTAACAAGGTTCAGGCGTAGTTGAGAGAGGCTGCAGCTTTTACGTGTGAATTGATGGCATCTCTCACCCCCTACTTTGGTCTTCTCTCAGGGCCTCCTCTGCTTTTTTTTTAATTCCTCTTCCCTGATTATGAAAGCCATGCATTTAAAAAAGTGGAAAGAACAAAAATTAGAAATCACGTATCCTTCAAATTATTTGGTAACATCAGTATTGACAGTTTAGTTTCCTTCTTGGGGTGTGTGTATGTGTGTGTGTCTGTGTGTTTAATCTCACATCATTGTGCCCATGCTGCCTATATTATTCATATTCTGCTTTTTAAAAATATAATTTAAAAATTATTAATAAAGTCAATTCAAGTTTATTGTAGAAATGTTAAAATATCCAGAAAAATATATAAAAGTTACGTGGTTATTTTCTTCTACTCTTTCTCGTTTGCACACATATATTTGGTTTTTAATTTTATCAAATGTGATCTCATGGCATTTAAAGTTTTATTTGCTATACATTTGCTTTTACCTTACAGCGCATGCATTTTTCATGTTATAAATTCTATATAACCATAATTTTAAGTGGATACAAGATATGTTATGGAACTACAGTATTAACCTTTCTTCTATTCTCAGACACTTAGCTTTCTTTTCTAATTTTTAGAGAGAAAATCTACATAATGAATAATAAGCATTATTTCCTCAGGGATAGGTCTATCCTAAGGAAAGAATTCCAGAGCGGAATGACCAGGTCAAATCTAGGAATATCCTGAAGCTCATGAGACATTGATCCAGAAGGGCCAGACTGTGGTCACTGCCACAGTGCTCTCTCACTGCTCTCTCGCTCGTCTGCCACAGCCATTGTTAGAAACACCTAGATTCAATTATTTGTACCAAGCTCAACATTTTTGCATGTAAAAAAATATATGCAAGCTTGTCAGCAAAGAGGCAGAGGAAGAATAGTGATTGATAATAGTTATTGGTCTGCATGAATATTCTTAGTACATAAGTGAAATCCATTTTGACAGATTAGTGTAAGTGATAGATTATTGTTTAAAGGTTTTCCTGTTACAAGAAATAAATAAAGCTTTCAAATAGCAGTTAACCTAAATCTCTTGAGGATTAAACATATGTTTAATGTTTTTATGTGTATATGTTATAATTTTAAACCTATTTATTTAAAATAGTTTGTTACTGTAATGGAATGAAATACTTTTTCTTTGTCCCCTTCTCCACCACGTAGGATCTGAAGAAGCTGAAGAAAAACAGGACAGTGAGAAACCACTTTTAGAACTATGAGTACTACTTTTGTTAAAGTAAGTGTTTGAAATGAAACCATAACAACAAAGTAGTTAAGTATGGAGATTTCCTTTGAGTAGAGTCAAAGTAGAATTCAAAGAATAAGAGTGTAAGGATAGCCAGAGTTATCTTACTTGCATGAATTTATCAGTCACATTTTATTAATGCCAAGTGTCTTAACATTTTTTATACAGGTATACATTTATAAGGTTTTGAAAATACCTCAGATTTCTAAATTTCTAAAGAATAGAGATGAATTTATGTTAATTTACTTAGCCAGAATGTCTACATGCCAGTCACATGTCATTGTTTTAATGACAGGTACTAATCTATGTTAAGAGGACAGCAGTCCTGTGAGATGCAGGTGCTGTTATCACCTCCATTTTACATTTGAAGCAGCAGAGACATAGAATGGGTCACTTATCCAAGGTTGCACAGCTAGACGAGGCAGCGCTGGGGCTCAGGCCCACACTTTCTGGTACCAGGTCCACTGCAGCCCCTCACTGGGACATTTCTCAAGGATTTTGGAGCCTCTGAGATGAAAGCTGCTGTACATCCAAAGCAGTCATGCTTAATGGGCTCCAAAGTGGAACACATTGTTAAATCCCTTTAAGTCATCAAAGAAAATCATTTTAACCTCATAAATAGAAGGCAATTGAAGTAAATTGTAGTAGCAGCAAATCTGCCTGACAGTTTAACCACAGAAGGAAAAAGCTGCCAGATTGTGAGTCATTGGGAAGCTGGGATAGAAGCTGACTGGGTGGGAGAGGTAGCCAAGGTCACGGCGCATGGAGCCCCAGTGCCTGCCTCCTCAGCCCCCAGCACACCTCAGCCGCATCTCTCCACCACAGTCATGTAGACGCGAAGCAAAAATGTGGGCATGCTCGTAGTTGAGCCTTTTCTAAAATGTTTTAACATGAATTCTAATGTGACCACACGCATGGTCCTTCGTGTGTCTGTCACAGCCCCTCTTCAGCACACAGACTTTTATGTACATGTAAGGTGACCGTGGCATTTTGCCTTTTAATGCTATTTATTAAATACTTTTGTCTTCTCTCTTTTTCTAAGTGTGAAAAACCCTCACAGAAAGTCATCGAGGCAAAAAGAGGCAGGCAGTGGAGTCTCCCTGTCGACAGTAAAGTTGAAATGGTGACGTCCACTGCTGGCTTTATTGAACAGCTAATAAAGATTTATTTATTGTAATACCTCACAGACGTTGTACCATATCCATGCACATTTAGTTGCCTGCCTGTGGCTGGTAAGGTAATGTCATGATTCATCCTCTCTTCAGTGAGACTGAGCCTGATGTGTTAACAAATAGGTGAAGAAAGTCTTGTGCTGTATTCCTAATCAAAAGACTTAATATATTGAAGTAACACTTTTTTAGTAAGCAAGATACCTTTTTATTTCAATTCACAGAATGGAATTTTTTTGTTTCATGTCTCAGATTTATTTTGTATTTCTTTTTTAACACTCTACATTTCCCTTGTTTTTTAACTCATGCACATGTGCTCTTTGTACAGTTTTAAAAAGTGTAATAAAATCTGACATGTCAATGTGGCTAGTTTTATTTTTCTTGTTTTGCATTATGTGTATGGCCTGAAGTGTTGGACTTGCAAAAGGGGAAGAAAGGAATTGCGAATACATGTAAAATGTCACCAGACATTTGTATTATTTTTATCATGAAATCATGTTTTTCTCTGATTGTTCTGAAATGTTCTAAATACTCTTATTTTGAATGCACAAAATGACTTAAACCATTCATATCATGTTTCCTTTGCGTTCAGCCAATTTCAATTAAAATGAACTAAATTATACTGTGTGCTGTTTTTTCAAACATGAATATTCCCCTTGACTCAAGGGAAGTCAGGATGTCTGTTAGTTTTCTTTCATCATTCATTGTGTCATTGAAGAAAAACCTAATTGCCTGTAGTGGTGATGATGCTGGCTTGGGTAGAAACTGACCTTTTGTGCATATCAAGTCACTTCTGAAGGGGTGGCCTGCCCCTCCACACCTGTGGGTATTTCTAGTCGGGTGGGGCGAGAGACTGAGAAAAGAAATAAGACGCAGAGACAAAGTATAGAGAAACAATAGTGGGCCCAGGGGACCGGTGCTCAGCACACCAAGGACCTGCACCGGCACCGGCCTCTGAGTGTCTTCAGTTTTTGTTCATTATTATTTTCATTATTTCAGCAAAAAGGAATGTAGTAGGAGAGCAGGGTGATAATAAGGAGAAGGTCAACAAAAAACGTGAGCAAAAGAATCTATATCATAATTAAGTTCGAGGGAAAGTACTATGCCTGGACGTGCACGTAGGCCAGATTTATGTTTCTCTCCACCCAAACATCTCAGTGGAGTAAAGAATAACAAGGCAGTATTATTGCAAACATGTCTCACCTCCTGCCACAGGGCAGCTTTTCTCCTATCTCAGACTTGAACAAATGTACAATCGGGTTTTATACCGAGACATTCAGTTCCCAGGGGCAAGCAGGAGACAGTGGCCTTCCTCCACGTCAACTGCAAGAGGCTTTCCTCTTTTACTAATCCACCTCAGCACAGACCCTTTACGGGTGTCGGGCTGGGGGACAGTCAGGTCTTTCTCATCCCACAAGGCCATATTTCAGACTATCACATGGGGAGAAACCTTGGACAATACCCCGCTTTCAAGGGCAGAGGTCCCTGCGGCTTTCCACAATGCATTGTGCCCCTGGTTTATTGAGACTAGAGAATGGCAATGACTTTTACCAAGTATACTGCTTGTAAACATTTTGTTAACAAGGCACGTCCTGCACAGCCTTAGATCCCTTAAACCTTGATTTTATACAACACATGTTTTTGTGAGCTCCAGGTTGGGGCAAAGTGGCTGGAGCAAAGCTACAAATTAACAACATCTCAGCAAAGCAATTGTTTAAAGTACAGGTCTTTTTCAAAATGGAGTCTCTTGTGTCTTTCCTTTCTACATAGACACAGTGACAGTCTGATCTCTCTTTCTTTTCCCTACAACTTCTATCTGTGCTTGTTCTAAGAGTGGATCAGATCTCAACAGTGCAACAGGGAGGCTTGCTGGGAGGCTGGAGTCTAACCAGGATGAGCGTCTCATAGTGGAGAAGGGGCAAGGAAAGTCTCAAATGTCTGGCCTTGAGACTAAAACCTTAGAACTCAATGGTGTTATGGGAGTGAGAATCTCCTGTTTCAGGATTGGAGTTGCATATACACCAACCTCATAGATGATGCTTAAGTTGCCAATCAGGTTGTTAATTTAACCTGAGAAGGAGCTCTCACCCAGACATGCTGGGGGAACCGGTAGGATGTTGCCAATCCTCAGAGGAAGCCAAGTCTGGCTCAGAAGTCTTACCTCTCTAAGCACAGACCAAGCGGAATGAGGTATAGTATTTGAATATGCTAGGAAGTCAGACTGTGGGAGCCTACAGTGATTATCTCAACGATTGAGTTATATATTCTCCTGGGACTGCATAGATTCAGCCCAGGGGCATGGGCACCCACTCTGCCATGTTTCGGTGGGGTAGGAGTGGAGACATTTGTCCTTTATGCTCACATTGCTGAGCAATCCTCTGATGGACCCTTATCACTCATTTATCTGATGTTATTGTCCTCTAGTAATCCTTGGTCTGGTTGATGCTGAAATCATTTTGTCTCTGTAGAGGGACTTGATGTGATTCCATTTATGACATTTGTTACACAGTTGAACTCAGGGCTTCTATATCCCTGGTTTCCTGTGGAGAAAGAAGCACATCACTGTTGCCCACATCTGTGATCTACCTGTGCTAATAGGTTCATGAGTCTTGTGTCACCCTGTTTACACTGAGGAAATGAAACCAAAGGTATTAGTGTCTCTGAATCAGGTGCCTCTGGAAGGTACAGATACTGGGTGGAATGTTAGGATCATCTCCGTGCTGCAAGATGTCCTCTGGTCTTCAGGACAGTGTCATGGGAGTGGACCGAAGGTGCCATGTCTGAACAGTCCTGGGCATCAGATTCCCAACTCACCTGGTAGCTAATGAACCTTGAATATCAAATGCAGGGAGCCCCACCTACCCACAGGGTGGAGAGTGTGTTTGATAGTAATCTTGTATGTGTGAAGATGGATATTTTATTTCCATTAGCTGTGGGCTCTTGAAAGTGAGCAAAGTTGGTTGTGGTTTAACTGTCCTCGTTTTGTCTTACAACACCCTAGCCACCCCATGCACAGCCCCAACCAGTAGGGGCCGGTTTGACTTTGAGCATTTTCCATGAATCAACCACATTTGCCAGAGCACGTAAACAAAAGAAGCCTGAGAAAATAAAACACCATCCGCCACATCAGCGCCCTCCCACCACCCACTCTGCCTCCTCCACCACCACCACTGCATTCTCTCTCTACATTGCTGAAGTTCGGGGCAGCCCAGCTTGCGTTGGGGAAGGAAATCGCTAAGAAGTGTGAAACCACAGGAGACATTGCCCAGTACCTCGGCTGGTGATATCAGCCCCACAAAGCCCTTAGTGATCTGAAAGTTTCCTCTCCCAGTGCAGAAATCATTCCAGATTTCTCTATAGAGGCCAGGTATTTGCCCTAAAGAGATTCAATCAATTCATGAGAATCAAGGAGTAGATCTAAATTAAATTTGATCTTTCTTAAGTCTGGTTGGTCTTGCTTTGTTTACAAGTAGGATTCTCTACTTGGTTTCCAAAAGAACATGTTTCACAGAAACAAGCTGATTGTAGGCAAACCAGAAAACCTTCCCAATGTTCAGTAACACATTGTTTTAATTCTAATATATAAAAATGTTTACTTTAAAAGGATTCACCGGAGAAAACAGAAAACACACAATCACTTATTTTTTCACCCACATACCAACAATGAACATTGTTTTATCTTTGTCTGCAGAAATACACAGACACACATATAAATGAATGGCATGCCTATTTGTGTTATTACTCAGTAGAAAAAATGGCCAAAGGACATGAACAAATATGGCACAGAATAATATAAAATAGACCTTAAACATAAAAAGATGTTTATCTTCACTCACAGTAAGAAAAAAAGCAAATTAAAACCACAATGCAGTACTATTTTTACCTGTCAAATTAGCAAAACCCAACATTAAGCAGTAGGCTGTCAGCACTCACACACATTGTGGGAGAAGGGGTTAGGGCCATTTCTATGGAGGGCAGTTTGGCAGTACCCATCAAAATTACCAGTGCATATGTTCAAATGACATAAAACACTATCATTCATTTCAGCATTTTTTATAATAGCAAAAGACTGGTACTAAACCAAGGCACCGATTGAAAGTATGTTCACCAGTGAAAAATATCTGTATTTAGCTGGGCACAGTGGCTCACACTTGTAATCCCAGCACTTTGGGAGGCTGAGGTGGGCGAATCACTTGAGGTCAGAAGTTCGGGACCAGCCTGGCCAACCTGGTGAAACCCTGTCTCTACTAAAAACACAAAAATTAGTTGGGCATGGTGGTGGGAGCCTGTAATCCCAGCTACTCGGGAAGCTGAGGCAGGAGAATCGTTTGAACCCAGGAGGCAGAGGTTGCAGTGAGCCGAGATCAGCCACTGCACTCCAGCCTGGGCCACAGAGCAAGACTCTGTCTCAAAAACAAAAAAAAGAAAAAAAAAATACCTGTAGTGAAGTGCCCCTGTATATAAACATAAAAAGAGCTTTAAGATTTATAAATGGAAAGAGATGTGCAGATTAATATATGCTATATACTCCCTGTGTAAAAAGGGGAAATGAGAACATATATACATGTACATGGATACTTATATATGTACATCCATATTTAACTAAATAAAAATTGGAGTGTTTTCGAACCATGTAAGTGTTCAAATGTATTTATCTCACAATAGGATTTATGCTATGAATATTATTTTTCAACTCCATATCTATTTATTTTCCAGTTTTTAACCCATTTCCTTTTTGCCCCAAGAATACTCATTTCTAATCCTAATGCAACAGAAATGTACATGATGTTACATTAGGATTAGAGAGAAGTTCTGTTTAGAAATAACTCCAAGAACAGTTTTTGTTTTGTTTTGTTTTTAAGAGAGAGAGAGTCTCACTGTGTCGCCCAGGCTGGAGTGCAGTGGCGTGATCTCAGCTCACTGCAACCTCCGTTCCGCCTCCGGGTTCAAGTGATGGTCCTGACTCAGCCTCCTGAGTAGCTGGGACTACAGGTGCACGCTGCCACTCCCGGCTAATTTTTTGTATTTTAATAGAGACGGGGTTTCACCGTGTTGCCCAGGCTGGTCTCGAACTCCTGAGCTCAGGCAGTCCACCCGCCTCAGCCTCCCAAAATGCTAGTATTACAGGCGTGAGCCACTGCACCCAGCCCAGGAACAGATTTGACATTTTATATTCACGTTGAAAATCAGTCATATTTGCTTCAGCCTCAAAAGAGTGTGTTTATGTAAAAACAGCGAGCTGCACTTTTTTCTAAATGGGAAATGGGTTAAAGAATCTATACTTTTTGGAAGATGCGTATTTGTCTATTTATGAATTTCTGATTGTTCACCTGGGTTAATTTGGGGCTGTTTGAAATAACACTATCGTGAATGAACATCCTTGCACATAAATCTTGGTACACCCCTTTCGTTTCCTTGGGAAATAAATGGGTCCCATGATAAGAACACCTTCCAGGTGGCGTGTGTTCCACCCGTGTGTAGTGAGCTCTGAGATGTTTCCTTACGGCTTGTGTGGAGCACAGCTGGAGTTCAGGCACTATTTCAGTCACTTGCTGGCCTCCACCCTGGCTGCATATTAGAATTATGAAAAGAGGATTTTCCAAGGTCCTGATGCCTGGCCCGTGATAAAGGCTCCCATAAGGAGAGCCCCTGGTAGGATGGATAAGGCAGCAGGTCTTAAGTCAGACAGTCCTGGAATCATGTGAACTCTGGGACTCACTCAGTGGTTAATTGGGCATATTTTTTAACCTCGAGATCTGGTTTTCTTATCAGTGAAATGAGCATAATGGCTGTAAGGTGATGCAGTTGAGAGCATTAGAGAGAGAGGACGCAAGCTGCCAAGCCATATTTCTGCTGCTCAGTAAGTGGTTGGTACTCACTATTCCTCAAACACAACAGAAAAAGCAAATAAATGAAAAAGAACCTAACAAATCATGGTGCAAGCTACGCATCTACTCAAATAACTTTTCATGGCTAATGAAAATCTTGAATTTCTAGCTGTTTGGCTGAATTATATGGGTGTAGTGTCTCTGGTTATCTCTTATTACTCAGAATTTCTCACTGGCAGTTATATAGGACTTTGATTAGTATAATGGGGAAAACATTAATCGTGACCTTCTTGAAAGACCAAAAACCTTCAAAAATAAAATCTATGAGGAAAGGAATTCCAAAACAGTAGAAAGAATAAATAATTAGAAATATTTTGAGAACTGTTGAACTGAAGTTTTACTTTTTTATAGTTGAGAAATATATGGAGTTTTTTTATATATAGTTTTTCCTTTTTTTTTTTCTTTCTTTTTCTTTTTTGAGACAGAGTCTCGCTCTGTCGCCTAGGCTGGAATGCAGTTGCGCGATCTCGGCTCACTGCAACCTCCGCCTCCCGGGTTCAAGTGGTTCTCCTGCCTCAGCCTCCCAAGTAGCTGGGATTACAGGCACAAGCCACTACACCTGGCTAATTTTTGTATTTTTAGTAGAGACAGGGTGTCACCATATTGGAGTTTTTTTCTTTTTTATTTGACAAGCGTGTGGAGTATGCTAACTCTGTAGTGACTATTGAGATACGTGTTTTTGTGTAGAACTGTATAAATCTTTGCCTAATTTTTCCATTGCACACCTGTGGGCACTGCCTGTTCTGGTACTTATTTTGTCCAACCATGTGCTTCGGTCTTTAATCACAGAAGTCCTATATGATGGATGGGAGCTCAGCATATAAAAGTCTTCCCAGCATTGACAAATTGGCAGGTTGGCTTATAACCCTCTAATTATCTGAACAGCATTGGAGCAAGGAGGGGAAATGTGAACAGCCAAAGAGGCAATTTCCTTCCTACTTCATAGCCTAATAAGGAAGGACATTTTCATGTGTTAATTGAAACTACAAGTAACCTGTTTTCACTCTAAGAGGAAATAACATAGAAGGTAAGAGCGGAGGTCCTGGAGCCTGGCTGCTTGAGTTCAAATTCCAGCCCTGTTTCTTAGTAGCTGTTTGATTATGCGAAAGTTCTTTAGCCCCCTCTGCCTCAGTTTCCCCATCCATAGAACAGAGATAATTGTACATATAGAATTTTTGTGAGAATTAAATGAGTGAACACGTCCTTAAGCCAGGACCGGGTACATGGTGGGCACTGTATTTGTGATTGCTATCATTACTTCCTCAGGGTGGTAATCACTGAATTTGTAACTTTAGGTAGAAATCTGAAATTATTTAATCTAAACACATTCTTCTAAAGACAGATGAACTTAGGCAATGTGGGATGGTTAAGAACAAATTGTGGCCGGTCATGGTGGCTGAAGCCTGTAATCCCAGCACTTTGGGAGGCCGAGTTGGGCGGATCGCCTGAAGGCAGGACTGAGGTTAGCTGAGTGTGGTGGTGGGCACCTATAATCCCAGCTACTTGGGAAGCTGAGGCAGGAGAATCACTTGAACCTGGAGGTGGAGATTGCAGTGAGCCAAGATCATGTCACTGCACTCCGGCCTAGGCAACAGAATGAGACTCCTTCTCAAAAAAAGGAAAAGAAAAGAACAAATGGTACAGCTTGTTAGAGCCAGACCAAGTGGCCAGGGCTCTAACTAGCTGTGAAGTGTGACTAGTATTCCTCCCACACCATGTGACCTCCCGATATGTGGTAGCTGTGCCATGGTGGAAACGTACTGGACCAAGAACAATGCATAACCTTCTTCTACCTCCTACCTCAGAAATGCACGTGGGTGTTCCAGAATCTCCTCCAAGGTGATTCTGCAGAGCTCTGAGCCTGTTTAGTCTCTGGAAGGAGCTGGGGTGTCAGAATGTTATACATACCCAGAGAGCACCATGAACCGTCCTGCTGTGTCTGAAATTTACAGTCCATTAGCACCCCCAAAAAGAGCAGCTGCAGATCTAGGACACACACTCACAGGGGTAGAATTTCTATACTCTTTACAGCCAAGGAAGCAATAATGGTAATTCCAGAGTAGGCCAATTTTACCCAAAGAGAAAAAACAAATGGGAAATTAGTGACAAACCAGTGGCCTGGAGTGTAGATAAGGAGAAAACACAGGTGCACCATTATTTCCTTAAGAAAATTCTCATTGACTCTGGTGAGGATGCCTTTAGTAAAGAAACAACGCATGTTTTGTTTTGTTTTCCCCAGTTGAAAGTCGGTGAAAGGAAAGTCGTGATGTTGGATAAATGTGTGTGTGTGTGTGTGTGTGTGTTTAAATATATGGGCTCTGGGTTCAGAGGGACCTAGCTTTAAATTACGACTATTACTTTAAAAATAGTGACCTTGAGTAGGTAATTTAATCTTTCTCATCTGTGAACTGTGAGCCTTAATTGTACTGACCTCAACTGGCTCATCAAGGATTTCGGATGCCTAGTGCATAGTAGACACTCACTGGGTCCCTATTCCCACCACCTAACCTCTCTGCGGAGAGGTGAGAGTAGAGATAACTGTTAGTGCTTTTGCATATGTGTGGAATCTACTATGTGAAAGGAAAAGAAAAACTCTGGATCCCAATTCATCATGCTATGTTTTAGAAAAAAATAAGCCAAAAGCTGGGTCATGTGAGAAGCTGCCTTTCCTTTTGTGCCTAAACAGAGAGCTACAGATGAAAGGTGAAATAGCTCCAGAGGTAGCTACTCTATGTTAACCATATCTTATGTAAAGTGCTGATTTATTGAGCGCAACATGAATACATAATTGGCAGTTCCCCTACCTGCTCCCTTGCTCTTGCAACATGTGGATAATTATACCCTCCCTCTCTCCCCTCCAGCCCACTTTCCTTTTTTAAACATTGAGGCCCTCAATTTCATCTTTGGAGAAAGGTGTAGACCATAGACTGTTTCTGTGATTCCATGTTATTTTCTTCTGATCATGCCCTTAGACTAGGCAAAATAAACTTCTAAGTTGATTGAGGCCTGTGTCAGACACTTTTTGGTTTATTACTGTCTCTAGAGCACCAACAGTGCGTGCCGATACTGTGGAGGACTTGCATGTGCCAGGTGTCATTAACTCATCTAATCCACATAACTTCAGGAAATGGGGCATTATAACTTCATTTTACATGAGGAGATTATGGCACATAGATTTCCTGGAACTCACCTGAGGTCACACAGATACGAAACACCATACCCAGGATTCCTGGGATCAGAGAGCATGTGCTGAACCTCTCCATCACGCTGCCTCTCTGCTTTTAGGGCAGCTCTCACGGGGGTATCGTGAGGATCAGGAAACACAGTGTCTGCGAAACACTCTACAGCTGAGCTCACACGGTACGCGTCACAGTAGATAGTGTCCTATAGCCACTGGAATGTCCTAAACCAGATGAATCTGACTCTGGTGACCTTTCAAACAGAAGCCACATGGGCTCCTTCGTTTGGTTGTAGTTCCTCTTAGAAGGTGTGATAACCACGATCTCAGGGAAAGAATTAGAAATGGGGTGTTGGACCATTCTTACAACCAATACAGAATTCCACAGCCCAATTGCCATGTTGTTTCTTACCTTGGATGTTCAATTTGATGTCATCCAATTAAAATACCATGGACAAAAGTCAACTTTTCATTTTTTTAAATTTATTTTGCTTATTACGGAAAAACACACCACATAATTCAACTAGCAAAGAAGACTGCTTCAGGGCGTGTAAAATGAAAGGCTTCCAGGCAGTTATCTGATTAAAGAACACTAAGAGAGGGACAAGGCTAGAAGCCGCAGGCTGTCTACACTATAGCAGGCGCTATTTGGGTTGGCTGGAGGAGCTGTGGAAAACATGGAGAGATTGGTGCTGGAGATCGCCATGGCTATTCCTCATTGTTATTACAGAGTGAGGTTCTCTGTGTGCCCACTGGTTTGAAAACCATTATACAATAATGATAGAATAGTACACACATGAGAACTGAAATGGCCCAAACCCAGAAAGAAAGCCCAACTAGATCCTCAGAAGACGCTTCTAGGGACAATAACCGATGAGGAAAAGATGGCCTCCTTGTGCCACCGTCTGTTATGATTTCTCTCCATTGCAGCAGAAAGCCGTTCTTCTAAGCAGACAGCAGGTGATGATGGCAAAATAGACCACACTCTTGAGGAGCAGGAGGAGGTACGTGTAATATGCAGAGGTGTTTGTGAGCTGCAGCAGTAGTGTATCTAAGAGAAATTGCACATGTTCTTTTTACAGAATAAGATATATTAATGCGAGAGGGGTTCACAAATACTTATTTCTGATGATTTACGTTGAAGTGATATTCCACCACCACCAAAACCTAAAAGTAAACATCTACTGCTACCAGCACCACCAAGAGTCAGACAAGTCAGAATTCAGCTTTCAAGTTGATTAACAACCTCTGCTAAATTCACTTAGAACATTCCCAACTATTAAAAAGTAAGGTTGCATTGTGGAAAATCAAAGAAAGTGGTTAATCCAGATTTGCTGATGTGTTAGGTAGTTGTGGCACACTCACCTGTCTTTCCTAAATGCCTCTAATTATGGCTATGCTATTATTGGGTGATTGCATTTAACATTATTTGAGGTTTTACAAGAGATATGTGATGTCAAGGAATAAGTAAAGACAGTGGGGGTGGACCACTAGTGCCTACTCAATGAGCTACAAGAGTGAGTCTCTTCCTGCAGAAATTTCCATTTATATGTTTTGTCTTCATAAAGTGAGAATTCCAGAAACATCAGTCCTTGGTGTGGAAAAGGATCTCAGGAAGTGATGTGTCCGTGACTCCCTGCCCTTGGTCAAGTGAGGTGGTACTGCCCCTCCTTGCCTGGTGTGGCAGCCTAAGTCAGAGCCCCTTGGTATTGGAAATAGAGGAAAGTTGAGCAGGGCTAGAGCCAATGCTTCTAGTCACATTCTTTGTGCATATGTAGAGAGAAAAAGCCAGAAACAAGTATTCATTCTGTGTCTGCTAAATGAGATACCCTACGCCAGACATCTCACATTCATGCCCTTATCTCTTCAATAACTGTGAATCTGGTGTAATTATTCTTAGTTGGCTGATGAGAAAACTGTTACTCACAAAATGTAGGTCACTTACACCTAATCATTAAAAGAGCTGGAATGAAAGTCTAGTCTGCAAAGCTCATGCACCCACCCAGCCCCACATTATGTCCCTTTCGTTTCAGATTCCTGCCTTGTAATGTCTTGCTATCTGTAATTCTTGCTATTTTTTCTATTGTAGAAAAAATAGAGGACTTAGTAACTGCACGAATTCTTTGTTTGATGTCCTGATTTGAAATGCCAGACCTAGCTGTGTGACATGTATAAGGGATTTTTATAGTTATTTACTTTAAAGGGACTGTAAAATGGGAGAAAATATATTGTACTACTTTATAGGAGTATTAAGATGATTAAACTAGAAAATGCAGAACAAGCCCTTCTGTGTAAAAAGCACTTGATAAACACTAGTTCGTGTTATTAGCTACTAGCAAAGACCAAAGACTAAAACAAAACAACTCAAGAAGCAACATGGTATCATGTTTTCCCCAGTCATTATAACAAAAGACAGAAGGCCGGGCACAGTGGCTCACGCCTATAATCCCAGAAGTTTGGGAGCCCGAGGGGGCAGATCACGAGGTCAAGAATTCAAGACCATCCTGGCCAGCGTGGTGAAACCCCATCTCTATTAAAAATACAAAAATTAGCCAGGTATGGTGGTGTGCACCTGTAGTCCCAGCTACTTGAGAAGCTGAGGCTGGAGAATCGCTTGAACCAGTAAGGCGGAGGTTATGGTGAGCCGAGATCGCGCCACTGCACTCCAGCCTGGGTGATAGAGTGAGACTCCTCCGTCTCAAAAAAAAAAAAAAAAAAAAAAAAAAAAGACAGACGGATGAATAAAGTCTGTTTTTTGAAATAACTGAAAGCATATCACTGTACCCTCTAATTTACAGTCATCTCATACCCGAAGCAGTAGTTAGGTTTGTTAATACAACTCCTAGAAAAAGAGGGACTAATTTAAAATATCACTAGGTCCATTCTGCAGCATCCAACCTAGCAAAATCCATTCCCTGATTTTTCTTTTTTTTTTTTTTTTTTTTTTTTTGAGACGGAGTCTCGCTCTGTCGCCCAGGCTGGAGTGGAGTGCAGTGGCGCAATCTCGGCTCACTGCAAGCTCCGCCTCCCGGGTTCACGCCATTCTCCTGCCTCAGCCTCCCAAGTAGCTGGGACTACAGGCGCCCGCCACTAAGCCCGGCTAATTTTTTGTATTTTTAGTAGAGACGGGGTTTCACCGTTTTAGCCGGGATGGTCTCGATCTCCTGACCTCGTGATCCGCCCGCCTCGGCCTCCCAAAGTGCTGGGATTACAGGCGTGAGCCACCGCACCCGGCCCATTCCCTGATTTTTCAAGCCAGAGAAGTTCAAAACTTAAAATGATCAGGAGGAAAGGAAAAACACAAAAGCTTACCATTTGCATCTTTTGACCAATTGTCTTTGGGATCCATTGTGATGACATCTAGAAGAATGAGAGCAAGTACTAGTCAATTGTTCATGTCCATTATTTGTCAAGGTGTGTGTGTGTGTGTGTGTAATTAAATGAATATTTATAAAACCTGTCAACAGAGAGGCAGGAGGACAGTTATTAAAAATATGAGCCCTCAATTCCAGAAATAATTGGTCTGATTCTACGTAATCAGGTAGATCTAATTTATATACTATGTTTTTGCATATCAAAATGTTGAAGTTCGTGAAGAATACATTTTTCTTTTTTATCACAACTGGAGTGTAGTATCCAAGAACATTTGGTTTTCCTTCTGTATTCATGGCTCCTAGCACAGTGCCTTTTTATTTATCAAAAACAGACCACAAAGTATGTTTTTGATAAATACTTGTTCAGTGGAAAAATAAACTGATCAAGTGGCTACTTTACACCCTTCAGCACACACTGCTGACCTGAAATCAGCAAAAACAATAATTTTGGGGTTTTTTTTTTGACGCAGAGTCTCACTGTCGCACAGGCTGGAGTCGAGTATAGTATGGTGTCATCACGGCTCACTGAAGCCTCAAACTTCACAGGTTCAGGAGATCCTCCCATCTCAGTCTCCCGAATAGCTGGTAATACAGGCACACACCACCAAGCCAAGCTAATTTATGTACTTTTGTAGAGACAGGGTTTCGTCTTGTTGCCCAGGCTGGTTTCAAACTCCTGGGCTCAAGCAATCTTCCTGCCTTGTCCTCCCAAAATTCTGGGATTACAGGGATAAGAAACCACACCTGACCAAGAATTCTTTCCGTCCTAGAATCCACAACAGAATCTTACATATTTGAAGGAGTCTGGCTTAGAAAAATTTCTCATCTAAGCAGAAAAAAGCAGTCATACCTTTCCAAATCATGCATATCCCCAACATCCCAAGCAAGTACCCATGATTTTCTGGAGGTATAGTGTTTCCGGACATAACAACAACAATATTAATAAAATCTAACATCTACTGAGTGCTCATTATTGTGTCAGGCACTATGTTAAATGCTTGCCATGCATTTTTTTGTTTAATTCCCCAGTAACACTTAAGTGAGCATTATTACGTAATACTCACGTACATGAGTATTACATGGCCCCATGTTCTGAATGAGGAAATAAAGTTTAAAAAGTGCAGGCAACTTGCCGAGAATCATATCAGCAAATAGCAGAGCCAGTATTCAGACGGTAGTTGTAGGGGAAGAAAAGAAACTGGACATATGAAAAGTACTTTGTAGGAATAATCCACAGAAATAGATAGAAAGTTATTTATAAAGAGACAATATAATGTCACCATTGTGTACTCTAAGAAAATCTCTTTCAGTATGTTAATTACTCTCAGCAAATGGTCATTTTTATTACAGGAGCTCAGCATTTCAGTGCGATTCTTTCTGGGACTAGAAAGACAGAGGCCAAGTCACATTGACAGTTCTCTCAATAAAACCTGAGGTGAGAGTTGAATTTATCTGTGATGTTAAAAAAAAAAAAGGAAGAAGCAAACATGCATACAAAGACAACATATTTTAAAACAGAAGAAAACACAGTTGCATTGGTGTGTTGGTTTATTATTTTTCTAGTAGATGTGTTCTTGTCTATACGGATATGATTCTGGTGCGCAATTTTATGCACTCACTGAGATCTTTATTTCATGAATTCTAAAAACATGGACTTGAGGTATGGGTTTTGGGTAAGTCTCAAGAATGCAAACGTTAGTTATCAAGTCTGCATGTCCAAATATCTTTAAGGGCTAACTTTAATGGGTTTTCAATGTCTTTTTATTTTCCTCATGGTGACTTCATTTATTAAAAGATAAATGAATATGACTATCACTTATTTCCATGAATTGATTGAGGAAAAAAGAATAAAGTAACTATTCCCCATAATAAAATCTCCAAGTGTATCCTGAGTTCTCTCTCTCTCTCAATCAAGGTTGGTTGCAAACGTGGACCAGATTAGTTTTATCTCCTTGAAAAGCACTTCATTGATTATACAATATGATCACTTCCATGTTATATTTTTAGCTTTTCTCAGAAAAACAAACTTCCAAGAAAGAGCATTAGAAATCTACTGTAGAATGACATTAAGAGAAGTGTCCTCCTTAACGTAGTTGCCTTGAGAAGCGCATGAAAGACATTTTACTGTTAGGCCGGGCACAGTGACTCACGTCTGTAATCCCAGCACTTCGGAGGGCTGAGGGGGCAGATCACGAAGTCAGGAATTCTAGACCAGCCTGGCCAACATAGTGAAACCCGGTCTCTGCTAAAAATACAAAGATGACCCGGACATGGTGGCATGTGCCTGTAGTCCCAGCTACTTGAGAAGCTGAGGCTGGAGAATCGCTTGAACTCCAGAGGCGGAGGTTGTAGTGAGGTGAGATCGCGTCACTGCAATCCAGCCTGTTCAACAGAGCGAGACTCCGTCTCAAAAAAGAAAAAAAAGAAAAGAAAAAAGACACATGGATGAGTAAAGTCTGTTTTTTGAAATAACTGAAAGCATATCACTGTACCCTTCAATTTACAGTCATCTCTTACATGAAGCAGTAGTTAGGTTTGTTAATACAACTCCTAGAAAAAGAGGGACTAATTTAAAATATGATTAGGTCCATTCTGCAGCATCCAACCTAGCAAAATCCATTCCCTGATTTTTCAAGCCAGAGAAGTTCAAAACTTAAAATGATCAGGAGGAAATAAAAAACACAAAAACTTACCATTTGCATCCTTTGAATAATTGTATTTGGGATCCACTGTGGTGACATCTAGAAGAATGAGAGCAAGTACCAGTCAATTGTTCATGCCCATTATTTGTCAAGGTGTGTGTGTGTGTGTATGTGTGTGTGTCTGAGTGTGTCTGTGACTGTGTGTAATTAAATGAATATTTATAAAACCTGTCAACAGAGAGGTAGGAGGACAGTTATTAAAAATATGAGCCCATAATCCCAGAAATAATTGGTCTAATTCTGTGTAGTTAGGTAGATCTAATTCATATATTATGTTTTTGCACATCAAAATGTTGAAGTTTGTGAAGAATACTTTTTTCTTTTTTATCACAACTGGAGTGTAGTATCCAAGAACATTTGGTTTTCCTTCTGTATGCATAGTTCCTAGCACAGTGCCTTCCACAAAGTACGTTTTTGATAAATACTTGTTCAATGGAAAAATAAACAGAACAAGTGGCTACTTTACAGCCTTCAGCACACACTGCTGACATGAAATCAGCAAAAAGAATAATTTTGGGGGTTTTTTTGAGGCAGGATGTCACTGTCACCCAGGCTGGAGTGGAGTATAGTATGGTGTCATCACGGCTCACTGAAACCTCAAACTGCCCAGGCTCAGGTGATCCTCCTATCTTAGCCTCCTGAGTAGCTGGGAGTACAGGCACTCACTCCCATGACCAGCTAATGTTTGTATTTTTTGTAGAGACAGGGTTTCGCCATGTTGTCCAGGCTTGTTTCCAACTCCTGGGCTCAAGCAATCTTCCTGCCTTGTCCTCCCAAATGATGAGATTACCAGGATAAGCCACCACACTCGGCCAAGAATTCTTTCAGTCCTAGAATCCACAACAGAATCTTACATGTTTGAAGGAGTCTGGCTTAGAAAAATTTCTCATCTGAGCAGTAAAGAGCAGTCACTCCTTTCAAAATCATGCATATCCCCAACGTCCCC
Organism: Homo sapiens; assembly: GCF_000001405.40. Lineage (NCBI taxonomy): Eukaryota > Metazoa > Chordata > Mammalia > Primates > Hominidae > Homo > Homo sapiens. The sequence goes on from NC_000007.14 coordinate 38,246,138, forward strand.
AGCAAGTACCCATGATTTTCTGGAGGTATAGTGTTTCTGGACATAGCAACAACAATATTAATAAAAGCTAACATCTACTGAGTGCTCATTATTGTGTCAGGCACTATGTTAAATGCTTCCCATGCATTTATTTGTTTAATTCCCCAATAACACTGAAGTGAGTTGTATTTTGTATGGCCCCATGTTCTGAATGAGGAAATAACGTTTAAAAAGTGCAGGCAACTTGCCGAAAGTCATATCAGTGAACAGCAGAGCCAGTAGTCAGTCAGTACTTGTAGGGGAATAAAAGGAATTGGACATATGAAAAGTGCTTTGTAGAAATAATCCACAGAAATAGATAGAAAATAATTTATAAAGAGACAATATAATGTCACCATTGGGCCATTGTGCACTATTCTAAGAAAATCTCTTTCAGTATGTTAATTACTCTCAGCAAATGGTCATTTTTATTACAGGAGCTCAGCATTTCAGTGCAATTCTTTCTGGGACTAGAAAGAGAGAGGCCAAGTCACATTGACAGTTCTCTCTCAACTGAGGTGAGAGTTGAATTTATCTGCGATGTTTAAAAAAAAAAAGGAAGAAGCAAACATGCATACAAAGACAACATATTTTAAAACAGAAAAAAACAGAGTCACCTTGGTGTTTTGGTTTATATTTTTCTAGTAGATGTATTCTTGTCTATACGGATATGATTCTGGTGTGCAGTTTTATACACTCACTGAGATCTTTATTTCATGTATTCTAAGAAATGGACTTGAGGTATAGGTTTTGGGTAAGTCTCACGAATGGAAATGTTAGTTATCATGTCTGCATGTCCAAATATCTTTAAGGACTGACTTTAATGGGTTTTCATTTTCCTCATGGTGACTTTATTTATTAAAAGATAAATGAAAATGACTGTCACTTATTTCCATGCATTGATTGAGGTAAAATGAATAAAGTAACTATTCCCCATAATAAAATCTCTAAGTGTATCCTGAGTTCTCTCTCTCTCAATCAAGGCTGGTTGCAAATGCAGACCAGGTTAGTTTTATCTCCTTTGAAAGCACTTCATTGATTATATAATATGATCACTTCCATGTTATTATATTTTTAGCTCTTCTCAGAAAAACAAACTTCCAAGAAAGAGCATTAGAAATCTACTGTAGAATGACATTAAGAGATGTGTCCTCCTTAATGTAGTTGCCTTGAGAAGCACATGAAAGACATTTTACTGTTAGGTCCGGCACAGTGACTCACACCTGTAATCCCAGCACTTTGGGAGGCTGAGGCGGGTGGATCACTTGAAGTCAGGAGTTCGAGACCAGCCTGGCCAACATGGTAAAACCCGATCTCTACTAAAAATAGAATAATTAGCGAGATATGGTGCCAGGCACCTGTAATTTCAACTTCTCGGGAGGCTGAGGCAGAAGAATCGCTTGAAACTGGGAGGTGGAGGTTGCTGTGAGCCGAGATCACACCATAGCACTCCTGCCTGGGCTACAAGAGTGAAACTCTGTCTCGGAAAAAAAAAAAGACATTTTACTTTTAGAATTTAGTGTAAAGTAAAACACATTATAAAACTGTAACTTGTCTCCTGTATGGTATTCACTGCCCTGGAACTTACTATGCTTTTTATTTCACCCTGATCACTGGAAAAATCAGAACACTTAAGCACAGTGGTAAAACTACCCTCAAGCTTTGCTCTTTTGTCTCCTCTTTGTGTCTCAGCAAAGGAAATAGAAAATTGGGACTGTTTTTATAACCCCACTTCAGTTAGTTTCAGGAAAGGCTATACCTAATACAGTAACTACACGAATGAACACATCCATGCTACCATTTTGAAAGCAAGCATTTTCCCTGCCATTGTTTCCTTTGCACTCCATTATAGCCCCAGGAGAAAGTCAACGCAACTGTCCAAATCACATTTGATCATTGCAGAAACTCAGGATCTGAAAAGCTAAAGACTTACCCTAGAAATTTGGAATGGTACGTGGCAAAGATCTTCAAACATTTTGTTAATGCTTGTTCCCCCAGGCTAAAAAGGACTTGTTAACCACAGGAAAAAGCACAAAATGAGTCCTTTTCATGCCCACTCTTGAGATGTTGGACTGTTATGTTCATATTCAGGATGTTGACATATAGTGACAGACTGGACCACTGGGCCAGAGCACATTCAGCCCTTGGACCAATCGTCTAGAGATGTACAGAATCTGCATCAAAGGCACTGTTTTGGGACCTCGCGCATGAATCATGAGTGACCCTGAGTGATCAGGAAGAGAGTATATTCTCTGCACTGTCATGCATCATCCTTAGGACAGTAACTCATCCTTGTCTGTTCATCCACATTTCCACTAAGCCTGGCGTGTCATAATTGTACAATAAATGTTTATTGAGCTGCATTCACCAATGGCAGGAAATGCATTTATTATGGAAAATGGAAGAATGTTTGTACATGTAAGCCTTACCAACCTGTAATTATGAAATGTTACTTTATGGTGATATATAAAATGAAACTCTGAAAAACCCAAGGCCTCTATAAAACTGCAGTGACCAAGACTATTCTATGTTTTGTAGAGCCACACTCCACAGATAAACATTATCTACAGATAAATATGATCTACAGTTATCTTCAGATAAACATTATTTTGTCAACAATGAACCCGTTGTTTTTAGGTTAAACTTTGTGGGTAGCAAGATTGAGGTGAGTGACTCTCCTGCTTGGGCAGAACATTCCTGAAAGACATATATATGTTATTTCCTGATCAAGTAAAGTCATCAAAAGAAGGGAGAACACTTTTTGAGCGTTTACCACGTGTCACGTTGCTAGATGCTTCTGTGTATGTTGTTTCTTTAATCCATCTAACAACCCTAAAAACCAGCACGTGACTTTCTTATTTTGGATAATGGAGCTGAGGCTGACAAACCTTCAGCAACTTTTTCAATTTTGTTTTCTCCAAAACCTATACCATTTTAATTCTATAGAAAAGTAGCAGGGCATTTACGCTACCATTAAATGTAACAATTTTTAAGAAAGATTTATGTTTTTCATTAATACTGAAAGGAAAAAATGCAGCATTCACTTTCAAAGAAGTGTTCTGACAGATGATATGTGTAAACACATACCTGTCTTTATTGGAGGAAAGATAATTTCTTGATCAATTCCGTTTTTATTATTCTCATGTCTGACGATACATCTGTGTTCTTTGTCCAGTGACTCTTCTGGCACCGTTAACCAGCTAAATTTCATGTATGTGTCGTTAGTCTTCATGGTGTTCCCCTCCTGGGATCCCAGAATCGTGTTGCTCTTCTTTTCTTGCCAATGTATCTTAATAATATCTGGGAAAAATTTCTCAAGAAGACAAAGGTATGTTCCAGCCTTCTGGAGTTTTGTTTCAGCAATCGAAGGAAGAAAAATAGTGGGCTTGGGGGAAACATCTGCATCAAGTTGTTTATCTATGGGGAGAAATGAAATATGAGTTTAAAAGAATCATTAGAGAAACACACACATTGCACGGTTTGGAGTGGCCTAGTACATAACCATAAAAAGAGAAGATGCCATTGAGCTGGTGTCCACCGCGGCCTTTCATCCAGGATAGGCTGCACAGTACTTATTATTGTGCTTATTTTACAGATGTTGAAAAGAGAATCAAGACATTAAATAACTTGCCAAAAGTCACAGCTCTCAAGTGTCAGATGCTGGACGAAAACCTGGCCTTTGTTTATTCTGCACATGCTGTGATGAGTGTGATTTTTAACTGCCTCCTACCAGGGCTTCCAAAGTTCATGAGCATATTTATTTTATTTTTAAATCTCTTTTGTTTCATCACAGTGAAGCAGGTTTTCAAGGTGGATGGCAGGGGAAAGTGGAAGGTCAGAAAACCTTAATGATCTCTCTACAGATGAGACTCTTTGGTCCTTTTCTCACTTCCCTTTTCCATCCTTTGTAACTTATGTTCTTTGGCCAAATATGACACATTCTCATGTTCTGCAATTTCGTGTACTTCCACTCTTCATTTAACTGATTCTGCGATGCACCATATTTATCTTGTTATTTATCTTATTTCCCATATGAATCAATGTCAAAATTTTTGTTGTTGTTGTTGAGACTGGGGCTTGCTCTGTCGTCCAGGTTGGAATGCAGCGGCAAGATCATAGCTCACTGCAGTCTCGACTTCCCAGGCTCAAGTGATCCTCCCACCTCAGCCTCCCAAGTAGCTGGGACTACAGGTATGCATCACCATGCCTGGCTAATATTTGTTTTTTCTAGAGACATATTTCACCATATTGACCAGGCTGGTTTAAAACTCCTGCGCTCAAGTGATCTGCCTGCCTCAGCCTCCCAAATCCTGGGATTATAGGTGTGAGCCACCATGCCTAGCCATTTTGTTCACTTTTATTTTTAACATACACAGTCACTTGTTTTAAAGAGAATCTACTTCCGCATGTACATACTGTCTATCAAGTTGACCATGTAGCTTCAATGTGTATACCATGAGCAGTCCCCCTAGTTAATATCTAACTTTATATAACATCTCAATTTCACATCTGCACCCTCCAAGTTTTGGGATGCAGCAGTACTTACAGCTGTACCTCCAGATTATTCACCATCTCTTGACTTTAGAAACAAAATGGCAACATTTCCAAAATTCTTATTTAAATTTTTTCTTGATTATTTTCAGAAATACTCTTGTGTTAATCTTCTCCAGTAATGCACTTATCAAAATTTCATTTTGCTTTAGAAAATATTCACCAAAAGCACATTTTATTTTGGAATTTCATTTGAAGTTTAAGAATGACTAAGAATGCACCAGGGGTGTAATTTTTATACTGGTTTTTATATAAATTTACCCCATTAATGAGAAGGTCTATGTAAATCAGTGTATCTATATTTTGACTCTTTATGTCTCTCCCAGAATTTGTATCTGTCCTAATATGCTATTTAACTGTTTTAAATCTCCATTATTCTCTTTGTCTTAGCCTGCTGAATAAAATGAGTATGTAATTGCTCTATTAAAAGTCATGATTTCAGAGCTTCTTATAGGGATAGGGTCAAGATACATAACAAAGCATCATATGTTTACAAAGGCATATCACTTGAATCTGGGATGTTAATGGGTTATACACGTATTTTTAATCTAATAACTGAAATTATAAATGTTACAATTCTTTCTATTTTGATTTCCCATTGAAACTCCAATGCTTTGGCTGGTTTGAAGTGAGTTTAATAATTGAACAATTTCTTAAGAAAATAAGAATTAAATTTCTCATTTCAGAAGAAAAGAAAACAATCTTGATAATTTCTGTCTGTGTAGCAAAGCTTCTGATTTTCATACAAAATTAGTAAACATATACAGAAATATTAATTTGTGAGCATGCTATAAATTTAATTAGGCATAATGTGCTCATCTTAATTTCATACTCTTTGCTTTTAGTGCAAATAGTATTTTACTTGTTATACTTGTGAGACAGTGTATATTTCTCCACCATATAGTTTGCTTCTAATTTTAAAAGCATGTTATAAAATATGAGTAATTTTTCAATTGTACATTATATTTATATAATTTTAGTCTCTAGTCAATGTATTTTCCAATCTAATTTTCATCCTAAGAACTAGTGTCTCTTCATTGAAATACTTCTAATTCATTGTACTAAAGAAATTAAAAATCAAATGATAAACTTGGACATTTTCTGTACGGTACCACAGCATTCATTGTCTCTTGCCCCTTTCTTTAGCTAGATTCTTTAAGTTTCATTCTTTTCAGGACAAAATGAATCTGGAACTTCCATAACTTTCTCAAGGTAATAGTTAACGAATCATTAAATAGCATACTCGATTATACATGGTAAGGGCCGATATTCTGGATCATCCTCTCACATGATTTTTAAAATACTACTTTTAAAATGTACATATTAAGAGTGTTTTTTATGGTCAAGTATGGTACATTTTTACTTACTTCAGTAACAAATAGAATATATATATTTTATTTATTTAAATAAACCTGTTGGATTCATTTATATACATTTATTTGCATAATCAAATAGTATATTTGAGTTAAATTGCCTAAGTTGTTTGTAGTTTATTAAAATGCAGCGTTGTAAATTTACCAAGTATCAACTACAGTTTTATAGACGGTATGATATATTAAATCTACATGTGGATATTTATTTAAGAGTTCTCTATTTCTTATTTTTTCACTAGCTAAATAGTTATAGCCATTTTATGTTTAAATATGTATTTCAGATTTATGATGTTTCCAACTGGATTTAATTGATTTGATATCTTGACTATTTTTGGTAAGATTTTAACCTTTTTTTCCTGAGACATATGAACAGAACCCTAAACTAATTGGCTATAAATCTTAGGACCAATATGTTGGTGTTAGAAATGATATCAATTAAGATAAAGGATTAAGTAAAGCACATAGAACAACAAAAATAAAAAACAGACATCTTAATACAATGTTTTTGCCACGTGATTAAAAAGTCTGCTAACAAGAAACGAATCCATAAGTTCAATTTTTGTCTGTGAGCTGATGTTAAGATAACCTTCCATTTGAGCAGTTAGAAGTACAGCTGAATCCTCTGGAGAATTGCTGCTCTGTAAATTAGATGGACTGAGAGCAACTCTCCATAGTAGATCCCATTGTCTCTTTACATGTGAATCCAGAAAACATTTGTTGGGCACCTATTTTGGGTTGGACAATGTGCCAAGTACTTAATTCACACTATGTTGTGCAATTCTTATACAACCCTGCTGAATTCATACTGTTATCCCATTTTATGGATTAGAAAACTGAGGCCAGAGAATAATCACTCAATTTCACTAAGCAGTGAGTAGTGGAGCCAGAGTTCCAGGTGGACCTGACTCCAACACCCGGGCTCCTTCACAACAAGAGTCAACATCTCTTTGACCATCAGAGATGAACATGTGTCCGCTTTATAGAGTCTATCACAAACTAACCTGTCATAATACATTTGGTCTCAGGGCCAGACATTTTAATGAGATCATTTCATACATTACATATGAGCCCTTTATGGAAGTCCGTATATGCACAAAGCCAAATCCTATTATGATATCTGTGCCATGTTATCTATGTTCTCTTTTAGTATGAGCATTTGTTTTAAAGTCTCTCCTAGGATTTCTACATCAAATCCCCATCCAATTCCTCTTTTTTCTAAACATTATTACATTATTCCAGTTTAATCATTTCCTGCCTTCCCTCTATTACCTTGGAAATGTTGTATTCTTCCGATACTTACCTGTGACAACAAGTGTTGTTCCACTGCCAAAGAGTTTCTTATAATAATTCCACAGTGATTCAGTCCATATCAAAAACTCTAATTCAGTTTCCCTGAGTTCTTCAAATTCTGGTGGTCTGGGATTCTCAAAAGACCAGGGTTCCAGTCCTGGTTCATTTTGCTCATAACAAGTTCTGTTGCTCCACAAATCAAATAACTTAAAGCTTTTGGTGTTTTATTTGTCTAAAAACAGTGATGTTTCAAAATCAGTTCAACATCGCTACCAACACTGAAGTGAGACCAAAATGAAACAAGATATAAAAAAGCAATTTGATTAAAATGTTATAGGTCCCAGTGCAGTGGCTCGTGCCTATAATCCCAGCACTTTGGGAGGCTGAGGTGGGAGGATTGCTTGAGCTCAGAATTTTGAAGCCAGCCTGGGCAACCCAGTATCTAGTGAGACCCCATATTTACTAAAAATACAAAAAGCATTAGCTGAGCATGATGTGCACGACTGTACGCCCAGCTACTCGAGAGGCTGAGGCAGGAGGGTCACTTGAGCCTAGGAGTTCGAGGCTGCAGTGAGCCTTGATCACACCACTGCACTCCCGACTGGGCAACAGGGGAAGACCCTGCCTCAAAAAAAAATGCTGTGGAAATATAAGAGATTATGATGAATATGGTGTCATTGTTATGATTGGCAATCTGTTTGCTATGATTGTGTGCCTTGACATGACATTTTAACCCTATAGGACCAAGCATTGCCCTTACTAAAAAAAATTCAGCATTTTGGAGTGGCAGTTAAATCCATAGCAATTAAGCAGGAAGAATAATTTCTCAGTTCCTCTGTTTGCATTCCACTTTGCTCTGGGATTCTCAAAGCCATCGTCCCCATCATCACAAGAAACATGCCTTCCACACACCCAATCTTTAATAGGTTATCCTTTGCCTTACCTGCCGTGTTAAGAAAATCAAAGGGAATATTGGCTAAAGTCTAATATATGCAGTCAGTGTCAGTGTATGGAAATTCTTCACTTGTGTTTTTCAAAACAAGTGAGCCTTTTTCTAATCAGCAGCACAACTTATTTGCCTTCCAAGTTTCACCAGAAACTTCAGCCTCAAACTGACTTCTGTCTAGTTTATGCCAAAGTCCCGCTCGAAACACCTGGCTTGACCCTTCAAGGGAGAATGGGTAGAGAAAAGGCAAGAGGCCTGGTCCTCAAATCCATCTCTCTGTTGTCACTTTAGATCACTACATGTTATCTGCCTGACCATGTCTGCTGAGCATCACCATCTGCGCATTTCATTAAATGTCAGGATGCCCATAGCACTGATGCAGTGGTAATATGCAGTGGGTTTTTCATGACCATTCCTTTCATTTTCCAAAATGGAAGTTGAAGGCACTGCCCACTCTTCCATTTCCTTCTAAAGGACTCATGCATTGAAGTCTTTTTCCAATTTAGTAATAGAAAAAATATGATATTTGAAAATTTGGTGTGCTTCTTTTTATCAATTAGTAAGATGTATGTATTCCCCTACCTTTTTCTCCTTCTTTTGAGCATAAAATTTTAAACTGTGCTCCTCACTAGGTAATCACAGGCCTTTTTCCTTCTCCTTTCCTTAGGGCTTTAGATCATCTGTATATATTTAATGGTCTGACTGTGCTTGTGTATTTTAATTTAGGTCTTCTCAAATAGATTTTAGAAACAGATAGCTTAAATAAATAACAAAGAGTTTGTGCATTTAGCATGTTTCTCTTTTGTCCCCAGGAGTTGATGGTTTTGTAAGGTCAAGCTCAAATAAGACACAAGGAATGGAGAATATGTTTGCAAATCCTAGCTCTGTGATAGGGACACCTACATACTAAATTTAGATAGAAAGTGCCAGAACCTAAAATGAGGCTTTTTTTCCAAAATTTTTCTCTCACAACATGGGGAGGTGCCTTATGTATGGTACAGTCTTTGTGTAAACTCTCATATTAAAAAATGTTCTTCTAATACTCTGCTTTGATCCAGAAGGACTAACTGGAGGAGATACCGACATGAAATGAACTCAATGAATGCTAGTTTTGGGGATAGCACTGGTAAAAGGAAAAAAAGCAAAGAAATTTATCATGGATTTGGTCATTATTACTTGGAGCTAAAGTCCCTGTAGTTCTTACTTACTTCATACAAGTGTAGAATAACAGAATAAATCGGAAAAAATAATTTCCTTTTATTTTGTGAGTGGATCATTGTTTCTTAGAGTAAAATATTCAGGGACATCATCATTTGAGGAATCCAAAATGGACACTGAGACCTGAGATGCCTTAGAAAGTTGCTCTGAGATAGATGCTTTACATGCATGTGAAGCATAAAACAAAAATTTTAATGAAATATAAGGGCAAAAAAGGCAATATTTCTCAACTGATATTGGTATTGATATAATCTTTAACTTTGAGGTATGATCCAGTTAAGAAATTGAATGTTATAATTAGACATTTCACTTTTTTACTTGTATCCCTATAAATTTACATATTCAAGTTGGGGGAGGGGAAAATACATATTTTCTTAAACTTGTATAAATTTTCTCTGGAAAATGAAAAATCACCTTGTATTCAGGCAGATCATATTTGAGATAATACGTAAAACATTCTAATTGCTTTTAGAAGCAGGTACAATTAGGCTTTTAGAAATAAAAAGCATTTTATGAATAGTGACATTTCTTCTGAAGTGAGCTGTTGAATAGATGGGGATTGATACATTTATCTGTATTCCTGAGTGTATAAAGACCTCTCTTGGGTAGTAACTTGAATTCTGGAAGAGGAAATAATATTTCTATCACCTACCAAGTGCCAGGCATTCAGCTACCCTGAAAAATTGCTGTTCGTATACTGAGGCCAGGAATGTGACATATTCAGGTAAGGTTGATCATTTTTTTCTAAAAAACATCTATCAGTTTTTCATTACTGGAATAAAAACAGAAAAAAAATTACTTACCAGGCGAAGTTACTATGAGCCTAGTCCCTTTTGCAAACGTCTTGATCCAATCACTACTATCACACTGGTCTAAGCTTCTACAAAAATCTCAACCTTCTGATCCTCATGACATGACTAGCAATCCAACAACTTTGAACTAGCAATTTCATCTTCTGGCTTTTTTGGAAGTCCTTGAATATAGGTTTTGTGACATGTGATAGTTTGTAATTTTTCCTCATAAATTGCCTGCTTTCTTCTAAGGCAGTAATTCTTGAAAAGCATCAACAGAAAAAAGAAATGTTAAGATAAAAAACCAACAACAACAAAAAAAGAAAGGCCGGGCGCAGTGGGTCACGCCTGTAATCCTAGCACTTTCAGAGGCTGAGTCAGGTGGATTGCCTGAACTCAGGAGTTCAAGACCAGCTTTGGCAACACAGTGAAACCCCGTCTCTACTAACATACAAAAAAATATTATCCGGGCGTGGTGGCGTGTGCCTGTAGTCACAGCTACTCGGGAGGCTGAGGCAGGAGAATTGCTTGAACCAGGGAGGCAGAGGTTGCAGTGAGCCGAGATCGTGCCATTGCACTCCAGCCTGGGCGATAGAGAGAAAAAAGAGCAGGCTCAGTGGGTCAATGCACTACTTTTCTAAATTACCAGGAAAAGTATTCAGAGAATTGTCGTTTTTTTTCTTTTTTAATTTCCAGGGGTTCAATTGTGTTGAAACTGCTTTGAGATTACATCAAAGGAAAAGCCCTTCTGTTCCCACAAACACCAGGGCCTGTTAGTAATTTGGGAAGATACTTCTGAAAGGAGGAAGCTCTTTAGTAACTGAAAATGCAAATGTGTCAACACAGATATACTTGAGAAATTTGAACAAAGGTCTCCACTTTCAAAAAGCCACTTGTATCATTTGGCAACACGATGCTTTACCAAGGCAATGCCAAATGAGGAAATGTTTTCCACAATGACTTATCATTTTTCCTGGAATAGCAGAAGAAATTTGTAGAATTCTATGTCCCATGAAGTAATACATTCTTTATTTAAACTATGGCATAACCAAAAAAAAAAATTTAGTTATCTGATATGTTGAAAAATCTGCCATCTTAAGCTGGTGTCGGCTGTGTGATCTCCTGTGTACAGATGAGGTGTTCAGTTGCAAGGACTGAGGAGGACAAGCCTTGACAACCTCCATGTCCACTCCAGATCCACCCTGCTCCAGCCTAAGTCTCCTGAGTCTTCATTCAGGAAGGTATGAGTGAGGTCACAGAGGGCACCTATCCATACACGGCAGGCCACAGCCCCCACAACAATGGAGAAGACAATGGGGCTGGGTGAAAATTATGTTTGGAAAGGGTTTCTTCTTAATAGAAAATTCAAAATTATTATGTGGCGCTGTCAATGACCCTTTACACCTGTGATAGATGGAATGACGCCCACTCAATCTCTTTTTGTCCTCTGGCCTTCCTTATTTCAGGACCATGAGGGGAAGCATCAGAAGTCTTAGCAGCTGTCAATATTTCAAGAGCCATGAAGGATTTAACTAATAAAATGTGAAGAAGTAATGAATTATAAAATCTTTTATTAAATTTACCAAAAAAATACAAGAATGATATGAAGAACACAGTATTTAGTTTTCCTAAGGGCATAAAATAAAACCTAAATAAATGGAGAAACATACATTGATGAATAAAAAGCTTCTATCATAAAGAGGCCAATACACCCTAAATTCATCTATAAATTTCCAGCAATTTTAGTCAGAATTACTACGACATGTTGTTGTTCTAGGGTGTGAGGTTTAATGTTAGGCTAGATAAGTTGATTTTAAATTCTACAGGAGTGAATAAATATGAGATGATTGAAAAAGAATTTTCTGAAAAATGGTACAGTGAATAGACATTTGGCATAGTAGATCTTAATACTTGCCACAAAGCTACTGAGATAATATGATAATGATACAAGAATAATGAAATAGACAAATAAAACAGAAATTCTCCAGAAAATGTGTCAAATATGTGTAGCTATTAAAAACATGCTGGAGCATTTTTAAATTGTAAGGAAATGGTGGATTATTTGGAAACAGGCATTAGGCAAATAATTACCTGAGAAAATAAAAATATCACTCTACCTCATCCCAGATAACACAGGGTCCAAATAGATTAAAATTAAAATGACAAAGCTACACATGGCCAGAAGGAACATGTAGAAGAATAATTGCATCCATTGAGTAAAGAGGCATGGGATGGAAATGGAGTAGGAGAAACTTAAAACACATTAATTTTTAAGAAGTAAGAATGTGGAAAATTTTCTATTTTAATAGTATTTTCAAATAAATGTTTTTGAAAGAAGAATAGACAATGAGGACTTGCTAAAAGATTTAGGGAGGAAAGTCACATGATCACATTTGCACTTGAGGAAGATAAATGTGCAAGCAGAAAGGAAGGGGCACTCCCCAGGACAGCAATTTGGGTGAAGCAGATGGTTTTATAGGTGGTCACCATAAGCCAATAAGAGGCAACAAGGACCTGCGTTGTTGCAGTGATGGTGGAGATGGACAGAGTGGCTGCAGCAATAAACATTAACAAGTTTACTCGAGTTTTTAAAATATTCTTATGAAATAAATTATTATCTCAGGAAGTTGGGCATGCCCTTAACATAGGCAAAATAAACTTCTAAGTTGATTGAGGCCTGTGTCAGATACTTTTTGGTTTATTACTGTCTCTAGAGTAGAGCTACCAACAGTGCGTGCCGACACTGTGGAGGACTTGCATGTGCCAGGTGTCATTAACTCATCTAATCCACATAACTCCAGGAAACGGGGCATTATAACTTCATTTTACATGAGGAGATTATGGCACATAGAGTTCCTGGAACTCACCTGAGGTCACACAGATACGAAACACCATACCCAGGATTCCTGGGATCAGAGAGCATGTGCTGAACCTCTCCATCACGCTGCCTCTCTGCTTTTAGGGCAGCTCTCATGGGGGTATCGTGAGGATCAGGAAACACAGTGTCTGTGAAACACTCTAGAGCTGAGCTCACACGGTACGCGTCACAGTAGATAGTGTCCTATAGCCACTGGAATGTCCTAAACCGAATGAATCTGACTCTGGTGACCTTTCAAACAGAAGTCACATGAGCTCCTTCATTTGGTTGTAGTTCTTCTTAGAAGGTGTGATAACCACGATCTCAGGGAAAGAATTAGAAATGGGGTGTTGGACCATTCTTACAACCAATACAGAATTCCACAGCCCAATTGCCATGCTGTTTCTTACCTTGGATGTTCAATTTGATGTCATCCAATTAAAATACCATGGACAAAAGTCAACTTTTCATTTTTTTAAATTTATTTTGCTTATTACGGAAAAACACACCACATAATTCAACTAGCAAAGAAGACTGCTTCAGGGCGTGTAAAATGAAAGGCTTCCAGGCAGTTATCTGATTAAAGAACACTAAGAGAGGGACAAGGCTAGAAGCCGCAGGATGTCTACACTATAGCAGGCGCTATTTGGGTTGGCTGGAGGAGCTGTGGAAAACATGGAGAGATTGGTGCTGGAGATCGCCGTGGCTATTCCTCATTGTTATTACAGAGTGAGGTTCTCTGTGTGCCCACTGGTTTGAAAACCGTTATACAATAATGATAGAATAGTACACACATGAGAACTGAAATGGCCCAAACCCAGAAAGAAAGCCCAACTAGATCCTCAGAAGACGCTTCTAGGGACAATAACCGATGAGGAAAAGATGGCCTCCTTGTGCCACCGTCTGTTATGATTTCTCTCCATTGCAGCAGAAAGCCGTTCTTCTAAGCAGACAGCAGGTGATGATGGCAAAATAGACCACACTCTTGAGGAGCAGGAGGAGGTACATGTAATATGCAGAGGTGTTTGTGAGCTGCAGCAGTAGTGTATCTAAGAGAAATTGCACATGTTCTTTTTACAGAATAAGATACATTAATGCGAGAGGGGTTCACAAATACTTATTTCTGATGATTTACGTTGAAGTGATATTCCACCACCACCAAAACCTAAAAGTAAACATCTACTGCTACCAGCACCACCAAGAGTCAGACAAGTCAGAATTCAGCTTTCAAGTTGATTAACAACCTCTGCTAAATTCACTTAGAACATTCCCAACTATTAAAAAGTAAGGTTGCATTGTGGAAAATCAAAGAAAGTGGTTAATCCAGATTTGCTGATGTGTTAGGTAGTTGTGGCACACTCACCTGTCTTTCCTAAATGCCTCTAATTATGGCTATGCTATTATTGGGTGATTGCATTTAATATTATTTGAGGTTTTGCAAGAGATATGTGATGTCAAGGAATAAGTAAAGACAGTGGGGGTGGACCACTAGTGCCTACTCAATGAGCTACAAGAGTGAGTCTCTACCTGAGAAAATTTCCATTTATATGTTTTGTCTTCATAAAGTGAGAATTCCAGAAACATCAGTCCTTGGTGTGGAAAAGGATCTCAAGAAGTGATGTGTCCGTGACTCCCTGCCCTTGGTCAAGTGAGGTGGTACTGCCCTCCTTGCCTGGTGTGGCAGCCTAAGTCAGAGCCCCTTGGTATTGGAAATAGAGGAAAGTTGAGCAGGGCTAGAGCCCATGCTTCTAGTCGCATTCTTTGTGCATATGTAGAGAGAAAAAGCCAGAAACAAGTACTCATTCTGTGTCTGCTAAATGAGATGCCCTATGCCAGACATCTCACATTCATGCCTTTATCTCTTCAATAACTGTGAATCTGGTGTAATTATTCTTTGTTGGCTGATGAGAAAACTGTTGCTCACAAAATGTAGGTCACTTACACCTAATCATTAAAAGAGCTGGAGTGAAAGTCCAGTCTGCAAAGCCCATGCACCCACCCAGCCCCACATGATGTCCGTTTTGTTTCAGGTTCCTGGCTTGGTAATTTCTTGCTATCTGACTCTATTGTAGAAAAAGAACAGAAAACTTACTAAGTACATAAACTCTTTGTTTGATGGCCTGATTTGAAATCCCAGATCTAGCTGTGTGACATGTATAGGGATTTTTATAATTATTTGCTTTAAAGGGACTGTAAATTGGGAGAAAAATATGTACCATTTTATAGGAGTTTTAAGAGGGTTAAACAAGAAAATGCAGAACACAGCCCAAGCCCTTCTGTGTAAAAAGCACTTGATAAACACTAGTTCGTGTTATTAGCTACTAGCAAAGACCAAAGACTAAAACAAAACAACTCGAGAAGCAACATGGTATCATGTTTTTCCCAGTCATTAAACAAAAGACAGGACAGGAGGCCGGGCACAGTGACTCACGCCTGTAATCCCAACAGTTCGGGAGGGCGAGGGGGCAGATCACGAGGTCACAAATTCGAGGCCATCCTGGCCAACATGGTGAAACCCCAACTCTACTAAAAATACAAAAATTAGCCGGGCATGGTGGCACGCGCCTGTAGTCCCAGCTACTCGAGAAGCTGAGGCAGGAGAATCACTTGAAGCCGGGAGGCGGAGGTTGTGGTGAGCTGAGATACTGCCACCGCACTCCAGCCTGGGTGACAGAGCAAGACTCTGTCCAAAAAAAAAAAAAAAAGAAAAGAAAAAGAAAAAAGACACATGAATGAATAAAATCTTTTTTTTGAAATAATTAAAAGCATATCACTATACCACTGTACCCTCTCTAATTTACAGTCATCTCATACCCCAAAGCAGTAGTTAGGTTTGTTAATACAACTCCTAGAAAATGAGGGACTAATTTAAAATATCACTAGGTCCATTCTGCAGCATCCAACCTAGCAAAATCCATTCCCTGATTTTTCAAGCCAGAGAAGTTCAAAACAAAATGATCAGGAGGAAGGGAAAAACACAAAAGCTTACCATTTGCATCTTTTGAACAATTGTCTTTGGGATCCATTGTGATGACATCTAGAAGAATGAGAGCAAGTACTAGTCAATTGTTCGTGTGTGTGTGTGTAATTAAATGAATATTTATAAAACCTGTCGACAGAGAGGCAGGAGGACAGTTATTAAAAATATGAGCCCACAATTCCAGAAACAATTGGTCTAATTCTGTGTAATTAGGTAGATCTAATTCATGTATTATGTTTTTGCACATCAAGATGTTGAAGTTGGTGAAGAATACATTTTTTCTTTTTTATCACAACTGGAGTGTAGTATCCAAGAGCATTTACTTTTCCTTCTGTATTCATAGCTCCTAGCATAGTGACTGCCACAAAGTATGTTTTTGATAAATACTTGTTCAATGGAAAAATAAACTGAACAAATGGCTGCTTTACAGCCTTCAACACACACTGCTGACATGACATCAGCAAAAAGATTAATTTTGTTTTGTTTGTTTGTTTGTTTGTTTTTTGAGGCAGGGTCTCACTGTCACCCAGGCTGGAGTGGAGTATAGTACGGTGTCATCACGGCTCACTGAAGCCTCAAACTCCCCAGGCTCATGAGATCCTCCCATCTCAGCCTTCTGAGTAGCTGGGAGTACAGGCACATGTCAGCACTCACTCCGAGCTAATGTTTGTATTTTTTGTAGAGACAGGGTTTCGCCATGTTGCGCAGGCTGGTTTCAAACTCCTGGACTCAAGCAATCTTCCTGCCTTGTCCTCACAAAATGCTGGGATTACAGGGATAAGCCACCACACTCGGCCAAGAATTCTTTCAGTCCTTGAATCCACAACAGAATCTTACATATTTGAAGGAGTCTGGCTTAGAAAAATTTCTCATCTAAGCAAAAAAAGCAGTCATTCTTTTCCAAATCATGCATATCCCCAATGTCCCCAGCAAGTACCCATGATTTTCTGGAGGTATAGTGTTTCTGGACATAACAACAACAATATTAATAAAAGCTAACATCTACTGAGTACTCATTATTGTGTCAGGCACTATGTTAAATGCTTCCCATGCATTTTTTGTTTAATTCCCCAATAACACTGAAGTGAGTTG
This sequence comes from Homo sapiens, assembly GCF_000001405.40. Lineage (NCBI taxonomy): Eukaryota > Metazoa > Chordata > Mammalia > Primates > Hominidae > Homo > Homo sapiens. The sequence goes on from NC_000007.14 coordinate 38,263,254, forward strand.
TATTATGTATGGCCCCATGTTCTGAATGAGGAAATAAAGTTTAAAAAGTGCAGGCAACTTGCCGAGAATCATATCAGCAAATAGCAGAGCCAGTATTCAGACAGTAGTTGTAGGGGAAGAAAAGAAATTGGACATATGAAAAGTACTTTGTAGGAATAATCCACAGAAATAGATAGAAAGTTATTTATAAAGAGGCAATATAATGTCACCATTGTGTACTCTAAGAAAATCTCTTTCAGTATGTTAATTACTCTCAGCAAATGGTTGTTTTTATTACAGGAGCTCAGATTTCAGTGCAATTCTTTCTGGGACTAGAAAGACAGAGGCCAAGTCACATTGACAGTTCTCTCAATAAAACCTGAGGTGAGAGTTGAATTTATCTGTGATGTTAAAAAAAAAAAGGAAGAAGCAAACATGCATACAAAGACAACATACTTTAAAACAGAAGAAAACACAGTTGCATTGGTGTGTTGGTTTATTATTTTTCTAGTAGATGTGTTCTTGTCTATACGGATATGATTCTGGTGCGCAATTTTATGCACTCACTGAGATCTTTATTTCATGAATTCTAAAAACTTGGACTTGAGGTATGGGTTTTGGGTAAGTCTCAAGAATGCAAACGTTAGTTATCAAGTCTGCATGTCCAAATATCTTTAAGGGCTGACTTTAATGGGTTTTCAATGTCTTTTTATTTTCCTCATGGTGACTTCATTTATTAAAAGATAAATGAAAATGACTATCACTTATTTCCATGCATTGATTGAGGTAAAAAGAATAAAGTAACTGTTCCCCATAATAAAATCTTCAAGTGTATCCTGAGTTCTCTCTCTCTCTCAATCAAGGTTGGTTGCAAGTGTGGACCAGATTAGTTTTATCTCCTTGAAAAGCACTTCATTGATTATATAATATGATCACTTCCATGTTATATTTTTAGCTTTTCTCAGAAAAACAAACTTCCAAGAAAGAGCATTAGAAATCTACTGTAGAATGACATTAAGAGAAGTGTCCTCCTTAACGTAGCTGCCTTGGGAAGCTCATGAAAGACATTTTACTTTTAGGCTGGGCACAGTGGCTGACGCCCATAATCCCAGCACTTGGAGGCCGAGGTGGATGGATCACTTGAGGTCAGGAATTTGAGACCAGCCTGGCCAACATGGTGAAACCCCATCTCTACTAAAAACACAAAAATTAGCCAGGTGTGGTGGCAGGCGCCTGCAATCCCAGCCTGTCGGGAGGCTGAAGTAAGAGAATCACTTGAACCCGGGAGGTGGAGGTTGCAGTGAGCTGAGATCATACCATAGCACACCTGCTTGGGCAACAAGAGTGAAACTCTGTCAAAAAAAAAAAAAGACTTTTTACTTTTAGAATTTAGTGTAAAGGAAAACACATTATAAAACTGTAACTTCTCTCCTGTATAATATTCACTGCCTTGGAACTTACTATACTTTTTATTTTGCCCTGATCACTAGAAAAATCAGAACACTTAAGCACAGTGGTAAGACTACCCTCAAGCTTTGCACATTTGCCTCCCCTTTGTGTCTCAGCAAAGGAAATAGAAAATTGGAACTGTTTTTAGATAAACATCATTCTGTCAACAACAGATAAACATCATTTTGTCAACAATGAACCCGTTGTTTTTAGGTTAAACTTTGTGGGTAGCAAGATTGAGGTGAGTGACTCTCCTGCTTGGGCAGAACATTCCTGAAAGACATATATATGTTATTTCCTGATCAAGTAAAGTCATCAAAAGAAGGGAGAACACTTTTTGAGCGTTTACCACGTGTCACGTTGCTAGATGCTTCTGTGTATGTTGTTTCTTTAATCCATCTAACAACCCTAAAAACCAGCACGTGACTTTCTTATTTTGGATAATGGAGCTGAGGCTGACAAACCTTCAGTAACTTTTTCAATTTTGTTTTCTCCAAAACCTATACCATTTTAATTCTATAGAAAAGTAGCAGGGCATTTATGCTACCATTAAATGTAACAATATTTAAGAAAGATTTATGTTTGTTTTTCATTAATACTGAAAGGAAAAAATGCAGCATTCACTTTCAAAGAAGTGTTCTGACAGATGATATGCGTAAACACATACCTGTCTTTATTGGAGGAAAGATAATTTCTTGATCAACTCCGTTTTTATTATTCTCATGTCTGACGATACATCTGTGTTCTTTGTCCAGTGACTTTTCTGGCACCGTTAACCAGCTAAATTTCATGTATGTGTCGTTAGTCTTCATGGTGTTCCCCTCCTGGGATCCCAGAATCGTGTTGCTCTTCTTTTCTTGCCAATGTATCTTAATAACATCAGGGAAAAATTTCTCAAGAAGACAAAGGTATGTTCCAGCCTTCTGGAGCTTTGTTTCAGCAATTGAAGGAAGAAAAATAGTGGGCTTGGGGGAAACATCTGCATCAAGTTGTTTATCTATGGGGAGAAATGAAATATGAGTTTAAAAGAATCATTAGAGAAACACACACATTGCACAGTTTGGAGTGGCCTAGTACATAACCATAAAAAGAGAAGATGCCATTGAGCTGGTGTCCACTGCGGCCTTTCATCCAGGATAGGCTGCACAGTACTTATTATTGTGCTTATTTTACAGATGTTGAAAAGAGAATCAAGACATTAAATAACTTGCCAAAAGTCACAGCTCTCAAATGTCAGATGCTGGACGAAAACCTGGCCTTTGTTTATTCTGCACATGCTGTGATGAGTGTGATTTTTAACTGCCTCCTACCAGGGCTTCCAAAGTTCATGAGCATATTTATTTTATTTTTTAATCTCTTTTGTTTCATCATAGTGAAGCAGGTTTTCAAGGTGGATGGCAGGGGAAAGTGGAAGGTCAGAAAACCTTAATGATCTCTCTACAGATGAGACTCTTTGGTCCTTTTCCCACTTCCCTTTTCCATCCTTTGTAACTTATGTTCTTTGGCCAAATATGACACATTCTCATGTTCTGCAATTTCGTGTACTCCCACTCTTCATTTAACTGATTCTGCGATGCACCATATTTATCTTATTATTTATCTTATTTCCCATATGAATCAATGTCAAAATTTTTGTTGTTGTTGAGACTGGGGCTTGCTCTGTCGTCCAGGTTGGAATGCAGCGGCAAGATCATAGCTCACTGCAGTCTCGACTTCCCAGGCTCAAGTGATCCTCCCACCTCAGCCTCCCAAGTAGCTGGGACTACAGGTATGCATCACCATGCCTGGCTAATATTTTTTTTCTAGGAACATGTTTCACCATATTGACCAGGCTGGTTTAAAACTCCTGCGCTCAAGTGATCTGCCTGCCTCAGCCTCCCAAATCCTGGGATTATAGGTGTGAGCCACCATGCCTAGCCATTTTGTTCACTTTTATTTTTAACATACACAGTCACTTGTTTTAAAGAGAATCTACTTCCGCATGTACATACTGTCTATCAAGTTGACCATGTAGCTTCAATGTGTATACCATGAGCAGTCCCCCTAGTTAATATCTAACTTTATATAACATCTCAATTTCACATCTGCACCCTCCAAGTTTTGGGATGCAGCAGTATTTACAGCTGTACCTCCAGATTATTCACCATCTCCTGAATTTAGAAACAAAATGGCAACTTTCCAAAACTCTTATTTAAATTTTTTCTTGATTATTTTCAGAAATACTCTTGTGTTAATCTTCTGCAGTAACGCACTTATCAAAATTTCATTTTGCTTCAGAAAATATTCACCAAAAGCACATTTTATTTTGGAATTTCATTTGAAGTTTAAGAATGACTAAGAATGCACCAGGGGTGTATTTTTTATACTGGGTTTTATATAAATTTACCCCATTAATGAGAAGGTCTGTGTAAATCAGTGTATCTATATTTTGACTCTTTATGTCTCTCCCAGAATTTGTATCTGTCCTATATGCTGCTTAACTGTTTTAAAGCTCCATTATTCTCTTCATCTTAGCCTGCTGAATAAAATGTACATATAATTGCTCTATTAAAAGTCATGATTTCAGAGCTTCTTATAGGGATAGGGTCAAGATACATAACAAAGCATCATATGTTTACAAAGGCATATCACTTGAATCTGGAATGTTAATGGGTTATACACGTATTTTTAATCTAATAACTGAAATTATAAATGTTACAATTCTTTCTATTTTGATTTCCAATTGAAACTCCAATGCTTTGGCTGGTTTGAAGTGAATTTAATAATTGAACAATTTCTAAGAAAATAAGAATTAAATTTCTCATTTCAGAAGAAAAGAAAACAGTCTTGATAATTTCTGTCTGTGTAGCAAAGCTTCTGATTTTCATACAAAATTAGTAAACATATACAGAAATATTAATTTGTGAGCATGCTATAAATTTAATTAGGCATAATGTGCTCATCTTAATTTCATACTCTTTGCTTTTAGTGCAAATAGTATTTTACTTGTTATACTTGTGAGACAGTGTATATTTCTCCACCATATAGTTTGCTTCTAATTTTAAAAGCATGTTATAAAATATGAGTAATTTTTCAATTGTACATTATATTTATATAATTGTAGTCTCTAGTCAATATATTTTCCAATCTAATTTTCATCCTAAGAACTAGTGTCTCTTCATTGAAATACTTCTAATTCATTGTACTAAAGAAATTAAAAATCAAATGATAAACTTGGACATTTTCTGTACGGTACCACAGCATTCATTGCCTCTTGTCCCCTTTCTTTAGCTAGATTCTTTAAGTTTCATTCTTTTCAGGACAAAATGAATCTGGAACTTCCAAAACTTTCTCAACGTAGTAGTTAACGAATCATTAAATAGCATACTTGATTACACATGGTAAGGGCCGATATTGTGGATCATCCTCTCACATGATTTTTAAAATACTACTTTTAAAATGTACATATTAAGAGTTTTTTATGGCCAAGTATGGTACATTTTTACTTACTTCAATAACAAATAGAATTTACATATTTTATTTAAAATAATAAATAAAATTTATTTTATTGTTGGATTCATTTATGTACATTTATTTGCAAAATCAAATAGTATATTTGAGTTAAATTGCCTAAGTTGTTTGTAGTTTATTAAAATGCAGCATTGTAAATTTACCAAATATCAACTACAGTTTTTAGAGACGGTATGATATATTAAATCTACATATGGATATTTATTTAAGTGTTCTCTATTTCTTATTTTTTCATTAGCTAAATAGTTATAGCCATTTTATGTTTAAATATGTATTTCAGATTTATGATGTTTCCAACTGGATTTAATTGATTTGATATCTTGACCATTTTTGGTAAGATTTTAACCTTTTTTTCCTGAGACATATGAACAGAACCCTAAACTAATTGGCTATAAATCTTAGGACCAATATGTTGGTGTTAGAAATGATATCAATTAAGATAAAGGATTAAGTAAAGCACATAGAACAACAAAAATAAAAAACAGACATCTTAATACAATGTTTTTGCCACGTGATTAAAAAGCCTGCTAACAAGAAACGAATCCATAAGTTCAATTTTTGCGTGTGTGAGCTGATGTTGATAACCTTCCATTTGAGCAGTTAGAAGTACAGCTGAATCCTCTGGAGAATTGCTGCTCTGTAAATTAGATGGACTGAGAGCAACTCTCCATAGTAGATCCCATTGTCTCTTTACATGTGAATCCAGAAAACATTTGTTGGGCACCTATTTTGGGTTGGACAATGTGCCAAGTACTTAATTCACACTATGTTGTGCAATTCTTATACAACCCTGCTGAATTCATACTGTTATCCCATTTTATGGATTAGAAAACTGAGGCCAGAGAATAATCACTCAATTTCACTAAGCAGTGAGTGGTGGAGCCAGAGTTCCAGGTGGACCTGACTCCAACACCCGGGCTCCTTCACAACAAGAGTAAACATGTCTTTGACCATCAGAGATGAATATGTGTCCACTCTGTAGAGTCTATCACAAACTTACCTGTCATAATACATTTGGTCTCAGGGCCAGACATTTTAATGAGATCATTTCATACATTACATATGAGCCCTTTATGGAAGTCCGTATATGCACAAAGCCAAATCTTATTATGATATCTGTGCAATGTTATCTATGTTCTCTTTTAGTATGAGCGTTTGTTTTAAAGTCTCTCCTAAGTTTTCTACATCAAATCCCCATCCAATTCCTCTTTTTTCTAAACATTATTACATTATTCCAGTTTAATAATTTCCTGCTTTCCCTCTATTACCTTGGAAATGTTGTATTCTTCCGATACTTACCTGTGACAACAAGTGTTGTTCCACTGCCAAAGAGTTTCTTATAATAATTCCACAGTGATTCAGTCCATATCAAAAACTCTAATTCAGTTTCCCTGAGTTCTTCAAATTCTGGTGGTCTGGGATTCTCAAAAGACCAGGGTTCCAGTCCTGGTTCATTTTGCTCATAACAAGTTCTGTTGCTCCACAAATCAAATAACTTAAAGCTTTTGGTGTTTTATTTGTCTAAAAACAGTGATGTTTCAAAATCAGTTCAACATCGCTACCAGCACTGAAGTGAGACCAAAATGAAACAAGATATAAAAAAGCAATTTGATTAAAATGTTATAGGTCCCAGTGCAGTGGTTTGTGCCTATAATTCCAGCACTTTGGGAGGCTGAGGTGGGAGGATTGCTTGAGCTCAGAATTTTGAGGCCAGCCTGGGCAACACAGTGAGACCCCATATTCACTAAAAATACAAAAAGCATTAGCTGAGCATGATGTGCACGACTGTAGGCCCAGCTACTCGAGAAGCTGAGGCAGGAGGGTCACTTGAGCCTAGGAGTTCGAGGCTGCAGTGAGAATTGATCACACCACTGCACTCCTGCCTGGGCAACAGGGGAAGACCCTGCCTCAAAAATAAATGCTATGGAAATATAAGAGATTATGATGATGATGATGTCATTGTTATGATTAGCAATCTGTTTGCTATGATTGTGTGCCTTGACATGACATTTTAACCCTATAGGACCAAGCATTGCCCTTACTAAAAAAAATTCAGCATTTTGGAGTGGCAGTTAAATCCATAGCAATTAAGCAGGAGGAATAATTTCTCAGTTCCTCTGTTTGCATTCCACTTTGCTCTGGGATTCTCAAAGCCATCGTCCCCATCATCACAAGAAACATGGCTTTCACACGCCCAATCTTTAATAGGTTATCCTTTGCCTTACCTACCGTGTTAAGAAAGTCAAAGGGAACATTGGCTAAAGTCTAATATATGCAGTCAGTGTATGGGAATTCTTCACTTGTGTTTTTCAAAACAAGTGAGCCTTTTTCTAATCAGCAGCACAACTTATTTGCCTTCCAAGTTTCACCAGAAACTTCAGCCTGAAACTGACTTCTGTCTAGTTCATGCCAAAGTCCAGCTTGAAACACCTGGCTTTACCCTTCAAGGCAGAATGGGTAGAGAAAAGGCAAGAGGCCTGGTCCTCAAATCCATCTCTCTGTTGTCACTTTAGATCACTACATGTTATCTGCCTGACCATGTCTGCTGAGCATCACCATCTGCGCATTTCATTAAATGTCAGGATGCCCATAGCACTGATGCAGTGGTAATATGCAGTGGGTTTTTCATGACCATTCCTTTCATTTTCCAAAATGGAAGTTGAAGGCACTGCCCACTCTTCCATTTCCTTCTAAAGGACTCATGCATTGAAGTCTTTTTCCAATCTAGTAATAGAAAAAAATATGATATTTGAAAATTTGGTGTGCTTCTTTTTATCAATTAGTAAGATGTATGTATTCCCCTACCTTTTTCTCCTTCTTTTGAGCATAAAATTTTAAACTGTGCTCCTCACTAGGTAATCACAGGCCTTTTTCCTTCTCCTTTCCTTAGGGCTTTAGATCATCTGTATATATTTAATGGTCTGACTGTGCTTGTATATTTTAATTTAGGTCTTCTCAAATAGATTTTGGAAAGAGATAGCTTAAATAAATAACAAAGAGTTTGTGCATTTAGCATGTTTCTCCTTTGCCCCCAGGAGTTGATGGTTTTGTAAGGTCAAGCTCAAATAAGACACAAGGAATGGAGACTATGTTTGCAAATCCTAGCTCTGTGATAGGGACACCTACATACTAAATTTAGATAGAAAGTGCCAGAACTTAAAATGAAGCTTTTTTTCCCCAAAATTTTCTCTCACAACATGGGGAGGTGCCTTATGTATGGTACAGTCTTTGTGTAACTTCTCATATTAAAAAATGTTCTTCTAATACTCTGCTTTGATCCAGAAGGACTAACTGGAGGAGATATCGACATGAAATGAACTCAATGATGCTAGTTTGGGGAATAGCACTGGTAAAAGGAAAAAAAAAGGCAAAGAAATTTATCACGGATTTGGTCATTATTACTTGGGGTAATGTCTCTGTAGTTTTTACTTCATACAACTGTAGAATAACAGAATAAATTGGAAAAAAATATATCCTTTTATTTTGTGAGTGAATAATTGTGTCTTAGAATAAAATATTCAGAGACACCATCATAAGAGGATTCCAAAGTGGACGCTTTGACCTGAGATGCCTTAGAAAGCTGTTCTGAGATAGATGCTTTACATGCATGTGAAGCATCAAAACAAAAGTTTTAATGAAATATAAGGGCAAAAAAGGCAATATTTCTCAACTGATATTGATATTGATATAATTTTTAACTTTGAAAGTATGAACCAGGTAAGAAATTAAATGTTATAGGTAGACATTTGACTGTTTTACCTGTAGCCCTATAAATTTACATATTCGAGTTGGGGGAGGGGAAAATACATATTTTCTTAAACATAAATTTTCTCTTGAAAATGAAAAATCACCTTGTATTCAGGTAGATCATATTTGAGATAATACGTAAAACATTCTAATTACTTTTAGAAGCAGGTACAATTAGTCTTTTAGACATAGAAAGCATTTTACAAATAGTGATATTTGTTCTGAAGTGAGCTGCTGAATAGATGGGAGTCGATACATTTATCTGTATTCCTGAGTGTATAAAGACCTTTCGTGGGTAGTAACTTGAATTCTAGAAGAGGAAATAATATTTCTATCACCTACCAAGTGCCAGGCATTCTGGTAGGTAATTTCCATATTTAATTTCATTTAATCTTTATAACATCCACTTTAGATAAATAATCTCCATTATCTTCTTTGTACAGATCAACGTGAAAACAGAAGTTTCAACTTTGTTCTGGTATTGAAAAATATTAAGGACATTTGAAAAGAATGTTTATGAAGCAGTGTGAAGTGAAAAAGCCAGATCTATTATTGTGTATCTAGTATGATTCCAACTTTGTAAAACAAACAAACAAAAAGCAGAGAAAAATGTTTAAATAAAAATATAACAAAATGATAATGTGATGAGGGTCAATATCAAATTATAATTTTTTGTTTATTTTTGTGTTTTCCAATTTTTCTATAATGAACCAGCATTTTTATAATTTGAACAACTGGTAAATCAAAATACACTTCCTAAAAGGGAGTTACATAGAAAGTGCTAGCTCCAGGAGTCGAGAAACAAAGTCCATACCTTTTCTTGCACCGCACTTTCCTGAAAAATCACTTCTCAGAAAATTACAAATTATGAATTTGATTGCTACAATTCTCATTAAGTCAATTGGATAAAAGAGAATCGGAAGGTCACTTTTTAACTTATAAGTTCATTTTATCATAAGATCTCAACCACTAAGGAATTAAAAATGTAAAACTGCTTTCATTTTTTCCGATGCTTTATCAACTTTGTGAAAATTCTCTGAAAACTTTCATTTCAGTGGATCTAACAGACTAAGAGTATCTTTATGAGATGTTTTCTCTCATCCAGGCAAAATTACATCTTTAAACTTAAGCTAACAAATAATAAACAAACTCATTGGACCAATTTAAATAACAATAAATGCAGCTTATGTTACTTCTAAATATGGTCACACCGAGAAATATTTTAACATTTGATATTAACCATTCTTTGGTCAAATTATCAAATATTTCATCTTTTGGTGACCAAATAAGGAGGGTAGCTGATTTTACTTTTTTTTTTTTTAATTTTTTCCATTGGTTATTTTTAGAACTGAAGAAATAAAATCTCAAAACTAAACTTGTTCACAAAACTTTCAACAGAGAGATACCAATGGAACAACATAAGGCCTCCATCCTTTAGAGATTTGCAGTTGGTCTAAGCTCCTTAGTAATGTCTCCCATGCTAGGGCAGGAAAAGTTCTGACTCCTAAGGCATGAACCAAGTCACCTGACCTCTCTGGAGATTTCACCATGATTAGTGACCAAGGAGGGAATCCTAGAATTCTGAGCCAGCTCCTGCCTGCCAGCCTCCCATCCCTTCTTTACATTGCAAAATTTAAAGAAAACTTACCTGTAATGATAAGCTTTGTTCCGGGACCAAATACCTTGATTTTTTTGCCCAACTCTTGCCCACCACCTGAGAAGCCTTTATAAGAATCTCCCTTTGTGTTTGTCTTAAAATTGTGCCAACATTTTTTTCAATATTTACATAAATACATAAAAATTGGCCCTGCTGACGTTAAGTCAAGACAAAGGTCAAACAAAATCACACTGGATCTGAATGTAATCAGGAATTTAAGAACTGACCTCACCTTGCCCTGGGCACTTTGGGCTATGTACATTCTCTCCTTGTATCCCATACATTAGAGAGTCTGATTTTACCTTTTCTCATGATTTTGCCTGAATCTTCTAAATCTTCCCTAAAAAGTTTTCTTGTATACACTTTGTCTTAAGTGTAATTTAGAGTTAATATTTCCTTAATTTTCAAAGAGAGACAATAATAGGATTCCTATGTTTGACATTTAATAAATAGATATTCAATATGATTTATAGGTATTTTGGGATTCATATGTATGGAGGGATGGGTATCTAGATTGATTCTAAAATAACTTCTTTTTGGCCAGGCACAGTGGCTCATCCCTGTAATCCTAGCACTTTGGGAGGCTGAGGCAAGCGGATCACTTGAGCTCAGGAGTTGAAAACCAGCCTGGTCAACATGGTGAAACCCCATCTCTACTAAAAATACAAAAAAAACCCAAAACATTAGTTGGGCGTAGTGGCAGGAGCCTGTAATCCTAGCTACTCAGGAGGCCGAAGCAGAAGAATCTCTTGAAACTGGGAAGCGGAGGTTGCAGTGAGCAGAGATGATGCCACTGCATTCCAGCTGGGCGACAGAGTGAGACTCCATCTCAAAAAATAAAAAATAAAAATAAAGTAAGTTCTTTTTAGAATCCAGTTCTCACTGATAGAATACTGATGAGTTGTTAGAAAATATGAATTCTTAATGATGATTCATTGCTGAAAGACTGCTACTTTTGACTTGAAAATATCTATACAGTTTCATCAAATTAAATCGTGTGCTACTCAACAGAGAATCTGAGGCAGCTCTGAGTTATGCGACTTAGCACTGCAATATAGCATAGCTGCGATAGCTCCTACATCAGTTTCAACATATCTAGCAAATTTGATGCCAATACAGAAAGACAGCTGAGTGGAATGACGTCAAAATGACTCATTCTACAGAAATACCCTAAAAATTATATTTTGAGTATTTAATAAATGTATATCCCATATGACTTTTTGGAGGAGAGAGGTCATTTCAGTGCCATAATTAGAAGTAGAAGAATTGTATTAATACACAAATAGTAATACAAATTGGGAGTTGTTACTAGAAAAATAGTCAACTAAAGAGTCCATTCATAGGGTCAAGCTACAGAAGAAGAAATATTCAAAGTATAAAAATATGACTTAATATTTCTAAATATCACATAAGGGTCCAGACCAGGCACTTTGGAGTAGACAAGCTTAGATAGATCCCAGACTTTTCCACAGTGACTAGTCATGTGACTTTAAGAAAGTAACTGAGCTTCTCTAGGCCTCAGTTTCCTCATCTGTGAAATGGGACTAAGAGGATCTCCTGCATAGGTCTGATGAGGAAGGAGATAAAGCATTGAAACTATTTAGCATGGTGTCTGGCTCTCAATAAACTTTGCTAATATTAATTTTCTCCTTAAAAGGACAATATTGGGTCATTTTATCAAATCCTCCCACCAAACGCAATACATAGATCTTATAAGCAATAACTGCTACACAAATTAAGAAAGAAAATGAGCTCATGAACCCAAGACCTTCTGCTTCTCCGGCAGCCACAGGCCAAAGAACGTGGACAGGGCCCAACCAAGCCAGAATCTAGAATACTTATCTGCCAGACTGGCAGCTTTTGAGTGTTGAGACTGTGTCTTCTTTGCCCTTTTATCTCTAGCATCCAGAACAAAAACTGTTTTTGATAAATATTTGCTGAGAGGATGAATGAACAAATGAAGATGTAAAATGATGAAGACTCTTTTCATTGACCTTGGAGCTGACATGGCTGGTTGAACTTACAAATTCTATTAAACCGGGCCATTTCCAGGTGATATAACAAGAGTCCCAATTGCATAAATTTTGACTGACTTCAGCCTCCCTCAAAGAAACTAGAACACTAATAAGTGGGATGTATTGACCTTCTATAGTAATTTACTATAAGAAGTAATTTTTTTCTATACTATTTCTCAGGATGAGATCAAAATCAATAACATGGGTTTGGCAGGCTAGCAGAAGAAGGGAGCACTATGTTATATCTCAAAATACAGAGAAGAAGTAATTAATAAAACTCCATTTTTATGTCTCTCACTTAAAAGACCAACAAAAAAGTAACTTGGACCAAGGACTTACACTAATGGTGTATAGACATGGGCCTCAAAACATTTTAATTTCTTGCCAGAGTCTATCTTTTGTGTGTGTGTGTGTGTGTGTGTGTGTGTGTGTATTCTTAAAGTAGAATTTTAATCCGCTTACAGACAGGGAAGGGAAGATATCATGTACAAAATCGTTTTGTTTCCATATTCAGCTAATCTGCAAAATTGCTGTTCGTATACTGAGGCCAGGAATGTGACATATTCAGATAAGGTTGATCATTTTTTTCTAAAAATCATCTATCAGTTTTTCATTACTGGAATAAAAACAGAAAGAAAAGTTACTTACCAGGTGAAGTTACTATGAGCTTAGTCCCTTCAGCAAATATCTTGAACCAACCAGTGGTATCACACCGGTCTAAGCTTCTACAAAAATCTCAGCCTTCTGATCCTCGGGACACGACTAGCAATCCAACAACTTTGAACTAGCAATTTCATCTTCTGGCTTTTTTGGAAGTCCTTGAATATAGGTTTTGTGACATGTGATAGTTTGTAATTTTTCCTCATAAATTGCCTGTTTTCTTCTAAGGCAGTAATTCTTGAAAAGCACCAACAGAAAAGGGAAATGGAAAAAAAAAAGCAGGAAGAGAAAACAGCAGGTTTAATGGGTCAACCCACTGCTTTTCTAAATTACCAGGAAAAGTATTCAGAGAATTGTCTTTTTTTTTTCCAGGGGTTCAATTGTGTTGAAACTGCTTTGAGATTACATCAAAGGAAAAGCCCTTCTGTTCCCACAAACACCAGAGCCTCTCTGCTAGCAATTTGGGAAGATACTTCTGAAAGGAGGAAGCTCTTTAGTAACTGAAAATGCAAATGTGTCAATGCAGATATACTTGAGAAATTTGAACAACGGTCTCCACTTTCAAAAAGCCACTTTTATCATTTGGCAACATGATGCTTTACCAAGGCAATGCCAAATGAAAAAATGTGTTCTGCAATGACTTATTATTTCTCCTGGAATAATAGAAGAAATTTGTAGAATTCTATCTCCCATGAAATAATACATTCTTTAATTATACTGAGGCATGACCAAAAAAAACAAATCCAGTTATCTAATATGTTGAAAAATCTGCCATCTTAAGCCGGGGTCAGCTGTGTGATCTCCTGAGTACAGATGAGGTGTTCACTTGCAAGGGCTGAGGAGGACAAGCCTTGACAACCTCCATGTCCACTCCAGATCCACCCTGCTCCAGCCTAAGTCCCCTGAGTCCTCATTCAGGAAGATATGAATGAGGTCACAGAGGGTACCTGTCCATACACAGCAGCTCACAGCCCCCAATTCAATGGAGAGGACAATGGGGCTGGGTGAAAATTATGTTTGGAAAGGGTTTCTTCTTAATAGAAAATTCAAAATTATTATGTGGCGCTGTCAATGACCCTTTACACCTGTGATAGATGGAATGACGCCCGCTCAATCTCTTCTTGTCCTCTGGCCTTCCTTATTTCAGGACCATGAGGCGAAGCATCAGAAGTCTTAGCAGCTGTCAATATTTCAAGAGCCATGAAGGATTTAACTAATAAAATGTGGAAAAGTAATGAATTATAAAATCTTTTATTAAATTTACCAAAAAAATACAAGAATGATATGAAGAACACAGTGTTTAGTTTTCCTAAGGGCATAAAATAAAACCTAAATAAATGGAGAAACATACATTGATGAATAAAAAGCTCCTATCATAAAGAGGCCAATACATCCTAAATTCATCTATAAATTTCCAGCAATTCCAGTCAGAATTACTACGACATGTTGTTGTTGTTCTAGGCTGTGAGGTTTAATGTTGGGCTAGATAAGTTGATTTTAAATTCTACAGGAGTGAATAAATATGAGATGATTGAAAAAGATTTTCTGAAAAATGGTACAGTGAATAGACATTTGGCATAGTAGATCTTAATTTTTATCACAAAGCTACTGAGATAATATGATAATGATGTAAGAATAATGAAACAGACAAATAAAACAGAAATTCTCCAGAAAATGTGTCAAATATGTGTGCATATTTAAAACACGCTGCAGCATTTTTAAATTGAAAGGAAATGATGGATTGTTTGGAAACGGGCATTAGGAAAATAATTACCTTAGAAAATAAAAATACCACTCTACCTCATCCCAGATAACACAGGGTCCAAATAGATTAAAATTAAAATTACAAAGCAACACGTGGCCAGAAGGAACATATTGGAGATTTATTGTATCCATTGAGTAAAGGGGCATGGGATGGAAATGGGGTAGGAGAAACTTAACACATTAATTTTTAGGAAGTAAGCATGTGGAAAATTTTCTATTTTTATAGTATTTTCAAATAAATGTTTTTGAAAGAATAGACAATGAGGACTTGCTAAAAAATTTAGAGAGGAAAGTGACATGATCACATTTGCACTGGAGAAAGATAGATGTGCAAGCAGAAAGGAAGGGGCGCTCCCCAGGACAGCAATTTGGCTGAAGCAGATGGTTTTATAGGTGGTCGCCATAATCCAATAAGAGGCAACCAGGACCTGAATTGTTGCAGTGATGGTGGAGATGGACAGAGTGGCTGCAGCAATAAACATTAACAAGTTTACTCGAGCTTTTAAAGGATTCTTATGAAATAAATTATTATCTCAGGAAGTTGGGAATGAAGAAAAAGACACTTTAAAATTGGAAAACCCAGGTTCAGATTCCAGTTCTTCCACTCCTGGTGATGTGCCCTTGGGCACACACACTTCTCAGAGCCTGGGTTTCCTCATCTTTTAAATGGAGAGAATTAGACCTATTTCCCAGGACTTTTGTACGATATTTATAATCGAGCATGGGACACAGTAGGGGCTAAAAACTGTTTAATTTTCTCTTATCATTTATGTAATAATTCAGACAGAGAGACTTCACTTCATAAGGTAGAATGGAAAGATCTTATTTCTGTGTCTTTTTATCTGAAAATAATAAGTTATTGTTACTTCGTACTGTCAATTACCCTTTGCACCTGTCATAGATGGGATGATGCCCATTCAATCCCTCTTTGTCCTCTGCTTTTCCTTATTCCAGAACCATGTGGGGAAGTATCAGAAGTCTTAGAAGCTGTCTACATTTCAACAGCCATGAAAGATTTAAGTAATACAATGTAAAAAGTAAGTAATGAATTATAACATATTTTATTAAGTTTACAAAAAAAAAGAACTATGTGAAGACCATGATGTTCAGTTTTACTAAAGGCGTAAAATGAAACCCAAATGAATGTGTATAAAGATAAGCAGTTTCGCCTCTAACCCTGTGTTTTGGAACACATACATCCTCCCCGCCACATTTGTCATGTCTTGAGTTAACAAACTGAGGCAACTTAAATCCTGCTTCCAAGAAGATGGGTTATGAATGAACAAATATATAAATAACAAGTAAGTCAAGTGAGGTAAAGCACAAGTTGATACTGCATTGCTTGAAGTTTTGCATCACTTTTTCAAGTCTGATGATAATAATTTTCATAGAGAACAGCTTCAACCAAATTTGTTAGACCATCAAAAGATACGAAAATATATCTCACATTTCATTTCAGGGTTTGGTTGCCAACATGAACCAAAATAATAATTTGCACATTTTTTTCACATTGGTTTATCTTTCAGAAATTGTAGTGGATCTTAATTAAATCAGGTACAGCAGTAAGTTAAGACACTTCTGAGAGAGACCACCCTCTGAAGCAAAAAAAAACACATTATCTGACATGTACAAGAGATAAAAAAATCACATACTGACAATCTGTGGACCACTAACTTTCATAAATTAGCATAATTTGATTTCACATATGTCATCACTTAGATAATATCAGATATGTTACAATATAGTCCAGTGGATCTTCACTTGTTTCTAAAAACACCAGGGCAGTGTTTGGGAGAGGCCGGGTCACTGCACTTTCAATCAGATTCTCCCTTTTAGCAATTGTGCCACCTGTCTTCATTCTTAACCTGAAGATTTAGTCTTTTAGGGTTTCTTTTGCACTTGGGGTACTTAACATGCCACTATGCATATTGTAGATTTATAGATACTTTTCAACTGATACTGCTCCCACAGGCAAACATGCCTGGTGAAACACTTGTTTCTTTTTGGCAAACAAGAAATGTTTGCATAAAAGACTCGTGTCTGGAAAAATGTCTTGAGAAATTGATATGCTACTCTAAGCCCCAAATCTCCTTTTCACTTACCTTCCCCCTGCTGCAGGATGACAATCCATGGGCCTGTGCTTTCTGATAGTGAAAGAGAAGAAAACTCATAAATATAGTGTCTACCATGAGTCAGGCACTAACTATGCATTTATCTCTTTCTGCTTTACCCTATAAATGGTTATTACCATTAAAAGTCATGTGAGGAAACAGAATTAGGGAGTTCAAACTGAGCCAGGATTTCAGTTCAAGTTTTCCAGATCCCAAACCCTGTTCATCAATTACTTCACAGTTGGAGAGATATGTGTGGAAGGAACGCAGTTCCCAAGTATAGTCTAGGTCTGTATAATATAGAGAATCTGTATCTCAAATGGCCATATAGAGGATGCTGGGTATTGCTTTCTAGGAATCACAGAACATATTAAACGAAATAAAAAGCAGATGAAATGGTTGATTTGCATATTCTAAAAAGCATTGAGTAGTCAGTGACAACACCTAGCAAAATAATCTGTGAGGAGCGGGGCTAGTTGAATCTGAATATCAAATTATATCTCACAATTTACTTTCTTTTTATTTGTCTTTCAGTGACACCAGGAGATTATACATCCATGGGGCCATTTGGGCCATGCACTTCAGAATGACAATCATTGCCGTCATGGCTGGCCTATTGCCCTGCACATGTCAGGGGGAACACAAAGAGTTTCTAAACCTGCAGTAAGTTAGAGAGAAGACTGGGTCTTCCCTGCATTGGGTCTGTAGTGTTTCGGTCAGGGGCTCTGTTGAGACAGCCTACTCCAGTCTCAGATTGGACCACACAGGGTTGGGCCTGGTTTGTGGGTGTCTTTCTCGCAGGTGAAACCATAGCTTCAAGAGCTCCTGTAAACTCCCTTCAGATCTCATATCACAGGAAACTCAGTAATAGTTGGGTCTCTGCACTCTTCTCTCATTACTAGGAGAAACAAAAAACACAGAAGTCAACAAAACACTATCTGCTTGAGAAAACACCCTTGCCATTCCATCAGATGATACAATATACTGTTGCCATTTACTGCAATAGGAAAGTCTGGGGAGGAAAATAATACATGCTTGGAGATTGGGGGAAGGGAGTGGAATTGGAATCAATAATTTTTTTGGCTACTTGTCAGACATCCAAAAAGAGAGGTACTGAGCTAAATGTAATGGTATAGATATGGTTGCTACTATTGTTCTTGCTATTTTCTAGGTGTGGCTGGTAAGGCCTTGGACATGAACAAGTCCTAGGTCACTCTAAGAAGGCAGAAAGCAGGCCAGGACTACCCAATTTGAACCAAGTGTGTGGCCAGCCCCTTGGGATTGGTTCCAGCTTTCAGAGTGAAGAGTAGGAAATTCCAGCCTTGGTTCAGCAGGTCCTTCTATTATAAGAATTTACTAATCTAGTCAGAAAAAAAGCTAATCTCTATGTCCCACATGCCCATATGTGTGATGGGCATACCAGGGAAACTGCTCTGATTAGTAAGGGATTTCAGAACAGTTAGGAAGCTGTAGAAACAAAGGGCAGTAAATAGCTATGGGAAGACAACATGGGTAGATGGGTCAGAAAGAAATGCAGAGAAAACAGTCACTTTTTGTCCCCACCAACCAGAGACAACTACTATTAACAGTTTGGTGTATTCCCTTACAGGCTAATATCTGCTCATCTTTTTCATTTGCTTCACATAGATATAATATGTGTGCTCGATTTTAAGCTCTGTCTTTATAACTTAAGGTAACACCAGGAATATTTTTCTGCTCTGTGGTTACTTTCTTATCACGTTCTGACACTTAGCAAGATTCCCTGGTTCACTACCACACTAACCATCAGATCACATAGGGGTCTGCAGATTTTATTTATTTTACATGGCCAGTCCCACGAATTAAAGGAACAGAAAAACAAGAAATTATGATTTAATTGATCTGTTAGGTTTTGAACTTCTATGAGGTTCCTGTTGCTCATTTAGTATCTAATTAATGAAAGTAATTTAATTATCTGCCTTCCTTTTCTTAACATCATCTCCTCACTCTCCTACTAGTCTTCCTGTGTCTCCCAAACAAACTAGCTGTCCTCAAAGCCTGAGGCTCACTTCCTGGGGGAACTCAAACTAAGACCGGTTGGCTGTGTCCCTTTCAATACAGATACCCTCCCGGTTGTTATAACAGTTCCATGTCCCTCCAGACTTAAGAGTAGCAAGGACTTTTGTGTTGCAATAGCCCATTTGTGTAGTTACAACAGAGACTATGTTGTCCACCAACGTAGAATATATTTACTATTGGGTCCTTTGCAAAAATAGTTTGCCAACTCCTGTTTTAGAGCAATTAAGGTTTAAAGGACTATGTTTTACCTTCATTTATTTTATTTCCAGTTCTTATCATTTCCTTGTGTGAATTCAAGTTTTTGACCCATATCATTTTTTTTTTTTTTGCCTGAATAACTTCAGACATTTCTTGTGAAGTGCAACTGCTGGCAATGAATTCTCTCAGTTTTTATTTTGTCTGAAGCTGTCTTTATGCCAAGTGACAGTTTTTTCATTTAACACTTTGTAGATTTCACTCCAATGTCTTCTTGCTTGCGTGGTTTCAGATGGAAAATCTGCTTTTTTCCCTCTAGCTACCTTCAAGAGTTTCTCTTTATTTTTGGTTTTCAACAGTTTAAATCTAATATGTCTAGGTATTTTGTTCTGTTTTTAATATTTATCCTGGTTGGTGTTTTCCTAGCTTTTTTGTTCTGTGGTTTGGTATCTATCACTACATTTGGAATACTCTCAGCCATTATTTTTTCAAATATTTGTTCTGCTCTTTGTCTCTTTTGTTTCAGGGATTCTAGTTACAAATATGTTTGAAAATATGATATTGTCCACAGTTCTGTTCTTCCATGAAGATATGCTTTCTCTCCTGTTCTTTCTTTCTCATCTCCTTGCATTGCAGTTTGGGTCATATCTAGTGGCCTATCTTTATGTTAACCAAATCTTTCCTTATCTCCATAGGGTCTACTGGTGAGCCCTTCAAAGGCATTCTTGATTTCTGTTACTGTGTTTTTTTTTTATGTCTTGCATTTTCATTTGAATTTTTTTATGTAATTGCTGTCTCTTTGCTGAAATTCTCTGTCTGACCTTGCATGTTGTCTACCTTTTCCATTAGAGCCTTTAACATACTCATCAGTTATTTTAAACTCCCTGCCTGACAGCTCAAACATCTGAGTCATATCAGAGTCCGATGCGTATGATTGCTTTGTGGCTTCAAGACTGTGTTCCTTCTTGTTTTGGGGTAAGGTACTTAGATTTTTTTATTGAAAGGGGACGATGTTGTATAACACAGTAGATACTGAGATAACTATATTTGATGCTTAAAAATGCCTACATTGGCCAGGCACGCTGGTTCATGCCTGTAATCCCAGCACTTTGGGAGGCCAAGGTGGGCAGATCACGAGGTCAAGAGATTGAGACCATCCTGGCCAATATGGTAAAAACCCCGTCTCTACTAAAAATAGAAAGATTAGCCAGGCATGGTGACGCATGCCTATAGTCCCAGCTACTCGGGAGGCTGAGGCAGGTAAATCACTCGAACCCGGGAGGTAGAGGTTGCAGTGAGCTGAGATCAGCCACTGCACTCTAGCCTGGGTGACAGAGCAAGACTCCGCCTCAAAAAAAAAAAAAAAAAGAAAAAAGAAAAAAGAAAAAAAAAATGCCTGCATCTTTCTTTCTGCCAGACCTTTAGTGTGGGAGTTTGTGTTAATCTAGTTAGGAGTTAGACTGGGTTAGAAGTTTGTTGTTGCTACTAAGTTGTCTGGATTGGAGTTTGTTCTTCATAGGACATTAGAGACTTTAGATTTCTCTAATCATCCCTTGTTCTTGGCTTTGAGCCATCCCTTTGTTCTGCTCCCCAGAGACAGTCTGTCTTTTGAAGCTCTCTTCACTGCATTCTACTGTTGCTTTTGCTCAAGGTAGTATGGTGGTGAGGTGAGGAAGGGAGCCATTCTCTGCTATTTTCATTCAGCTTCTGTCTTAAACAGGCAGGGTCAAACCGGGACTTGAGAATGTAACTTCACAACTGTTGCTGCTCTTATTCCAGAGGTGGCACATTTCCAGTCATAGGAGGCACCCACCAGTGTCCTTGGGCTATGATTTTGACACCCACCCTTCTGCACATTAAAACTCATTACTCTGTGGAGATAGGGATAAAGTATTGGGCAGAGTTGATGGTGGCTTCCTTTTCCCTCCCTCAACTAAAATGAAATTCCATAGAAACCTTCTCTTGCAGATTAAGTCCTTCTACAGTGGAGAAGAGGTGGGGTAGGTCTGGGTGAATTTAGACAGTGGCTACTGTTCCCCTTCTAAGCCAGTACCAAAAAGGGGAGCTTTCTCTGGATTCTCCATGCTCTTCCCTGCAAGAGCCTGCATAGGGTTCCTGGAGAAAAAGTCTAAAAGATGGTGGGAAATTCCCTAAAATTTTGGCCCCCAGCGGCTCACACTCTCCCACTAGTCTGCATTCAGCCTTTATAATTTCACTAAAATGTCTAGTTTAATTTCCTATCAGTTTTCTTTCTAGCCGTAGAGACCACATATTAGATGCTATTTTTACCTCCTCTCTCAGAGTCAGGACACAGCGTGGTTACGAGGACAGACGCTGAAGCCAGAACCCCAGCCCCTCCCCCCCCCCAGTTAAGAACTCTGACCACAAAGTAAATCACATCGCTCTGCCTCTGTTTCCTCCCCCGTAAGATGAGAATCACAACAGACCAATGTGAAAAGATGTCCCAAGGATGAGATGAGTTACATGTAAAGGATTTAGAGCAGTGCCCAAGAGGGAGCAGAGTACCCTGAATAAACGGCTGCTGCAATCACAGGCAGAAGCCGGGAAGAGGATCCATCCTGGTGGGGATCCACCTTGTCGGTGGATCATCTAATGCCCCCTCCCTTCCCTAGGAGGATCTGAGACCTGTGCAAAGGAAGTGTGCTGGCTGGACTGTAGGAGGATCCCTCAGAGTGGAATGAGCCTGAGGAGAGGGCAGGAGCTTCATTTCACACTCACCCCCAACATGAGTGGAGCAAATGAATGCTAACTTCTTCAAGGTCACAGGACACAGCTGAGGAAACATGGGCATTTGGGGTTTAAGAAGGTATTTTATCTTTCAAATTATTTCATATTAAAGTGGAAAAAAATGAAGATGACATTGCGAAAGTATTGCAATGGTTATATAAGATGTGTAAGATACCCAGCACGTTTCCTGCCACTCAGTGATTCCCTCTTTGAGTCTGGATCATATAAACTTTCAGGTAATCCCTGGACCTTGAGCACAGAGTACACTGATTTCTGTATGTCCTAATGTGTGAACATAATCAAGTTTCCAGAGGTTGAAGGGGAAGTCCTGGGAGGTGCAGTCCAACCCTGACAACCCTGCTAAGCCTATGCTCCTGTTGGAAGGGGGCTGGTACACACAGACCTAAAGAGGGATTCTGTGCGGGTGTCCTGACATCTCTCATCTGTGATTCCAGCAAGCACATAACTATCTCCATTTCCTTTTTCCTGAGAATTTATCTTGTAGGTCAAAACAGATCTAGGAACATCATTTTCAGCTACAGCCCCTAAGTGAATTGAGAGGGTCATGTTGTTGAGGAAAATGCATCAAGTTATGTCTCAGCCAGTATAAGCGGCTAGATACCACCCCAGATAGTATTTGGACTTTTAATATTTTTCTCTGGAAATTAATATTTCAGGTTGCTCCAATTTCTTGTATCCAAAACAAGCTGTAAGCAAAGAAGAGAAATCCATATGAAGACCTGAGGTATAAAGATGCACCATTAAATAATTTACTTGCTCTCTCCTCAAGAGTCAAAATGATGGGGAACCCGTAAGAGTCCAGAGAGAGGAAAAGATGATGCTTCCAGCAACGACATCCTGCTGTGTCCCAAGGAGAAGGCAGGGAAGTGTGTGCTTGATGCCCAGTGGGCTCAATAATCACAGCAGTAAATGACCTCATCTTCATGTTTGTGAAATTTACTTTCAAGGTTGAAGTGGAAGGATGAGCATCATTGTAAGCCACAACACCTAATGGACCCTGAGCAGGTGCGATTGTCAACACACATCCAATGCCGACTTAGGTTTCAGCTGACACCAGTATTTGACTTCATTTTTAGTCTTGGCTGGATATTTTACAAGGTATAAAAGCATCCTTATCTTTTGCCCTGGGTATTTTAAATTTGTGCCAACTTTAACGCCCTGAGAATAACTGTAAGCAAAGAAAATTAATTCTCATGAACACCTGATATGTAAAGATGAAGTGATAAAGAATTTCTTCACCTGATATACAAAGTGAAATGACTGGAGCAAACCCCAAGGTGAATCCCTACATGCTCCTGGTGCTGACATGCTCTGGTCTGCCAGGCTGTGTTCCCAAGAAGAAGCAGGAAAGTGAGGATGCCTGTGCCTAGAATGTTTAGTGTGTGGCAAGGGTAGCTTGGTCTGAGCAGGTGTCAGGGAAAGAAGTAGTGGGTCACAGTGATTCCCTGACAACCCTTTCTGTAGAGTGCAGCGTTGTCAGATCTGAAATGGCTGGCCCTCTAAATACTCCAGTGCCCAGGAGATCTGGCAATATGGTGATGGTTAGAGGAGAACTCTTCCTATGAAGGGTGAGGTGTGGGTGAGTGGTGACAGTGGCAATTAACTTCAATTTCTCTCCCCTTCCCTGTTGCCTCCTATTTCGTTTTTCAGTAGCCCTAGTGATATGAGGATATGTGATATGTGGATATGAGGATACAGTGATATGTATTTTGTACTCAAAGCAAAAATTACTCTTCCTGTGGGTTGAATGTGGATCTAAAACTCAAGGTTATAAAACACCTGTATTTCTCACTATATAAAATACTGAAAATTTGTGCTGATTTTATAACAAATTTTATAAATGAAAATAAAAGTACATATACGTGGACAATTGAGTATATTTGTTTAATTAATTGGGAGGATGCCATCTATTTCAGCCCCAGAGAGGCCAAATATCAGTTCAATATTGCTCTCCAGAAATTAGAGAGGACACTAGACACAACCATCCTATGGAAATGGGATTGGCTTGCACTTGTACCAGACTGTGGAGCTTATATCTTGAACAGTTTGGCCCTTAGACTCCCACTCCCCACACCATAGTATGTAGGAGGGACCTTCTGAAAAGAGCTTCTGACGCAGTAGGCCTGGGCTGAGGCTTGACTGACTGGATTTAAAAGAAGCTCCTAAGTGAAGCCAATGCTGCTGGTTCACAAATCAAACTTTGAGTACCAAGGACTTAGAGTATTAGTCTAAATAATTTTATTTTCTAATATGCAATAATAACTCATATGATTAATGTAGTGCTTCAATTTGTTGAGCATTAGGCATGCCCCAAGCACTTGCAAGAACTTTATTTGTATTATTTAAGTTACTTTTCTCAACAGTTTATTTGAGTAATCATTATTATGTTCTCCATTTTACAATTAGGAAAATGAATCAAATATATGCTAACTAATTTATCTGAAGTCACACAGCTAATATGGGGAGGGTGGATGTGTAACAAAGGGTCATTAAAGAAAAATTGAGAAATTGGGAAACACTAAATATGAATAAATGTCACTCATGAGTCTATCACTCTAGGACAGTGACTGAAAATCATTTTCTGTAAAGACCCAAATAATAAATATTTTGGGCTTTGTGGGTCTCTGTTATAGCTACAGTCATCTCTCAGAATCTTCAGGGGATTTGTTCCAGGATCCCCGACAGATACCAAAATCCATGTATGCTCAAGTCCCTGATATAAAATGGCATAGTACCTGCATATAACAAATGCACATCCTCCTCTACACTTCAAATCATCTCTAATTATGTATAATACCTAATACAATGTAAATACTATGTATGTAGTTGCTATATTATATTGTTTTTATTTGTATTATTTTTATTGCTGTATTGTAATTTTTTATTTTTTTCAAATATTTTTGATCCACTGTTGGTTGAATTCGCAGGTATTTAATGCACAGATAGTGAAGACTGACTGAATGTACTCTACCATTCAAGTGCAAAAGCAGCTAGCAAAAGCAGCCATAAACAATATATAAATAAATAGGCATGGTTGTATTTCAATAAAACTTTATTTACAAAACTGGAGACTGCTGGTCATAGACATAGTTTGCTGACCTTCTGCTCAATAGTAACCAGTATTAACATGAAGGTTGGTATTTTTGTTTTTTTTTTTCTGAGAGCTATAGAGTAGTGATATGATTAAGTGGAAAAACATAAAAATAATTTTAAGTGTGCCATATATAGTTATATTTTATGTTGTTATATAAACAGTTTCATTATTAAATGCATGAATCAATAAAATATTGAAGCCATTATGGCATACATCTTTAAAAGTAGTAGCAGCTTTTTGTTACAATGTGTAAAATCTGTGCAAGTACCAAGAAGATGTTAAAATCACCCATCCTTTCAGAGACACCCACTCTTTAAACTTTGGAGAATTTTTTTCCTTTTGCTCGTTCTTCAATATATACATGTATGTACATGAGAGCTTACTATTTAAATCAGTTCTGTGTTCAATATCCTCCTGCTAAATACATGGTGAATATTTTCAATTTTACTTATAGTTCTTCAAAAACACTGCTTAATTGCTACATAGTATTTCATTACTTTAAATTCACACAGATACGGTGTCTCTTTCCTTCCTCTTCCTCACTCTAGTGTGTCTCTAAGTTTTCTTCCCCATAAATCTCCCAGGAGTCTCTTAAAAAGTCAAAGTGACTGCATCTTCTAAGACCTGACCTTGTGTGGCCACTACAGTCACTCTACACTGCTCTTTTGAGGATTAAATAAAATAATCCATGTAAAATACTTAACACTGACATTGTGAAAAGCTGAATTCCATCTTTTCATTCACCTATTTCTTGAAAAGTTCATGTTCTCAGGCTCTGTATTTCCTTAACAATCTTCTTCCCTTTGCTTTTATGTATGCATCAGGTGAGAGGTGAGGTCTGTTGAGGACTCACTCAGGCGCTCAGGTCATTCTCCCTGTGGACCACCATGGTCAGGAATCATGGCGGACAGGATGCGGGACTCCAGATTCTGAGTCTGCACCTGGAAAGGGGCTGACCTGCCATGGAGGCTCCTGGTATTCCCTCATTGGGCTTTCAATAGCATTTCTCCTCTTATCCTATCAGGATGGTACAAGCTGATTCTCAGAAGGGAGAATGGAGAAAAAATACGTTGCAATTACTTCAAGGACTGTAAGTAGACTGCATGTATGGCAATATGCTGTCAGATATCCATAGTACTAAAGGTATAAATAGGAGAAAATCTTTGAAACTCCGGATTTTTCATCATTAATTTGTTGTTTGAAAGTTTCAAAGAAGTGAGAGAGGACTTTTACAGTTTTACAGTTTTATATTTTGTTTCATTATTTTTTGAAAGTTCCCAACCACCCAATGATTAATCATGGAATAAACATAAAATAATTGTCAATCATTATTTCTTATTTATTAATTTCTGAGGGGTATTATTATGGTTATTTCCTTTACCGATGCAGGAAGCATGTATTATCTTTCTTCTTAACTATCTAATCCTATTTTACTCAGGATTTTTAGTTTTCTTTGCAGAACCCTGAAAGACAAGATCTCCAAAGCATAGCCCCCATCCTGAGATCCCCCACTGTGCCTAGGAGCTGGGTTCCACTGCACAGTGCTTGTTTTGTCCCAGCACTGAGCCCTGAGTGTGAAGTGAGCTGCATGCTCTTCCTCTAGGACACAGGATTTATACTTTCATCTCTCATATACCCCAAACAGGTGATTGTTTACTTACAGATCTACTTACTTGTCCCTAGATTTCTTCAGGATGGCCTCAGGTGCGAATAAAAAGCACACAGTTACTATGTTTGACAGATCACTCTAACTTTGAAAACCTCCAATGCTCATGAACCAAATGGGAAAATAATGATAACAGCAGGGAATATCTATGTAAAATATATACTGCTTCCTACTTTCATTCTGAACCAGTTACTAGAAATCTCTACGTAGCGAATTACTAGACAGATGAATTTTGCTCTAAGCCACCCACTCTGTATTTTCAGAGTTCCCAGATATCCTAATGTTGTAGGAAATAGTGTCAAAATGTCCCTAATTTGGATCCTAATTGCTGACACTGATATGGGATTGGGGGAGGGAAGTGCAGGGAAAGGAAGGACGTGGTCCCTGTCGAGGGCCCCACTCCCAGGCCTGTGCCCACGGACCTAGGTGAGGACAGGCACTCCTGCCTCCACGCCCAAATGTTGCATTTCCCAAGACCACCCTGGCCCGCCACGCCTCCATCTTGTGCCTATAAAACCCCTGAGACCCTAGTGGGCACACACACAAGTGGCTGGACATCGAGAGGAACACTAATGTGGAAAAGCACACCTACAGAGACTGGCGGGCTGCAGGCCATCGACTGGCAGAACAAAGCAGAGTTTGGCGAGACTGGCGGGCTGCAGGCCATCGACTGGCAGAACAAAGCAGAGTTTGGCGGGGTGGTTGGAGGAAAGCCTGGCCGCTGAGCAGTCAACTCCAGGGGAAAACCACCTTCCCACTCCATCTCCCGTCTGGCTCCCCCATCTGCTAAGAGCTACTTCCACTCAATAAAACCTTGCACTCGGCCAGGCGCGGTGGCTCACACCTGTAATCCCAGCACTTTGGGAGGCCGAGGTGGGCAGATCACGAGGTCAGGAGTTCGAGACAATCCTGGCTAACACGGTGAAACCCCGTCTCTACTAAAAATACAAAAAATTAGCCAGGCATGGTGGGGGGCGCCTGTAGTCCCAGCTACTCGGGAGACTGCCCAGGAGAATGGCGTGAACCCGGGAGGCGGAGCTTGCGTGAGCCGAGATTGCGCCACTGCACTCCAGCCCAGGCGACAAAGCGAGACTCCGTCTCAAAACAAAAACAAAAATAAAAAACTTGCACTCATTCTCCAAGCCCACATGTTATCCAATTCTTTCAGTACACCAAGGCAAGAAACCCAGGGATACAGAAAGCCCTCCGTCCTTGCAATAAGGCAGGGGGTCTAATTGAGCTGGCTAAAGCAAGTCACCTATGGACAGCCAAACTAAAAGGACACCTTGTAACACAGGCCCACTGGGGCCTCAGGAGTTATAAGCATTCACCCCTAGACACTGCTGTGGGGTCGGAGCCCCACAACCTGCACGTGTGCATGCTCCCCCTAGAGGTTTGAGGAGAGGGGCACCAAGAAGGGAGCCACATCCTTATCGCACGCCCTGAGAGGGAACAAGAAAACTTTTCCCGTTTGGACACCATGAATCACCAATGTGATTCTGCACACCAAGGGAGCAGAATCTAAGATGTCTTCCTGCAACATTCCAGAAGAGCTGCAGGGAGGGCAGGCTCCGGCTGGGCACCCAGCTGAGCAAACCGCTGTGGTTGCCCACATGGAGAAGGATGTGGACAGGCACAGACTCGGAGATAGTTTCTGTGTAGGTTATCTTGACAACTCTAACACTGTGGTGCCTAATCCAGCAGGCACAGTGGTACACCACCTCATCTTCTTTCTCTAAGAACTTTATTTTCAAAGTGGAAGTGGAAGTGTGAGCATTTTTACTTACCTCAAGTTTCTTAGTCTTCCCACCTGAGCAATCTTGAGCAGAGATTGTCAAGAAGACATGTAATAAATATTCTAAGCCTTTGTTTGGTTTCTGCCAGTACCAGTGTATGATTTTACTGCTAAAGCCTTGGATGGATGCCTTCCAAGATATGTGGGCACTCTTATTTGCTGGTCTGGAAATAGATATTTCAGGTTGTTCCAACTGCCCAAGTGCAATTGCAAGTGAAGAGAAATTCCCATAAGCCAACGATACGTGAAGAGGTAATAATACAGAATGACTTCAATCTCTTCTGTAGACTGAAATGATTAGGGGGCAACTCACAAACCCAGAGGGAGAAGAAGATAACAGCTACTACCAGTGGCATGCTTTCTGCCAGTCTGGTTCCCCAGGGAGAAGGTAACCCTGTTCACTGGAGGTCTCAAGTCAGTGGCAGAAGGCGGGGCTGTTGAGGTCTCTCAGAAGTACTAGATGAGGTGGTTCCTTAGGGTTCTTCATGAGCTGCTACAGTTATGAGCAGTTCCAGGGTTTCCTGCATCCCATGAGTGCTGGGCAGATCGGGTAAGTGGGTTAACTATCTGGAAAGAAATACCTAGTATGAATGTGTACCTCTAGGGGTGGGGCAGGGATGTTCTCTTGCCCACTCTCCCATTCCCCAGCAGTACCATATTGCAGAAATATGGCTTTGAAAATGTGAAGATAAACCTGCAGTGTTCTGTCCCAATGACTATCTTTCTGTAATTAGCTGTTAATTCAGAACTGCAGTAAGAAACTTGACAAGCATCTAATATCCATTTACAACTTGCTACTTGTCTAGATGTTTTCTTATATTATTTTACTTGATCCTCTCAACAGTCCTGTGCAGTAAGTTTTATGATTATCTCCATGTGTCAAATGAGGACAACGGCAAACAGAGTTTGAGTGACTCATTCAAAAACACAGAGCTGGTAAACATAAGAACTCAGGTGAGTAGCAGTCATCCGTTAAGGAAAATCTGAGTAAAATGAGATATAAAAATTGACAACAAAAGGCACCCATCATTTACTTTTCCTTTGAATTTTTCTCAACATATTTATGGTTGGAAATAGAATAGCTTGGTATTGTTCATTGCAGCACTATTCACGGTAGCAAAGACATGGTATTAACCCAAATGCCCATCAATGATAGATTGGATAAAGAAATTATGGTACATATATACCATGGAGTACTATGCAGCCATAAAATGGAAGGAGATCATGTCCTTCACAGGAAAACGGATGAGCTGAAAGCCATTATCCTCAGCAAACTAATGCAGGAACAGAAAGCCAAACACTGCATGTCCGCATTTATAAGTGGGAGCTTAATGATGAGAACACATGGACACAGGGAGAGAAACAACACACACTGGGGCCTATTGGCGGGCAGGGTGTGGGGAAGGATAGCATTAGGAAAAATAGCTAATGCATGCTGGGCTCAGTACCTAGGTGATGGGTTGATAGGTGCAACAAACCACACAGCACACGTTTACCTATGTAACAAACATGCACATCCTGCACATGTACCTCAGAACTTAAAAGTTAAAAATTTTTAAAAAAGAAATAGAATGGCTTGGTATTATTTATACATATGATATATGTATATATTTCGGTGGGATTTACATATTTGGCTTTATACTCTCTTATTTTGGTTACTTTATTATCATGAGCAATACTGCAGGTCTTGAGTCTATGTGCACATTATTTTTAGTGACCGAATACAATTAAACACTCCTATACCACTTAACCCTATAGAATGTGGGCTGAGTTATTTAAGCTCTTGGGCCTCAGTTTCTACATGTGTACCTTGCCTACATATATATCTTCTAGAGGTACTAAGGGGCTTATATTATCGTGTTACACAATGGTAATGCATAAAATACTCAGATATCAGTACCTGGCACAGCATGAGTCCTTAATGACGTTATCGTGTCTTAGTATTACTACCAAACAAGAGAAAATTACTTTGTTAAGTATATCTTACAACAAAGCCTTAGTATCTCACTTAAGAAAATATATAAAAATTAGTAAAAGTACATAGAATAATTTAAATAATTATTCCCTCGGGAATAATTATTCTAAAATTTTGGATAATTTCTTTCTGTTTTTAAAAAATTATTCTATCAACACAGACATTTATATTTTTAAGAGGTTTTGTACACTTCAAGAACTTTTCTTTACATTGTATTGTGAAGATGTTTGAATTTTATTAATAAATGCATACAATATCATTTTCACAGGCTGCATAGTATTCTGTCATTTGAATGCACTATGAATCTAGTATCTCTTTCTCTGTTTCTCACCATTTAGTCTGATGCCTGAAAGGCTGCAGGAGAGCTCTGCTCTATGATCTGGACACAGGGATCTGGCAGTGGATACCTCATTGCTGCTCTCTGAGGCTGTTTTGAGTAGTAGATGAGACAACCACGAGAAGAGGGTGACACAAGTATTTCCGCAAGCCTGTCTATGCATCCCTGTCTGAAAACAGCTTATCCTCTCAGATTCGCTGTGTTTTTCCTCAGATCTTACTGTCTACTTTAGCTAATATTAAAGTTAACAAGTAAAGGCCCATATAGGTTCAAGAAACCAAGTGTGGCCCACCCTGAGGGAATATGATGGTCAGGAATTACACAGACAGGATGTGGATCACAAAAGGCTGAGTGCATCGGGGTGGGAGGATAAAGGATGACGGATTGTCTGATTCCAGCCCCAGGTCAGCCTTTCCTGGAACCCCCTTTATTTCCTTCAGTAGCCTTCCTGGCTCCTTGGAAAAGGGGATGATGAGGATGAATATGTTGTCCTGACCTTGGAAATTATCGAATAAGTAAGACAACACGTGGCACGAATGCAAGGTGGTATCTATATTTTTCCATGGGGGTGCCTAGTATGTACTGCTATAGGAAAAGTACATGGATTAAAGGTATTCTTCATTTCTTTCTCAATTATTTTAGAGATGGCATCATAAAATAATCGAATTTGTATCACTTTATATTTTGAAAAAATGGATAATTTATTGGTATTTCACTTATTCAACAAGGATTCCTAATTGCTCAAATTCTGGTCACCTGATTCAGTTCAAAATAATAATTGTGCCAGTAAATGTTTTACAGAAGTTGTCAGTATTGTCTTCTCCATGGGAGTAGGAACAATGTACTTCTCTTTACCCTTCTGTGACTGAGGAGTACAGACTCTGGAGCCAGACTAGCTGGGTCCAATCCTACACTGCCATGAACCAGCTGTGTGACCTGGATGAGTGGCTAGGACAAATAGATCTCACTTACCTGAGTAAAATGCACTTCTGTTCATAACAGAACAGACCTCAGAGGTTGCCAGAGGTTAAAGGAGTTAATAAATGCAAAGTATGGCTCATTTAACAGTCCGATGCCTGGGGCTCTTTTCTGATGATATCACACTGTCACACCCCTTAGTGTGAAGTGAGGAACCATCTTCTTCTCTACAGAAAAAAGACACTTGCTCCACCCCAAAGTCACCTCAAAGAGTCTGTTGTACAACTGTGACTTTTAGATATTCAAGGTGGCCTCATGATCCAGTTTTAAAAAACAAAAAACATGCACTTCTCAACTTCGACCAGTCATTTTGAACTTGTAAGCTTTAATTTCTTTATTAAAATGGGCAAATAATAGTTCTGTTGCAGAGGTGTTGAAATAATTATATATGGGATTCCTATACACAACGATTCTCTCCCTTGGCCTAAGCCGTTTGCAGTTAATAGAATTATCTGGATGCTGACAGGAATGGGACCTTAGCCTGTGTCCACTCATTCCCAGGCCAAACCTTAATTCATTAGGAAGTAGTGTTCAATGAATATCTGGGAACGTCATGATCAGGCATGCTTCCTGCTTAAAGCATTAACCCAAGATGGCTTCCCAGAAAGATCCAGAAGTGCCGCAGAGAAGGCAAGGCTGAGGGTGGGAGCCCAGCTAGGAGTCCATAGAGTTTGCTCCCATGGGAAGGATGTGGTTGGGCAGAGACCCAACAGAGGTTGTTGTGTGGGACAGTGTGGCACTGATGCTGTGGGTCCTAAGCAGTGCAGTAGTAAATGGCCTCATCTTCCTTTCCTATGAAGTTTATGGTAAAGACTGAAGTAGACATTTGAAAATTTGTTCTTGCCTCAAGTTTCTTGTTTTTCTCACCTAAGCAAACTCGAACTGGGGCTTGTTATTGAAGTGATATTTGTCAGATGGCTCATAATTTAGATTCAGTTTCTGCTGGTACCAGTGTATAACTATATTTACAAAGTCTTCAGTGGACACCACACAAGATACCTAGACACTTTTATCTGTTGCTCTGTTGACAAAAATGTAGTTGACATTTTTTATTGCTTTAAATTTAACTTACCAAGTTCAACTGCAAACAAAAAAGAGAAATCCCCATGAACCTGGGACATAGAAAGAGGAAATGATAATGAAACACTTTCATCTGGCCAGGTGTGGTGGCTCATGACTGTAATCACAGTACTTTGGGAGGCCAAGGAGGGCAGATCACATGAGGCCAGGAGATCGAGACCAGCCTGACCAACATGGCAAAACCCTGCCTCTACTAAAAATAAAAAAATAAGCTAGGCACAGTGGCGCATGCCTGTAATCTTAGCTACTTTGGAGGCTGAAGCACAAGAGAGAATTGCTTGAACCCAGGAGGCAGAGGTTGAAGTGAGCTGAGATCACACCACTGCACTCCAGCCTGGGTGAAAGAACGAGACTGTCTTAAAATAAAAGAAAAAAAGAATCACTTTCATCTCTCATCTATGTTGAAATAATTGAGGAGCAACTCACCGCTGCAGAGGGAGAAAAATATGAATATTCTCAGCAGGGACATCCTGCTGTCTGCTGAGCCATATCCCCAGGAGAAGGACCCTGGTTGCTGGCTGGCCCCAGTCAGTGGGGAGACAGCATGGCATGACTTGGTGAGAGAGAAAAATGTGGTGGGTCAGGTGCCCTCTGGGGACTTCATGGCCTACTGAAGAGCTGAGCAGTTCCCAGGAGCATTACACTGACCACTGACGGGGTGTAGGGTGCATTACCTGACAAGAATGTGTCTGTGGAAAGGGATGGGAGCAGCTCTGGAGTTGAACTAATTCTGCTTCAAACTTAGCTGTTCTCTCCTTGATTTTCAGACTGTACAATATTTTTCCAGATATATAAGCATATAACTTTCTTTACCTCACGTAAAAATTGATCCCTCTGTTAATGTTTTGGGGATGCAGGACTCAGGAGTATAAAACATGGACAGTATTTTACAATTTTAAAAAAGGCAAACTGAAATTTTACACTAGCATTATTCATACCTCATTTAAAAAGCTATAGTCATTTCTGTTTGAAATACAGTAAAGTATTTGGTTTATAATTAATTGGGATGTCACAATGCAGATTATAACTCAGAGAAATCCAATTTCACTTATAAAGAGGGTGCACCTCAAGAGGAAACTTGATTGAAATTGCTGGAGGGACCGACAGGGCAGTCTGTGGGAACTCACCTTGGACTTCAGAACTATCTCATGAACACTATGTCACAGAGAGGGGTGTTTTTAAATAAAGTTCATTTTTATGTGTAATCATAAGCCTTTAAAATTAACGTTATATCAAACATCTATTGTAGACTTGCTAACATTGTTCTAAACGTTTTCTTCCATTACTTCCTTCACACTTCTCACCAGCGTTGAGAGGCAGTGGTATTATTATCTCTCTCTGATAGACAAGAACAGTGTGGCACGCATGACGTCCCAGATCACAAAGTTGGTAAACATGGGAGCTTGGATAACTACCCAATCCTCACTGAAGAAAACCTGACCAAATGTTGCAAAATGATGAAAATATTTTGAGAAGACTCTAGTAGAACATTAATTAGTTAATTAAAATAAAGAAAATAAGAGCAATCAGAATTTACTTTTAAGCATGTTCTCTACACATTTGTAGATAGTAATATATTTGTTTGGATCATTACACAGGATCACAGGATTAAATTTTTTTTTTCTTTTAGACAGAGTCTTGCTCTGTCACCCAGACTGGAGTACAGTGGCACGATCTCGGCTCACAGCAACCTCCACTTCCCGGATTCAAGCAATTCTCCTGCCTCAGCCTCCTGAGTAGCTGGGACCACAGGCGTGCACCACCACACCCGGCTAATTTTTGTATTTTTAGTAGAAACGTGTTTTACTATATTGGCCAGGCTGGTTTCAAACTCCTTACCTCGTGATCCGCCCACCCTGGCCTCCCAAAGTGCTGGGATTTCAGGCGTGAACCACTGCACCCAGCCATGATTAAACGTTTTTTAATGGGTTTTACATTTACAGTTTTATATTCTGATCTTTTAATTTTATATTTAAAAATATATCAGGTCCTTCAAAAGCTCATCTGAATATTACTATTAATGACCTATGACAATATGCACCCTTCTAGACTACTTACCCTATCTAACATCAGCTGAGTTATTTGAAATCTTTAGGTCTCAGTTCTACATCTATAAGTGCCTAAATGGCTTCCAGAGACTTAAGAAATTTACATGATCACATAATAATGATAATGAACATGAAGTATAGATAACAGTACCTGTCACGTACCTAGATATGGAAAACCCAAATTTCTTATGTTTTTATATTGAAAAGTCAATCGGTGGCCGGGTGCAGTGGCTCACGCCTGTAATCCCAGCACTTTGGGAGGCCAAGGCTGGCGGATCACGAAGTCAAGAGATCGAGACAATCCTGGCTAACACAGTGAAACCCCGTCTCTACTAAAAATACAAAAAATTAGCTGGGCGTGGTGGCGGGCGCCAGTAGTCCCAGCTACTCGGGAGGCTGAGGCAGGAGAATGGGGTCAACCCGGGAGGCGGAGCTTGCAGTGAGTGGAGATGGCGCCACTGCACTCCAGCCTGGGCGACAGAGCGAGACTCAGTCTCAAAAAAAAAAAAAAAGAAAGAAAAGTCATTTGGTACTTTATTGGCATTTTACTTGTTCTCTGAATACACCTAATCACTGGAACCCTGGGCACAAGTTTCAGCACACGGTAGTAATGTGTGTCAGTTACTGTTCCATGATGGTCAGTTCTGTCTCCTCCATGGGGACAGGAACAATGTGTCTTTTCTTTTATACTCCTGTGATTCAGAAGCAGTTTAGTGTCATATTCAAGAGGAACCAGATTACCTGGGTCCCTCCCTAGGCTGTCCTGCCACCTATCAGCTCTGTGATTTGGACAAGTGCATGAACTAATACTCCACTTATTTCAGGAGTTAGATATGTTTGATGAGAACAACAGAGCAGACACTATAGGTAGTGTGGGTTAAAGGAGCTAATATATGCAAAGAATTGAGAACACTGTAGAGAACTTACACACACACACACACACACACACACACACACACGATACAATTCTCTCTTCCTTTACAGGTAAGACCAAAGGTTATTCCAACATGAAGGGTCTCATCCAATGGCCCCTGGGATGACTTGGAGCTCTATTCTGACGATCTCATGCAGGCAAATTCTCCTCCCTACCCCTCCCAGAAAAAAGGGCACTTACTCCTTCCCGAATTTATCCCAGATATCCTAGCATTTACTTAGAGAATTGCAATCCTTAAACTGTTCGGTGTGGTCTCATAGACCAGCTCAAAGACATGACTTGTCTGGCAGATCATGCAACCTCAGTTCTCTAAGCTTTCATTTCTTTCATTGTAAACTGGGCCAGTGATAGTTATATTGCAGGGGGGTTGTCTTGACTGTACGTAATAAGGATCCCTGTCTCAACTGCACCTTGCTACTTACTGGAAGTCTCTAGGTGGTGATATGATGGACAGTGGCACGACCTATGTTCTCTCAGTCCCCAGACAAGTCTTTAATGCATTAAGAAACAGTGTCAAATAAAGATTCTGGAGCACAAGTCCTGGGATCAGGTGGGAACGAAGGTATAACCCATAACAGCTTCCTGGAAAGCCCCGGAAGAGCCTCAGAGAAGGCGAGCCTGAGTCTGGGAGCCCAGCTGGGGACTGGCTGTGGTTGCCCCTGTTGGGAAGGATGTGGTGGGCACAGACCCTGGGAGGGGATTTTGTGCATGTTGTTTCAACAGTTCTAGTATGGTGTAATCCCACGCAGCACAGTAGTAAACGGCCATGTCTTCTTTCTCTACGGACTTGATGGTAAGGATTGAAGTGAGAGTTTGAGAATTCTTTCTTGCCTCCACTTTGTTGCTTGTCTTACCCATGCTGCGTCGAGCTGCGGATTTTGTTGAGACAATATAGATCAGGTGCTCCAAAGCCTGATTTGGTTTCTGCCGGTACCAGTGAATGACATCTGTTTCAAACCTTGTGCTCGATATCTTGCAAGGTATGTCAATACTTTTCTTGACTTCCGTGGAAATGGATAGCTGGAACTGCTCCACTTTTGATAATCCAAGTCCAACTGTAAGTAAAAGAGGAGAATTTCCAATGAACATCTGACAGTAGAAGAGGGAAACATTGAAGAATGATTTTGGTCACGCAGCTAGACTGAAATGTTCGGACAGCAACTCAGGAGCCCAGGAGGAGAAGGCAAATGCTTCCAGCAGTGACATCCTGTCTTCGGGGCGGTGTACCCAAGGAGAAGGCAGGAAAGTGCGGACCTGGTGGCTAGACGACTCTGGTCAGGTTCTGGAGGGTGTGGCCTGAACTGGGGAGAGAAAGAAAATGGTTTTTTGGGCCCTTCAGTGCCTCCTGCAGGCTCAGCACTGAGCCCCCCTCCTGCTCACCCTGCTTATCTCAAATCAGGCTAGCAATCTCGATGGTGTTCTCTGCACGAATGTGAGGGGGCCATGGGGGTTGCTTAATTTCTGTGGAAATGAGAAGGATTTCTAATTGCCTAGGAGTTGTTCGTGAACACTTTTCCTCAGCATAATATTTTAAATTGTTGCATATTTAATAAACATTAACTTTTATAATAGCAAATACTTATTGAGCATTTTCTATTTGCTAGCCTTTTTTTTTTCTAAACGTTTTTCACCTTCTAATCTTCACAATGATCACTTAATATGGGTACTTGGAATTTTCATTTTTTGGATGAGGGAATGAGGCACAGAGTCATCAACTCCACAGAAGTCACACAGCTGATAGGTAGAACATGCTGGTAACAGTGCTCATTGAAGAAACTCAGAGCAATGGGGAAAGATAACAATAAAAACATCTACGGTCATATCACAAAGGCCCACTACTATTCACATTATCATATGCTCACTTGTAGATATTTTCATTTTGGATACATGAATATTAATATGATTTTATGGACTATAGATATATTTACATGTATAGTGTTCTGTATTCTTTCAGTTCAGCTTATATTCTGAGCAACTTCCCATGTCATTGGAGAATTTTTTCTTTACATATATTTTTTGAGACAAGATCTTGTTCTGTCACCCACCCTGGAGTGCAGTGGCACACTCATGGCTCACTGCAGCCTCAACCTCTGAGGCTCAAGCAATCCTTTCATCCCCAGCCTCTTGAGTAACTGGGAATACAGGTGCACACCACCATGCCTGGCTAATTTTGTATTTTTTGTAGAGACGGGGTTTCACCATGTTGCCCAGGCTGGCCTCCGACTTCTGAGCTCAAGCAGTCCACCCACCTCAGCTTCCCAAAGTGCTGGGATTACAGGCGTGAGCCACTGCACCCAACCAAAACATGTTTTAATGTCTAACTGTTCATCTTTATCACATAGGGGCTGTCTGACCCTGTGCAAACTTCTTAATCTCTTTGTGCCTCAAATCTCTCATCTGAAAATGGATACAATAATAACACTGGTATTAAAATTTTATGCAGACTAAATAGCTAAGTACACCTAGTATAGTTCCTGACATATAGTAAATTTTCAGTAATTATTAGATATTATTACTACTACTCCTACCACTACATTTTTATCTCCCCTCCACTTCTTATTTTTATTTTTGTAGAGATAGGGTCTTGCTATGTTGGCCAGGCTGGAGTGCAGTGGTGTGATCATGGCTCACTGCAGCCTTGAATTCCTGGGCTCAAGCCACCCTCCTGCCTCAGCCTCTTGAGTAGCTAGGACAACAGGCATGCACCACAATGCACAGTTTCCCTCCACTTCCAGCCATTTAATTTCCCCAACAGCTTTCATTGTTAAAATGCTTTGCTGACTGTTTTGAAGTAGTAACCTGGCTAAATCAAGGGAAAACAGTCAAATATTGTTAGTACTTCATTTTTCCACATTACAGAACTTCTCTTTTCCTCCATTCAGCTCCATTTTATGATTTCCATGTGGCTTTCTTGGAGATCTTCTGGTGCCTCAGGGCTCACTTAACCTTGGACAGTGGTTGTCCCTGTCACTTTTGTCCAGCTCTGGCTCGTGTTTTGTGGGACAGGTATGAACTCCGACAGCTTGGGTCCTCCCTAGGAGACAGGAGAGGAAGCAGCTGGCTCGGATGGCTCCTCCTAAAGCAGTTGCCCTGTTCACCCTCTTTTCTGAAAAATACTGTTTTTGAGACACTCAATGCTGGGGAGTCGAATATTGAGGAGGTGGAGGTCAGCAGACCAATGGGCCTGTGGCTACAACTAGAAGGACTCACTCTTCCCCTGCACAGGATGTGTCCTGGGAATGGGAAGTAAGAGAGAGCGCCCATGCTGCAGATTGAGCCAGTCTGCAGGGCCCGGCTTAGAGCCCTGGTGCTGCCACAGCCAGGGCAGCCACGGCCACGCTGGAACTCACTAGGCACCCTGCACACTCCATCCCTGCCAGACAGTTCCTTCCAGACCCTGCAACTCCAGCAGCCGTGTGTGTGTGTGTGTGTGTGTGTGTGTGTGTGTGTGTGTGTGTGTGTAATGGAGGGGTTGTGAGGAGTGTATCTAATTGCTGGAGTCCATAGTCTACCTGACTACCTGGAATAAAGGCTGAGAAAATGCATCAGGCATTCTTCTTTTCTGTAGAGGGAGATGAATTCATTCACTCACCAAAACCCATGAGGTGAAAATTCCCTAAACACAGGAAAGCGTTACTAGGAGTCAAGAAGAAAGACAAATGGACACTTTTAAGACACTTTTTTGTTTGGTTTTTTATTTGTTTTTTCAAACAAATAAAGTGAACAAAGGCAGAATTTATATTATTGAAAACATTGTCAGAAAACAGATACTCACTTTTCATAATATTAATAGTTTGCATTAATTGAAGGCATTGTCTGTAGCAGGCTCTGTGCTGCAAGCAACTTTTTCCATTATCTATTAAGTGAGGATTCTTATTATTGTTCCCATTTTCTAGGTGGGAAAATAGAAGCTTTGACCTAGCAGGCATTTTATTCAAGATCAAGGCATTTTTACAGAGCAGGCATTTTGTTCAAGTATGCACTTTGTTCTGGCAGGAGTTAAGTGACAGGACAGTAATTTGCGACAGAGGGTCTAACTCTAGAACTTGTGTGCTTAATGAAACCTTTTATTTCTCCCAAATATATCAATTATACAGATATATGTATACACAAACATATATATGTACATAATGTACTTGTGCATGAATAAATTTATTCTTCTTTTCTGTTGCAGATATAAATATTTCTGATTGTGCCATTTTGATTACCCAACTAGGAAAAGAGACAGAGAGACAGAGAATAACATAGGCTTTTGAATGAACACCTGAAATATCAAAAGAGCACATTAAATTCTTTTTTAAAAGTTTCTCACATAATTTGAGCAAAGAGAAAAGCAATCTCAATAGCTCAGAGGAAATTGCAGAAGATTGCTGGTAACCAGGCATCTTGTCTACCCAGTCTTTGCCTCCGAGGACAGGCCAGAGGCTTCAGGTCAGTGTCAGGTGTGTGTGATTGTTGGTGTTAGGAAAGGAGGTAAATGGTTCAAGCAGGGACTGCCATTCCATGCCACTCATGAGGTTTCAGATATGTCTGGATAACATTAGCCAGGCTGCAACAACAACAAACCCACCAGTTCATTTATAAATAATTAGATAGATAAACAACAGGAAGATAGAGATAGAGACAGAGAAGAGATGGAGGTGAAGGTGGAGGTGGAGGCGGAGGTAGAGATAAGTGTATCTAGTGAAGATTGCAATATCAGCAATGTCCCTGAGGGAAAGTTTTCCTTAATTAATTATCCAAACCATTTCACACAAGGGAATGTAGACAAAAGTGAAATTAAATAACAAATACTGGTAATGAGTACTTACTTGAGACCTTTCTCTACTCTAGGTTTGATGCTCAGCATTTTGTATTTATTATCTCAACTAATCCTCACAAGCGTCACTGGAGTGGGCACTACCATCTCTGCAACACAGAGAGTCAAAGCTGTGTCTTCACAGTCAAAGCTGAAGATGCTCAGGTTGACTCAAGCCCTCTGACTCCAGAGTCTGTGCTCCTTGACTTCACACCATGGTGTCACTTGTGCGAATGACTTTTTTTCATGACTTTTTTTTCATCAGTTTTTCTCAAGGCTCTGGAATGTAATGTCTGGTGGCTGAATTCAAACATTATTTTCATTAGTTCTTTAATGATTATTTTTGTGTAAACTAATTTTGTGTTTCCATGGGGTTAGGAAGCTTCATAGATTCAATTTATTTAAATTGAATCTATCTTGTCTGTGTGGTTCTATCACGAATTACCTCCTAAACAGCACCCCCACTCTGCAGAGCACAAATAAGGCTTCCTTTTACTAATTAACAAAAGGCATGCCCTTAGGCAGAATAATTAGACAAAGACACCTTTCTCCAGCATGTCACAGCCCAACTCCAGAGTGTGCAGGGGGTGGGTGTAAGATGGGATTTTTGGCTCCCACGGGCGCCCCTCACCCAAGTGACTTTGAGCAGGGCACAGCCACCCAGCTAACTTTGAGCAGGGCACAGTGGTGGAACACGCACACGCTATCATTCAACGCAGAGGGGAAATGTACACAACCTATACCTGTCGTCTCTTGCTCGTTCTGATATTGTGGGGAGGCACTAAACTTACCAACTTAAAATAGTTTCCACCAGGTTAGAGCAGCCTCTTTCAGACGGGCTCGGTCTCTTTGTGGTGCCTGCTTAGGCTTTTCTGCGTTTCTCTGTCTTCCTCCTTCTCATCCCCAGGATGACATCTCTACACAGGGGCAGGGTGTGTGAGTGAGTTCTCAGAGGTGTCTTCCTGCTACTCTCTGCATCCTCGACAACTTCCAGCATTTTGCCCTGCTGATCTTGGGGATTTCACTCTTCCTCTGAACCGGCTGATGTAAAAAACCAGACTGAACTTGCCACTATTGACTCCACACCATGCCCTTGGGGTGCAAAGTTCCCTTCCTGCAGCTTCTCATCCAAATCCCAGGTGCTGTGCCCTCTGGCCCCCTCAGTAGCTTTGTATCCTCTCAGAGACCCTGAGAAGCATCTGGGCCTTCTACATGGACAGCCTGTGTGGAAAGGGGTGCTGGTTTGGGCTCACCTTTGCAAATGCCTTCCACTGTTGATGAAGTTCTACCAGGGCTGTATTAGGGAAGCTTG
Source organism: Homo sapiens (assembly GCF_000001405.40). Lineage (NCBI taxonomy): Eukaryota > Metazoa > Chordata > Mammalia > Primates > Hominidae > Homo > Homo sapiens. Next base: position 38,305,185 of record NC_000007.14, read on the forward strand.
ACAGGAGACAGACACTCGCAGATTCTCCTTCTTCTATCTTGAGTTTCTGTTGGGCTTTCTATCCCCTCTGGCATAAGACCCTCAGACGCAAGGGAACCGGGAAGTACCTCCACATAATGCTCTACTCCTCTCTCTCCCCCCACCGGCTCGCACTTCCCAGCCAGAAGGAACAGCGCTTCTCCCTGGGAAGGTATTAACGTCACCGATATCATATGCTGAGTCTTCATATCTAGCAGCTGTAATAAAATTCTGTGTTGTTACTTTGCCAGTGTGGCCTTTTGACCTATGAATGAGAGAATCACAACTATAGAAAACTCTTTAAAAAAAAATTGAACCTGATTTTCAAGCCCAACATCTCACAATTAATTCAAAAAGTGAGTTTGTGGCAGGCTGTGGTGGCTTACGCCTGTAATCCCAGCACTTTAGGAGGCTGAGGCGGGCGTATCACGAGGTCAGGAGATTGAGACCATCCTGGCTAACACGGTGAAACCCCGTCTCTGCTAAAAACAAACAAACAAAAAAAAATTAGCCAGGCGTGGTGGCGGGCGCCTGTGCGCTGCACTCTAGCCTGGGCGACAGAGTAACACTTCATCTCAAAAAAAAAAAAAAAAAAAAAAAAAAGTGAGTTTGTTCTGGGCAACTACCATCTCTTTCTATGGGTAGTAAATATCATGGATTAGCTACAATAAAGAAAGGACAAAAGGTGACATGATTTATTTTAGAGAATAAAAATATGTTGGCCACATTTCCAAAACATGATCCTCATTACACATTTTGATCATTTACTTAAGTCTGGGCTGTGAGGTTTTGATCCCTCTCCAGGTATCCCACCCATGATATTATCTGCTAAAGCAAGTTCACAAGAACAGAGAGGGTTTTCTGTTTTCTTAGCCTTTTCCCCTCCAGTGAGAAGAAGGGTCCTAAGGCAGAATGCCGGTGGGGAGCAGGGTGGGGGTGGGGTGGGGGGTGGGAACTCTTCCAAATGTGTGTTCAGCATGACCCTTTAGCCATGGCTTCTTGAGTCACTGCCCATTCTGTCTTGAGTCACTGCCCATTCTGTCTTGACCTAGCTCTGCAGGACTAGGCAGTAAGTCCGGGCCAGCGCATAATTACCCACAAATGCCACAGTTCATTCCTATAAAGTTTTGTTTGTTTGTTTTTGAGACAGAGTCTTGCTCTGTATCCCAGGCTGGAGTGCAGTGCTGCAATCTTGTCTCTCTGCAACCTCTGCCTCCTGGGCTCAAGTGATCCTCCCACCTCAGCTTCCGGAATAGCTGAGACTACAGGCAAGCTCCACCACACCTGGTTAATTTTTGTGTTTTTGTAGAGATGGAGTTTCACCATGTTGCCCAGGCTGGTCTTGAATTCCTGAGGACAAATGATCTGCCTGCCTCAGCCTCTGAAAGCGCTGGAATTATAAGCCTGAGCCACTGCCCCTGGCCCTATTTCCATTAAGTTAATAAACCCAAAGGGTATTCAAAGTGGCCCAATAGTGCACTTGAAAGAGCATGAACTATTTGTTTGGACAGATAACTGCCCCTGTCTAAACATCAGTTATTTCTTTCATGAATAAGTTTATTTACCAGGTTCTTATGACAATCACCTGAAATTCTGAATATGTAGAACATCTATCCCATTTTCTGGCAGCCAGTGGGAACTGAGTGGATATGAATTCCATCTTGTTCCTTGCTGGCATCTTCACCCTGAGCAATTCACCATGACTAGAAGTTTCTAAGAAATGATATAATGGACCTTGCTTTCTCTCTGAAATAATCATGCAGTTTCAACAAACATAGTCTCTAAATAGGAACCTAAGTCAATAGGAAATGATGTCAAATCAGACACTTGGGGGTATAGGTACTGGCATTTGTGGGGTGAAATTGATAGTCATCAGACTCCCTTTCTGGTTTCCTGTGATCACAGAGGCATCATCTGAGGAACACAGGAAGTGCTGCAAGCTGAGGCTGAGGCCTAGCTGGGGCAGAGGGCTGGACGAGGCTCTTCCACATTGGGAAGGATGTGGTCGCAGACATGATAATGGGGCAAGTGCCCATTACCTCAGCTCCAATGTCATGCTAGTTTCCTGGGGGCCATTATATTGGGTCATCATGTCTTTCTATTTTTCTAGGAATTTTATATTAAGAACTAAAGGGAAGTAGACAGAATTTTATATAGAGAATTTATATACAGAATTTTATATATGGTTGCAGCTCTTTGCCTGTAATTGACCTGGAACAGGGTTTTTTTCCAAGTAAATATCAAATCCTCAAAAGCCTGATTTGGTGTTGGTCAGTACCTGAGTGTGTATGAAAAGTTCTATCTAAATACCCTACAGTGAAAATATATGCTTCATTTCTGCTAATGAAATAAAGATTTTTACTTGCTTCAATTGTTTTTACCCAATTTCAATTAGAAACAAAATAGCATTTTCAATGAAACCAAAGTTATCAAGAAATGAGACATTCATTTTCAAAAAAATCCCTCAGCCAATCTGAGAAGTAGGAGAACAAGTTCACATTCCCAGAGTGAAGAACAGGTGCATATCTGTAGCTGTGACGTCCCGTCTGCTCAGGCTGAGTGCCTGAGACAAGGCTGAGGAAATAGGGAACCTGGAGCAGGAGAAGCTGCACCAGGATGAGGAAGGGGAACCTCAAAGAGTGTTCACAGAGAAAATGGGTGTCCTTAGGCCCTGCGCCCAGATCAGTCATTTCTGAGGTTGCTGATTGGTCAGGATCACATGGGAACTTTACCCATAGCTGTATGACACCATGATAATCAGTCCATTTGCCAGGGTAAAAGTTATTCACCTTGTTATCTTGCTAACTCTTAGAAACTTTTAGAAAGATTCTTTTTCATTATTATTATTTCATCATGATTATCTAACTGATTTCAGGGGAGAGTTGGTCCAAGTTACCACGTGGGCTATGACCTGAAGCCACCTGTCCACTTTTCCAGGTGAGAGTCCTCACTGGTTTATCTGGCCACCAAACGCTCACGGCACAGACCCAACACTTCCATGACCCACACACAGGGCTCTGCTCTGGACCCATGGTGGATGTAGGACCTGAGAGTCCTATTTGGTGTGGAAGTAGAAGAGCTACCTCATCACCTCCTCACTGGGAGAGGAGGGGGTTTCCAGGGAAATCCCAACAGTGCTTTTCAGAGAAAGTCTTTGCAAAATTAGAGTCCCCAGGAAAGCTCTTACTGTAATTAGCCTGGATATAGCTCATGAGCCAAAGGTTGGAGTCATCAGTTTTGTCTACCTCTTAGCAAGTCTTTGAGAAATATGGCCAACTACCCCAGGGTTTCTCAGCCTCTGCATTATTGACATTTTGGGCTGGATAATTCTTTGTTGTGGGGCTGTCCTGTGCATTGTAGGATGTTTAGTAACACTTCTGGCCTCTACTCACTAGATACCAGTAGCATTCTCACTCTGTTTGTGACAGTAAAAAATGTCTCAGACATTACCAATGTCTGCTGGAGAGGGGCTTGCCCTCCACTGTGAATCTCTGGTTTTGTCCCCTTCTTTTGTATTACTACCATTCTCCTGAGCTTAGAGTGTCAGCGGAGATTGGGACAAAATGAAACTCCCACTGAATATCCAGTATGTAAAAATTCTCATCATTTAATGAGCAATATCACTTAATCTTCTTTGCCACCATCTATTTTCTTGAGGAATTGGAGTGGATGTTACAACAAATACCTCTATCACTCAGCATATAGCACTGCAGCTTTGCTAGACCACTTGTTACCTGCTACTTTCATATAACACATGCTAGATTTCGTTTTTGTTAAGTCAAAGTCATAAGTTGTAGGGATTGTTAAAGCCCCTTATTTCATCAAGAAGGATGCCTTCCCTATAGTGGGAGCTCCATAAATATTGACTATCCTTAGGAGATAATTCATATGAGAAATCATATTAGAATGAATGAAAATGTGTTTAAAAAAAACTATAACTCTTTACTTTGTTATGGTGTCTACAATTTCCAAAACTCTTTTACAAACATTGGCTTATTTAATCCAAACAATATTTTGAGGCAGGAAGGGATTCCCCATGGGGAAGAGGGGGTAATGTAAGGCCTCTCAGCTAGTAAATGGTAGAGCTGGAACTAAAACCTATTTCTTCAATGCCAAGCAAATCCACGTAGTGTGCTATACAGGCGAGCATGCAATCATTCAGTCCTGCTTTTAATTCCAGTTCAGCCTGCTGTTAGCTTGACTTGTTGCTATCTGACACCCAGTGCCCTCAACTATGAAAATGAAATTGAAATCCCTATCTACCAGCATTGGCTTAGATAGGTGCATAATACGCCTGGAATAAAGTGGGAGCTCAGTGGGTTCCATATCTTTCACCTCCTTCCTCTCTACTCTGCCTCCTTGTTGAAGCAGGATGAGCACAGAGCTACTGTTAGGAGGCCTAGTTTGGCTTTGGGGTATGCTCTTTTTCTTAGGATTTTAGTTCCTTGACTTGAATGACAATAAATAACATCTCTAGACAGAGGAATTCCCCATCATGAGGTGTGGTGGGGCTCTCAGCATTGCCCTTTAAGTGGAGGCTTTTTGTGGTGGGGCCTCACGACCAGTCGTCGGGCTGCTGCACCCATCCTCTTCCCCCAGAGAGGTTCCCCACATCCACGCCCCACCTCGCAGCAAACATGGGCAAGGAGGAAACTGGCTGCAAATGTCCCATTTATCCTGTACCTGAGGAGGTGGTAAAAATTAATTCACTGAAGAGTTTGATTTAAAAAAATGAAGTTCTATAAATAACAACATACCTATAAATTTGGGATGCTTTTTCCTAAAATATGTCCTTTCGATATTAGAAAATGTGATGATGACAAAAGCTAGTTTTTACTGTTGCAACCAGACTGTGACAAAAATGAACTTTCTCCTTTTCTTGTTTGGCAAGACTTTTACTTGAATCTTCTGGCTCTATGAAGCCTTCCCAGTGATCCATTAACTTCTTCCTTCTCAGAACATTTATCTATGTCATGGAATCAAGGACTCATTAGTTTCATTTTTTCCTTTGAAGAACAAGTGAATGGTATAGTGGTATTCCTATTGATATTCACTCAAAAGAGTCGGGCTGTTTGATTGCTGCATTATGTTTCATCCAGCAAACTGGAAGTCTTCCTGCTTCAACCTTTTTCTTTAAAGGACCAAATTCCCAACTTGGGTACGCTTACAGGAACACATTCCACATCCTTGTGAATATACAGAGAAGTCTGAGCCCCTCTTCCCTCCCTTGTCATTTATTCCAGTTCTTGCTGGGTGAGTGTGGTGTGGTGGGAAGAGAGTAAGTCTTATGGACCGTCACACTTGCTCTACATCCCTTCTCTGCTACTAGTGATGCCTGCGTGATCTTGGAGGCTACAGAGTCTCTCTGAATCTCTGGTTCCTCCTCTGAGAAAGGAGATGACAATATTTAAGTGAGAAAAGCATGTAAAGTTCCCAGCCTGACACTGACTTGGCCCTCTGCCCATCCAGGCCCTCCCTGGGCAGCCAGGCAGGAAGCAGAACATGATGTGGCCATCTCAGGCCAGGCTGCAGTTGGGTCTCAGCCTTTCCACCCTTTCCCATCCACCTTTGGATAACATTTCTGTGCTCCCCAGCGGACTGAGGGTAAGGGAGTGCAGCGGAAAGGTGATAATCAGGGGGAATATCTCTGTGTTCCATCTCGCTGCTTTTCTGTTGCTCAATAAACACAGTTTTGGTTACGCTTTTTTTTCTTGTTAAAAAAAGAAAAAAATCTTAGAACCCAGAAGTCAGAAAAACTTGATTGCATAAGAAAATTCTCTGTAGAGAATTCTCTGCAGATTGTCTGTAAGTAAACACCGTTAGCATCAATTTAACTAACTTCATGTGACCCTGGGGAAAGGAGCTTAAGGCCGCAAATGAAAAAAAAAAAACTCATAAAACGAATTATAAATTTTTTTATTTCCCCCTGAAATGTCTCTATTTAAAAGTTCGTGTTTGGTTTTGTTTTTCTCATCACTGTAGGAGATCAAGGCAATAGATTTTGTAGTCAGACAGACCTGGATTCAGATCCCAGCCTCGCTGCTTACTATCAAGTATCTTAATTTATCAAAGTCTCAAATCTGTACTTAGAAAATATCTATAAAGGGCATTTGTCCCCGCGACAGAACCGCTGCCGCCATCGCTGTCATTTAAGATCGCCCGGGTCCCTCCGCCGCCACCATGTCTCTGGGAAGCCGCAGCGCGGCGGTCCGACCACCCAGCCCCCTCCCGCCGCGCCCTCTGCCCACCTGCCCCCACACAGCCACCGCCTCCGGCAGCCGCCCCATCTCCGCCCCTTCCGGCCAGCCGAGCCTCATGGCTTAGATGGCGTCCATGGCCGCAGGGGTAGCCGTGGGCTCGGCTGTGGGACACGTCATGGGCAGCGCCCTGACCTGAGCCTTCAGATGGGGGAGCTCGGAGCCCGTCCAGCCTGCTGCCCAGCAGACCCCCACACGCGCTGCCCCCCAGCCCCTGCAGATGGGGTCCTGCGCCTACGAGATCCGGCAGTTCCTGGACTGTTCGACCACGCAGAGTGACCTGTCCCTGTGTGAAGGCTTCAGCGAGGCCCTGAAGCAGTGCAAGTACAACCATGGTCTGAGCTCCCTGCTCTGAAGAGGTTGGTGCAGACTGGGGGGCCAGCCCTGCACCCACCTCTACCCTTTGCCGACAGCTGGACCACAACACCAGATTGTACCAGATGGCTGGGATTGGAAGTGTGGAGGTTTCTCACCCCACGAATAACCCAAGACACAAACGTGCAAATAAAAGAGTTTATTAAAAAAAGAAAATATCTATAAAAATGAGATAATAATAATGATAGTATTTTGTTAGGCTCAAATGACATAAAGCATGCAGTATAAAGTGCCATGCACATAAGAAGTACTCAATAAACAATAGCTACTATTACTACACTCATAAGAATATTTATTACATTATTCATTTTCACATAGAACTGAGCTCTTTCAGAGAATAGTCTGTACATTTAATTCTGTGCATGTAAACTCACTGATTTTTCTGTTTTTCTGTGGCTAAGCAAAGAAAATAAGGAAAGTCAGAGAAATCTGCTGACCTATGGACTGCAAATTCAAATTCTGCCAATTTCAGAACACAAATATGGAGTTTTGATAATTACTCTGTAACTTTAGTTTATAAGTAAAATATAAAGAGAACGGGACTACAGTAAAGTATAGCACGTGATTCAATCTCTCTGAATCCCTTAGCACTTTGCTAATTTGCTAGTTAAAAGTTGACTTAAAAGTGACAAGAAATTAAATTAGGGATCTACAGAAGAGACACATCAATTATAGCAACAGGGGTGAGGGGATAAATTCTACTTGACATGAACGTGACAGGCATTTCTCTATCCTCAATCATCTAATGAGAGTTGAGATTGTTTCTCTATTTTAAACTTAGTTGTTGTAAAGAACACTACGAGCACAATTGGATTAATCATACTATCGATTCATGAAGCACTACAAGCATAAAGCACTATAATCATTTATCTAAATGTGTATCACTTTTATGTTTCTTATTTGAGTCTACTACATGTTGGTGATTTATTTAATGAGTCAACAAATACCTAAGACTCCTTCACTTAACTCAAGAACAAAAGCATTATTAATAATCTACATGCTCCTCCATATTAAGAAATCAACTAAAGAAGTACTAATTAATGATGATCTCTCAAGATTTGTCCAGTTTCCTGTTTTTTTACTCAAGGAACAGTCACACATCCTGTTCTGTTGGAGATGGGACCTTGGTGGTTTTGTGGAAAGTGAAACAAAACTAATAAAACCTTCTGGCTCCCTAGCTTGTCCTACTTATCTGAAGTCAAACATAATCCACTTATTGGGCCATCTGCAGGATTTCCTCCTTGGCTCATCCAAGTCCATTTTCCACATAACTCTGCCTTAAAAGTCTGACCGCCCTGGGCTGCATGGATGGTCTTCCCTATCCTGCAGGTGTTGTTTGGGGGTAGAAAATGGAAACATCAGCAGGCAGCTGGGAAATAGGAGCGTGGGGTCAGCGTTCCCTCCCTGAAAAGGGGCCTTAAGTTGGCTGCATCCTCCCCACATTGGCCAATATGCAGTGCCATTTGCCCCACAGCCAGAGCTGATGTCCAGGATCCAAGAGGTGTGGGTAGGAGTCGCCATTCTCTTCTATTTCAGTTAGCTCACTGAAAAAAGTTGTTTCTTTTTTCCCAAGACCTTTGATCTACAGGCTTGAAAAATCCTAGTGTTCCAGGAAGACATACAAGCCCAATAAGCTGCCTTGAGCATTCAAATCACTAACATTTTCTTTAGCTCAGCACAGTGATCAGTAGGAAACAGGAGAAAAGGTAAGATTTTGCTTTTTACAAGAAGCAAACGTTGTTAGAGAAGAGGAAAGAAAAAGTAGTCAAGCAGAGCCCCTTCCAGGTCCTTCTAACCAACACATTTTACATATTGTCTCTAGGTGCTCAATAATGTGCAGGGATATGTTTAATATTATAAAACAGGAATTCTTTTTTTAAGTCAATTTTAAAATAAAATTAAAAAGTAATGTGTTTTCTATTAGACCATTTCAAAAGTACAGAAATGACACAGATAAAAATACTCATGAGCGCAATGTCTGGAGATAAGCATTTCAAAGTCTGTGCCCTTTTTTTGTCTACCCCAGTCTGCCTCTTGTGAACCCCTTCACAGGACTGAAAGCAAAAAGCACCCGAGACAAAACAGTCAGCATGGATTTCCAGGTGGGTACAGCAACTTCTAGAATTGTGGTTTCTATAAGATGACTCCTGGGCAGTAGACATTACTTTTTCCATAGTACTTGTATGTGTGGGGAGTTCGGCAACAGATGATATGGTTTATGAAAATATTGCTTTCCAAGATTTCCTTAGATTTTATTCAGATTTTATATTAACTAGATAATATAATGTTGATTCTATTATTCAGAGTCATTGTAGCTCACCCACCTCAGGTAGAAAAGAAAAGAAGTCGAACCCAAATCATCAGAATATTCAGGGCATCCATCCATACAACGCGTTGACCCATTAGGTAAAATGAACCCATCAATAATAATGAAAGTATCAATCTCAATTCAACAGATATTCATTGAGCCCCTACTATATGCAGTACAGTATATTCTAATAAGATGCTGTCAGTGTTTCTGTGAATCCAAAACTTAAACCATTTAATTGGCAAATATTAACTTAGAGCTGGTTTGCCTCTGGCTAGTTTTCCTTTGGTGTGGCGAAAATGTTCCTGGTGAAGCTCACCTTAAGCAAAAGGAGAAGGGCAGGAGGAGTAAAGGACTATGAATTTCGACTTGTTTTTCCCCTATAATGGTCATCTGCACTATGCACAAGGCCACTGTCCTGTCCAGCTGTGTGTGAGTCAAAGGTCTTAGGGAACCATGACCAAAAGCTTAGAATTAAATTAATCTGGGATAACCTCTTGTAAGAGTTTCTTCATACTTAGCTATTCTCTCTATAAAATGTAATAGCCACACTATGATAGACGTAGCACTAAGCCCTGGATATATAAAGATGTGTATATGGGCCAGGCGTGTTGGCTCATGCCTGTAATCCCAGCACTTTGGGAGGCCGAGGTGGGGTGATCACGAGCTCAGGAGTTCGAGACCAGCCTGGCCAACATGGCGAAACCCCATCTCTACTAAAGATACAAAAAATTAGCCGGGCATGGTAGTGCGTGCCTGTAATCCCAGCTACTTGGAGGCTGAGGCAAGAGAATCGCTTGAACCTGGGAGGCAGAGGTTGCAGTGAGCCGAGATCGCGCCATTGCACTCCAGCTTGGGCAACAAGAGTGAAACTCCATCTCAAAAAAAAAAAAACCAGATGTGTGTATGTGTGTGTGTGTGTGTGTGTATGTTTTCTTGTATATATAGTCATACGCTGAATAATAATGTTTCAGTCAAAGATGGACAAATTATAATGAAACTGCCCTACACATGTGTAGCATTTTTTTTATATTCTATTTTTACTGTACCTTTTCTATGCTATGTTTAAATACACAAATATTTATCAGTGTTACAATCGCATATAGCATTCAGTACAGCAACATGCTATGCAGGTTTGCAGCTTAGGAGCAATAAGCTATACCATATATCCTAGGTATGTAGTAGGCTGTACCATGTAGGTGTGTGTTAAGGGCACTCTACAATATCTGCACAACAAGGACATTGCCAAAGGATGCATTTCTCAGGATGTTTTCCTGTCGTTAAGGGACACATGACTATATATGTGTGCTTGCTGTTATTTTTTTGTTGTATCTAGTTTTGTCTCTTGTCAGATAACGCTGGGCTGTCACAATATGCCAAGCACTAGGCCAAATCCTTGAAATGCATCATGTCAGGAGTTCTCACAGCCACCCATATGATAACCACAGGACCATTGCCTCACAGGTGAGGAAATGGGGCTAGAGAAGCTCAAGGCCTTGCCACACAGCTTATCCGTGGTAAGTAGAGCCCCATTTGGACCTATGTCCTTCTGACATGACAGGCCCAGGTCTTGACCACTTTGTACATTATATGTATACTCAGATAATTATTGAGCTGTTGAAAAATCAAAGTATCAGAGAAATTTGAGAAGATGAGACTAAGGATCATTCATCTCTGAACTCTTTCCCAGTGGAAATCTACTTTTCTCTATTTTATATTTGTAAGATCACATTTCAAGAAAGGGTTTCATGGCAAAAACATAAATTAAAACAACACCATCAACAATAATAAATTGCAAAGCCTGAGTTGAACTAGAAGTAACGAAAATTCATAAGAGACTTACAATCATGAGTTATATTCAAGTTGAGGACTGCCATTTTAGTGGTGAATGGCAGCCCAGTAGCAGAATGTGGTTCAACAGAAGCAACCTCGGGCCTTTGCAGAGCGTATGGGCCTTGTAATTTCTGCTGTGCATAATGCCTGGCTCAGAGTAGTCTATCAAAAGCTCATGGTTGGATGACCAGGCACGGTGGCTCACGCCTGTAATCCCAGCACTTTGGAAGGCTGAGGTGGGCAGATCACGAGGTCAGGAGGAGATAGAGACCATCCTGGCCAACATGGCGAAACCCCGTCTCTATTAAAAATACAAAAAAATTAGATGGGCGTGGTGGCACGCACCTGTAGTCTCAGCTACTTGGGAAACTGAGGTAGAAGAATCGCTTGAACCCGGGAGGCAGAGGTTGCAGCAAATGAATTTTTTCTCAAACCCCAATCCAAAGTGGACTTTGACTTAGATTCGATTAGTGGAAGTGTTTACGGATTTTGTACAAAATCAAACATCACCACTCAAGGCATGCATGTGATAGATTTGTCATTGCAGTCTGCCCTGCTCGTGGTTAGATCATGCTGCGTTTGTTACATGTTAACCTCCAGAAAAATGAATACCATTTAATGTCATATCCATTTTTTAATCGAGAGAAATAGGAAGGTCAGAGAAAACTTATGTAATGCATATTGACTAGTACAAAAGAATCACACTAAAAATGTGTATATATTATACCAGAAAAAAAATATATAATGAGTAGGAGAGGTTGAACCAGAAAAATAAGCATGGGTGACCTAGAAAAGCTGTTGGTGAGAGAGTACAACCCTGAAAAAGAGGAGGCTGGTCACTTGTATAGACTTATGCAAAGCTTCTGCTTTGAGAAAATATGTGGAATTTGGCAACTCCAAGTAGAGTCACCACATGAATGTTTATCTTAAAAACTGTTTACAAGCACACTGGTGGTAACTGTGGCTTCCCAATTCGTAATTATAAACAAAGACTCAATAAACATTTATTGAATGGGATGGCTCAAACTGTCTGCTGCTGTGCACCTCCCACAAGGCACAGTAGTAGGTAGCTATGTCCTGTTTCTCTACATTGTGAATGGTGAGAGTGGATGTAGACGTTTCAGGTATCCTATCCACCTCAAATTTGCCTGACGGAATGCCGGATTCCTTTCTGACAGTGCCGTCATATGAAATGGACACCAGGAACTGTATGACTTCACCAGGTCTCTCTCGATACCAATATACAGATGTTGCAGAAATTGTTATTCCAGACACCACACATTCCAGGCGGGCTGTTTTTGACAGCGTTTTAGTACTGGAAATTTGAGGTTGCTCTAGGTGACCTGCACCATATACACACACTGGGGAAAAAAATGGGAGGGAGTAAATAAACCAAGAATTTGGAATTTATAAAAATATATAACAATAGAGAATATCAGTCCAAAGTGATTGGGGGAGCAAAACTACTTACGAGCCCCAAGGACTGCCAGCGTTGATGTGTGGAGCAGTGACAGCATGTCTGCAGGCACTGTGCTTTCTGCCAGGGCAGCCTGAAATCACCGCAGAGAAGCGTTAGACCTCTGTGGCTTGGCTGAGTCCACCAAGTCAAACTTCCCATGGGTGAGGGTGACATGGGGCCCCCTGCATCGTTGTAAAGCGGTGTCCTCACCACCTGTTAGCACTTCCAGTCTGTGTGAAGACAGTCCTGCAAGGTCTGCAGCCTGAGATCAGACCACATAGTTTAGACGGCCACCTCAGACCACAAGGCGGCCACCCCAGCAAGTTGTCAGGCTGGTGTTGTTGGTTGCTGGGGCTGTGACATGCAGCATTGTCTTCTGAGAGCTTGTCTTCAACCAGCTGGAGAGATGTTGGTCCGTCAAGCCGCTTAGCTCTGCTCAGCTACCCACACAGCCTGCAGCACCGGGTCCTTCTGGTCACCTTCATGAGGCTGGGCCCTCCATCCCAGTTTGTTTGCTTCTGTTGAAGATTCAGGTTCCTGTCCCCTCCCTCAGCTACCTGAATAATGTACATCTCCTGAATCCCGGCTTCTCCTCAATGACAGTTTCCTATTGTCTGTTGTTCTTTCTCTAAGCCAAGACATTTAATCCGTCCCAAGGTATTTTTACAAACTGCTCTCCCCAGTGCATCCCTTAAAAGCTGCTGTGTTCCAGATTTCCATGCTTAATTTACCCACTGGGAGCTGCAGCTCACTGCCACTGCCCAGCATCGCAAGAGAGTATCATAACCTTATATCACTGTCCTGGGGAAACAGCAAAGGTCAAATTATGTTTTCTACCAAATGCGTGTCACTTTTGCACCATCATAAAGTAAAAAAAAATCTTAAGTCGGACCTCAGTTAAATCGAAAGCTGTCTGTACCCATATCCAGCTAACTCTTGGACATTTTCAAGTACGTCTGACATGGGATCTCAAACAAAGTCTGCTCATAGCCAGAGTGAACTCATTCCCTTCCCCCAAACCATATCTTCTTCCGAGTTCCCTGTATGACATAACTACCCACATTGCCCAAGCCAGGAGCTTGAGCATCAGCCTCAATTCTCCCCTCTAATTCACCGCACTCTAATTCCTGAGGATTCTACGTCCTAAACATTTCCTGGCTCACCACTGCCTCCACCTCACGCACCTCCATACATCCCATCTCGGCCCCTCCCACCCACCTTCCCCATGGCCACTAGACTGACCTGGTCCTTTTCCTGCTCTAAAGTCCTTGCTCTCTCTACCTTGCCTCTGAAGATGAAGTCCAGAGTTCTTAGGATAAGAGGTTCTCTGTGATGTGGCCACCCCCTCCCTGTCCTTCCATCTTCATTTAGTCACTTTCTGCCTGGAATTCCACGACCCACTTCTATGGATTGACTTGAATTTTTTTGTGTTTGGACTGCATTCTACTCCACATTCCCTGGCTAATTCCTGTTTATCCTTCTGGGCTCAGCCCCAGGCAGTCTTCCCCAGGAAGCTTACCTCACCCAGTAAGTCCAGGATGGAGATGCTTCAAATTGCTTTCTCTTCACGCCACCTAGTGCCTTCCTCTCTCCTAGCACCTCCTACCCAAGTCTTGGCCTGTTTACCCATTTCTCTCTCATTCTAAACGACAGTTAAGAGTTCCCAGGGGAGTAAGATCATGTGCTGTTTATCTCTCTATTCCCAGGTGTTTGTTGAATAGATGAAAGGGTGGAGTGAGGGAATGGATGGCCATTGTAGTATTTTTTTGTCGTTCTGATGTTAACAAAACATCACCATTTAAAATACAGTTTTTAAAGAGTTACCAAGCAATGGACACTTAGTGAATGCCTTAATGTGTCAAGCAGTTTGTAGCCATTATGATGTTTAATACCATAAATTTAGTATAATCTTCACAAAGCCCTACTCAAAGCAGGTCAGGTAATGGGTCAAGGTTTAACAGCTTGTTGGTGACAGATTTAAGATTAATTCTATCGGGCTGCAAAGCCTGAGCTCTTTGAGTAGTTCTCTCTGCCTCTGTTTTCTTATCTACCAAAGGAGAATAAAATCACAGCCTACCTTACTGGATGTTGCAAAGAATAAATGTTTGCCCAGGTAGACTGTTTAGGGCAATGCCTGACACAGAGCAAGCCCTTGGAAACTGATGGTGATTTCTGTTATACTCTCCCATGCTGCCTTCTGTGAACTTGCCCCTGCTCACCAGCAGCAATGCACCAGCTATGCCCTTGTCTTGCTAAGACAGACTAGCTGGGAGGCTCCCTAAAGCAAGAGACGATGAGAGGGAAAGAACTTGGGACCATTTCTAAGAAACAAAACTTGAAAAGTCTGGTGATGATGCCTCTGAAGGTGAGATCACTTAGGAAAGATAAAATCTTGGTCTCTAAGCTGGTCTATCACCCTGGAGGTTGAGGCTGAAACCAGGTAGTATAATTCAGAGGGAGATTGATTTTGGACATTGCTGTTTTCTTTATTTTGGAGATGAGGAAACTGATGGCTAGGAAATTTAAGAACTCGCTCAAGCTCACAGCATTCATGAAGAGTACAGCAGGTGTTGGTGAGGAGTGAAGGTGGAGGTTTGTGGTGGTGAAGGTTCACTGCAGTGGCAGAGTCTCCTCTTGAGGAAATGAAAGATGTTGTTCCATAAGGAGGTGACTGGGGAGCTTGCGCCTCCATTTGGCCACACCCTGATAGTCACCATTTCACCAAATTTACTCTTGTTTGGAGTAAAGCACTGAGAGAGGGGGCAGGCAGAAGAGGAGGCATCTCCTCTCTGTGCCCATTTGGTTTTATCAGCACAATTAGAAAAATGAAATGAAGGAACAACTCCAAAACAGAATGAAAGTTTCCTCCTGTATGGCCTCTGTCCTTCTCACACAAGTTGGAAGGCCTTAGCCGTGAACTGAGCCTTCAGTAGAGGTTAGAGACGCTGGGCTGTTTCAGAAGCAAGGCGTAGCGTTTTTTTTTTTTATTTCTTGTTGCTCAGACTGGAGTGCAATGGCACGATCTCGGCTCACCACAACCCCTGCCTCCTGGGTCCAAGTGATTCTCCTTTTGTTTTTTATTTGTATAAATTTAAGGAGTACAAGTGCAATTTTGTTACACACATATAATGCACAGTGGTAAAGTCTTGGCTTTTAGTATACCCCACACCTGGATAATACTCATTGTGATGTGAAATTACTTAATTTCCATCTGTATTCCTTCTGCCCCCCACCACCCTTACAAGCCTCCAATGTCTGGTTCCACACCCTATGTCCACTTGTACACATTATTTAGCTCCCACTTATAAGTGAGAACATCCAGTATTTGTCTTTCTATTTCTGAGTTGTTTCACTTTAGATAATGGCCTCCAGCTTCCTCCATGTTTCTGCAAAAAACAGGACTTCATTCTTTTGTATGGATAAGCAGTATTCCATTGTGTGTATATACCACATTTATTATGGATGAATAGTACTCCACTGTGTATATATACCACATTTTCTTTATCCAGCCATCCACTAATGGACATTTAGGTTGATTCCATATTTTTGCTATTATGAACAGTGCTGTGATAAATATATGAATGCAGTCTAATATAATGATTTATTTTTCTTTGGGTGGATATCCAGTTATGGGATTGCTGGATTGAATGGTAGTTCTATTTTTAGTTCTTTGAGAAATTTCCATACTGTTTTCTAGAGAAGTTGTACTAATTTACATTCTCATCAACAGTGTATTAAGCATTCTCTTGAAAAGGCATTTAAATTCAGCTTAGACTTCAAAGAATTTCTTTTTTTTCTGCACATAGAGCAGCAGAGGGGTTTCCTGTTTGGTGCTGGAGGATCAGTAACACAGGCTTTCTTTTTTTTTCTTTCATTTATTCTATGTTAAAAAAGACTGCTTTATATGAAGGTAGTGGGCATAGTGATCTTATGTGTATGGCTTTGCTTTAATACAAAAATCATAGTCATATAACTTAGCAGACATTTGGCTAAACCCCCTCATTTGTCAGATAGGAGAACAAAAGTCTAGAGAAGCTTGGGATACACACGTGTTCCACACTGGGGTGCTGTTGAAGGAGAAGTGGAAGGTAAATGTCTCATCCAGGGAGGACTGCATCACCCTGCCATGGCGACTGTCTACTCACATCAGTTCCTATGCAGCCCGCCCACGGGTGAAAGTACTGAGAAGTGGGCAGTCATGTTTCCCATGCTTCTAATTGCTGACTCTATTGCAAAATGATAACAGTCCCAGGGCCAAGAGCTTGGAAGCTGGAAACAGGAGTAGGCTTCTAGTCTCAGCTTTTCAACCATTTTGTGGTAAATCTCAGCAAGTCCTCCACCCTTGAAATCTCTTCCAAAATATTTTATTTGTGCATTCTTCAGGGGAGATGGTCAGATTCTTAAATGATCAGTCTCTAACAGCACTGTCCAACAGAAATAAATGAGTCACCAATGTGAGTCACACACTTTAATTTTTTTAGTTGCTGCATTAAAAAAAGTAAAGAGAAACAGGTAAAATTAGTTTTAATGCTATTGGCTTTAGTCCAAGATACCTAATCATTTCAACTTTTGATCATTATAAGAGTTATCTCACTTTTAACACTAAAGCTTCAAAATATGATTTTAGACACACAGCCCATCTCAGCTTGGACTATTGCACTTGGTATGTTTCCCATGCTCAATAGCCACAGGTGGCTAGTGGCACCTGCATTCAGGAGCACAGGTCATCCTGCAAAGGCTTCAGAGACACTGAACTGGAGCATCTTTAAACAGACCCCTTTCGATGAGATATAGATCACTGAGTCTGCACAAGCTGAAAGCCTCATCTGTAGTGGGACCGGGGAAGGGACCTCCAGGATAGATGGGGAGGTGAGGGACAGGGGATAAGACTTTTTTCTTCTATGCCACAGGGAAACCCAAGGGACCAAGAGTAAGTGAAAATGCCCAAGGCCTTGTTGGATCGGGAGGAAGAGTCCTTTTGTGTAGGGCTGGGGCAGCATGCAAGGCTGCGCAGGGCCCAGGTTGTGCAGTAGTTCATGCCCTCGATGCCTGTCTCCAACTTCAGTACTGCCAAGATAGAGCTGCTGCCATCCTTGGCTATGATTTTATCTGCTTTCAGGATGGAATCCCACTGCACATCCAACTTGGACATGGCCAGCTGGTGGAGTGCCTCAGGGACCTGGCCCTTCTGCTGGTACCAGTGGGTGTAGCTGATCCTGGTGCGGACCACGCACTGCAGGATGACCAAGCTTCCCTAGTGCCCCAGGACATGGGCCAGCTGCTCCGGCCTGATGAGCCACCAGCCAGCTGTCAGGGAGAGAGCAGTGAGGTAGGGATGTCCCAAAGCCTCGCCACCTCTACACAGGTCCTTAGGTAGGAGACTGACCTGGAAACAGGATGACCCAAAGGAAGGCAGGGCAGCCCACCATATCTCTGATCCTGACTGGGGGAGAGGAGCCCAGAGTGACCTGTTTCAAACTATGGACCTGAGCCACACTTTCCTGAGTTATGGTAGCGACCAGCTTAGGGCCTGAACTGCTATTTCCCTGGTGGTGCAAGGAGGTAACTGATGAGAGAAATGGGGGAGGAAGAAAGAAGTTCCAGAGGAGAGACAGAAATCTGACCACAAGGTGAAGGGAGGGATGACCAATGGCTAGAGTGCTGAAAAAGGCTTAAAGAGTGTTGCTGGTATAATTAGCAATAATAGCAATCATTGGTTGGACACCAGCAAAACTCTTGCACTGCACTAATTGGTTTAGGGCCATTGCTTTATTAAATCCTAAAATAACTCTATAGGACAAATGTTATCTTCAGTTTAGAAATGAAGGAGTAAGGCTGTTATTTTAAGTAGCTTTTCCAAGGCTGTAATACCTAAAGAGAATCAGAGTTGGGAGAGAAGCCAGGCCAGGCTGGTGACAAATTTCTGCTTCATGTAACCATCTTATACTCAGAGAACAATGAGTGTGCTGCTTGCTCCAGAGGAAGGGACAAACACAAAACAGCAATCCCTAAAAAAACCCATGCCAACCGTCTGAGCCAGCATCGGAGCGTGTCACCCAGAGGTCCTAGTAGAAGGAGATTTTCAGTGCCCTAAAATAACATGATAGCTGTGTAGTCTTGGGCAAGTTGTTTCACCTCTTTTTCCTCATCTGTAAAGAGAGGTGTCATAGGGCCACATGGACAGTAAACAGGAGAATGTGAGCAGAGCACGCAGCACAATCCCAGCTGCATAGACCATGCTCAAGAAATGTGGGGTGTTGTTGTTTCACCTGGAAACTGGATGGGTTCCAGTAAATGATCTCTGGGGTTCACACAAAGTAGAAATTATAGGGACTAATGCAGTTTTCAAGAACCAGGTGTGTGCGTGCGTGTGTGTGAGTGTGTGTGTGTCTCCAAAGGAAGAAGGCTAAGTCAGGCCAGCAGACAGAGAGGGCCTGGAGGCAGGACCAGCTCATCCTCTGCCAGTGGCACGTCCTTGGAAATGGTGAAGACTGTGCATTGGGAAGGGCCAGCGAAGGACACACCTGCCAAAGGCTTGGAGAAATAGACCCAGCCTTGAGTTCCTACTGAAATGAAGGTTCATTTTCAGCTTTGCTAATGACACCCAGGACCTCCTGAGTAGTCAAAGAGATGGCCATGAGGGGAAGGTTGTGGGCATGGCAAGAAAAGGGGTCTGGCTTGGGAAGGGAAGCTGTGAGTCCCTGGGCTCCCACGACCAGACCCAGTTCCTGAGCTTCTCTTCGATGGCAAAAACTGAAAGTCATGATTCCAGTTTTCAGCATTCTCACATGCAGGGCTTAGGGTTGTGCTGAGTTGGTGAGAAGGTGGTCAAATACAAAGCTAGCAGAACGTTTTGACAGAGGGATATTCTGGGGCTATCATTTATACACTCTATAGACCTTTAGCCCAGGGGTGGGCTAGGGTAATGGGAAAGAAAGTGACAGCTATGGTCAGAAAAGGTCAACGCAGGGAAATGACAGGTAGAAAGTGCAAAATACAGACAGTGAGCAATGGAAATGGGCAAATTATTTGTCTTCAATCTTTCTCTATTTTCTAGATTTTTTTAGAAATAAGAAAATATTATTTTAGAGGAGAAAAAAATTATAACAACTACATATGTTTTCAATATTCAAATTGGTTATTTAATTGCACCTTGTGCTTATAAGGTGCAATATGCACATGAAAAAAGTGATATGTTTCATTTTAGTCTCGTCATAACAAATCAAACCATATTAGAGTCACATCTGAGGTAATATACCAAGTCAACATGGCATTGCATAATGAAGTGCAGTGGAAAGCCTCATCCTGAAGGCATATCTTGAAGGTAAATTTAATAGAAAAAAAAAAAACTTCAGTAATGCTTACAAGATACTTATGTCATCACCGATTCATGCACAAATTTGGTTATTACTATTCTATAATAAATTTGGTGACATTTGGACAACCTCATTGGTGAGAATAATTTTTGTAAAGTTTCCGCTTTCTAATTTTTTTGTTTGTTTATTTCAATAGTTTCGGGGGAATAGGTAGCTTTTGGTTACATGGATAAGTTATTTTGTGTTGTCAGTGTTCAAAACTATGTTTCTCTCAATTGTTGTTTTAACCGTTTTAATTCAATTACTGATCATTAAAGACTCAAAAGTTGTTAGCAATAGCCAATCAGCCAATCATAGATTTTTTGTTTGTTTGTTTTTTGAGACAGGGTCTCACTCTTTAGCTCAGGCTGGAGTGCAGTGGTGTGATCTCTGCTCATTGCAACTTCCACCTCCTGGGTTCCAGAGATTCTCCTGCCTCAGCCTCCCCAGTAGCTGGGATTACAGGCGCGTGCCACCACGCCTTGCTAACTTTTGTATTTTTGGTAGAGACAGGGTTTTGCTCTGTTGGCCTGGCTGGTCTTGAACTCCTGACCTCAGGTGATCTCTCTGCCTTGGCCTCCCAAAGTGCTGAGATTAGAGGGGTGAACCACCACACCCAGCCCAACCATAGATTTTAATAGAATCTGCTGTAAACCTGCAGCCATACATTCTGTCTGGTGACATTTGCTTTCCTTTCCTCTACTTGTCTTCCCAATTCGGTGGCCCTGTGCTCTTCTCAATGTAGCACTTACAGGTTCTATTTGTCTAAATTAGACACGTTTAAAATAATAATATGGGGGAAATCTTGGGCAAAACGCAGTCAAGGTGTAGGAGGGCTTGCCCTCTCAAGCCCTGGGTGGCGTTTGAAGGATTCTGACCAAGATCCCAGATCTCCAGGGAAAGAGAAATGCGATGCTGGGCGAGGGAGAGGTGTGTCCTCTCATCCCATGTCATCCAGTCACTGCCCAGGTGGAAGCAGACCTCAGCCAGCGTGGGATAGGGCTGCAGTGGTGAGGAAGAGCAGATCCAGGCTGAGGCGGCCCCTGCATGAAGATCCAGGGACTAAGGGCTGGACCTTTAAAGTCACGCATCCCCTGCATCTTCCACGTGATTTATCCGACCCAGGACAGTGCTCTTCTGGCCATGCTAGAATCTGAGAACTCATCTAATCAGACTTTGTCATTTTGTCATGTAGGATAAATTGGGTATTCCCAGGATGACAGTTATTAGCAAAATTGACAAGACTGGGACACCAGAAAGAGGAATGCCACTGAAGGGTTTTGATGAGAAGACTGTGGATGAAATTTTATTTCTTTTGTTTCCAATTTACAACTTCATAGCACTGTTTGTTGAATAAAAGTTTTTGTTAAATCTGTATTTTGTGGGAATTAGTAATCCCCTCTTTCAGCTTTATTGAGGTATAATTGATAAATAAAATTATATATTCCAGGTATACAACATAATGTTTTGGCAAATGTATACATTGTGAAATGGTTACCACAATCAAGCTAATTAATACATAGTTCCCTTTGGGTTTGTGTGGTGAGAACATAGTTACCTTTGGGTTTGTGTGGTGAGAACACTTGAGATTTACTCTTTCAGTAAGCTTCAAGTGTACAATATAGTATTACTAAGTATAGTCACCATGCTGTATTCCAGATGTCCAGAACTTATTCATCATAGAACTGCAGGTTTATATCCTTTGACCAACATCTGCACCTCCCTACCCCTATTATTTTTGTTATGTTTTGTAATATACACAATGCATTTCTATCCTAGTTCATGGTTCATAGTTATAAATAAGTGTACATATATAAGGGGTTTATTCTTCAATAAAAGTATGCTTTTTTGAAAAAACAAAAAAGCAAGAAAATTTGATTATGAAAAACTATTAATTATTTTTTTAAAAGCTATAGCAATTAACATATTGTGCTTTTGCACAAGGATATACAACATAGGGACTCAGCCCCACATGTAAAGTTGAAGTTGTGCACACACAGCCACCCCACCTCTGGTTGTGTCTTTAGAGAAACTGGCAAAAGTACAAGCCGACATGCACAGTAGAGAAGAAGAGAGAGCAGAAGGGGCTGAGTGAGCATGTGGAAGCTTCACTATCACAAAGGTGGCCTTGAACTGGGGGTTAAGGATGGGTTAGGTCAGTAATTTGGGAAGAAACTGGCTCTCCACTTTAAGATTCCTACCTAACTCCCACCCCACGCACAAAAGGCAGATCAAACAAATACATGTGCAGAAGAAAACCTTCAAGGTATTGGGAGAATAAAAATGAGAATATGTTTGTGCTTCAAGGTAAGGGACAGGCTTTCTTAAAAAGGTGTGATCCCCGAGGAAGGAGAGCAAGTTAAAGCAGATTCATTTAGTACACAACTTTTTCTTGCGTGAGGTCACAGGAAGCCAGAAGGAATTGCAGTTGTGGGATTATCATGCAAAAATGTGAGAAACTGTCAAAGCAGCTGCTTTGAGGGGCTGGGGGAGATAAGAGTGAGGCGGATTTGGTGGGCTGCGAAGGAGCCTGTGAGCAGCTTTCTAGAACACCTTTCTGTGTCAGGCTCAGGACAGCCCCTCGATCTCTTGCCACTAGTGCAGCAGTTTTTAAAAGTCAGTTTGAATAAGAATCAGCTCTGGAGGTTATTTTAAAATGCACATTTTCACCCTTCATTCCAAGATTCTGTCTTATTGTGTTGGATGCTTCCCAGAACCTGTACTTTTTTTTTTTTTTTTAATTAAAAGCCTCACGTGCTTCTTATCCAGGTGGTCCGTGGAGTACACTTTGAGAAACACTCTTCTAGGAGCCAGGACTATAAGGCTGATTCAAGGTTTAGGGTTCTGGAAGAAAGAGGATCCAATAGACAAGAGACCAGATAAACATGAACCCAGCACTGCTCCCCTGCAGTATTCTGGACTCTGGATTTCTTGTAGACTCAAGCTTCTCTATCATTATTCAGAAACCTCTTCCTCATGACCACATTTGTTTAATCTCATTCCTGCATACCGGGGCCTTTGACACATCAGCTGTGATATTTTCTAAACGGAAATTAATTCTTCAGGGTAAGCGTTGCTTCTCTGCTTTCTTCTCCTGCTGTTTCCTGGCTTATAATTAGTTTCTTATTCTTTACACCAGCCATGTGCTTCCAATTCATCAATCAGAATGAAGGACTGCATTTTGAGACAGGAAGAGTCATTTTCTAAGACCTGCCTCAAAGTCAAGATATTTTAAAGAGAAAAAGATTTAAGACAGGTTACAATAGCCAGACTGTGAGCTCCAGTCAGTGAAAGAGAATAAGCCATATGGGTTCCAAATGAAATAAAGGAATGAAGGCTGCCTGGACTATCCGGGGGTAGGGGGGCAGCCTCCTTATTTTATGTCCATTCATCATATCCACTCTGATATCCTCAGACACAGGGTAGAGACCACAGTCAGTCCATCCACCTATGGGACTGCCCTTTTAGATAGACTTGGGCCTTTAAAACTAGCATTAGAGGGGGAGCTTCTATGTGTCCTCACTCTAATGGGGGACCACGTTGACAGTATGCATTTCTTGGTATCAAAGTTAGCTCAGATGCCGTCTCCAACAGCCTTGAAAGACCTAGTTATTCCCCTTCCCTAGGTGTACAAATTTCTCAGGTAACTAGTCTTCGATCTTTTGGGGGAAAAGGCTCGGAGAATCACTGCCATATATACTTGCTAGAACATTACAAGGTTCTCCCTCAAGGCAATCTGCCTTCCCCTTCATTCAAAGGACTCTGAGTTGGAGAACAGGAGGAGCTGACATCATTCTTTCATTCATCTTCTCTTAATACGTTCCAATTACATATATATATATATATATATATATATATATATATGAGAGAGATATGTATTATGTATATATGAGAGAGATATACATATCTATATCTCATATATATCTCATATATATATCATATATATCTCATATATATCTCATATATATCATATATATCTCTCCCATATATATCTCATATATATATCTCATATATATATATATATATATGGGAGAGATATATATGTATATATGGAATACATATGTGGAATACCACTGTGGTAGCCCAATTTCCTTACCCCTAGGAACACTGTGGTTTATTAGCTGTCACCCCAGATTTCTGTAGAGCAGGGCTCCTTGGCTGCTTTTCTGGCTTTATGTCTTCTCACACTAATTCTGCCCATTTGGACTCTTATTTTGAAATTACATCATCTCCATTGACCCTTGGGAGCTAATTCCTTAACAGCGTCTCCTATAGTCAACCCTGCCCCACAGGGCACAGCTTCCACCAAGACTCTCAAGAACGCTGATTCCTCCCATTTCAGAACATGCCCTTCTTTCCTAATTCAGAGGGTTCTCTGGGCTCTCGCAGGGAATACAGTTATCCAGTGAGTTCTCAGGTTTAGTGGGAAAGTCCACTCTAGCATGCCTACCTCTCGAAGCCTTTTAATGCCTCCCTCTGTAACTGTGTCCAGGCAGCTCCAACATCTCCGTATCATGTCATGCGACCAAGGTTTCCTCCATGTTTCCAGGGAGCCATCCCAGGAGTGTCTAAGGACCAACACCAGGAGCCCTGTCAGGGTACTAAATTATGAAAGCACCCCCGTAGAATTAAACTCTGCTTCTTCAGGCTTACATTCCACAACCCACCACTGAGCACCCTCCAAGTCTGCTTCTAGGCACGTTCTCCATGTCGGCCCGGAGGTGTGAACTCCTTGAGTGGATAATCCTTTTTATCTCTCAGCAGGGCTGTAGTGTTCCTCAATGGCCCATGCTGAGACCTGATCCAAATTATCAGTCTAATATCCAGAGGGGACATGGAATGAATTCTGCTGCAGGGCAAGGGTCAGATCCTTCAGATACTTGCATTAGGGCAGGGATGCTTGAAATGGTTGAAAACCTATGATATGACCCACAAGTTGGCGTACCTATGACTATCACTTTTTTACCCATTCTCCTGCAGACCAATAGTACCATGATTTGTTATGTAGAAAAAAATGTCAGTGTGTCCAAAAGATAGCAGATCTGATACACGTTAGATGTCTTACTGAAGTGCAAAGTTGTTATTCCAACATTTATCCTGAGCAATGAATAAGCACTATTTTAGCCTATAGACAATAATTGGATAAATGCTTGAGTGAAG
Source organism: Homo sapiens (assembly GCF_000001405.40). Taxonomy (NCBI): domain Eukaryota; kingdom Metazoa; phylum Chordata; class Mammalia; order Primates; family Hominidae; genus Homo; species Homo sapiens. The sequence continues at coordinate 38,329,950 of NC_000007.14, forward strand.
CTAGTCTTCCCATATAGTCTCCTAAATGAATCCCTTTACAGACCAGTCCTTGAGGAATTTGTCTGTCTTAGGAAGCAGGTGGAATGGGTCTCCACCAGCCCATAGAAGAGCTGAAAGAACTTTGCTGTCAGCAAGGCTGCTTGGCTGACACAGCTGGGAGATTGTAGTTTGGTCTTTAGGTAACTCATGAGGGTGGGGTGGAGAACAGGGTGCAGCTGCCGCCAGGGGAGTGTGATATTAGGGGAGAGATGAGGAGTTAAGCTGTGTTTCTCTTTGTACAGAATACAGTGAATTCATGGGCAGGAAATGAGATGAGGCTGGTCTATCTTGTGTACCAGGAGTAGTCACAAGGCAGATTTTCAGTGTGGTGTAGCACAGGTCTGAATCACTGTGCCTATCCCAGGTGGCACAGTAATAGACCCCAGAGTCACGTTCAATTAGATTTTCCAGTATAAATTTAAGGCTCTTCCCTGTGCTTGCATAAGTATGATACTTTTCTCGACTGATTCCTGATTCCAACACAACCCTGGAGTTGTAGGAGTCATAGTACAGAAGACGCTGTGGGGCCTTCCCCTCCTGGTGTAGGTACCAGTGGGTGTAGACGGCATTTTCTACAGGAAGATCACAAGTGATTACAGCTGATGACCCAGTTGGCCTGGTGACTGACTTTGTTCTCCCTTCCAAGTTGGAAGATTTCTGACTGGCTGCAATGGGAACAACACAAAATGTAATGAGGCATTTCTTAGTATGGTATCCCTTGCAAAAGAAGAAAATAAACAAAACGAAACAAAATAAAACCTGTGAGCCTCTCTGTAGGCAGCACTCTTACCAGGAGGCAGGAAAGCTAGAAGCAGAGCTAGAGCCAACAGCATGCCTTCCTCTCTGGGGTCTTGGAAGTAAGGGACCAGACGAAGAGGAGCAGAAGACCCTCTCAAAACTCAGGTCCCACTCAACAAGGAAGTGATCCCTAACACAGAAGACAGTAGGAGGAGCTGGTCTTCCTGATTCACAGGCAGAGATAAGTGATTGAGGATCTGTCTTAGGGGACTCTGGGTGGTGCCTAGGAGGACCTGCAGAGGAGTTTCTGCCTCTCTGCTCAGGCCAGTTCTCCAGCGCCCTCTGTGGCGGCTGAGAGCAGGCCCTCTAAGGAAGAGAGCTCCGGGCATAGAGAGCTCAGGCCTGCAGCAGAGGGAGTGCAGATGTGGGGGAAGCTGACCCTGGAGTTAACAGGCTCAGACCTTAAAGGGGGTAGTCTCACAGCAGGTTCACACCCAGCACTTCAGAGTTTCAGCAAGTAAGGCAACTGCAAGACCCTCATTCTGCCGGGAAGCTTCTGATTAGGGCCCTAAACCACCATCCTTTTCACATCTGCAAGGACACTAGAGGCAACACCCAGGGTCACTCTGAGAGGGCCTGAACCTGCTTTATTAACAGGATCGAGGGTCAGGTATGTTGGTGGGTCTTGGACTCTCCTCTAAGGTAAATGGGTGTGTGGGGGTGGGGCGGGTGTTTGTGTGATCCTCTGTGAGTTTGTGTGTGTGTGTGTGTTGGGAGTGTATGCCTGTGTGTGTGATCTCTTTATTAGAGGATTTCCGTTCATTCAAGTAGAAGTGTGAGTTTTTTTTTTAAAGTAATACAGGGTGCCATGTCATGCAATATTTGGGACATACTTCAGCTAAAAACTTGTTATTTATCTGAACGTCCAAATTTCCTGAGTATTGCATATTTTACTTAGCAACCGTATCCTCAGAAAGCTGACTGATGTCTGCAGTGGACCTGGACTCATAGATGGAGATACAGGTGATAAAACAAGTATAGTAAAATAATTGTGAAAATTCAGTAGTGCATACACAGATTTTCACTTCGGTAAAAAAAAAAAAAAGTTTGGACACATGTTTAAGATATTCATAAAACGTAGAACAATGTCCCTCTTGGTTGTTGTTTTGGCCTAGCTCAGAGAGTTCAGTTTTTGCTGACATCACAGCTGGGAATGAGAAAGGCAGGGGGCTCCAGTTGGTCTCCCTCTGCCTCTCCACCACACGTACAGGACTTGAGGCTGCCAGGGGAGGAGCTCTGAAAGCTGAGTCATTGGGGTCCTTGTGAAGGAGGGAAGCTCACCTGCCTTGGAGCCAGGAAAATCCTGCCTGGGACAGAACTCTCATGGTTTAAAAATGAGAAGGGAGAGAACTGCCATCACATTAGAATGCACAGAAAATCCTTAAAACAAAAAAGTAATGAGAGAAACAATCTCCACTGGAATATAAAATGAACTACAAAACTACAGTGCTGAAGATGTAATGCCCAACCGTGTTTTTACTAACCCTGTTTTTAGACTCTCCCTTTTCCTTTAATCACCTGGCCTTGTTTCCACCTGAATTGACTCTCCCTTAGCTAAGAGAGCCAGACAGACTCCATCTTGGCTCTTTCACTGGCAGCCCCTTCCTCAAGGACTTAACTTGTGCAAGCTGACTCCCAGCACATCCAAGAATGCAATTAACTGATAAGATACTGTGGCAAGCTATATCCGCAATTCCCAGGAATCCATCTGATTGATAACGCCCAAAGCCCCAAGTCTATGACCTTGTAATAGTCTTAAAGCCCCTGCACCTGGAACTGTTTACTTTCCTGTAACCATTTATCCTTTTAACTTTTTGCCTACTTTATTTCTGTAAAATTGTTTTAACTAGACACCCCTCCCCTTTCCAAACCAAAGTATAAAAGAAAATCTAGCCCTTTCTTCGGGGCCGAGAGAATTTTGAGCATTAGCCGTCTCTTGGCCGCCGGCTAAATAAACGGAATCTTAATTTGTCTCAAAGTGTGGCATTTTCTCTAACTCATTCAGATACAACAAAGAGAGGACAATACTGGCACTAGACTGAAAAGATTCATGGAACACAGTGGAAAGTCCAGAAAGAGAGCCACGTGTATGTAATATTTTATCATGTCATAAAGTTGTATGTTAATATCCACAAGGAAATACTTGATTATTTACTATGTTCTCCTTTGGGAATTGACTTACCATATGGAAACAAATATCCTTGGGTTGCTAACTTAAAAGGTACAAATAGAGATTTAGTTGTAATAAAACTGAAAAAAGGAAATCAGACTTAAACGATGATGAATTGCACACTAATTGTAGGTGACATTGGTCTCGCTGAGCCTGACATCATAATACAGACCCTAGAAAAATTGATAGATTTTATTAAAAGTAATATACAAAGTTCAGTTCACCAAAAGGTGCTGAAAATAAATAATAGCAAATGATGAGAAATATTTTCAACACGTTTGATAAAGGATCAATATCTCGAAAATGGTGTATATTAATTCTTACAAACAAATAAGAAAAAATTAATACCCCAACAGAAGGATAGGCAAACAGTATGAAAAGGCAATTCACAAAAGAAGAAGTATAAATGGCCTATAAAATTGTAAAATAATGCTAGTATTCATAAAGATAAGAAAATGCAAATTGAATGAACAAATCTCATTTTCTGAACCCCAGAGCTTGGATTGCAATTGCTATCAAATTAAACTATATGACTTAGGGAATGTTAGTTAACCCCTCACTTTCTCATCTGCTATATTCAATGTTACTTAAACCCGTTGATAAGGTTTCTGTGAAGATTAAATAAAATATACATGTAATGTGCTTAGTACAGTAACTACCGGAAAGTCAGTACCCATATTTATCATCAGTATTATTATTATTGCTATAGTAATTATTGTATAAAAATTCCAGATAGATCATATCAAGTAATAAATGAATAAAATATTAATGAAATGATATGAATTTCTTTAGGCATACTTCTGAAGTATGTTCACCTTTCCAAGTAGGACACAAAATCCAGACACCAGAAACTAAAAGATTGATTGAAATGTATAAAAACAGAATATCAGAACAAAAACATAAATATGCCATTCAAATAGAAATAATGCATACTGCACATATATGACAAGCAAAAGAGGTATTTCTGTAATAGTGATAGACTTCTGAATAAATAAGAAAAAGTGAAAAAGTTCAACTGAACTAATAAAGATATTGTTACCTATAGGGTGAGACACAGAAGAGAAAAGAGAATTCTAGAATGGAAGCTAAAATCTCTAAATTGATCTTGTTTTATAATTTTGACTTCAGTTCCATGTAAAGGTTTTACATATACAAATCAAAATAATACAACAGATTTCCAAAATATAAAAATGAAAACTGAACGAATAAACTAGCTGTATCAAAGTTGGCATGAACATATAGAGAATGATTCTGTATTCTGATTGTGTGCCCAAAAAAGAAAGAAAGAGAGAGAAAAGGAAGAAAGGAAAAAAAGAAGGAAGTAAGAGAAGGAGGGAGGAAGAAAGGAAGGAAGTAAGGAAGGGAAGGAGAGAGGGAGGAAGAAAGAAAGGAAGGAAGTAAGGAAGGGAAGGAGAGAGGGAGGAAGAAAGGAAGGAAGGAAGGAAGGAAGGAAGGCAAGCTAGGGAGGGAGCTAGGGAGGGAGGGAGGGGAGGCCAGAAAAAGGGATGTGTAGAAAAATAGCAAGTAACCAAGAAAGTAGAGAGAGAGACAAAAAGGAAAGCAGAGGGAGACAATGTTCAACTGCATACCTAGGCTTAGTGTTATAGTGGTAATTATACTATTGCTTATATTGTTATAGACATAAAGAATAAGCAACACTCTCAGCTGTGATCTCTAGATATATGATTCAGTATAAATATCCTTCCCATTTGCTGTCCAAAATATCTCGCTTCGCAGTTGGACCCTAGGTGTACCTGTTGGTCCGAGGAAGCAGAGTGAGTGGGCCTCCCCCATGTCCTCGGAGAGCTGAGAGAGTCTTGCTCTCAGCCAGGCTGCTTGGCTGAGGCCTGAAGATGACAGCTTGTCTTCAGGAAAGTCCTGGGGGAGGGTGGGGAACAAGGTGCAGCTGCTGCCAGGAGAGTGTGATATTAGGGGAGAGATCAGGAATTATGCTGTGTTTCTCTTTGTACAGAATACAGTAAATTCGGTGGCAACAAATGAGAGGGGGCTGGTCTATCTTGTGTACCAGAAGCAGTCACAAGGCAGATTTTCAGTGTGGTGTAGGGCAGGTGTGAATCACTGTGCCTGTCCCAGGTGGCACAGTAATAGATCCAGAATCATTTTCAATTAGATTTTGCAGTATCAATTTCCAGCTCCTCCTCATGCTTGCATAAGTAAAATACTTTCCTCTACTGATTCTTGATTCCAACACAACCCTGGAGTAGTAGGGGTCATAGTATGGAAGATGCTGTGGGGCCTTCCCCGCCTGGTGCAGGTACCAGTGGATGTAGAAGGTATTTATTACAGTAAGATCACAAGTGATTACAGCAGATGACCCAGCTGGCCTGGTGACTGACTTCCTTCTCCCTTGCAAGTTGGAAGATTTCTGACTGGCTGCAATGGGAACAGCACAAAATATAATGAGGAACTCCTTAGAACGGCACCCCTTGCAAAATGAGAAAACAAAACAGAACAAAATAAAACCCATCAGCCTCTCTGTAGGCAGCACACTTACCAAGAGGCAGGAAAGCTAGAAGCAGGGCTGGGGCCCACCGCATGCCTTCCTCTCTGGGGTCTTGGAAGGAAAGGGACCAGATGAAGAGGAGCAGAAGACGCTTTCAAAACTCAGGTCCCACTCAAACAGGAAGTGTTCCCTAGCACAGAAGGCAGTAGGAGGAGCTGGTCTTCCTGAGTCACAGGCAGGGAGAAGTGATGGAGGATCTGTCTTAGGGGACTCCCCAGCCTTCCTCCCAGAGGGGTGGTGTCTGGGAGGACCTGCAGAGGAGCTCCTGCCTCTCTGCTCAGGCCCCTTCTCCAGCGCCATCTTGTGGCAGCAGAGAGCAGGCCCTCTGCAGAAGAGAGCCAGGGGCATGGAGAGCTCAGGCCTCCAGCAGAGGGAGTGCAGATGTGGGGAAAGCTGACCCTGGCGCCAGCTGGCCAGGGCCATAGGACGGGGCAGTCCACAGCAGGCTCACACCCTGCCCTTCAGAGTTTCAGCAGTTGATGCTGCTTCCAGGGCCTTGTCCTGTCAGGAAGCTTGATTTGGTCTTTCAACTGCTTTCCTTTTCACATTCGCAAGGACACTTGGAGGCAAAATACCCAGGGCCACTCTGAGAAGGCCTGAACCTGCTTTATTAACAGTGTAACACCTAAGGTTCTTGCCTAGCCACGCCATAGAATTGGTGTGGCGGCTGACCGCAGCGAGTGATAGAAACACGGACCGAGAGAGAGAAAAAGCTGTAGGCTTTATTGAGCAGAGTGAAAGTACAAAGCTTCCAAAGCATGGAGGGGGTCCAGAATGGGTAGCCAGAGTTAGATTATAGGATTGCCTTTTAAACTCTTCAAGGCGGGAAATACCTGAGGCGGGAAGATGTTACCAAAGCGAGAAACAAAGGCAATTAACCATTTGTAACATGTCTTAGATCTTGAGGAAAACCGGAATTGCAACTTAGGTTTTATCTACTTTATGACCTTGCAGCGTCATGGCAAAGGAGACAGGATCTTACAGGACTTTACAAAGTATGTTTACAAGGAATTGGAATTGGGAGTATAGATAAGGTCTGCTGGTTACAGAAAAACGGGCAGTTAACGTTATTTTACTTTAGTTTTGGGGCAGGGGGAAGGAAGAGAGGGAGAGAGAACACAGGGAAACTTACAGGAAAATTTTCGCTGTTCATAGCTTTCATGGGGAAGAAAACACATGCACAAATCCTGGTGTTCGGAATATTTTAAGCATATATCTTCAATATTATTCATCCAGGACCGAAGTAAGTCGTGATGCAGGAAATGAGTGCGTTTCACAGCTTGCTGAGCCCCTACTCGACCCAGGAAGCCCAGCTGGCCCCTCCTCTCAACAGGAGTGAGAATCAGGTATGTTGGTCGGCCATGGACTCTCCTCAATGGTAAATGGGTGTGTGGGGGTCAGGAGGGGGTGTGTGTGACCTTGTGTTTGTAACCTCTTTGTTAGAGGATTTCTGTTCATTCTCAAGTAAAAAGGCCACATCAAGTAGGAGTGTGAGATTGGCTCACGCCTGTATTCCCAGCACTTTGGGAGGCCGAGGTGGGCAGATCACGAGGTCAGGAGATTGAGACCATCCTGGCTAACACGATGAAACCCTGTCTCTACTAAAAATACAAAAAAATTAGCCGGTTGTGGGGGTGGGCACCTGTAGTCCCAGCTACTCAGGAGGCTGAGGCAGGAGAATGTTGTGAACCCGGGAGGTGGAGCTTGCAGTGAGCGGAGATTGTGCCATTGCACTCCAGCCTGGACAACAGAGTGAGACTCCGTCTCAAAAAAAGAAAAAAAAAAGTACAGGGTGCAGTGCCATATGCAATATGTGGTACATACTTGAACTCAAAACTTATTTGTTATTTATCTGAACTTCCAATTTACCTGGGTATTGCATATTTTATTTGGCAACTCTATCCTTGGAAAGCAGGCTAATATGTGCAGTGCACCTGGATTCATAGATGAAGATATGGGTGATAAAACAAGTAGAATAAAATAATTGGGAACATTCAGTAGTGTATACACAGATATTCACCTCCTCTATAACAAATATGTTTAGATTCATGTTTAAAATATTCCTAATAAGATGTAGAACAACATCCCTCTTGGTTGTGGTATTGGCTTAGCTCAGAGAATTCAGTTTCTGCTGTCATCACAGCTGGGAATGAGAAAGGGAGGGGCTCTGGTTGGTCTCCCTCTGCCTCTGGAGCACACGTGGAGGACATGAGGCTGCCGCAGGAGCAGCTCTGAAAGCTGAGTTCTTGGGGTCACTGTGAAGGAGGGAAGCTCAGGTGCCTTGAAGCCTGGAAAATCCTTGCTGGGACCGATGTCTCACGGTTTAAAAATTAGAAGGGAGAGATTTGCCATTACATTGCAATGCATAGAACACCCTTAAAACAAAAAAGCAATAAAGGAAAGTAACTCCACTGTAATGTCAAAAGAACTATACAGCTACAGTGCTGAAGAGACGGCAATACTGGCACTAGAATGAAAAGATTCATGGAACACACTGGAAAGTCCAGAAAGAGAGCCATGTGTATGTAATATTTTATCACATGATAAAGTTGTACGTTAATATCCTTGAGAAACTACTGGATTATGTAATAAGTTCTCTTTTGGGAATTGACTTACCATATGGAAACAATTTTTTTTTTTTTTTTTTTTTGAGACAGAGTCTCTCTCTGTCCCCCAGGCTGGAGTGCGGTGGCACAATCTCGGCTCACTGCAAGCTCCGCCTCCTGGGTTCACGCCATTCTCCTGCCTCAGCCTTCTCAGTAGCTGGGACTACAGGCACCTGCCAACATGCCCAGCTAATTTTTTATATTTTTAGTAGAGATGGGGTTTCACCGTGTTACCCCGGATAGTCTGGATCTCCTGATCTCGTGATTCACCCACCTCAGCCTCCCAAAGTGCTGGGATTACAGGCGTGAGCCACTGCACCCGGCCAGAAACAAATCTTCTTAAGTTACTATGTTGCCAGCTACAAATGGAGATTTTCTTGTAATAAAACTGAAAACAGAAAATCATTAGACTTTAACCATGATGAATTGCACACATATTGTAAGTGAGATTTGCCTCTCTGATCCTAACATCAAAATAGACCCCTTAGAAAAATTGATAGGTTTTATTAAAAGTAGTACACAAAGTTCAGTTCACCAAAAGGTGCTGAAAATAATAGCAAACCACGAGAAATATTTTCAATACATTTGATAAAGGATCAATATCTCTAAAATGAGGTGTATTAATTCTTACAAACCAATAAGAAAAAAATGATAACCAACAGAAGAATAGGCGAAGAGTATGAAATGGCAGTTGACAAAAGAAGAAGTATAAATGGCCTACAAAGTTGTTAAGTAATGCTAGCATTCACACAGGTAAGAAAATGCAAATTGAATTAACAAATCTCATTTTCTGAACCCCAGCGCTTGGATTGAAATTGCTATCGAATAAAGTATATGACTTAGGGAATGTTAGTTAAGCCCTTTATTTCTCATCTGGTGTATTCAATGGTACTTTAACCCCTCAATGGGGTTTCTGTGAAGATTAAATAAAACTTACATGCAATGTGATTAGTACAGTAACTACCAGAATGTCAGTACCCGTGTTTATCATTAGCATATTATTATTACTACGGTAATTATTGTATTAAAATTCCCAATAGATCAGAGATGCCATCATTAAATAGTCTATGAATAAAAGCATTCAAATAAATGATATGGACTTCTTTATTCATACTTATGAAGTGTATGCACTTTTAGAGGCAAGACACAAAATCTAGACACTGGAAGATAAAAGATTGATTAAAATGTATAAAACCTTATCAGAATGAAAATATAAATATGACGGTCAAATAGAAACAATATATACTGCACTATGACAAACAAAAGACTTTTCTGTAATACTGAAAGACTTGTTCTGAATAAGAAAAAGTGAAAAAGTTCAACTGAACTGATAAAAATATTGTTACCTATAGGGTCAGGGAGAGAAGAGGAAAGAGAAATCCAGAATGGGGCCTGGTGAGGTTGCTCATGCCTGTAATCCCAGCACTTAGGGAGGCCGAGGCAGGGGGATCATCTGAGGTCAGGAGTTCGAGACCAGCCAGGCCAACATGAGGAAACCCTGTCTCTACCAAAAATACAAAAATTAGCTGGATGTGCTGGCGGGCACCTGAAATCCCAGCTACTTGGGAGGCTGAGGTAGGAGAATCTCTTGAACCCAGGAGGCGGAGGTTGCAGTGAGCCGAGATTGCTCCACTGCACTCCAGCCTGAGTGACAGACTGAGAATCCGTCTCAAAAAAAAAAAAAAAAAAAAAAGAGAGAGAAAAAGAAATCTAGAATGTAAGTTAAAATCTCCAAATGCATCTTCGTTAAAATTATGACTTTAGTTCCATGTAAATAGTTTACATATGCAAAACAAATATGAAACAAAACAAAATAATACAACAAATGTCTAAAATTTTAAAATGAAAACTGAACAAATAAACTAGCTATATCAATGTTGGCATGAACATGTAAAGAAAAATTATTTCAAATGATTTTGTTGAAAAAATATTCGGATTATGTACCCAAAAAGGAAAGAAAGAGAGAGAAAAGCAAGGAAGGAAGAAATGAAAAAAGGAAGGAAGGAAGGGAGGGAGAGAGGGAGGGAGGGAGGGAGGGAAGAAAAAATAATAAAAGCAAGCAAGGAAGTAAGAAAGGAGAGAGAATAAAAGGGAGGGCAGAGGGAGAGAGTGTTTAACTGCATATCTAGGCCTAGTGTTTTAGTGGTATTTATAATATTGCCTATATTGTTATAGACATAAGGAGTAAGCAGCACTCTCAGCTGCGATCTCTGGACCATGATTGGATACATGATTCAGTATAAATACCCTTCCCATTTGCTGTCCAAAATATCTCGCTTCACAGCTGGACCCTAAGAAACAGAGTGAGTGGGCCTCCCCCATGTCCTAGGAGAGCTGAGAAAACCTTGCTCTCAGCCAGGCTGCTTAGCTGAGGCTTAGCTGAGATGGCAGCTTAGTCTTCAGGAAAGTCCTGGGGGAGGGTGGGGAACAGGGTACAGCTGCTGACAGGAGAGTGTAATATTAGGGGGGAGATCAGGAGTTAAGCTGTTTCTCTTTGTACAGAATACAGTAAATTCAGGGCAGGAAATGAGAGGGGACGGCTCTCTCTTGTGTACCAGAAGCAGCCACAAGACAGATATTCAGTGTGGTGTAGAGCAGGTCTGAATCACTCTGCCTGTCCTAGGTGGCACAGTAATAGACCCCAGAGGCATTTTCATTTAGTTTTGGAGGTATAAATTTCCAGCTTATCCTTCTACTTCCATAAGTATCATGCTTTCCTGACTGACTCCTGATTCCAACATATCCCTGGAGTTGCAGATGTCATAGTACAGAAGATGCTGTGGGGCCTTCCCCTCCTGGCGTAGGTACCAGTGGATGTAGAAGGCATTTTCTACAGGAAGATCACAGGTGATTACAGCAGATGACCCCATCTGCCTGGTGCCTGACTTTATTTTCGCTTCCAAGTTAGTAGATATCTGACTGGCTGCAATGGGAACAACATAAAATATAATGAGGTATTCCTTAGTATGGCGTCCCTTGCTAAAGAAGAAAAATCCAAAACAAAACCCAACCTGTGAGCCTCTCTGTAGGCAGCACACTTACCAAGAGACAGGAAAGCTAGAAGCAGGGCTAGGGCCCACCACATGCCTTCGTCTCTGGGGTCTTGAAAGAAAGGGCCCAGATGAACAGGAGCAGAAGATCCTCTCAAAACTCAGGTCCCACTCAACAAGGAAGTGATCCCTAGCACAGAAGGCAGTGGGGAAGGCTGGTCTTCCTGAGTCACAAGCAGGGAGAAGTGACTGAGGATGTGTCTTAGGGGACTCCCACGCCTTCCTTCCAGAAGGGTGGTGCCTGGGAGGACCTGCAGAGGAGCTCCTGCCTCTCTGCTCAGGCCAGTTCTGCAGCACCCTCTGTGGCAGCTGAGAGCAGGCCCTCTGCAGAAGAGAGCCAGGGGCATGGAGAGTTCAGGCCTCCAGCAGAGGGAGTGCAGATATGGGGAAAGCTGACCCCTGGAGTCAGCAGGCCCAGCCCTAGGAGGGGGCAGTCCCACAGCAGGCTCACACCCTGCCCTTCAGAGTTGCAGCAGCTAATGCTGATGCCAGGACCTTGTCCTGCCAGGAAGCCTCTGATTAGGGCTGTGAACCAACTTCCTTTTCACATCTGCAAGGACACTTGGAGGCAACTGCCCAAGGCCACTCTGAGGAGGGTTGAATGTTCTTTATTAAAAGGACTGAGGATCATGTGTGTTGGTGGGCCTTGGACTCTGCTCTAAGGTAAATGTGTGTGTGTGTGGCGGGGGGCGGGGGGGGGGGTGCCTGTAATCCTGTGGGTGTGATCTCTTTATTAGACAATTTTTGTTCATTAAAGTAGGAGTGTAAGTTTGTTTGTTTGCTTGTTTGTTTTTAAAGTAGTACTGGGTGCCATGTCATGAAATATTTGGAACATACTTGAACTAAAAACTTGTTATATATCTGAACTTCCAAATTCCCTGGGTATTGTATATTTTATTTGTCATCCCTACCCTCAGAAAGCAGACTAATATCTGCAGTGCACCTGGATTCACAGATGGAAATAAGGGGACAAAACAAGTACAGTAATATAATTGTGAAAATTCAGTAGGGCATGCACAGATTACCACCACCTCTGTAAGAAGTATATAGAGACACATGTTTGAAATATGCATAATGAGATGTAGAACAATGTCTCTCTTGGTTGTTGTGTTGTCCTAGCTCAAATTTTGCAGTTTCTGCTGTCATCACAGCTGGGAATGAGAAAGGGAAGGGGCTCCAGTTGGTCTCCCTCTGCCTCTGGAGCACACGTGGAGGACATGAGGCTTCCGCAGGAACAGCTCTGAAAGCTGAGTTCTCGGGTCCCTGTGAAGGAGGGAAGCTTGCCTGCCTTGGAGCGTGAAAAAGTCTTGCTGGACAGAAGTCTCACGGTTTAAAACTGGGAAGGGAGAGGATTGAGATCACACTAGAATGCACAGAAAATTCTTAAAACAAAAAAATGAGAGAAACTTCATCAGAATGTGAAAAGAACTATAAAGCTACAGTGCTGAAGAGAGGGCAATACTGGCACTAGAATGAGAAGATTCATGGAACACAGTGGAAAATGCAGTAAGAGAGCTGCATGTATGTAATATTTTATCATGTGATAAAGTGATATATTAATATTCACAAGGAAATAGTCAATTATTTAATAAGTTCTCTTTTTGGTATTGACTTACTGTATGGAAACAAATATTGTTGCATTTCTACCTTACTAGTTACAAATAGTGATTTAGTTGTAATAAAATGAAAATCATTAGACTTAAACGATGATGAATTGCATAGAAGTTCTAGGTGAGATTGGCCTTTCTAAGCCTGGCATCAAACTAGACACCCTAGAAAAATGGACAGATATTATTTTATTTTTCAAAGTTCAATTCACCATAGGTGCCAAATGTAAATAATAACACATGAGGAGTAATATCTTCAACACATTGGATAAAGGGTCAGTATCTCTAAAATAGTATATATTAATTCTTACGAACCAATAAGAAAAAATTAATCCTCCAAAAGGAGAATAGGCAAAGAGTATCACAAGGCGATTCTCAAAAGAAGAACTATAAATGACCTATAACGTTGTCAAATATTGCTAGTACTCCTAAAGATGGGGGAATGCAAATCAAATTAACAAATCTCATTTTCAGAACCACAGAGCTTGGATTGCCATCATTATTAAATTAAAGTATATGACTTAGGGAATGTTAATTAACCCCCCAATTTCTTATGTTACATTCAACGGTACTTTAAACCCTTAATGAAGTTTCTGTGTAGATTAAATAAAATGTGCATGCAATGTGCTTAGTACATTAACTACCAGAATGTCAGCACCCATATGTACCATCAATATTATTATTATCATTATTCATTTTTTTGAGACAGAGTCTCACTCTATTGCCCAAACTGGACTGTAGTAGTGTGATATTAGCTCACTGAAACCTTCACCTTCCTGGCTCTAGAAATTCTCCTGCCTCAGCATCCAAAGTAGCTGGGATTACATGTGTGCGCCACAACAGCCGGCTAATTTTTTGTATATTTAGTAGAGACAGGGTTTCACCATGTTGGCTGAGCGGGTCCAAATCTCCCGGCCTAAGTGATCCTAATGACTGGACTGGCCAAATGCTGGGATTACATGCATGAGCCACCGGGCGTGGCCAGTATTATTGTTATTAATACAGTAATTATTGTATAAAAATTCCTGATGGATCAATGATGCCATCATTAAATAATCAACACATAAAAACATTCAAATAAATGATATGGACGTCTTTATGCATACTTATGAAGTATGTGCACCTTTAGAAGTAAGACACACAATCCAGACACAGGAAAATATAAGATTTATTAAAATGTATAAAAACCAAATATCAGAATGAAAATATAAATATGGCATTGAAATAGAAACAATACATACTCTGCTATGACAAACAGAGTGAAACAGCTCAAGTGAACTGACAAAAATATTGTTACCTGTAGTGTCAGGGAGAAAAGAGGAACAAGAAATCTACAATGGAAGCTAAAATCTTCAAATGCATCACCTTTTATGATTTTGACTTCAGTTCCATGTAAATATTTTATATATACAAAACAGATTTGAAACAAAACAAAGTAATACAACAAATTTCCAAAATGTAAAAATGAAAACTGAACAGTTAAACTAGCTGTATAAATGTTGGCATGAACAAATAGAGAAAAATTATTTCAAATGATTTTGTGGAAAAAGTATTCTCATTATGTACCCAAAAAGGAAAGAAAGAGAGAGAAAAACAAGGAAGGAAGGAGGAAAACAAGGAAGGAGAATGGATGGAAGGAAACAAGGGAGGAAGGGAGGAAAGGATGGATGGAGGGAGGGAGTTAGGGAGGGAGAGAAAAATAAAAACAAGCAAAGAAGTAAGAAAAAAGAGAGAGAGAATAAAAGGGAGGGCAGAGGGAGAGAATGTTCAACTGCATACCTAGGCCTAGTGTTTTAGTGGTCATTATACTATTGCTTATATTGTTATAGACATAAGGAATAAGCACCACTCTCAGCTGTGATCTCTGGACCATGACTGGATAAATGATTCAGTATAAATAACCTTCCTATTTGCTGTCCAAAATATCTAGATTCGCAGCTGGACCCTAGTTGTACCTGTCTGTCATAGGAAGCAGAGTGAGTGGGCCTCCCCCATGTCCTAGGAGAGCTGAGAGAACCTTACTCTCAGCCAGGCTGCTTAACTGAGGCCCGGAGATGGCAGCTTGATCTTCAGGAAAGTTGTGGGGGAGGGGTAGGGAACAGGGTGCAGCTGCTGCCAGGACAGTGTGATATTAGGAGGGAGATCAGGAGTTAAGCTGTCTTTCTCTTGTTCAGAATACAGTAAATTTGGTGGCAGGAAATGAGAGGGGGCGGCTCTATCTTGTGTACCAGAGGCAGCCACAAGGCAGATGTTCAGTGTGGTGTAGGGCAGATCTGAATCACTGTGCCTGCCCCAGGTGGCACAGTAATAGACCCCAGAATCATTTTCAATTAGATTTTGCAGTCTCAAATTCCAGCTCCACCTCCTCGGTGTATGAGTATAATACTTTCCAAGACTGAGACCTGATTCCAACACATCCCTTGAGTTGGAGACATCATAGTGCAGAAGATGCTGTGGGGTCTTCCCCTCCTGCTGTAGGTACCAGTGGATGTAGACGGCATTTATTACAGTAAGGTCACAAGTGATTTCAGCAGATGACCCAGTCGGCCTGGTGACTGACTTCATTCTCCCTTCCAAGTTGGAAGATTTCTGACTGGCTGCAATGGGAAAAACATAAAATATAATGAGGTATTCCTTTGTATGGCACCCCTTTCAAAAGAAGAAAACAAAACAAAACCCAACCTGTGAGCCTCTCTGTAGGCAGCACACTCACCAGGATACAGGAAAGCTAGAAGCACCGCTAGGGCTCACCGCATGCCTTCCTTTCTGGGGCCTTGGAAGGAAAGGGACCAGATGAAAAGGAGTAGAAGATCCTCTCAAAACTCAGGTCCCACTCAACAAGGAAGTGATCCCTAGCACAGAAGACAGTAGGAGGAGCTGGTATTCCTGAGACACAGGCAGAGAGAAGTGACTGAGGATGTGTCTTAGGGGACTCCCAAGCCTTCCTCCCAGAAGGGGTGGTTCCTGGGAGGACCTGCAGAGGAGCTCCTGTGTCTCCTCAGGCCCTTTCTTCGGCGCCCTCTTGTGGCAGCTGAGAGCAGGCCCAGGGCAGAAGGGAGGCAGGGGCATTGAGAGTTCAGGCCTCCAGCAGAGGGACTGCAGATTTAGGGGAAGCTGACCCTGGAATTAACAGGCTCAGACCTTGGAGGGGGCAGTCCCACAACAGGCTCCTACCCTGCCCTTCAGAGTTGCAGCAGCTAATGCTGATGCCAGGACCTTGTCCTGACAGGAAGCCTCTGATTAGGGCCCTGAACCAAGTTCCTTTTCGCATCTGCAGACACATGGAGGCAACCACTCAAGGCCACTCTGAGAAGGGTTGAACGTGCTTTAAATTAAAAGGACTGAGGATCATGTGTGTTGGTGTGTCTTGGACTCTGCTCTAAGGTAAATGTGTGTGTGTGTTGGGGGGGGTGAGTTGTGCCTGTAATCCTGTGTGTGTGACCTCCTTATTAGAGGATTTTTGTTCATTAAGTAGGAATGTGAGTTTGTTTGTTTGCTTGTTTGTTTTTAAAGTAGTACTGGGTGCCATGTCATGCAACATTTGGAACATACTTAAACTAAAAACTTGTTATTTATCTGAACTTCCAATTCTCTGCGTATTGTATATTTTATTTGTCATCCCTACCCTCAGAAAGCAGACTAATATCTGCAGTGCACCTGGATTCACAGATGAAAATAAGGGGACAAATCAAGTACAGTAATATTATTGTGAAAATTCAGTAAGGCATTCACAGATTATCACCACCTCTGTAAGAAGTATATAGAGACACATGTTTGAAATATGCATAATGAGATGGAGAACAGTGTCCCTCTCAGTTGTTGTGTTGGGCTAGCTCAGAGAATTCAGTTTCTGCTGTCATCACAGCTGGGAATGAGAAAGGGAGGGGGCTCTGGTTGGTCTCCCTCTGCCTCTGGAGCACACATGCAGGACAAGAGGCTGCTGTAGGAGCAGCTCTGAAAGCTGAGTTCTCGGGTCCTTGTGAAGGAGGGAAGCTTGCCTGCCTTGGAGCGTGAAAAAGTCTTGCTGGACAGAAGTCTCATGGTTTAAAAATGGGAAGGGAGAGGATTGAGATCACACTAGAATGCACAGAAAATTCTTAAAACAAAAAAATAATGAGAGAAATTTCATCAGAATGTGAAAAGAACTATAAAGCTACAGTGCTGAAGAGAGGGCAATACTGGCACTAGAATGAGAAGATTCATGGAACACAGTGGAAAATGCAGTAAGAGAGCTGCATGTATGTAATATTTTATCATGTGATAAAGTGATATATTAATATTCACAAGGAAATAGTCAATTATTTAATAAGTTCTCTTTTAGGTATTGACTTACCATATGGAAACAAATATTGTCGCATTTCTACCTTACCAGTTACAAATAGTGATTTAGTTGTAATAAAATGAAAATCAATAGACTTAAACGATGATGAATTGCATACAGATTCTGGGTGAGATTGGCCTTTCTAAGCTGACATCAAACTAGACTCCCTAGAAAAATTGATGGGTTTTATTGTTTTTTTTTCAAAGTTGAATTCACTAAAAGGTGCCAAATGTAAATAATAACAAATGAGGAGTAATATCTTCAACACATTGGATAAAGGGTCATCATCTCTAAAATAGTACATATTAATTCTTACGAACCAATAAGAAAAAATTAATCCTCCAAAGGGAGAATAGGCAAAGAGTACGACAAGGCAATTCTCAAAAGAAGAATTATAAATGACCTATAACGTTGTCAAATATTGCTAGTACTCCTAAAGATGGGGGAATGCAAATCGAATTAACAAATCTCATTTTTGGAACCACAGAGCTTGGATTGCTATCATAATCAAATTAAAATATATGGCTTAGGGAATGTTAATTAACCCCCCATTTTCTTATGTTTCATTCAACAGTACTTTAAACCCTTAATGAAGTTTCTGTGTAGATTAAATAAAATATGCATGTAATGTGCTTAGTACATTAACTACCAGAATGTCAGCACCCATATGTACCATCAATATTATTATTATCATTATTCATTTTTTTGAGAGAGAGTCTCACTCTATTGCCCAAACTGGACTGTAGTAGTGTGATCTTAGCTCACTGAAACCTTCACCTTCCAGGCTCTAGAGATTCTCCTGCCTCAGCATCCAAAGTAGCTGGGATTACATGTGTGCGCCACTACAGCCGGCTAATTTTTTGTATTTTTAGTAGAGACAGGGTTTCACCATGTTGGCTAAGCTGGTCGCAATCTCCTGGCCTAAGTGATCGTAATGACTGGACCACCCAAATGCTGGGATTACAGGCATGAGCCACCGGGCCTGGCCAGTATTATTATTACTAATACAGTAATTATTGTATAAAAATTCCTGATAGATCAATGATGCCATCATTAAATAATCAATGCATAAAGACATTCAAATAAATGATATGGACGTCTTTATGCATACTTATGAAGTATGTGCACCTTTAGAAGTAAGACACACAATCCAGACACGGGAAAATATAAGATTGATTAAAATGTATAAAAACCGAATATCAGAATGAAAATATAAATATGGCATTGAAATAGAAACAATACATACGGCACTATGACAAACAGTGAAAAAGCTCATGTGAACTGCCAAAAATATTGTTACCTATAGTGTCAGGGAGAAAAGAGGAACGAAAAATCTACAATGGAAGCTAAAATCTTCAAATGCATCATCTTTTATAATTTTGGCTTCAGTTTCATGTAAACGTTTTATATATACAAAACAGATATGAAGCAAAACAAAGTAATACAACACATTTCCAAAATGTAAAAATGAAAACTGAACAATTAAACTAGCTGTATAAATGTTGGCATGAACAAATAGAGAAAAATTATATCAAATGATTTTGTGGAAAAAGTATTCTGATTATGTACCCAAAAAGGAAAGAAAGAGAGAGAAAAGCAAGGAAGGAAGGAAGGAAAACAAGGAAGGAGAATGGATGGAAGGAAACAAGGGAGGAAGGGAGGAAAGGATGGATGGAGGGAGGGAGTTAGGGAGGGAGAGAAAAATAAAAACAAGCAAAGAAGTAAGAAAAAAGAGAGAGAGAATAAAAGGGAGGGCAGAGGGAGACCATGTTCAACTGCATACCTGGGCCTAGTGTTTTAGTGGTCATTATAGTATTGCTTATGTTGTTATAGACATAAGGAATAAGCACCACTCTCAGCTGTGATCTCTGGACCATGACTGGATACATGATTCAGTATAAATACCCTTCCCATTTGCTGTCCAAAATATCTCGCTTCACAGCTGGACCCTAGTTGTACCTGTGTGTCATAGGAAGCAGAGTGAGTGGGCCTCCCCCATGTCCTAGGAGAGCTGAGAGAACCTTGCTCTCAGCCAGGCTGCTTAGCTGAGGCCTGGAGATGGCAGCTTGATCTTCAGGAAAGTTGTGGGGGAGGGGTGGGGAACAGGGTGCGGCTGCTGCCAGGACAGTGTGATATTAGGAGGGAGATCAGGAGTTAAGCTGTCTTTCTCTTGTTCAGAATACAGTAAATTTGGTGACAGGAAATGAGAGGGGGCGGCTCTATCCTGTGAACCAGAGGCAGCCACAAGGCAGATTTTCAGTGTGGTGTAGGACAGGTCTGAATCACTGTGCCTGTCCCAGGTGGCACAGTAATAGACCCCAGAATCATTTTCAATTAGATTTCGTAGTATCAATATCCAGCTCCACCTCCTGGGTGTATGAGTATAATACTTTCCTGGACTGAGTCCTGATTCCAACACATCCTTTGAGTTGGAGACGTCATAGTACAGAAGACGCTGTGGGGCCTTCCCCTCCTGGTGTAGGTACCAGTGGATGTAGAAGGCATTTATTACAGTAAGGTCACAAGTGATTTCAGCAGATGACCTAGTCGGCCTCGTGACTGACTTCGTTCCCCCTTCCAAGTTGGAAGATTTCTGACTGGCTGCAATGGGAACAACACAAAATTTAATGAGGTATTCCTTTGTATGGCACCCCTTTCAAAAGAAGTAAACAAAACAAAACCCAACCTGTGAGCCTCTCTGTAGGCAGCGTACTCACCAGGAGACAGGAAAGCTAGAAGCACCAGTAGGGCCCACCGCATGCCTTCCTCTCGGGGGCCTTGGAAGGAAAGGGACCAGATGAGGAGGAGCAGAAGATCCTCTTAAAACTCCGGCCCCACTCAACAAGGAAGTGATCCCTAGCACAGAAGACAGTAGGAGGAGCTGGTCTTCCTGAGTCACAGGCAGAGAGAAGTGACTGAAGATGTGTCTTAGGGGACTCCCAAGCCTTCCTCCCAGAAGGGGTGGTGCCTGGGAGGACCTGCAGAGGAGCTCCCGCATCTCCTCAGGCCCTTTCTTCTGCGCCATCTTGTGGCAGTTGAGAGCAGGCCCAGGGCAGAAGGGAGGCAGGGGCATTAAGAGCTCAGGCCTCCAGCTGAGGGACTGCAGATGTTGGGTAAGCTGACCCTGGAATTAACAGGCTCACACCTTGGAGGGGGCAGTCCCATAGCAGGCTCCCACCCTGCCCTTCAGAGTTGCAGCAGGTAATGCTGATGCCAGAACCTTGTCCTGACAGGAAGCCTCTGATTAGGGCCCTGAACCAAGTTCCTTTTCGCATCTGCAGACTCATGGAGGCAACCACTCAAGGTCACTCTGAGAAGGGTTGAACGTGCTTTATTAAAAGGACTGAGGATCATGTGTGTTGGTGTGTCCCGGAGTCTGCTCTAAGGTAAATATGTGTGTGTGTGTGTTGGGGGGGCAGGGGTTGTGCCTGTAATCCTGTGTGTGTGACCTCCTTATTAGAGGATTTTTGTTCATTAAAGTAGGAGTGTGAATTTGTTTGTTTGCTTGTTTGTTTTTAAAGTAGTACTGGGTGCCATGTCATGCAATATTTGGAACATACTTAAACTAAAAACTTGTTATTTTTCTGTACTTCCAATTCCCCCGGTATTGTATATTTTATTTGTCATCCCTACCCTCAGAAAGCAGACTAATATCTGCAGTGCACCTGGATTCACAGTTGGAAATATAGGGGACAAAAAAAGTATAGTAATATTATTGTGAAAATTCAGTAAGGCATAGGCAGATTATCACCACCTCTGTAAGAATATATAGAGACACATGTTTGAAAGATGCATAATGAGATGTAGAACAGTGTCTCTCTCAGTTGTTGTGTTGTCCTAGCTCAGAGAATTCAGTTTCTGCTGTCATCACAGCTGGGAATGAGAAAGGGAGGGGGCTCCGGTTGGTCTCCCTCTGCCTCTGGAGCACACGTGCAGGACATGAGGCTGCTGTAGGAGCAGCTCTGAAAGCTGAGTTCTCGGGGTCCTTGTGAAGGAGGAAAGCTTCCATGCCTTGGAGCATGAAAAAGTCTTGCTGGACAGAAGTCTCATGGTTTAAAAATGGGAAGGGAGAGGATTGAGATCACACTAGAATGCACAGAAAATTCTTAAAACAAAAA
Source organism: Homo sapiens (assembly GCF_000001405.40). Taxonomy (NCBI): domain Eukaryota; kingdom Metazoa; phylum Chordata; class Mammalia; order Primates; family Hominidae; genus Homo; species Homo sapiens. The sequence goes on from NC_000007.14 coordinate 38,351,183, forward strand.
AATAATGAGAGAAATTTCATCAGAATGTGAAAAGAACTATAAAGCTACAGTGCTGAAGAGAGGGCAATACTGGCACTAGAATGAGAAGATTCATGGAACACAGTAGAAAATCCAGAAAGAAAGCCGCATGCATGTAATATTTTATCATGTGATAAAGTGATATGTTAATATCCACAAGGAAATAGTCAATTATTTTATAAGTTCTCTTTTGGGTATTGACTTACCATATGGAAACAAATATTATTGCATTTCGTTCTTACCAGATATAGATAGTGATTTAGTTGTAATAAAAACAAAATCATTACACTTAAACAATGATGAATTGCATAGAAATTCTAGGTGAGATTGGCCTTTCTAAGCTTGACATCAAACTAGACACCCTAGAAAAATTGATAGATTTTAATGCTTTTTTTTTCAAAGTTCAATTCACCAAAAGGTGCCAAATGTAAATAATAACAAATGAGGGGAAATATCTTCAACACATTCGATAAAGGGTCAGTATCTTTAAAATAGTGTATCTTAACTCTTACGAAATAATAAGAAAAAATTAATCCTCCAAGAGAGGAATAGGCAAAGAGTATGACATGGCAATTCACAAAAGAAGAACTATAAATAACCTATAAAGTTGTGAAATAATACTAGTACTCCCAAAGATGGGGGAATGCAAACTGAATTTACAAATCTCATTTTCGGAACCACAGAGCTTGGATTGCAATCATTATCAAATTAAAGCATATGACTTAGGGAATGTTAATTAACCGCCCAATTTCTAATGTTACATTCAACAGTACTTTAAACCTTAATGAAGTTTCTGTGTAGATTAAATAAAATATGCATGTAATGTGCTTAGTACATTAACTACCAGAATGTCAGTACCCATATGTACCATCAATATTATTATTATCGTTATTCATTTTTTTGAGACAGAGTCTCACTCTGTTGCCCAAACTGGACTGCAGTAGTGTGATATTAGCTCACTGAAAACTCCACCTACCAGGCTCTACAGATTCTCCTGCTTCAGCATCCAAGTAGCTGGGATTACATGTGTGTGCCACTACAGCCAGCTAATTTTTTGTATTTTTACTAGAGACAGGGTTTCACCACGTTGGCTGAGCTGGTCACAATCTCCCGGCCTAAGTGATCCTAACGACTGGACTGCCCAAATGCTGGGATTACAGGCATGAGCCACCGGGCCTGGCCAGTATTATTATTACTAATACAGTAATTATTGTATAAAAATTCCTGATAGATCAGTGATGCCATCATTAAATAATCAATGCATAAAAACATTCAAATAAATGATATGGACATCTTTATGCATGCTTATGAAGTATGTGCACCTTTAGAAGTAAGACACACAGTCCAGACACAGGAAAATATAAGATTGATTAAAATATATAGAAACTGAATATCAGAAAGAAAATATAAATATGGCATTCAAATAGAAAGAATACATACTCCGCTATGAAAAACAGAGTGAAACAGCTCAAGTGAACTGCCAAAAATATTGTTACCTATAGTGTCAGGGAGAAAAGAAGAATGAGAAGTCTACAATGGAAGCTAAAATCTTCAAATGCATCATCTTTTATGATTTTGACTTCACTTCCATGTAAATGTTTTATATATGCAAAACAGATATGAAACAAAACAAAGTAATACAACAAATTTCCAAAATGTAAAAAAGAAAACTGAACAATTAAAGTAGCTATATCAATGTTGACATGAACACATAGAGAAAAATTATTTCAAATGATTTTGTGGAAAAAGTATTCTGATTATGTACCCAAAAAGGAAAGCAAGAGAAAAGCAAAGAAGGAAGGAAGGAAAACGAAGGAGAATGGATGGAAGGAAAGAAGAGAGGAAGGGAGGGAAGGAGGGAGGGAGAGAGGGAGGGAAGGAGGGAGGGAAGGACGGAGGGAAGGAGGAAGGGAGAGAGAGAAAAATAATAAAAGCAAGCAAAGAATTAAAAAAAGAGAGAGAGAATAAAAGGGAGGGCAGAGGGAGAGAATGTTCAACTGCATACCTAGGCCTGGTGTTTCAGTGGTCATTATAGTATTGCTTACATTGTTATAGATATAAGGAATAAGCACCAGTCTCAGCTGCGATTTCTGGATCATGATGGGATACACAATTTAGTATAAATACCCTTCTCATTTGTTGTCCAAAATATCTTGCTTCACAGCTGGACCCTAGAGGTACCCATTTGTCCTAGGAAGCAGAGTGAGTGGGCTTCCGCCATGTCCTAGGAGAGCTAAGAGAACCTTGCTCTCAGCCAGGCTGCTTCTCTGAGGTTTAGCTGAGATGGTGGCTTGGTCTTCAGGGAAGTCCTGGGGGAGGGTGGGGAACAGGGTGCAGCTGCTGCCAGGGGAGTGTGATATTGCAGGGGAGATCAGGAGTTAAGCAATGTTTCTCTTGTTCAGCACACGGTAAATTTGGTGGCAGGAAATGAGAGGGGGCGGCTCTATCTTGTGTACCAGAAGCAGCCACAAGGCAGGTTTTCAGTGTGGTGTAGGGCGGATCTGAATCACTGTGCCCATCCCAGGTGGCACAGTAATAGACTCCAGAGTCATTTTCAATAAGATTTCGCAGTATCATTCTCAAGTTCTTCCTTGTGCTTCCGTAAGTATCATACTTCCCTGGGCTGATTCCTGATTCCAACACAACGCTGGAGGTGTAGGAGTCATAGTACAGAAGACGCTGTGGGGCCTTCCCCTCCTGGTGTAGGTACCAGTGGATGTAGCCGGTACTTCCTTCAGCAAGATCACAAGTGATTTCAGCAGATGACCCAGTCTGCCTGATGACTGACTTCGTTCTCCCTTCCAAGTTGGAAGATTTCTGACTGGCTGCAATGGGAACAACACAAAATATAATGAGGAATTCCTTAGTATGGCAATCCTTGCAAAAGAAGAAAATAAAGAAAACAAAACCCATGATCCTCTCTGTAGGCAGCGCACTCACCAGGAGACAGGAAAGCTAGAAGCACCGCTAGGGCCCACTGCATGCCTTCCTCTCTGAGGCCTTGGAAGGAAAGGGACCAGATGAAGAGGAGCAGAAGATCCTCTTAAAACTCAGGCCCCACTCAACAAGGAAGTGATCCCTAGCACAGAAGACAGTAGGAGGAGCTGGTCTTCCTGAGACACAAGCAGAGAGAAGTGACTGAGGATCTGTCTAAGAGGACTCCCAAGCCTTCCTCCCTCCCAGAAGGATTGGTGCCTGGGAGGACCTGCAGAGGAGCTCCTGCCTCTCTTGCTCAGGTCCGTTCTCCGGCGCCCTCTTGTGGCAGCTGAGAGCAGGCCCTCTGCAGAAGAGAGCCAGGGGCCAGGAGAGCTCAGGCCTGCAGCAGAGGGAATGCAGATGTAGCGGAAGCTGACCCTGGAGTCAGCAGGCCCAGCCCTAGGAGGGGGCAGTCCCACAGCAGGCTCACACCCTGCCCTTCAGAGTTGCAGCAGCTAATGCTGATGCCAGGACCTTGTCCTGCCAGGAAGTCTCTGATTAGGGAACTGAACCACCTTCCTTTTGGCATCTGCAAGGACACTTGGAGGCACCACGCAAAGCGTGTGTTTATTGCGGCACTATTCACGATAGCAGAGACTTGGAACCAACCCAAATGTCCATCAGTGATAGACTGGATTAAGAAAATGTGACACATATACACCATGGAATACTATGCGGCCATAAAAAGGGATGCGTTCATGTCCTTTGTAAGGACATGGATGAAGCTGGAAACCATCATTCCGAGCAAACTATTCCAAGGACAGAAATCCAAACAGTGCATGTTCTCGCTCGTAGGTGGGAATTGAACAATGAGAACACTTGGACACAGAGTGGGGGAACATCACGCACTGGGGCCTGTAGTGGGGTGGGGGCAGGGGGGAGGGATAGCATTAGGAGATATACCTAATGTAGATGACAAGTTGATGGGTGCAACAAACCAACATGGCACATGTATACATATGTAACAAACCTGCACGTTGTGCAAATGTACCCTAGCACTTAAAGTATAATAAATATAAATAAATAAAGAAATAATAAAAATAAAAGAACTGAGGATCATGTGTGTTGGTTGGTCTTGGACTCTGCTCTAAGATAAAGGTGTGTGTGTTGGGTGTGTGTGTGTGTGTGTGTTTGTGTGTGTGTGATCCTGTGGTTGTGATCTCTTTATTAGAGGATTTTTGTTCATTGAAGTAGGAGTGTGAGTTTTTTTTGTTTTTTTTTTTCTAAGTAGTTCAGGGTGCCATGTCATGCAATATTTGGAACATACTTAAACTAAAAACTTGTTGTTTACCTGAACTTCCAAATTGTTTGGTATTGTATATTTTATTTGTCAGCCCTACCCTCAGAAAGGGGACTGAGATCTGCAGTACACCTGGATTCACAGATGGAAATATAGGGGACAAAGGAAGTACAGTAATATAATTGTGAAAATTCAGTAAGGCATACACAGATTATCACCACCTCTGTAAGAAGTATATAGAGACACATGTTTGAAAGATGCATAATGAGATGTAGAACAATATTCCTCTCAGTTGTGGTATTGGCCTAGCTCACAGAGTTCGGTTTCTGCTGTCTTCACAGCTGGGAATGACAGGTGGGAATGAGAAAGGGAGGGGGCTCCGGTTGGTCTCCCTCTGCCTCTGGAGCACACGTGCAGGACATGAGGCTTCCACAGGAACAGCTCTGAAAGCTGAGTTCTCGGGTCCTTGTGAAGGAGGGAAGCTTGCCTGCCTTGGAGCGTGAAAAAGTCTTGCTGGACAGAAGTCTCACGGTTTAAAAATGGGAAGGGAGAGGATTGAGATCACACTAGAATGCACAGAAAATTCTTAAAACAAAAAAATAATGAGAGAAACTTCATCAGAATGTGAAAAGAACTATAAAGCTACAGTGCTGAAGAGAGGGCAATACTGGCACTAGAATGACAAGATTCATGGAACACAGTGGAAAATCCAGAAAGAGAGCTGCATGTATGTAATATTTTATCATGTGATAAAGTGATATGTTAATACCCACAAGGAAATAGTCAGTTATTAAATAAGTTCTCTTTTTGGTATTGACTTACCACATGGAAACAAATATTGTTGCATTTCTACCTTACTAGTTACAAATAGTGATTTAGTTGTAATAAATAGAAAATCATTAGACTTAAACGATGATGAATTGCATAGAAATTCTAGGTGAGATTGGCCTTTCTAAGCCTGACATCAAACTAGACACCCTAGAAAAATTGATAGCTTTTATTGTTTTTTTTTCAAAGTTGAATTCACCAAAAGGTGCCAAATGTAAATAATAACAAATGAGGAGAAATATCTTCAACACATTGGATAAAGGGTCAGTATCTCTAAAATGGTGTATATTAATTCTTACGAACTAATAAGAAAAAACTAATCTTCCAAAAAAAGAATAGGAAAAGAGTATGACAAGGCAATTCTCAAAAGAAGAACTATAAATGACCTGTAAAGTTGTAAAATGATGCTAGTACTCCTAAAGATGGGGGAATGCAAACCAAATTAACAAATCTCATTTAGGAACCACAGAGCTTGCATTGCAATCATTATCAAGATAAAGTATATGACTTAGGGAATGTTAATTAACCCCCCAATTTCTAATGTTACATTCAACAGTACTTTAAAACCTTAATGAAGTTTCTGTGTAGATTAAATAAAATGTGCATGCAATGTGCTTAGTACGTTAACTACCAGAATGTCAGTACCCATATTTACCATCAATATTATTATTATTATTAGTCTTTTTGAGACAGAGTCTCGCTGTGTTGCCCAAACTGGACTGCAGTAGTGTGATCTTAGCTCACTGAAAACTCCAACTTCCAGGTTGAAGAGTTTCTCCTGCCTCAGCATCCAAAGTAGCTGGGATTACATGTGTGCGCCACTACAGCCGGCTAATTTTTTGTATTTTTAGTAGAGACAGGGTTTCACCATGTTGGCTAAGCTGGTCGCAATCTCCCGGCCTAAGTGTTCCTAACGACTGGACTGCCCAAATGCTGGGATTACAGGCATGAGCCACCGGGCCTGGCAAGTATTATTATTACTAATACAGTAATTATTGTATAAAAATTCCTGATAGATCGATGATGCCATCATTAAATAATCAACGCATAAAAACATTCAAATAAATGATATGGACTTCTTTATGCATACTTATGAAGTACGTGCACCTTTAGAAGTAAGACACACAGTCCAGACACGGGAAAATATAAGATTGATTAAAATGTATAAAAACCAAATATCAGAACGAAAATATAAATATGGCATTAAAATAGAAACAATACATACTCCGCTATGACAAACAGTGAAAAAGCTCAAGTGAACTGCCAAAAATATTGTTACCTATAGTGTCAGGGAGAAAAGAGGAACGAGAAATCTACAATGGAAGCTAAAATCTTCAAATGCATCATCTTTTATAATTTTGGCTTCAGTTTCATGTAAATGTTTTATATATACAAAACAGATATGAAGCAAAACAAAGTAATACAACAAAATTCCAAAATGTGAAAAAGAGAACTGAACAATTAAACTAGCTGTATGAATGTTGGCATGAACATATAGAGAAAAATTATATCAAATGATTTTGTGGAAAAAGTATTCTGATTATGTACCCAAAAAGGAAAGAAAGAGAGAGAAAAGCAAGGAAGGAAGGAAGGAAAACAAGGAAGGAGAATGGATGGAAGGAAACAAGGGAGGAAGGGAGGAAAGGATGGATGGAGGGAGGGAGTTAGGGAGGGAGAGAAAAATAAAAACAAGCAAAGAAGTAAGAAAAGAGAGAGAGAATAAAAGGGAGGGCAGAGGGAGACCATGTTCAACTGCATACCTGGGCCTAGTGTTTTAGTGGTCATTATAGTATTGCTTATGTTGTTATAGACATAAGGAATAAGCACCACTCTCAGCTGTGATCTCTGGACCATGAGTGGATACATGATTCAGTATAAATACCCTTCCCATTTGCTGTCCAAAATATCTCGCTTCACAGCTGGACCCTAGTTGTACCTGTGTGTCATAGGAAGCAGAGTGAGTGGGCCTCCCCCATGTCCTAGGAGAGCTGAGAGAACCTTGCTCTCAGCCAGGCTGCTTAGCTGAGGCCTGGAGATGGCAGCTTGATCTTCAGGAAAGTTGTGGGGGAGGGGTGGGGAACAGGATGCAGCTGCTGCCAGGACAGTGTGATATTAGGAGGGAGATCAGGAGTTAAGCTGTCTTTCTCTTGTTCAGAATACAGGAAATTTGGTGGCAGGAAATGAGAGGGGGCGGCTCTATCTTGTGTACCAGAGGCAGCCACAAGGCAGATTTTCAGTGTGGTGTAGGACAGGTCTGAATCACTGTGCCTGTCCCAGGTGGCACAGTAATAGACCCCAGAATCATTTTCAATTAGATTTTGCAGTCTCAATATCCAGCTCCACCTCCTGGGTGTATGAGTATAATACTTTCCTGGACTGAGTCCTGATTCCAACACATCCCTTGCGGTGGAGACGTCATAGTACAGAAGACGCTGTGGGGCCTTCCCCTCCTGGTGTAGGTACCAGTGGATGTAGAAGGTATTTGTTACAGTAAGATCGCAAGTGATTTCAGCAGATGACCCAGTCTGCCTGGTGACTGACTTCGTTCTCCCTTCCAAGTTGGAAGATTTCTGACTGGCTGCAATGGGAACAACACAAAATACAATGAGGTATTCCTTTGTATGGCACCCCTTTCAAGAAGAAAACAAAACAAAACCCAACCTGTGAGCCTCTCTGTAGGCAGCGTACTCACCAGGAGACAGGAAAGCTAGAAGCACCAGTAGGGCCCACCGCATGCCTTCCTCTCGGGGGCCTTGGAAGGAAACGGACCAGATGAAGAGGAGCAGAAGATCCTCTTAAAACTCAGGCCCCACTCAACAAGGAAGTGATCCCTAGCACAGAAGACAGTAGGAGGAGCTGGTTTCCTGAGACACAGGCAGAGAGAAGTGACTGAAGATGTGTCTTAGGGGACTCCCAAGCCTTCCTCCCAGAAGGGGTGGTGCCTGGGAGGACCTGCAGAGGAGCTCCTGCATCTCCTCAGGCCCTTTCTTCGGCGCCCTCTTGTGGCAGCTGAGAGCAGGCCCAGGGCAGAAGGGAGGCAGGGGCATTAAGAGCTCAGGCCTCCAGCTGAGGGACTGCAGATGTTGGGTAAGCTGACCCTGGAATTAACAGGCTCACACCTTGGAGGGGGCAGTCCCATAGCAGGCTCCCACCCTGCCCTTCAGAGTTGCAGCAGGTAATGCTGATGCCAGAACCTTGTCCTGACAGGAAGCCTCTGATTAGGGCCCGGAACCAACTTCCTTTTCGCATCTGCAGACTCATGGAGGCAACCACTCAAGGCCACTCTGAGAAGGGTTGAACGTGCTTTAAATTAAAAGGACTGAGGATCATGTGTGTTGGTGTGTCCTGGACTCTGCTCTAAGGTAAATGTGTGTGTGTGTTTGTGTGTGGGGGTTGTGCCTGTAATCCTGTGTGTGTGACCTCCTTATTAGAAGATTTTTGTTCATTAAAGTAGGAGTGTGAATTTGTTTGTTTGCTTGTTTGTTTTTAAAGTAGAACTGGGTGCCATGTCATGCAATATTTGGAACATACTTAAACTAAAAACTTGTTATTTATCTGAACTTCCAATTCCCCCGGTATTGTATATTTTATTTGTCATCCCTACCCTCAGAAAGCAGACTAATATCTGCAGTGCACCTGGCTTCACAGATGAAAATAAGGGGACAAATCAAGTACAGTAATATTATTGTGAAAATTCAGTAAGGCATTCACAGATTATCACCACCTCTGTAAGAAGTATATAGAGACACATGTTTGAAATATGCATAATGAGATGGAGAACAGTGTCCCTCTCAGTTGTTGTGTTGGGCTAGCTCAGAGAGTTCAGTTTCTGCTGTCATCACAGCTGGGAATGAGAAAGGGAGGGGGCTCTGGTTGGTCTCCCTCTGCCTCTGGAGCACACATGCAGGACATGAGGCTGCTGTAGGAGCAGCTCTGAAAGCTGAGTTCTCGGGTCCTTGTGAAGGAGGGAAGCTTGCCTGCCTTGGAGCGTGAAAAAGTCTTGCAGGACAGAAGTCTCATGGTTTAAAAATGGGAAGGGAGAGGATTGAGATCACACTAGAATGCACAGAAAATTCTTAAAACAAAAAAATAATGAGAGAAACTTCATCAAAATGTGAAAAGAAGTATAAAGCTACAGTGCTGAAGAGAGGGCAATACTGGCACTAGAATGAGAAGATTCATGGAACACAGTGGAAAATCCAGAAAGAGAGCCACACGTATGTAATATTTTATCATGTGATAAAGTGATATGTTAATACCCACAAGGAAATAGTCAATTATTTTATAAGTTCTGTTTTGGGTATTGACTTACCATATGGAAACAAATATTATTGCATTTCGTTCTTACCAGATATAGATAGTGATTTAGTTGTAATAAAAACAAAATCATTACACTTAAACAATGATGAATTGCATAGAAATTCTAGGTGAGATTGGCCTTTCTAAGCTTGACATCAAACTAGACACCCTAGAAAAACTGATAGATTTTAATGCTTTTTTTTTCAAAGTTCAATTCACCAAAAGATGCCAAATGTAAATAACAACAAATGAGGAGAAATATCTTCAACACATTGGATAAAGGGTCAGTATCTTTAAAATAGTGTATATTAACTCTTACAAACTAATAAGAAAAAATTAATCCTCCAAGAGAGGAATAGGCAAAGAGTATGACAAGGCAATTCACAAAAGAAGAACTATAAATGACCTATAAAGTTGTGAAATAATGTTAGTACTCCCAAAGATGAGGGAATGCAAACTGAATTTACAAATCTCGTTTTCAGAATCACAGAGCTTGGATTGCAATCATTATCAAGTTAAAGTATATGACTCAGGGAATGTTAATTAACCCCCTCAATTTCTAATGTTACATTCAACAGTACTTTAAACCCTAATGAAATTTCTGTGTAGATTAAATAAAATATGCATGTAATGTGCTTAGTACATTAACTACCAGAATGTCAGTACCCATATGTAGCATCAATATTATTATTATCGTTATTCATTTTTTTGAGACAGAGTCTCACTCTGTTGCCCAAACTGGACTGCAGTAGTGTGATATTAGCTCACTGAAAACTCCACCTACCAGGCTCTACAGATTCTCCTGCTTCAGCATTCAAGTAGCTGGGATTACATGTGTGCGCCACTATAGCCAGCTAATTTTTTGTATTTTTAGTAGAGACAGGGTTTCACCATGTTGGCTAAGCTGGTCGCAATCTCCCGGCCTAAGTGATCCTAACGACTGGACTGCCCAAATGCTGGGATTACAGGCATGAACCACCGGGCCTGGCCAGTATTATTATTACTAATACAGTAATTATTGTATAAAAATTCCTGATAGATCAATGATGCCATCATTAAATAATGAATGCATAAAAACATTCAAATAAATGATATGGACGTCTTTATGCATACTTATGAAGTATGTGCACCTTTAGAAGTAAGACACACAGTCCAGACACAGGAAAATATAAGATTGATTAAAATATATAGAAACTGAATATCAGAAAGAAAATATAAATATGGCATTGAAATAGAAACAATACATACTCCGCTATGACAAACAGTGAAAAAACTCAAGTGAACTGCCAAAAATATTGTTACCTATAGTGTCAGGGAGAAAAGAAGAATGAGAAGTCTACAATGGAAGCTAAAATCTTCAAATGCATCATCTTTTATAATTTTGACTTCACTTCCATGTAAATGTTTTATATATACAAAACAGATATGAAACAAAACAAAGTAATACAACAAATTTCCAAAATGTAAAAAAGAAAACTGAACAATTAAAGTAGCTATATCAATGTTGACATGAACACATAGAGAAAAATTATTTCAAATGATTTTGTGGAAAAAGTATTCTGATTATGTACCCAAAAAGGAAAGCAAGAGAAAAGCAAAGAAGGAAGGAAGGAAAACGAAGGAGAATGGATGGAAGGAAAGAAGAGAGGAAGGGAGGGAAGGAGAGAGGGAGAGAGGGAGGGAAGGACGGAGGGAGCGATGGAGCGAGGGAGGAAGGGAGAGAGAAAAATAATAAAAGCAAGCAAAGAATTAAGAAAAAAGAGAGAGAGAATAAAAGGGAGGGCAGAGGGAGAGAATGTTCAACTGCATACCTAGGCCTGGTGTTTCAGTGGTCATTATAGTATTGCTTATATTGTTATAGACATAAGGAATAAGCACCAGTCTCAGCTGCGGTTTCTGGATCATGATGGGATACACAATTTAGTATAAATTCCCTTCCCATTTGTTGTCCAAAATATCTTGCTTTACAGCTGGACCCTAGGGGTACCCATTTGTCCTAGGAAGCAGAGTGAGTGGGCCTCCCCCATGTCCTAGGAGAGCTAAGAGAACCTTGCTCTCAGCCAGGCTGCTTCTCTGAGGCTTAGCTGAGATGGCGGCTTGGTCTTCAGGAAAGTCCTGGGGGAGGGTGGGGAACAGGGTGCAGCTGCTGCCAGGGGAGTGTAATATTGCAGGGGAGATCAGGAGTTAAGCAATGTTTCTCTTGTTCAGCACACGGTAAATTTGGTGGCAGGAAATGAGAGGGGGCGGCTCTATCTTGTGTACCAGAAGCAGCCACAAGGCAGATTTTCAGTGTGGTGTAGGGCGGATCTGAATCACTGTGCCCGTCCCAGGTGGCACAGTAATAGACCCCAAAGTCATTTTCAATTAGATTTCGCAGTATCAATCTCAAGTTGTTCCTTGTGCTTGCGTAAGTATAATACTTCCCTGGACTGACTCCTGATTCCAACACAACCTTGGAGTTGTAGGAGTCATAGTACTGAAGACGCTGTGGGGCCTTCCCCTCCTGGTGTAGGTACCAGTGGATGTAGCCGTTACTTCCTTCAGCAAGATCACAAGTGATTTCAGCAGATGACCCAGTCTGCCTGATGACTGACTTCGTTCTCCCTTCCAAGTTGGAAGATTTCTGACTGGCTGCAATGGGAACAACACAAAATATAATGAGGAATTCCTTAGTATGGTACTCCTTGCAAAAGAAGAAAATAAAACAAAACCCGTGATCCTCTCTGTAGGCAGCGCACTCACCAGGAGACAGGAAAGCTAGAAGCACCGCTAGGGCCCACTGCATGCCTTCCTCTCTGGGGCCTTGGAAGGAAAGGGACCAGATGAAGAGGAGCAGAAGATCCTCTTAAAACTCAGGTTCCACTCAACAAGGAAGTGATCCCTAGCACAGAAGACAGTAGGAGGAGGTGGTCTTCCTGAGACACAAGCAGAGGGAAGTGACTGAGGATCTGTCTAAGAGGACTCCCAAGCCTTCCTCCCTCCCAGAAGGGTTGGTGCCTGGGAGGACCTGCAGAGGAGCCCCTGCCTCTCTGCTCAGGTCCGTTCTCCGGCGCCCTCTTGTGGCAGCTGAGAGCAGGCCCTCTGCAGAAGAGAGCCAGGGGCAAGGAGAGCTCAGGCCTGCAGCAGAGGGAGTGCAGAGGTGGGGGAAGCAGACCCTGGAGTCAGCAGGCCCAGCCCTAGGAGGGGGCAGTCCCACAGCAGGCTCACACCCTGCCCTTCAGAGTTGCAGCAGCTAATGCTGATGCCAGGACCTTGTCCTGCCAGGAAGTCTCTGATTAGGGAACTGAACCACCTTCCTTTTGGCATCTGCGAGGACACTTGGAGGCACCACGCAAAGCATATGTTTATTGTGGCACTATTCACGATAGCAGAGACTTGGAACCAACCCAAATGTCCATCAATGATAGACTGGATTAAGAAAATGTGGCACATATACACCATGGAATACTATGCGGCCATAAAAAGGGATGCGTTCATGTCCTTTGTAAGGACATGGATGAAGCTGGAAACCATCATTCCGAGCAAACTATTCCAAGGACAGAAATCCAAACAGTGCATGTTCTCACTCGTAGGTGGGAATTGAACAAGGAGAACACTTGGACACAGAGTGGGGGAACATCACACACTGGGGCCTGTAGTGGGGTGGGGGGAGGGGGGAGGGATAGCATTAAGAGATATACCTAATGTAGATGACAAGTTGATGGGTGCAACAAACCAACATGGCACATGTATACATATGTAACAAACCTGCACGTTGTGCATATGTACCCTAGCACTTAAAGTATAATAAATATAAATAAATAAATAAATAATAAAAATGAAAGGACTGAGGATCATGTGTGTTGGTGGGTCTTGGACTCTGCTCTAAGATAAATGGGTGTATGTGGGGTGTGTGTGTGTGTGTGTGTTTGTGTGTGTGTGATCCTGTGGGTGTGATCTCTTTATTAGAGGATTTTTGTTCACTGAAGTAGGAGTGTGAGGTTTTTTTGTTTTTTTTTTCTAAGTAGTTCAGGGTGCCATGTCATGCAATATTTGGAACATACTTAAACTAAAAACTTGTTGTTTATCTGAACTTCCAAATTGTTTGGTATTGTATATTTTATTTGTCAGCCCTACCCTCAGAAAGGGGACTGAGATCTGCAGTACACCTGGATTCACAGATGGAAATATAGGGGACAAAAGTAGTACAGTAATATAATTGTGAAAATTCAGTAAGGCATACACAGATTACCACCACCTGTGTCAGAAGTATATAGAGACACATGTTTGAAAGATGCATAATGAGATGTAGAACAATGTCTCTCTTAATTGTGTTGTTGGCCTAGCTCACAGAGTTCAGTTTTTGCTGTCATCACAGCTGGGAATGAGAAAGGGAGGGGGCTCCGGTTGGTCTCCCTCTGCCTCTGGACCATATGTGCAGGACATGAGGCTTCCACAGGAACAGCTCTGAAAGCTGAATTCTCAGGTCCTTGTGAAGGAGGGAAGCTTGCCTGCCTTGGAGCGTGAAAAAGTCTTGCTGGACAGAAGTCTCACGGTTTAAAAATGGGAAGGGAGAGGATTGAGATCACACTAGCATGCACAGAAAATTCTTAAAACAAAAAGATAATGAGAGAAACTTCATCAGAATGTGAAAAGAACTATAAAGCTACAGTGCTGAAGAGAAGGCAATACTGGCACTAGAATGACAAGATTCATGGAA